>NC_000001.11:31428835-32053835 GCF_000001405.40 Homo sapiens | reverse complement strand
GCTAGGATTACACGTGTGAGCCACTGCACCCGGCCTGGTGAATGTTTTATATGCATTAGCTCACTTGATCTTCCCAAGTGTCGAAGTAAATGATATTATCCCCATTTTACAAATGATGAAATTGAGACTTGAAACTAAGGCAGAATTTGAAAGTAGTCTGCTTACACAGGGTATGGTGGCTCATACCTGTAATCCTTACCACTCTGGGAAGGTGCTTGTGGCCAGGAGTTTGAGTCCGGCTTGGGCAACATAGAGACTTGTTTCTATAAAAAATAAAGTCAAGTGGGCATGGTGGCCCATGCCTGTAGTCCTAGCTACTTGGGAGGCTGAGGCAGGAGGACAGCTTGAGACCAGGAGTTCAAGGCTGCAGCGAGCTATGATCACACCACCGCACTCCAGCCTGGGTGGCAAAGCAAGACCCCATCTGTAATTAATTAATTAATTTAATTAGTCTGCTTAAAGCTATAATAAAGTGTTATTATGCTAAGCTATCCATTTGTCTGCCTGGCAAATTTTGATTATCCTTTAAATTGTAACTTAAATGCTATCACCTTTCTCTGGCACTCCCTAAGCCTTTCTCAGGCAGCTCCTCCAGGCTCCCTGGTATTCAGTTCTGCAAGAGAACATGATGATACACTATTGCAACTATTTTTTAATTTATTATTTTATAGGTATATTATTTTTTGAGACAGAGTCTTGCTGTCACCCAAGCTGGAGTATAGTGTCATGATCATGACTCACTGCAGCCTTGACCTCCTGGGCTCAAGAGATCTTCCTGACTCAGCCTTTCAAGTAGCTGGGACTACAGGCGTGCACCACCACATCTAGCTTTTTATTTTTATTTTTTTTGTAGAGATGGGAGTCTCACTATGTTGCCCAGGCTAGTCCCGAACTCCTGGACTCTAGCGATACTCCTGCCTTGGGGTTACGGGGTGAACCACCAGGCCTGGCCTGTTTAAAATTTTCTGGTCTCAGTTTCATCATGTGTAAAAATGGGATAATAACATCTACCTCACTGGTGGAGAAAACTACATGGCACAGAGTAAATAGTCAATGCATGTCTGAATTCACAAAATGCGGTAATAACATGACTTTTTTTTCAGGATGCATCTTGTACTTGATGTGAAAAGAAACCACTCGGCTGGGCGCAGTGGCTCACACTTGTAATCCCAGCACTTTGGGAGGCCGAGACGGGTGGATCACGAGGTCAGGAGATCGAGACCATCCTGGCTAACACAGTGAAACCCCGTCTCTACTAAAAATACAAAAAATTAGTTGGGTGTGGTGGCGGGCGCCTGTAGTCCCAGCTACTCAGGAGGCTGAGGCAGGAGAATGGCATGAACCTGGGAGGTGGAGCTTGCAGTGAGCAGAGATCGCCCCACTGCAATCCAGCCCGGGCGACAGAGTGAGACACCGTCTCAAAAAAAAAAAAAGAAACCACTATGTCAGTTTAATTGGCAGCTTTTTTTCTTTCTTTCTTTTTTTCTTTTCTTTCTTTCCTTTCTTTCTTTACAGCACTTAAAGACACAATTTACAATAAGCAGTCTCTTAGGGTCAATGAAATTTGGAATTACAGAAGCAGCAAGCTTTTAGCACAGAGAATAGACTTTGCTGTACAAAAATGTTGATATGCACCCTGTCCTAATGTGCTATGCAACCATGGTAAATTACCTCACCTCTTCTAGTATCAGTTGCCTAATCTATAAAAATAGGGACACACAGTAGGCATTCAAATTGAGCTCTTCTCTTTCAGCCAAACAAAGCTGCCTATTTTCCCTATCTCACTTTCTTCTTCTTTTAAATGTGGTCAAGATCAGTGGATGGCATAGACTGAGAATAAAATGAGGGAAAAAAATGAAAATGACTACTTACTAGTAGTACTGCCAGCAAACAGCAGCCTCTGTAGGGTCATACAAAGTACAGGAACATATCAAGAAGACAGTGAGCCCATGTGTTGCCTAACACACTCTAATCCACATTTTTGGTGGCCACAAAGTTCTAGCAGGTGTTAATGCATCTCTAACTTCATTCTTAGCCTGGGACAGGAGGTGGGATTTGGTGGAAGAGAGTATAAAGGTGGGACAAACCCTAAGCCTGTATCCGTAGGTAAGGAAGGGTCAGAGTATTCCCTCAATAGTAACTGTCACTGCCAAGTGTCCACCCTGGAGACTCTATGGAAACTGTGGTGGGGGAAGAGAGGGCTAGGAAGCGAGGAAGTTGATGGTGGGAGAAGGGCATGCTGGAGCGCTGCCTCTGAACCTCTGGAAAACCACCTATGACCAGGCATGGCAGCTAGAACAGCCTCATTCCCACTTTAGCAGCCTGCAGTATAATACAGAAATAAAAGCATGCTTTGTAGTCACCCATTCTTGGGATCAAATCCTAGCTCTATCACTTACAAACTCTCAGTGATGTAAAAATAATCTGATCAGCTATTATGTATTATTGAACAGCTACTGCCAGAAATTGTATCAATAACTTTTAAGTAATAACTACTTCAAAAGGCAGTACACCTACATACATCTGTGGTTAACTGATTTTTGATAAGGGCGACAAGACCATTCAATGAAGAAAGAATAGTCTTTTCAACAAATGGTGCCGGGACAATGGGATATCCACATGTAAAAGAATGAATTTGGGCCGAGCACGGTGGCTCACGCCTGTAATCCCAGCACTTTGGGAGGCTGATGCGGGCGGATCACCTGAGGTCAGGAGTTCGAGATCAGCCTGGCCAACATGGCAAAACCCCGTCTCTACTAAAAATACAAAAATTAGCTGGGCATGGTGGTGGGCGCCTGTAATCCCAGCTACTTGGGAGGCTGAGGCAGGGAGAACTGCTTGAACTTGAACCTGGGAGGCAGAGGTTGCAATGAGCCGAGATTGAGCCACTGCACTCCAGCCTGGGTGACAGAGTGAGACTCTGTCTCAAAAAAAAATAATAATTTGAACCCCCACCCCAGGCCACACACACAAAAGTTAACATAAAATGAATCATAGACCTAAATGCAAGAATTAAAGCTGGGTGTGGTGGCTTACACCTGTAATCTTAGCACTTTGGGAGGCCGAGGTGGGTGGACTGCCTGAGCTCAGGGGTTCAAGACCAGCCTGGCCTGGCCAACATGGTGAAACCTTGCCTCTACTAAAAAATAAAAAAAATTAGCCAGGCATGATGGCACGCACCTGTAGTACCAGCTACTTGGGAGGGTGAAGCATGAGAACTGCTTGAACCCGGGAGCTGGAGGTTGCAGTGAACTGAGATCATACCACTGCACTCCAGCCTGGGGGACAGAGTCAGACTCTGTCTCCAAAAAACAAACAAACAAACAAACAAACAAAAAGAACTAAAACTAAAAAACTGAGAAAGAAACAAACAGGTACAATCCTGACCTTGAATGAGACAATAGTTTATTACCTATGACAAAAAAGAAAAAAACAGATAAACTGGACTTCAACAAAATGGAAAATTTTGGTGATTTAAAGAAAGTAAAAGGACAACCCACTGAATGGGAGAAAATATTTGCAAATCATACATCTGACAAGAGTTTAGCGTCCAGAATATATAAAGAACTTACAACTCGCTAATAAAAAGACAAATTATCCCATTTAAAAGTGGGCAAAGTATTTAGATAGACATTTTTCCACAGAAGATATATAATTGGCTAACAAGCACATGAAAATATGCTCAATGACATTAGTCATTAGGGAAATGCAAATCAAAACCACAGTGAGGTACCACTTCACACCCACTAAAGATAGCTATAATAAAGTAAATGTTGGTGAGGATATGGAGCATTTGGAACCCTCATATGTTGCTGGTAGGAATGGTACAGGCTCTCTGCAGAAAACAATTTGGCAGTTCCTAAAAAAATTAAACAGGCCGGGCGTGGTGGCTCATGCCTGTAATCCCAGCACTTTGGGAGGCTGAGGCAGGTGGATCATGAGGTCAGGAGATCGAGACCATCCTGGCTAACACGGTGAAACCCCGTCTCTACTAAAAATACAAAGAATTAGCCGGGTGTGGTGGCACGTGCCTATATTCCCAGCTGCTTGGGAGGCTGAGGCAGGAGAATCACTTGAACCCAGGAGGCGGAGGTTGCAGTGAGCTGAGATCGTGCCACTGCACTCCAGCCTGGGCGACAGAGTGAGACTCTGTCTCAAAAAAAAAAAAATAAAAAATAAAAAAATAAACAGAGTCACCGTATGACCCAGAACCCAGAAATTCTTCTAGGTATATACCCAAGAAACTGAAAACATGTCCACACAAAAACTTATATACAAATATTCAAAGCAGTATTATTCATAATAGCCAAAAAGTAGAAATAATCCAAATGCCTGTCAATGGATCAATGAATAAATGAAACGTAGTATATGCATACAGTGAAATCGCATTTAACAGTAAAAAAAAAAAAAAGAACAAAGTAGGGATACATGCTACAACATGGATGAACCTTGAAAACATCCGAAGTGAAAGGAGGCCAGTCAGCTGAGCGTGATGGCTCACGTCTGTAATCCCAAACTTTGGAAGGCCAAGGTAGGCGGATCACCTGAAGTCACGAGTTCGAGACCAGCCTGGCCAACACGGTGAAACCCCACCTCTACCAAAAATACAAAAATTAGCCAGGCATGGAGGCGCGTGCCTATAATCCCAGCTACTCAGGAAGGCAGGAGAATCGCTTGAACCTGGGAGGCGGAGGTTGCAGTTGCAGTGAGCTGAGATCGCACCACTGCACTCCAACCTGAGCGACAGAGCAACACCCCGTCTCAAAAAAAAACCAAAAAAACAAAAAAAAAACAAAAAGGAAGCCAGTCACAGAAGACCACTTATTGTATAATTTCATTTGTATGAAATCATACAGAAAGTGGTCTTCTGTGACTGGCTAAACCCTTGGACTTAGCCTTCTGGAGGCTAAACCCTTGTCATCTTTAGAGACAGAAAGCAGAGTAGTAGCCTACGGCTGGAGGGAATAAATAGATTGGTGGAAGACAGATAAAAGGCATGGGGTTTCTTTTTGGAATGATAAAGACATTTTAAATGGGCCCTAGTGATGACTGAACAACTCTGTATATACTAAAAACCACTGAATTATACACTTTAAGTGAGAGAACAGTATGGTATGTGAATTATATCTCAATAAAGTTGTTATTTTAAAATTCCGCCAAAACTCTAGACTTCTTTGCCACTAGGACAGTTATGTCTGTCCAAAAAGAATCACTTAAAAATGCTAACATGACCTTTAATTTATACTAACAGAAGCTAACCACAGGCTGCAAACTGGTAAGCTAAAGGCCACATCTGGCATGCAGCAAATGTATTTTATTGGGACCAATAGTATTTTAAAAACTTTCTACCCGGGCTGGAGTACAGTGTTGTGATCATAGCATACTGTAACCTTGAACTCCTCGACTCAAGTGATCCTCCTTCCCCTGCCTCCTGAGTAGCTAGGATAAGAGGTGCAAGCCATCATGCCCAGCTAATGCCCAGCTAACTTTTTGTAGAGACAGAGTCTGCTATGTTGTCCCGGCTTGTCTTGAACTCCTGGCCTCAAGTGATCCTCCCAACTCAGCCTCCCCAGGTGTTGGGATTACAGGCATGAGCTGCCATGCGCAGCCAAGAAAATTTTTAGAGAAGGGAAAGACACAGTAATGAAAATGATCTTCAAATACCTGAAAGGATGTTGCTTCAGAGGTCCAAAGCAGATTCAGTTTAAATTACTGAGGTACAGGTCTCATTCAAAATGAGAGATAAAATACTTAGAGCCATCTCTAATGAAATGGGCTGCTTTTGGAAGTAATGTTTCCTATGACTAGTATGAAGTACTATGTTACATGCTATAACCTGGATGAACCAAACACTATGCAAAGTCAAAGAAGCCAATTCCAAAAAGCATATATTATATGATTCCATTTATATGGAATGTTCAGAATAGGCAAACCCACAGAAAGAGTAGTGGCTGCCAACAGCTGGGGAGAGAAGGGAGTTGGGAGTGACTATTAGCAGATATAAGATTTGTTTTTAGAGTGATGGAAATATTCTGGAATTAAATAGTGGAAATGGTTGCACAGTATAAATATACTAAAAACTACTGCATTGTACACTTTAAAATTGTAAATTTTATGCTATGTGAATTTTTCCTCAAAACAGAAACAAAGGTAGAAAGGGACCAAATGAGATACTTACTAACTCTGTTAGGATATTATGATGCATACAGTGATAAATGTCAGGTATTATCATCAACTTCATTTGATGATAAATGAGGCACTGAAAGGGTTTTGTTTCTGACTAAGGTGACAAAGGCTCACATGAAGCAGAGCCAGGACAGATACCCAATCTTGCCTGTCTCTAAAGCTTACAGAATTGTAATAAAAGTTCACAGGCTGGCCGGGTACAGTGGCTCACGCCTGTGATCCTAGCACTTTGGGAGGCTGAGGTGGGCGGATCACTTGAAGCCAGGAGTTCAAGACTAGCCTGGCCAACATGGTGAAACCACATCTCTACTAAAAATACAAAAATTATCCAGGCGTGGTGGTGTGTGCCTATAATCCCAGCTACTCCGGAGGCTGAGGCAGGGGAATCGCTTGAACCCGGGAGGTGGAGGTCGCAGTAAGCTGAAATCACACCACTGCACTCCAGCCTGGGCAACAGAGTGAGACTCCACCTTAAAATAAATAAATAAAGTTCACAGGTAGTGAGTGATAGAATTTTACAGAAAACACTTGGATCAATGGGCGAAGCTACATGTCCAGAACAGGCAGAACACCAGCAGGCCTAGGTCCACAAACAGAACCTGCCTTTCCAAGCACAGTTCACAGTCCAAATGAAAGGTTTCCCCAAACTTCTAATCCATTTTTCTTCTTCAGACTACCCTAGGAAGAGTTGAGACTAAATTCTCTGCATTCAGGGATTCCCCACGCTAAATTTCCTAGCCATTCATGTGACCAACATCAAACGTAGGACTTGCCAGGTGCCCAGAATCTTGTTCAGTACATATGCCCCTCTCTTAAAGCTTCCAGATCTCTCACAGGCTGAGAGGCAGGCTTGGAAGAAAAAGAAATTCCAAGAAGCCAAATTTCACTGTGAAAGGTTCTATATGCGTAGGGCTTACCTAGTTAGGCCTTTCTCCTCAGTGTCATCCTAATCCTAACACCTCAGAGCAGAGAAAAAATCAGCCAGTTAGTTGCTTAATGGCTTCAATTAACAGGAAAGCTCACTGTTGTCACAGCCCCCAACTACACAAACCAGGGAGTCAAACTCCACATCCTTTCTTCTATACCACAATTATCCCTATGAAGGACCTCCTAAGTATAAGAAATATCCTTTCCCAGCCGGGTGTGGTGGCTCACGCCTGTAATCTCAGCACTTTGGGAGGCCAAGGTGGGTGGATCACCTGAGGTCAGGAGTTCGAGACCAGCCTGACCAATAAGGTGAAACCTCGTCTCTACTAAACAATACAAAAATTAGCCAGGCGTGGTGGCAGGTGCCTGTAGTCCCAGGTACTCGGGAGGCTGAGACAGGAGAATTGCTTGAACCCAGAGGCGGAGGTTGCAGTGAGCTGAGATTGCGCCACTGCAGCCAAGCCTGGGTAATGGAGCAGGGCTCCGTCTCAAAAAAAACAAAACAAAAGAAAACCAAAAAAACCAAAAAAAAAAAAGAAATACCCTTTCCCTAGATTAAGGACAGTATAGTATAGGATTAAGATGACAGGTTTTGGCAACAGAAATCTTGAGCTTGAGTACCAGCCATACTAATTATGGGACCCTGGGAAGTTACTTAACTTCACTAGGTCTAAGTTACTTCTGTAAAATATGGATATTACTGGACAATTGTTTCTGGGCTGCCCAGCATCCATTTCCCTTTCCTAACAACTCACCAACTGCCTTTTGAGGAACTGGTTTTTCTTACGCATGTGACTCAGCTAATCCAGTCTGATATTCCCTCTCTAAAACCTGAATCTTGAGTAGAGGCAGAAAGAGACCCAACATAGTTTGAGTTGTGCCCAAGGAGCCAGTCCTTGTTTCAAGATCGTTCCTGTGGTCTACCACTGTTGTCCCAGTTCCCTGCAGCCACTACAGTTCCCACACCAGATTTTTTATCCTTCGCACTGAACATTGAGCCCTTAACACCTTTCTAATAAAGTCTTTTTCATTTACATTAGCCACTTTGTTGCTTGCAACCAATGAACTCCAAGTGGAACACCACCTCATCAGGTTATTAACAGGATAAACAGAGTGGGATTCAACAGATCTAAGTTGATATTGTCTGGCCTTATCAACCACTAGATGTAAATTCAGTATGGACATGTAAGTGTGGTCATGTCGTAAATAAGGTACAAATGACCACAAAAAAGATTAACCCATTGACCACCTTACAGGCCACCTCCTAGCATAACTGTTTTACAGTTATGATAAAAGGCCCATGTTCCTTAATAGAAAGCCACCTTAACATACCTGACATGGGTCTTCACTACCCATTCTAGTCCAGGAAATGCCTCAGGAGTTTTCAGTCACCTGAAAATGGAGAAATAACAGATCAGTCTTTTGAAGAGGAAGTTTTAAAGACATACAAAATAAAAGATAAAGAGATCCTGCATGCAGTTTACACATTACAGGAGAAACATGCAACTTTTAAGAAATTTTAAGTAAAGTTTCATTGTGAATATCAATATGGGGACCTACAGGGACTCATCCTTACACAGTTTTAAATAGCTGAGCAGAAAGCTTTTGGGGTGCAGCAGGAGGTCTAATCTACAGTCATTGAAATTTTACAATGTGTCATTTAAGATGTCAGACTTTGTGCCCAGGTTACGTTACAGTTCACTTGTGATGGGCAGGATTATTAAGAGTTATGGCTAATTTATGCGGCAACATATGGTTTTTCTTTTTACAGCTATTTTTATTAAACAAGTTTTGCAAAGTTTTAACATTAAAATTAACAGCTAAAGAATTGTTTATGCAAGTTGCTGTCACAGTTTATGTAAAAGAGAAATATGTGCTATTAAAATCAGACATTTAGGTTACCTTTGGTTTTTTGCGATGCATGTTAGCTTTACACATCCTGATTCTCTTGCGATAATTTTCCTTTAAAAAGGGGGGTATAGAGTGATCTCTTTTCATCAAAACAAGACATAATGCCCTGAAAGCTGACTTCAAACCATGGTTGAAAATTCAGTTATTTACATTTTATCACAATCTACAAATACATTTTTTTGTTGGTGTGTTTTAAAAAGAAAAAAAAAATGTCCATCATGCACTGCTGCAGGCAGCTTGGCACTTCAATACAAGAGGATTTTTCACCCCCGAGCAGTTTAGGTGGCTCTCTTAGGGAAGCCATGAGAACCCTGAGAATCAGCATAGAGTTGAAATGGGACCAACCAATTCCATCACTTCCTCTCTTGGTCTCTTAGGAGGGGGTTCAGAGCCAGCCTATCATGCCAAATCCTGCCCCAGCCCAGCTGAGTTATCAGCATTTCTGGGATTGAAAGAGAAACCCTCAAGGGCACCCAGAGTTGGCTGAACTGTCATGCCTAAAGGCAGATGCTGTCCCCTTCTGAGCTCACAGAAATTATTTGGTGTCACACTTTAGAGCCACCTAGGGGTTCTACAGAAGGTGCAAACCAGGCTGGCTTGCACTTTTAAATACTGAGACCTATCTATGGAAACCAATCCAAGTTTCAGCTCAGTTGAGTTGAAAACTCTCCATAAATTAGAATTTTTGATAGGATTGGATACAACAGCTTCCAACAACTTCCAGGGGGTGAAAAAGCTTTGGTTATTTTTAAACTAAAACTTAACAACTCCATCAACTTTTTTTTGGTAAACTTAAAATAAAATCCCCCCCACCACTTTTAAGAATGTTTCCAACTTTTAACAAGCCCATTAACTTTAGAGTTAATTTAAGTTTATTTGAAAGAGAAAACTATTTTATGGTCCACCCAAAAAAATGACAATTCATCACATTTACTTTGATTAAAAAAGGACTAAACTTTATTGACAAACTGCTGCAGACATTTTGACATAAGTTTAAGCTACCTATTTAGGCAGACTTACACATGTAGCATTTAATCTTCCGAGAACAAAATGGGAGGACGGTACAAATCCAATTAGGACTTTAACTTATGTACAAAGTGGATTTTGATTCCTTTTTCATTCAGCTGCAGTGTCCCTTTTTATATCATGCTAGTGTTGAGACATACTTGACTAACTTGGGAACAGTTCGATATATTGACAACCGTCAACTTAAGAAAATCAACAGCTTTTGGCCCCAGCGTCCAAGTGAACTTTTCATGGAGTGCAGAATCTCAAATGGACAAAATACTTTGTCTTTTTAAATACTGAAAATTTAATTATTAGTACTATGACTGAAAGATTCTTCATGGCTAAAAAGCTCTGCATCAAACTCAATTCAGGAGGCCTTCCCTCCCCACCACCATCAACCTCTTCAAAACCTACTCCCTCCCTCTAAGTATCTCTCAACACAGTATGTCTGGGGCTAGATTTCAAAACCCACGTAATGAAAAAGTCAGTTTTACAAGCCTAATTTTGTTGTTTTTTTTTTTATATCAATTAACGTTAAAAATTGCATCAACTATTTAATTCATGAGGATCTTTCATATTAAAATTTAACCTTAAGATTCAACCGCCATGTGCTTTTATAAAGGAAACATTTTTTAGAGACGTCTGAGCTCACTTTTACATGGTGGTGCCTACTGCCGTTAATGTTTGTGATTTTAAATCTTAAACAGCCCTGAATTTTGAAATGTAGCCTAGTTTGGGATTCTGCAACTACAACTTTACGGGATGCCTCAAATCAAAACTAAGAGAAACTTAACAAGCCTTTACTTCAGAACCTTTAAGCAAGCAATGTCATTTTTGAAACTAACAGGTTTGTGTGTTTTTTTTTTTTACTCAACTTCTTTTTTTTATTATAAAAGGTACACTTCTGTTTATATTTAAACAACAAAGAAAAAAGCATCTACACACTTAAAAAATTAATTCAATATTCCTAAATCTATTTTAACTCATTTTAAAATACTACATACAGAAGCCAGAATGCAGAGTTAAGAATGGAATAAGGTGGGGAGAAGAAGGGGACCACGAAGAAAAACACTTAGACAATTACTTGTCTGTTGTGGGTAAAGCAACAGGAATCCTGGGAGATACAAGAAATCAGTAACAACTTTGCTCATAACTGATATTTTCCCCTCATGTTTGTTTTTAATAACGTCCATATGGGTGCTCTCTGTATGCTCCCTTCACTGGCCTAGCAGGAGGGGCCTTCAGCGACGGCCTGGTCCCATTCCAGTCGTCCTGGCCTGTGGGGAAAACAAAGACAGTTTATAAACCATGTGGCGACAGCACTTAGGGATAAGCAGGGATAGGTCACATAGTAAAGATCACCAAAAACACTGAGTTTCTTCTAATGTCTTGACACTTCCCCTGGTGTTCCTTGCTCTCTACTTGGCTTGGCCCTCTTGGGCAGCCTGGGCAATTTTTCAGTTTTGAGTGGAAGGACAGAAGGGAACAAATCTAAAAAGGCTGCCATTGACTCTGGAGTAATCTCCCACAACGAGGTTCTTCATAGACAAATGTGATCTGTACGCCAGTCCCCAAACCTGGAGATACCCAACACCTTGCTTGAGATAGTGAGGAACTCATTAATCTTAGTGAGTCTGCAATGGCCTTTCCTGTTCCCAAAACAATTTGGCAGGCACCCTCAGGTAAGGTGGGAAGACTTCTGGAAGTCTTTCAGATTGGAAGCAGGCAGCCAGCCCCACTTCCATGCAACAGCAAGTCACGTTTCCTTACGGAGAAGTGTCCTCTAGCTCCCTGGGAAAACCAAGCAAGGGCCACTTTCCATGGGGCCCTCCACCAGCAGAGCTGATACTGCTCTCTCTGGTAGAGGGATGTGCAATCAAATGTTGCACTGACAGCACTGTTTAAGATAATTCCAAGGCTGCATGCGGTGGCTCACGCCCGTAATCCCAGCACTTTGGGAGGCCAAGGCAGGCAGATCACAAGGTCAGGAGTTCGAGACCAGCCTGACCAACAGGGTGAAACCCCATCTCTACTAAAAATACAAAAATTAGCCAGGCGTGGTGGCGCATGCCTGTAATCCCAGCTACTCAGGAGGCTGAGGCAGGAGAAGTGCTTGAACCTGGGAGGCAGAGGTTGCAGTGAGCTGAGATTGTGCCACTCCACTCCAGCCTGGACAACAGAGCCAGACTCCATCTCAAAAAAAAAAAAAAAAAAAAAAAAGGATAATTCCTTATCTCCTTTCTTAAGTCAACAGGTGAGAGAAGCCAGAAGCCAGACAATGTGGTTCACATCCTCAAATGGTTCTCCTTTGTGACAGGGAAAAGCCTGAGGAATATGATCACATAATTCTAGAGGTGACCTCTTATGAAAATAAATTGCGTTAAATTTATTCTTCCCACACCTTACACACGCTAGTTCATCCCTGAAGTATTTTTCCAGCTGCCTGTATTCACAAGTATCTGCCTCCATCTCTATAGGCCTCAAACTCCTATACAGATCTAAAGTCACACAGAACCCTAATTATACCCCTAGTATAACACACATGTCCATCACTTTCCAAGTGGCTTCTGGGTATCAACAAGACAGTTTCTTTTTCTTTTTTTCCTGACGTATACAGATCATCCTGGACAGTTTATTTCTCTAATTCTGTTAATCAAAGCAGAGATCAGAACGGATTAACTGTGGCAACGTCGTATCAGGAGCACAAAGAGAAGCCTGCCTCTTTCAGTTTGGTCTTTTCTCCAGCAAAACAGAAATGCAATTTAGTCAAACACATACAGAGGCCCCACTGTACTGCCTCACTGATGGAGGGAAATACTTGGGTGCAATCACACACAGTGTTAGTGATTGGCAACTGTCCAGTGCTATTTCGCTAAAACTGGTAAAAACAGTTTCCTTGGGCAAGCAGCTGATTGGCTACTTCATACTGTGCTGAGTTGGGCTCAGCTTGTCTGTCTCTGGGAGGCCCTAAGGGGCTCCTCTTTTTCAGCTAGGGATAAGGGGAGACTGTCAACCAGTATCTTAGCGTGAACTGTCAATCGCTGAGCCCCTGCCAAGGACTCTCTGGAAGTCCCTCAGGTATGCTGAAAATACCTTATACTGAAAAGGTAGCTCTCGCTGCATCCACTGCCACATAGTATTCCCAGTGAGGCCTATTAACACAGGGCCATAACTGGCTCTTGAGGACACACTTGAGCGATGTGTTTTTAACCAAACCTCAGGGAAGGCAGCCTTGTCCTGCTGCTGTTGCAGCCTCCATAGCTCTCTTGGGATCAAGGACTGTGTTGATGTCTTCAAGCCAACAAGGAGCTTGGTGCCAGTACTGTCCTGAATTATTGGCTCTAGCCCCTACAGCCTCTAATCTGATTCTAATAGGCACTATTTTTTTTTTTTGAGACGGACTTTTGTTGCCCAGGCTGGAGTGCAATGGCACGGTCTCAGCTCGTTGCAACCTCCGCCTCCCAGGTTCAAGTGATTCTCATGCCTCAGCCTCCCAAGTAGCTGAGATTAAAGGCGCCCACCACCACACCTGGCTAATTTTTTTGTATTTTTAGTAGAGACAGGGTTTCACCATCTTGGCCAGGCTGGTCTCGAACTCCTGACCACAGGTGATCCGCCTGCCTCGGCCTCGCAAAGTGTTGGGATTACAGGCATGAGCCACCACGCCCGGCCCTAATAGGCACTATTCTTGCCCCGCAACCTGGTCTGGCTAGCTGCTTGCCATCTAGGTCCCTTTCAGCTGACATTTCCTTTACAATGACATTCTTTTCAATGAGATCTAAATTTTTTTTTTAATGAAATGGGGTAGATGAGTACAGTTGTGTACGATTAAGTTCTTGTTATCTACCAAAGTGGCCTAGATATCGGCAGCAAAGGCCCAGAAATACAACCCAGGTCTAGCTATTTCCCTGCCTAAAGTAGAAAAAAAATAACATTAGCTTATAAGTCTGCTGCTCCAACCAGGGCCAAGCTGGTCTTGAGCCCTTGTTTAAGACAAACACTACCCTTCCAAGAGTAACGATACCCCACCTCACTTTAGCAGTCCCTCTTTCTACCATGTACCGCAAAATTTAAGCAAGAGCAGAACTCTTACTGTCACATCTAGCAAAATCTTGGCCTTCTAAAGGTTTATCCGTAGGTGTGTTTGTCTGACTCTCAATACTTTAGTCACCAGCATTCTCCCAGGCACTTACTTGTACATTCTGCCCCACCACAGAGATAAAGACATACCATAAGCTTCATAAGAATCTTGAACCTCCCCATGTCCATAGTCATAATATTCTGAGTCCCTGAAAGCCAAAGGCAGAGTGTTAGGAAGCTACAGAGTAACTATGTTTCAACTTTCTCTCAAATACTTCCATAAGTCAGTCATTTTACTAAGTGTATTAATACAGGAAAATACTCATTCTGCCCCATCCCTAAACCGTAAAGTATTTCCAAAATATGTATAGACTATGTACTTATAAAATAATTGACAACTATTGCAAAGAAAAATGGATACCACAGAATATAAAGTGAAAAAGCACAATCCTAAATTGACCCTTTTAATATAGCATATATATACATGTATTCATAGGGCTCACCAGAAGGAAAAAAGAACTGTTTTATCACTGCTGTAGAATTCTGGAACTCTTTTTCAATCAATTCACAGGTAAGCTATATATATGGACACACAAGGAAATGGTCTTAAAGAGAAATGCAGAAAAGAACCTAAGTTATGGTAATGGAATTCAAGTTTCTTGTAAAATTTTATGGAGCTTTAATGTGGTTTTGATATTTTAAAATAATAAATCAAAATAACATAAAGGCATTTCTCCTTGTTTCCATGTAGTCACAGCTTGGAAATTTTTCATTTGTTACTCTCAGGTTCTAAATTATAATTTAAGGTTCACAGTTATCCAGATTTACAAATCCAAGTGTGTGCTTCACAGATGTCAAACGCAGAGGAAAGCATTGCATGGTGGCACGCACCTGTAACCCCAGCTACTAGAGAGAGCTAAAGTGGGAGGACTGCTTGAGCTCAAGAGTTCAAGACCAGTCAGGACTGTGGGGGTTGCAGAGGAGATACCCTCAAAAGGCGAACCATTCTGCTCCTTAGGGTTGTACTGTCTAAATCTCTCTGTTCCTCCAACTCCCTCCATCCATCCTCAGGACAAAAAACAGTGCTTATACTGCCTGACTCACCCTTGACTCTGGCTGTAATAGCCTTCGTAGCCTTCGTAACTTTGTTCTGCGTATGTATCATCATATCCCTAGAACAACAACAACAAAAAAATGAAATAAAAGATCAAAATCATAGAGAGTAGGAAAGGTAATTACATCCCATGGGAGTAAGTAGGCTTCTGAATTAAAAGGACATGACATTTCCCTCCAAAATGTTAATGCCTACTGTAGAATAGTCAAAAGAGAAAGGGTTACTAAACAAAGAAAACCCAAACAAATATGATATGCCACAGAAGAAGTGTGGGCAGGAAGTAAAGTACAAAATCGAGCTTTAGTATTATCAGTACTAGTAGTAAGAAATTCATTATAAAATACTACATTAAAGTACATTTTATTTCTTGTTTAATCTACAGGCGTATAGTAAAACCCTGCCTAAAATGGAAAAATCTTCTAATAGTTCAACATTCACTGCAAGAGAAGAGGGCAGATTGCAAATCTTACAGGCAGTCCATGACACCTACATAAAGGACCGAGGCCCTGTCATTCAACTTCCTTTAGCAGCCTTCTAGGTACTGGGAAATGGCACATTGTTCAAATTTCTTACATATTCTTCATATGTTTCTGGTGCAGGAGGTGGAGGCAAAGGTATCCTCTGGATGCCCGCTGTCCGTGCTCTTGGTGCTGGAGCACCCCTCACAGTAGGTGGGGGTGGCACGCCTCGAGTCACAGTGGCACCTCTGGTGATGGCTCCCCTTACTGGTGTACCACGTACCAAAGCCCCCCGAGGTGGTCCAACACCACGGCCCCTACAAAATGAAAGTTTATCTTAAATGGAGCTTTTTATAAACAGGCCACTTTTATGTTCTGATTTGTTTACAAATTCTGGAATTAGGCAGATTTTATGAAGCCTTAACTAGGCTATTATTAAAGCACAGAGGAATGTACAGGGTAAAGGACCCACACTGCAAGATCCCCCAGGTCCTATAGAGGACCAATTCATCACTGCACTGCCTTGGGTAGGTCTGGAGAGTCTGAATACTCTATAAAGGTCAGTCACAAAAGGTAGAATTTTAAAGTCAGACCATTAACAAATGCTAAGACTGTCCAAAATTAGAAGACCAAAAGTTTCAGCTAGACTGCAGCACTTGGCTATGGTCAAAGTGCCCAAGATCTAGAACTCTATTTTTTTTTTTTTTTGAAATGGAGTCTTGCTCTATCTCCCAGGCTGAAGTGCAGTGGCATGATCTCGGCTCACTGCAACTTCCGTCTCCTGGGTTCAAGCAATTCTCTTGCCCCAGCCTCCTGAGTAGTGTGGTGTATGCCACCACACCTGGATAATTTTTGTATTTTTAGTAGAGACAGGGTTTCACCATGTTGGCCAGGCTGGTCTCAAACTCCAAATGTCAGTTGATCCGCCTGCCTTAGCCTCCTAAAGTGCTGGGATTACAGGTGTGAGAGTATGGTTGTAGAATTCTGTTCTTTATGCAACATACAAATCCTGAGACCCTTCCTAAGCTAGACATAAGAGCACCACTAAAAGAGATGACACTAGTAGTCAAATTCACATCCTATTTCTGGGTGTCTCCATTATTTTTACCTGGGAACAGGTGGTGGAGGAGGTGCAGCTCCCCGGCCTCTCACTGGCACCCCACGTCCACGAGAGGGTTCAGGTACTCCATTCAAGTAGGACAGCTCTAGAAATTGCTCCTGACAGATATCATCCATCATATCCTGGGAACGAAAGATACAAGGAGTATTGTGTGGTATCTACACTTTCTACTGAGAAATCATCTGGTCCACGGGAGACTTGAATTCTAAGAAGAGCTCTTGAGAGCCCAGATGAGGTCTCAGGTCATTCCTTCTCTGAAGTCAAATGGCACCCTATCTGTCACCTCTTTGAGAAAAGTCTTGATGGTAGACCCCTCATTATTCATAATGTGGTCTCTGCCTAGCTCTCCGGATCACTTCCATTCTCTCTCTATATATAACCTACTCACAAGCCAGACTGAACAACTTGTAGTTCAGAGCCTGGCATACTCTTACATATCCATTCTTTGCAAATAGTTTCCTTTTCCTGGAATAATAAAAGCCACTACCATTAATGGAGCTGTATGCACTTGGCTCTATATAATAAGCTTTATATAGATTTTTCAGTTTAATCTTCAAAATGAGGGCCGGGTGCAGTGGCTCACGCCTGTAATCCCAGCACTTTGGGAGGCCGAGGCGGGCAGATCACGAGGTCAGGAGATCGAGACCACCCTGGCTAACACGGTGAAACGCTATCTCTACTAAAAATACAAAAAAATTAGCCGGGCGCGGCAGGCACCTGTAGTCCCAGCTACTCGGAAGGCTGAGGCAGGAGAATGGCGAGAACCCGGGAGGCGGAGCTTGCAGTGAGCCAAGATAGCGCCACTGCAGTCCGGCCTGGGCGAAAGAGAGAGACTCCATCTCAAAAAAAAAAAAAAAAAAAAAAAAAATCTTCAAAATGACCCTGAAATAAGTAGGCAGATCTCCACATTTTACAGTTAAGAAAACAGACTCAAGGAGTATACATCAACCAGCTTAAGAACACAGAGCTAATAAATGGCAGACTCTAGATGTGAATTCAGAATTACCTGTCTCAAAATCTAGGTGTTGGATCAACAGGCTTTTTTGTCCTTATACTGTCTTTTTTGTCCACCTGAGGGATTCTTAATTCATCCTTACAAGACTTGCCTAAATAAGTGTCTCTTGAAAAACTTTCTCTTGATGCCACCCCTACAACTCCTCTTTTCTCAAAGTACCACATAATTCCCTATACCCAAGCACTTACCACATAATTTTAGAATTGTCTGTCACTAAACTGTAAGCTCTTTAGGAGCCATTTTTGTAACTTTACACCCAAGCATAGTATCAGACATCTGACAGATACTTAAGAAATGTTTGGGACGAACAAGAAACCTGAAGCTCAGAAAAGTGAAATGATAACCTGTTCAGGAAGACACAGATAGACAGACATACATAGTCCAGTGCTCTTCCTACGGCACTGTGAAGCATTGCTGGTATAGTTAATTGTTCTAAGTGGAAAATGGAGGGCTCTGGTCACAGATGCAAAAATAGCCTCACTTTTCTTTCCTCCACAAGAGGGAAAAATCAAATGCCACTGGCAAATCTTTTCACACTTCCTATTGAGAGCCATTCAGTCTTAATACTTCATGCATTTTTATATATCCCAGGCGTATACAGCTTCAATAGATGATGCTAGTCTTTGATGCCCCCCTCAACTCTCTAGCTCCTCCTACCTTACACATTACCGCTGCTTGAGACTCACACCTTGGAGAATCAAGTAACCAATGCCAGACCATTGCTCAGACTCCTCCAACTGCCACATCAACACTGAGGAAACCCACATCTCCCCGGCAAGCATCTTTTTCAAAAGATTCACTTACAAGCAAGCCTCATAAACCTAACCCTTCTGAGGAATATGAGGGAGACTAACAATGAAGAGAGGAGATGGGCATTCCCTCTGCAGTCCTTTGGAAATTGAATGGCTTGGGTGATCAATAGAACACCCCAAAAAGAGTAAAAAGAATTTCCTTAAGATTATTAACCAGCTGTGTTTTTCTCTAGGATATGTTAAATGGTCTGTTTCATGTTGAACATTCTTTTTTTTTTTTTTTTGAGACAGAGCCTCACTCTGTCACCCAGGCCAGAGTGCAGTGGCGCAATCTCGGCTCACTGCAAGCTCCGCCTCCCGGGTTCATACCATTCTCCTGCCCCAGCCTCCCGATTAGCTGGGACTACAGGCGCCTGCCACCACGCCCAGCTAATTTTTTTTTTGAATTTTTAGTAGAGACGGGGTTTCACCATGTTAGCCAGGATGGCCTTGATCTCCTGACCTCGTGATCCACCCGCCTCGGCCTTCCAAAATGCTGGGATTACAGGTGTGAGCCACCGCGCCCTGCCTCATGTTGAACATTCTAATGAAGATGAGGTACTTGAAAGCAAAGCAGCTGCTAAGACATTTGAGACTGTTGGAATCCTTGGAGTTCAGCATTATGGGTACACAATGCCTAAAAACTTATTTATTTATTTTTTTTGGAGATGGAGTTTCACTCTTGTTGCCCAGGCTGGAGTCCAATGGTGCAATCTCAGCTTACCGCAACCTCTGCCTCCTGGGTTCAAGTGATTCTCCCGCCTCAGCCTCCCTAGTAGCTGGGATTACAGGCATGTGCCACCACGCCCGGCTAATTTTGTATTTTTAATAGACAGGGTTTCTCCATGTTGGTCAGGCTGGTCTCGAACTCCCGACCTCAGGTGATCTGCCCTCCTCGGCCTCCCAAATTGCTGGGATTACAGGCGTGAGCCACCGTGCCTGGCCCACACTGCCTATAAATTTTTGCCCTATCAATTTTCACATCATCTGACACCACATTTAGTTCTAATTCCCTCATTTAACATTCAAGAAAACCAAGGACTGTATCTTACCTCCTCCTAGTTTTCTGATGAACACATGACGCTTACTCAATTCTACTTAATAATATTCCAAATCCTTCATAAGTCTCCAGATTCATCCTTGTTATTAAATATTCAACAGTAGTATGTTAACTCTGACAACCACCAGGCCTTGCTAAAAGGCAAAAATAGTACCATTTCCTATTTATTCAAAGTAATATTCCAACCAAGTATTCAAAGGTGGTAACAAGCAAGATAGATAAACTGGCCTGTCCCATCTCTATCTAGTCCTCAGTAATAGTCTGAAAAAAGCTGCTCACCTATCTGTTAAACATCAATAGTCAACCTCTTCCAAACTAAACTCGTCCTCAGCAAACTCCTCCAGGAAAGAAATCCCTGAGTGTGCTCAGGTCAGAATTTAACCCAATAACACTAGATGCTATAAGCTTCTTGCTGCTAGTCTCTACTCTCTACAGCATGAACTTCTTGAGTGCAGAGACCCACCTTAGTCACTTTCCTAACACAATCTCCTTGTTCCACACTACTACCAAAATACTCAGCTAGGTGAAGACCCTGTTAAACCTTAGTTAACCAAATATCAGAATGCAGGCACACTGTGGACCCGAGATACTGACAAGATACCGGTACACAATGAAAACCACATTAGACAAGGAGGGATAGAGTGGCCTTGGAGCATAATGCTTTGAGAACTAGGTGCAAGTAACGAACTACCTAAGGAAAATGAACATAAGTGCAGAATTTGGTATACATACAGGTTATGCAGAGACCTTAGTTAAGAACCCCTACCTTCACAACAGTATAAGATCCCAGTTCTCTTTTGCTCAGAAGACACAGGATATGGATTTCCTTACCGGTACTAGAAATTTCTTGACTTCCTCCATGGCATGGGCCATAAGAGCATAAGCCTCACATGGGGGTCCAAAGACTTCAATGAAGACATGCAGATCCATATTCAAGTGGGCATATTTGGGGTCTCCACCTTTGCGCAGCTCTTCCTCCTATGGAAAAATGCAGAGAAATGTCACACCATGGACTAGGGAGAAAACACCACCTTTACCTCTAAGCCAAAGGAACAGCAAGAAATACCCCTAATGTCCATGAAAAACAGTAAAGTTAATTGGTATGAGCTGAGAAGAATTAAACAAAAAAAGAAAAAAGAAAAAAGAAAAACAGTAAAGTTTAAGAAAGTAAAACAAGCAGCCAGGCGCGGTGGCTCACGCCTATAATCCCAGGACTTTGGGAGACTGACGCGGGAGGATCACAAGGTCAGGAGTTCGAGACCAGTCTGACCAATGTGATGAAGCCCCGTCTCTACTAAAAATACAAAAATTAGCCGGGCATGGTGGCGCACGCCTGTAATCCCAGCTACTCAGGAGGCTGAGGCAGGAGAATTGCTTGAACCCGTGAGGTGGAGGTTGCAGTGAGCCACTGCACTCCAGCCTGGGCAATAGAGCAAGGCTCCCTCTCAAGAAAAAAAAAAAAAGTAAAACAAACTCTCAAGAACAGTAATTTGCACAGCCTGCTAAACTTGCACATGGTCTGCTGCTTACAGTTAATTGTTGTCTTAAATCCCTGAGATATCCATTGGAGCTCCTACTAAAAGCATAAAGAAGAAAAACTTAATTCTAGTCTATTCAGATAATAGCTGTTTGCCAAGCATTTGTTTTTAAATCACAGGTAGAGCTGTTAATCACCACGAGCTCTGCTTATCTGCTTATATGGTCTAGGGAGTGGTAGGGGAAGAAAGAAGTCAGGACAGAGGGAAGAAAAGCTCATGTAAATCTCATTAGTTAGAACACACTTCAGCCGTAACTATATGCATCTAGCAAGAAATGACCTGAGAAAACAAACATGTGTCCATTAGACTACATAAAAGGAGGGTTGAAAGAATTGGTTTTTGGACTGTAGCAGGAATATCTCATCAAATAAGGTGACCCCAGAAGGCTAAGACTATTCTGTTTTGGTGAGAAGTTTCTTGTCACAGAGTACACAGCGTACGCGGCTATGGCATGGGGAAAAAAAAGACGCATTAGATTCTGTAGTCAGGATTACTCATGGTTCCTTTTGGAATACATTCTTTTAGTGAGCCTCACATTCCAAACCGGCTATAAAACAAACCAACTAATCCTCAAACTCATCTGCTCTCACATTATTGTTCTCACTTTTCCAGGTTACAAAAAAGGGGGTGTGCTATTTGCATTTTAGCGTCTTTTGTCTGCTTTAGACTAAATTTTAGTATATTCAGTTCCCCTTTCAAGTTTTCACAGACAATCCTACCAATGCGCAACATGCTACTGCTGTTTCCATTACTACACAGTCAAAAAGTCCAAAAGAAAACTATCACCAGGGCACACCTAGGCTCTTCCAGGGTTGCCAAGCCAAGTAAATTAACTTGGTGTATAATCTCTTGCATCCAGTGCAAACTTAAAGGAGCCACATTCTGTACACATACAAAATTCTTGCCGCCTCTATAAGACATCCATACTGCATTCTGGGCAAGTAGAAGGCATTAGGATGTCCTCTTGCCTCACTAATGTGAGCTTACCTTGGCTTTGTCTCTCATTGAGCCCTTTCCCAATACAGAGATCTTTGCACCAGTCTCTTCCTGCAGTCTTTTGATTGTATTCCCTTGTGGTCCAAGAATCTTCCCCACAAAATTGAACTGACAGAAAATAGAGGATTTCTAAATATACATGCTACTATATAAAAACATTTCCACATAAATTACCTCACTTGATTTTAAACAACCCTGCAAAGGTAGAGTATTACCATTCCCATTTTACTGAAGGACACTGAAGCCATATTAATAAAGTGATTAGCTTAAGGTTATGAAACTAGAAAGTGGCAGTTCCTAGACCTGAATTTGGCTTTTCTGATGTATTCTGGTGCTCTTCCATAATACATTAAGACCTTTACTATTTTATTTTTTACTTTATTTTGAGACAGGCTCTCACTCTGTTGCCCAGGCCAAAGTGTAGTGACACAATCATGGCTCATCACAGCCTCAACTTTCTGGACTCAAGTGATCCTCCTGCCCCAGCCTCCAGAGTAGCTGGGTACAGGTGCACACCACAACACCAGGCTAATTTTTGTATTTTTTGTAGAGATGGGGTTTCGCTATGTTGCTCAGGCTGGTCTTGAACTCCTGGGCTCAAGCAATCTGCCTGCATCGGCCTCCCAAAGTGCTGGCATTACAGGCATGAGCCACTGTGCCTGGCCCAGCACTTAACATACATCAACATTTTTAAGGCAGTGACCTCAGAACAGAAGAGACTATATAGCACCCTTTGATAACACGCTGGATAAACTAAATGTAACTAAATGCTTTCCTAAAAAAAAAAAAAGGAAGAAAAAAAGCATTTACTTAAAAGTAAACTTTTAGTAAGAAAATAAAATTAACTTCAACCAATTGAGGATTCATATTATATTTCCTTTTATTTAGATTTCAGGTTAGTCTTTTGACAAAGAGCAACTCTTCAGGTTTTAATTTTTTTTTCTTTGAACTTGTAGCCTGAGCAATCATTTGAGAAAGAAACTTTTTGATAATAAAAAGATGATTATATTTCCTTCCTGGCTATAGCTATGTTATTAGTTAAGAACTTAGATATTTCAACTCTCAGTAACAGGTACTACAAGCATGAAAGAGAAGCTTCACAGGCTTAAGTTTCTAAAGCATCACAATCCCCAGGAGTCTTTATTATAGCCCATGACTCTCTCATAACTATAAAGATAACTCAAAGATCCAAAGCACTTTTTGCCTTACCTTGGGATACTGCTTGACAGGTATCAGCACTCGCTCTTTCAGTTTCATGTTCTTATGAGAAAATAAATCCAAGTAATTCTCCTCATCATCCTTTTTTGAGTCTCCTTTCTGAATCTTCTCAATTTCTGAATAGGAAAAACAATTTATTTTTGCCCTGGTAAATAAATGCAAATTTTGAAGTCTGCTTAAAGCAATAACATGGAATACCATATAGTGAAACCAAATAGTTCACACAAATGTGCCAATTTCAGAAAGAAACTAGCTGAAAGCACTAAAGCTATATGAAGTTGACTAGAAAGCCCAAAGCCTGCTTCTAATAAAAGAAGTGTACTCTTCCACCCTCACCTGAAGCCATGACAACAGAGACATTTAAATGTTTCTTAAATCAATTTAACAAAATTAATTGGGTGAGATGGGGGAAAGGAGAATAAAGAAACAAACAAAAAAATCAAAATCTGCATCAAGACAAAGTATAATCTTACCTTGAAAAAAACAAAAGTAAATAATCTAAATATACAATGGATAGTTCCATTAAAGTTCCACGGTGACATTAGTACTCTAGATACTAGTCCTTAAGAGTCTGAAAGACCTTATTCTTACTCTGCTACTCACTAGTCGTGTGACCTAAGTTAATAAAATACGTAGATATGCCTAATTAAGGCCAATTTTTCATAAAGTACTTAATATATCGTTACCGTTATCTAGCCCAAATTCAGCCAATGCCTAAATGATACAAAATGCACAAGGTACTTTTTTTTCTTTTTTGAAATGGAGTTTCGCTCTTTTTGTCCAGGTTGGAGTGCAATGGCATGATCTCGGCTCACTGCAACCTCTGCCTCCTGGGTTCAAGCAATTCTTCTGCCTCAGCCTCCCAAGTAGCTGGGATTACAGGTGTGTGCCACCATGCCCGGCTAATTTTGTATCTTTAGTAGAGAAGGGTTTTCTCCATGTTGGTCAGGCTGGTCTCGAACTCCCGACCTCAGGTGATCCGCCTGCCTCAGCCTCCCAAAGTGCTGGGATTACAGGCGTGAGCCACCGCGCCCAGCCACCAGGTACTTTTTAAAAAAACATTTTATTGAAGTATAACTGATATGTAAAAAGTTATACATAATTAATGTATACAATGATGAGTGTGGAGATAAGTATACACCCATGAAACCATCACCACCATCATGGGCACAGACATATCCATCATCACCTAAAAGTACTTTCAATTCGCGGGTTAAGACAGTTTCATTAGATAGAAACTTGGCATACAAAAAGATTTCCTACCATTAAGGAACTTCATTCATTGAGTGACTGCAAGTGTTTGAGTGCTTCCTATAGTATGGAGAGGCAGATGAAGGGAGGGCTATAATAGGTACAATCATTAACCACTATGGAGGACTTAATAAGAGCCAGACATCTGTCTTGCAAAGCACAGGAGATACAATAGAGCGAGTCAGACTGGTCTCTTGTCTTCACTGTTTATATACTGGAGTTCCCAGACTATAGAGGTGGCAATGAAGTAAAGTACTATAACAGGAGTTCTAATAGAGATGAGGGCAGAGTGCCCAAGGATGAGTAGCAACTGAAAGCTTATATGATCCACTGAGAGTAGTTAAAAAAAAAAAAAATAGGCCAGGTGCGGTGGCTCACGCTTGTAATCCCAGCACTTTGGGAGGCTGAGGCAGGAGGATCACAAGGTCTGGAAATCGAGACCATCCTGGCTAACACGGTGAAACCCCATCTCTACTAAAAATACAAAAAAAATTTAGCCGGGCGTGGCGGTGGGCACCTGTAGTCCCAGCTACTAGGGAGGCTGGGGCAGGAGAATGGCATGAACCCAGGAGGCAGAGCTTGCAGTGAGCCGAGATCGCGCCACTGCACTCCAGCCTGGGCGACAGAGCGAGACTCTGTCTCAAAAAAAAAAAAAAAAAAAAGTATATATAGTATATATATATACGTGTATATATATATACTCCCTAAAATCAGTGGAACATTCTAAATATCAGAGAATAGTCTGTAATAGAATATTACATAACATTCCCATCTTCTATAATTTTAAGGCGGGGGTTCTCAAACTTCTTCATGCATCACAATCACCTAGAAGAGGGCTTATTAAACTAGATTGCTGGGCTTCAAAGCCAGTCTGGGATTTGTGTTAGGAATTTGCATTTCCAACAAGTTCCCAGGTAATTCTGATATTGCTGGTCCAGGGACCATACTTTGAAAACCATTGGCTTGAAGTATAAAGACACCCTACCTCAAACACGTTCCACAAATCTATACCCTTAACAGTTTTTATTTATTAATTATTATTTTTTGAGACAAAGTCTCGCTCTGTCACCCAGGTTGGAGCGCAGTGGTGCAATCTCTGCTCACTGGAACCTCTGCTTCCCGGGTTCAAGCGATTCTCCTGCCTCAGCCTTCCGAGTAGCTGGAACTACAGGCATGCGCCACTATGCCCGGCTAATTTTTTTCCCTATTTTTAGTAGAGATGGGGTTTCACCATGTTGGCTGGGCTGGTCTCGAACTCCTGACTTCAGATGATCCACTCGCCTCGGCCTCCCAAAGTGCTGGGATTACAGATGTGAGCCACCGTACTGGCCTAACAGTTTTTAAAATAAATATTTAGAGAGGTGCAGCTGTGAAATATATAGACGAAGAAAAATAACTTTGACTCTGACATGCCTTAGAGAATTTAGAATTTCAGACTGAATGCTTGTTTGTTAAAAAGCCTAATTTCAGATGCTATACTATACCATGAACTAATAGACACATACTTCCTGGTTTTCTGACAATTAAAATTGCTGATGAATTGTAAATATCCTTAATTAAAAACCTTTACTCCTATGAGAAGAACTGTAAATGACAGTGCTCTTCACAATCCTGTTTCAGTGCTTGGAATAGAAAACAAATTTGACCTTACAGTTAACAGAGTAATGCTTCATTCAACAGTCTACTTGTGAGGGTAATCCTAACCCTAACCCTTACTGTTTGGTGGCAGATCCTGACCTCTACTTCTTTTCCCCTACTGCTAATATACTTTTTCTGATCAATCTTTTTGAGCCTACTGTACCTGACTACACCACTTTCTAAGTTCTCAGACTGGAAAACTTAGTTATTCAATCCTCAAAGTCCTAGAAGAACAAAGATGCCATAATTCTGATCTGAGAACATCACCAAGGAGCTTTTAATAATGTGGAACAGGCCAGGAGAGGTGGCTCATGCCTGTAATCCCAGCACGTTGGGAGGCCAAGGTGGGCAAATCACCTGAGGTCAGGAGTTCGAGACCAGCCTGGCCAACGTGGTGAAACTCCATCTCTACTAAAAAAATATATACATAGACCGGGCGCGTTGGCTCACGCCTGTAATCCCAGCAGTTTGGGAGGCTGAGGTGGGCGGATCACCTGAGGTCAAAAATTCGAGACCAGCTTGGTCAACATGGGGAAACCCCGTCTCTACTAAAAATATAAAAATTAGCCAGGCGTGGTGGTGTGCACCTGTAATCCCAGCTACCGAGGAGGCTGAGGGAGGAGAATCGCTGGAACCCGGGAGGCAGAGGCTGCAGTGAGCTCAGATTGCGCCACTGCACTCCAGCTTGGGCGATAGGGCAAGACTCCATCACAACAACAAAAAAGAATGTGGAACAAATTAGATACTTCATTTTATCTATGTCGCTTTGTGCTTCCGAGGGCTACCATTGAGTTAGACCTTTCAGCTGTATTTTATACCACTTTCCAGAAACCTTGGTCAGTGCAAGACGATTCAAAGTCTGTTCATCTGCTATACTCCTACAAGAAGGTGTGTTTATATGCAATGTAATGCACTCTGTGAATTTAAGGCCTTTCATTTTTTCATTTCTTAAAGACCAGTGTGATAGTATAAGACCTTTCTATAACATGGATTCTTCTATTTTTGAACTACTCAGATCTTAGAATCCTTCTGTCCAATTATTTCACAACTTTTTAAAGAATAGCAGTGGCCAGGCATGGTGGCTCACACTTGTAATCTCAGCATTTGGGGAAGCTGAGGCAGAAGGATCACTGGAGCCCAGGAGTTTGGGACCAGAGCGGGCAACATAGTGAGACCCCTTCTCTATAAAAAATAACAAATTAGTCAGGCATGGTGGTATGCGCCTGTGGTCCCAGCTATTTGGGAGGCTGAGGCAGGAGGATAAGCAGTTGGAGGCTGTAGTGAGCCAAGATCATGCCACTGCATTCCAGCCTGGGTGACAGAGTAAGGCCCTGTCTCAAAAAAGCAAAGGAAAGCATTTTTAGAGAATTCAGAGAAGGATCATTTAAATAAAACAGAGGGTTGAAAAGAGAATCAGAATTTTAACCTACAAAGCAAAGGACTGGTTGGGCACAGTGGCACATGCGCTTGTAATCCCAGTGCTTTGGGAGGCTGAAGCAGGATGACTGCTTTGAGCCCAGGAGCTTGAGACCAGCTTGGGCAACACAGCGAGACCCTGTCTCTACCAAAAATAAATAAATAAATAAATAAATAAATATATATATATATTTAAATTAGCTGGGTGTAGTGGTACCTGCCTATTATCCTAC
Source organism: Homo sapiens (assembly GCF_000001405.40). Classification (NCBI taxonomy): domain Eukaryota; kingdom Metazoa; phylum Chordata; class Mammalia; order Primates; family Hominidae; genus Homo; species Homo sapiens. The sequence goes on along the minus strand of NC_000001.11, from coordinate 32,025,875 downwards.
CTACTCAGGAGGCTGTGGTGGGAAGATCGCTTGAGCCCAAGAGTTCAAGGCTGCAGTGAACTATGATGACTGTGCAACTGCACTCCAGCTTGGGTATCGAAGGGAGAGAGGAGGGGAGAGGGGAGAAAGGGAGGAAGGAAGGAGGGAAGGGAGGGAGGGAAGAAGGGAGGGGGCAGGAAGGGAGGCAGGGAGGGGATGAAGGGAGAGGGAGAGGGAAGAAAAGGAAGCAAGCAGAAGACTAAGAAGCTACTCGAGCTTTCAAGAAGGGTGGAGGGGGCCAGGCGCTGTGGCTCATGCCTGTAATTCCAGCACTTTGGGAGGCTGAGGCGGGTGGATCACCTGAGGTCAGGAGTTCGAGACCAGCCTGACCAATACAGTGAAACCCCATCTCTATTAAAAGTACAAAAATGAGCTGGGCATGGTGGCGTGTGCCTGTAGTCCCAACTGTTTGGGAGGCTGAGACAGAAGAATTGCTTGAACCCGGGAGGCGGAGGTCACAGTGAGCTGAGATCGTGCCACTGCACTCTAGCCTGGGTGACAGAGCGAGACTCTGTCTCAAAAAAAAAAAAAAAAAAAAAAAAAAGGAGGAGCCGAATTTTTTTTTTTTTTTTGAGATAGGGTCTCACTCTGTCACCCAGGCTGGAATGAGTGGCACAATAATGGCTCACTGTAGCCTCAACCTCCTGGGTTCAGGCGATCCTCCCACCTCAGCACCCCCAGTAGGTGCAACCATAGGCGCGTGCCACCATGCCTGGCTAATTTTTTTTATTTGTAGAGATGGGGTCTCCCTATTTTGCCCAGGTTGGTCTTGAACTCCTGGGCTCAAATGATCCTTCCACTTCGGCCTCCCAAAGTGCTGGGATTATAGGCGTGACCTACTATGCTCCCCCCGCCTTTTTTTTTGTTTGTTTTAAAGAGATGGGTTCTCTACTGCCTAGGCTGAAGCATAGTGACACCATCATAGTTCACTGCAGCCTCGAACTCCTGAGCTCAAGTGATCCTCCCACCTCAGCCTCCCCAGTAGCTAGGACTAAAGGTGCGTGCCACCTTACCCAGGTAGGGCTGAATATTTATTTGATGCCTACTATATATCAAATACCATAGAACTATTACCTCATTAATCCTCAAAAATAACTCAGTGAACTGAGTTACTTACATCTGAGGCAACAAAAACTCAAAGAGGTTAAATAACTATCTCTAGGTCATAAAATTGTTAAAGTAACAGAACAAGAATTAAAAACCCACGCCTGGCTGGGCACAGGGGCTCACATCTATAATCCCAGAACTTTGGGAGGCCGAGGTGGGAGGATTGCTTGAGCCCAGGAACTTGAGACCTGCCTGGGCAACAGAGTGAGATCCCATCTTTACTAAAATTAAAAAAAAAAAAAATAAATTAAATTAGCTCAGTGTGGTGGCGTACAACTGTTGTCCCAGTTACTAGAGAGGCTGAGGCAGGACGATCACTTGAGCCCAGGAGTTGGAGGCTGTGGTGAGCCATAATGGGCGCCACTGCATTCCAGCTTGGGTGACAGAACAAGACCCTGTCTCTAAAAAAAAATTAATAAAAAATTTTAGAAAACCCCCAAACTCAGGCCTTTAGGCCTTTTCTGACTTTTTTTTTTTGAAACGAAGTCTCACTCTGTCGCCCAGGCTGGAGTGCAGTGGCACAATCTCAGCTCACTGCAACCTCTGCCTCCCAGGTTCAAGCAATTCTCCCTACCTCAGCCTCCTGAGTAGCTGGGATTACAAGCATCTGCCACCACGCCCAGCTAAATTTTGTATTTTTAGTAGAAAAAAGGTTTCACCATGTTGGCCAGGCTGGTCTTCAACTCCTGATCTCAGGTGATCCACCCACCTTGGCCTCCCAAAGTGCTGGAATTACAGGCGTGAGCCACCGCGCCAGGCCTCTAACTTCTAATTTCATGCTTTTCCTATTGTCTCTTGATGAGTGTGTGTTTGTGGGGGGCACACTTTATTTAAGCAAGGAAGAGCTGACTTTTATAAAATTTTAAGTACAATTTATACCCTCAGACACTGGCATGTGGCCTAAAGGTAATAAAAGGGCTTTATGGGTGTCTCAGATGTTCAGTTGTCTGATGGTCTGGTCTTTCTTTTTTCTTTTTCAACTCTGTATGTCTCTCCTTGTCCTTGCTTTCCCCGGAGAGCTAGAGTAGACTGAAATGGGAAGACAAAAAATCAAGGAGGAGCTTCCTAAAAATGGTTTAACCTCAGGCAAAAGTACTTTCTAGACAACCCTTTTGGAACTGACTCCTTTAAGTAATCTTTGCTTGGGTCTCTGGAGACCTTGGATATCCCAAGGGCCAAAGAAAACAAAGCTGAGGTGTAAACAACACAAGAGGTGACCCATTTGTTTCCCAGCCACTCAGAATAATCATATCTTATCCAATGCCTTCTATGCGTCAGGAATTTTGTATTTATTATTTCACTTTGTCTTTGTAACCAGTATTATCTTCATTTGACAGATGAAGAAACCCGGGCTCAGAAAAGCTATATAACTTGTCCAAGATCTCAAAACTAATTAGTGACATAGCAGATACTTAAACCCAAGTCACTTCTTATACCAAAGAAAGTAAATTCAGTTAACCTTTCAAAATTTCCTTCATCTTTTACTATAACTTAACCTTTCCCACCCCCCACTTTTGTTTTTTTTGTAGATTTTATCCCAACCAGACTATAAGCTTCCACGTTGCTTAATATATCTTGGAGGAAAGACAAGGGTTTTGAAGCTAGACAAAGTGGGTTTGATTCCCAGCTCTCCTACATGCTTGGTGTATGACTTTAAAAGAGAATGTTAATAAGAAAAATAGTAAGAAAAAAAGAGAGAGGGCGAAAAAGAGATGTAACTCACACAAAAAAAGTTAATATTAGAGAAGTCTGGGAAAATTATATACCAACTTTATCAACTGGTCTGGCTTAACTAAAAAATCAATACAAATATATCATTAACTGAACTTTTTTTTTTTTTGAGACAGGGTCTTGCTCTGTCACCCACACTGGAGTGCAGTGGCGCAATTTTGGCTCACTGCAACCTCCGCCTCCCGGGTTCAAGCAATTCTCCTGTCTCAGCCTCCCGAGTAGCTGGTGACTATAGGCGCATGCCACCACACCTGGCTAATTTTTGTATTTTTAGTAGAGACGGGGTTTCACCGTGTTAGCTAGGATGGTCTCGATCTCCTGACCTTGTGATCCACCTGCCTCGGCCTCCCAAAGTGTTGGGATTACAAGCGTGAGCCACCGCGCCCGGCCAACTGAACGTTTGATATGGCCTGCATAAGGAACAAGACAATGGTCAAGATTTTCTAAGTATCCAGAGCGAGTATTTCTAGGAGAGCAAGATTCTCAGAACTGCTCTAAAAGGTCAGGGTTCATTTCATACCCTCCTCTAGACTCCCACTATACTTGGTTCTACACTTCTAAACACAGCACTCCTCCTTTGCCTGTTGTTAACAATCTCTGGACTCCTTCCATTGCTGAGTGTCTGTAATTCTTAGTACAGTACAATGCTTGATACACAACAGGCATCTATAATCATTAACCGAATTAAAAGAAATGTACCGGCTGGGGCGCGGTGGCTCACACCTGTAATCCCAGCACTTTGGGAGGCCAAGGTGGGCAGGAGATCGAGACTATCCTGGCCAACATGGTGAAACCCTGTTTCTACTATGGTGAAACCCTGTCTCTACTAAAGATTTAAAGATTTACTCTAGCTAAATCTAAAAACTGGTTGGGCGTGGTGGCGCGCTCCTGTAGTCTCAGCTACTCAGGAGGCTGAGAGAGGAGAATCGCTTGAACCCGGGAGGTGGAGGTTGTAGTGAGCCGAGATCATGCCACTGCACTCCAGTCTCCAGCCTGGGTGACAGAGCAAGACTCCATCTCCTTAAAAAAAAAAAAAAAAGAAATGTGCCGCTGGGTGTGGTGCCTCACGCCTATAATCCCAGCACTTTGGGAGGCTGAGGCAGGCAGATAACCTGAGGTCAGAAGTTCAAGACCAGCCTGGCCAACACAGTGAAACCTTGTCTCTACTAAAAATACAAAACTTAGCCAGGCGTGGTGCCGCCTGCCTGTCAAAAATTAGCCAGGTGTGGTGTCATGCGCCTGTAATCCCAGTTACTTGAGAGGCTGAGGCACAAGAATCGCTTGAACCCGGGAAGCAGAGGTTGCAGTGAGCCAAGATTGCGTTACTGCACTCCAGCCTGAGTGACATAGTGAGAACCTGTTTCAAAAAAAAACAAATACAAAAAAGTATGGTTAACACCCTCAACTTCCCTTAAACAACTCACATGACTTTATCATCCCCAAATTTATAATTCTCAACTTTTCTGTTGGTATCATCTTTTGGAATCAGAAGTCCCATAAGCTTACTATTGCAAAACAACTTCATTTGTTTTATTTATCAAATTACTTATTGTTTCAAGCAAGAGCACAAAGCCAATAGGTTCTTTATTTTTTTTGGAATCATGGGTCCCTCTGAGAATTTGATGGAAGCTACTGATTAGCAACCCAGAAAAAAATATAAACTCATAATATATTATATACAATATTGGCTATGGGTATAGAAAGGCTGGGTATTGGTTAAAAAAAAATCCCCCAAAGGCCTGTTACAAGCCCTTTCATATGGGCTCAATTTTTACATTCCAGGACAGTAGAAAACTCTGTCATATTGACTATGGTCTCCCAAATCTTTTCCTTAGTGCACAATTTAGAGCTTTGCAACTTTGAAAATTTTTTTTTTTAATTTTAAGGCAATTTTAGATTTATATGCAGTTCTAAGAAATAACAGAGATCCTGTATACTTTAGTTTTCCCCATAACATTTTGCATATCTGTATCACAATCAGAAAATTAACATTAAAATAAGAAAATTTGTTGTACAGGTTTCATGGAAAAAAAATTAACAATTGACTTTATTAGGATTTCACCACCTTTACATGTACTTGTTTGCTTAGTTCTATGCAATTTAATCAGACTCATGTGACCACCACCTCAGTCAAGATACAGAACAGTTCCATCATGAGGATCCTTACCCTTTGATAGCCAGTCACCGTTTTCCCTCATCTCTCACCACTGGCAACCACTAATATAGTCTTCATCTCCACTATTCTGTTTCTTCAAGAATGTTATATTAATGAAATCATATAGTATGTAACCTTTTGAGATTGGCTTTCTTCACTCAGCTTAATTCTCTTGTGATCAAGCAAGTTGCTGCATTTATTAACAGTTCCTTTTTTTTTTTTTTTTTATTGCACAGTACTGTTCCACTGTATGGGTGTGCCAGTTTATTGGAGGCATTTGGTTTGTTTCCAGTTTTTGGCTACTATGAATAAAGCTGCTGTGAACATTCATGTACAGGTTTTGTGTTGAGTTTTAATTTCCCTGAAATAAATACCCAAGAATGCAACTGTTGAACGATACGGTAAGCACGTTTTTTTTTTGAGACAGGATCTCACTGTTGCCCAAGCTGGAGTGCAGTGGCACGATCTCAGCTCAAGGCAGCCTCGACCTCCTGGGTTCAAGCGATTCTTCCACCTCAGCCTAAGACCAATCTCCTGGGTTCAAGTGATCCTTCTGCTTCAGGCTCCCGGGTAGTTGGGACTATGGGTGTGTGCCGCCATTCTCAGCTAATTTTTAAATTTTCTGTAGAGACAAGCTCTCACTAGGGCTCAAGCAATCCTCTCACCTTGGCCTCCCAAAGTCCTGGGATTACAGGCATGAGCCACCATGCCCAGCCAATAAGCACATTTAGTTTTGTAAAAAACAAAAAACAAACAAACAAACAAAACCTGCATTGGGCTGGGCATGGTGGCTCACACCTGTAACACAGGCACTTTGGGAGGCTGAAGAGGGAGGATCATGGTCAGGAATTTGAGACCAGCCTGGCCAACACGGTGAAACCCCATCTCTACTAAAAATACAAAAATCAGCCGGGCATGGTGGTGGGCGCCTGTAATCCCACCTACTCGGGAGGCTGAGGCAGGAGAACTGCTTGAAACCGAAAGGTAGAGGTAGCAGTCAGCCAAGATCGCGCCACTGCACTCCAGCGTGAGCGACAGAGCGAGACTCAATCTCAAAACAAACAAACAAACAAAAAAACAAAACCTGCAATATCACAGATAAATGTATACTTAATGATATTCTGCTTTATCTTACTAGGCTTTGTTTTATAGAAATAGTATTATACTGTATGTAGTCTTATGGGATGTACTTTCTTCATATAACATTAGATTTTGGAGATTTCTCCATGTTGTTGCCTGCAGCTATAGTTCATCCATTTTCACTGCTGTACAAATATTTTCTTTTTCTTTCTTTCTTTCTTTTTGTTTTTTTTTGAGATTGAGTTTCACTTGTTGGCTAGATCTCAGCTCACTGCAACCTCTGTCTCCCGGGTTTCAGCAATTCTCCTGCCTCAGCCTTCCAAGTAGCCGGCATTACAGGCACCTGCCACCACGCCCAACTAATTTTTGTATTTTTAGTAAAGACAGGGTTTCACCATGTTGGTCAGGCTGGTCTTAAACTCCTGACCTCAGTTAATCCACCCGCCTCTGCCTCCCAAAATGCTGGGATTACAGGCGTGAGAAACTGTGCCCAGCCAAATATTTTCTGTTGTAAATCTATCACATTATCCAATGAATGGTGAAACAAGTTGCAATGTTTTGTGAACAAGGTACACCATTTCATGAATCAAGTGCTCATGTATAAGTTTCTTTGAGCATATTCCTAGAAAAGGTGTTGCTGGTTTTTTGTTTGTTTGTTTGTTTTTTAAGACAGAGTCTCGCTCTGTCGCCCAGGCTGGAGTGCAGTGGCGGCGCAATCTCGGCTCACTGCAAACTCCACCTCCTGGGTTCAAGTGATTCTCCTGCCTCAGCCTCCTGAGTAGCTGGAATTACAGGCTCCCGAGTAGCTAGGATTACAGGCACGTGCCACCACACCCAGCTATCTTTTGTATTTTTAGTAGAGACAGGGTTTCACCATGTTGGTCAGACTGGTCTCGAACTTCTGACCTCAAGTGATCCGACTGCCTTGGCATCCCAAAGTGCTGGGATTACAGGCATGGGCCACCGCACCTGGCCTTACTCTCCAGTTTGTTTGTTTGTTTGTTTTTGAGACGGAGTCTCACTCTGTCCCCCAGGCTGGAGTGCAGTGGCGCGATCTCGGCTCACTGCAAACTCCGCCTCCCGGGTTCACGCCATTCTCCTGCCTCAGCCTCCCCAGTAGCTGGGACTACAGGCGCCCGCCACTGCGCCCGGCTAATTTTTTTGTATCTTTTAGTAGAGACGGGGTTTCACTGTGTTAGCCAGGATGGTCTTGATCTCCTGACCTCGTGATCCACCCGCCTCGGCCTCCCAACGTGCTGGGATTACAGGCGTGAGCCACCGCACCCGGCCTGTTTGCTTTTTTGAGACGGAGTCTCACACTGTCGCCCAGGCTGGAGTGCAGTGGTGCGATCTTGGCTCACTGCAACCTCCGTCTCCTGAGTTCAAATGATCTTCCTGCCTTAGCCTCCTGAGTAGCTGGGATTACAGGCGCCCACCACCACACCAGGGGTAATTTTTTGTATTTTTAGTAGAGACAGGGTTTCACCACGTTGGCCAGGCTGGTCTCGAACTCCTGACCTCGTGCTTTGCCTGCCTCGGCCTCCCAAAGTGCTGGGATTACAGGCATGAGCCACCAGGCCCGGCCCTTATTTTCCAGTTTTAAAAGCAGGTTTTGCTAGCCCTGTAGAATGAACTGGGAAGGTCTTAATGTATTTCTAGAGAATACTGTAAATAAAGGAATTAACTATTTTGAAGTTTCAACAGACTTTGTAAATGTTTTCCACTGTATGCTTTTGAAGGATGGATTTTTGAGTATCTCTCCAAGATCTTTTGCAGATTGCTAATCTATTCAAAATGTTTATTCTTGAGTCACTTATACTAACTTGTATTTCCCTAATTGTAGAAAGTAGAAAAATAGGCCGGGCGCAGTGGCTCATGCCTGTAATTCCAGCACTTTGGGAGGCCGAGGCAGGCGGATCACCTGAGGTCGGGAGTTTGAGACCAGCCTGACCAACATGGAGAAACCCCGTCTCTACTAAAAATACGAAATTAGCCGGGCGTGGTGGCACATGCCTATAATCCCAGCTACCAGGGAAGCTGAGGCAGGAGAATTGCTTGAACCTGGGAGGTGGAGGTTGCGGTGAGCCAAGATCGCGCCATTGCACTCCAGCCTGGGCAACAAAAGTGCAACTCCGTCTCAAAAAAAAAAAAAAAAAAAAAAAAGTAGAAAAAGAACACTGGTATCTATACAACAGCATTTTACTTACTATATAAATATATTAACACAATAAGGTAAATTATTTCTCTTCCAGAAAACAAAGATAGATGATTGAATCCTTATGTCTGCAGACACATTCGAATATATACAACAGCATTTTACTTAGTATATAAATATATTAACACAATAAGGTAAATTATTTCTCTTCCAGAAAACAAAGATGGATGATTGAATCCTTATGTCTGCAGATACATTCGACAGTCATCACAGCTGAATATCAATCTGGCTAACATAGAAGTCTACATTCAAAATCTACATCCCTCAAAATTTTGTCTTTTTTTTTTTTTTGAGACGGAGTCTTGCTTCTTCACCCAGGCTGGAGTGCAATGGTGCAATCTGGGCTCACTGTAACCTCCAACTCCCGGTTTCAAGTGATTCTCCTGCCTCAGCCTCCCAAGTAGCTGGGATTACAGGCATGTGCCACCACGCCCGGCTAATTTTTGTATTTTTGGTAGAGACGGGGTTTCACCATGTTGGCCAGGCTGGTCTTGAACTCCTGACCTCAAGTGATCCGTCTGCCTCAGCCTCCCAAAGTGTTGGGATTATAGGTGTGAGCCACCGTGCACGGCTGTCATCATTTTTTCATCAGTCCCATCTTCAATGAAGGTGAATATGTATTATTTCGTGAAATATTTAATAAGAGGCCACTCTGTGCAGCACTCTTCAAGGCATAGAAGATACAACGGTGAACAAAGTAGACAAAAGATTCCTGCGCTCTGGTGGAGCTGACATTCTAGCCATGGAGAATGGGTAATCAACAAACAAATACTGTACATAACGACAATATAGTGCAACAGATGCTGATAGTGAAAAATAAAGTAAACCCAGGAAAGGAAGAGGAGAGCTGTGTAGGTGGTACAGGAAGAGTGCTCAGGGTCTCACGGTACCTTATTGGGAATGGTCAAAGGTGCCTGGAGGAGCCACAGTCCCAAGCAGTAGACTCTGCTCTCTGGTTTCCTTTCTGTATCTTAGCCTTATCATCTTCACTGCCCTGTTAACACTGTGATACTTTCAAATATACTTTTTTTTTTTTGGTCACCTATCATCCCAGATAGATTTTAATATTTTGTCCAACTATAGCTTAAAGTACAATTTGCAGCAGGCACTATAGTGAGGGAACGGGGAAGGTGTGTAGACTGACCAAAAATCCTGGTTACGATGCTTACTAATTTTGTTACCTTAGGCAAATTATTAATCTCTGGGTGTCTTGGTTTCCTCATCTGTATAAGTGAGGATAATAAAAGTAAGTTCTCATTTCATTTTATAGGTTAAATATTTAATGTAAAGTGCTCAGACCTCAAACATTAAGTGTTAGCTATATTTTTCTTCCGTGTGTTCTTTTCTTTTTTTTTTTTTTTTCCTTTTTTGAGATGGAGTTTAGCTCTTGTTGCCCAGGCTGGAGTGTAATGGCGCAATCTGGGCTCCCTGCAACCTTCGCTTCCCAGGTTCAAGTGATTTTCCTGCCTCAGCTTCCAAAGTAGCTGGGATCACAGGCGTGCGCCACCACGCGAAGCTAATTTTGTATTTTTAGTAGAGACGGGGTTTCACCATGTTGATCAGGCTGGTCTCCAACTCCTGACCTCGCGATCAGCCCGTCTCGGCCTCCCAAAGTGCTGGGATTACAGGCGTGAGCCACCGCGCCTGCCCCTTCCATGTGATCTTACCAGAGCTTAAATACTACTATTCTATCTTCTCAAAGTCTCACTTCCGCACAATGGGTTGTGACTTCACTGCAATCCCCTTGCAAGATAATTCAGAAATACCTTAAAAGCCAGGCTCAACATATATTAACACTTATCCATGCTAGAAAGAATTCATACATCCCAAACCAACAGTAACCTCAATCACATTTCTCCAATTTCAGTTGGGTTTAAAAAAAATACATCCAGAAAGCCCAAGTTAAAAATAAAGAGCACTCTCTTAGTTAAGCAGTGAGGGGAGACTGAAAATTAAAAGTAACTTTTAAGGATCAACAGTTTTTGACAGTTATCTTAAGAAAGCATAAAAGATGAACACCACACTGGTAAAGATCCCTTACCTTACAGTGTTGGGAGACAGAGAACAAAGGGAGGGAGATAATATTTTCATAATGAACTGTCCATTATATTAACCTTGCCAAAGAGTCCAACTACTCATTCAGTGTTGAAGGATGTGAATTTTTACTTGCTTAGTAAAATTTAGGTATCATAAAAAATATTAAAATAATATTTTAACTAGAAGCGAAAGTCAGACAGCTTTAGGGAAAAATCAGAGCGACTAGGTGATTGGCCAGTGCTGATGAGGAAAAGAGCGCTAACCTACAGAACAAAGACTCTCATTTCTAATCTATTTCACTACTGAATCAAAAATGTAAAAAACAGCAACAAAAAGGCCAAGCCTTTCAGTACAAGCATCATGCAACTTCTCTCAATTTCTGTCCATCTCGTTGGGAAACGTCATGTGAACTACGCGGGAGTCCCTATCGTCCCATTTCACTGTCTCTAGGGTTACTTCACTCCTTCAACGACAGTGAACACACGGTGTAAAATGGCTCAGTAGCAATTCTTATTTTATCAGCCTTAGTCGGAAATCTGATTCGGAAACCTCAAGCTCCGATCCACATAAATCGCTCCTTCCTCCCAGCAACTTAAGCTGCGGTTACCGCTAAGTCCGGCTCGGCCCCAGCGACAGCAAGGCACTGGACAGGGCATTCCAGCCTCACCCCACCTCACCTCGGCCCTTCCTCCCACGGTCCCTCCCCGCTCTGGCTGTCTTCACCTCCTACACCTCGGTCGAGGCGCTCATCGCCACCCGCGATCAAAAAGGGTTTCCCTTCAGGGAAAGGGGGAAATGAAGGTTCATTTCTGGAAGAATCTGCGCGCCCGGCAGCCGCAAGAGGAGGGAGGAGGGAAGAGTCGGGAAAGGGGCGGGGAGCTCAGCACTATCCATCAAGACATTAGCGCTAGGGGATCGCAAAGTCGCCTTCGGGCCTCCACTGCAGCCTAGAAATTCTCCCACGCACTCCGGGCTGAGGTGGGAATGTGGAATCCAGGCTCCCAAAAATGAGGATGAGACCGGAACTCCCGACTGCCTCGGTCCCGAGGGGGCGGGAAGCGAGAGGAACAAAGCCAGGGCCACTCATGCCCGGGATGGCCGGGCGACCCAGAGGGACACGGGAGGCCCCCTTACCTGCCGTCAGCAGCTGCATGGCGTGAGTGAAGGACGGGTCGAGCGAGTCCTTCTCGGCCATGAGTTCGGGCAGGTACTTGTTCTCTGGCTCCATCTTGACCGAGGCTGTGGCCGAGGGGGGCAGCAGCGGGGTCGGCGCTGGCCCGCCCACTGTCGCGTCGGGACCCGTGGCCGAGGGCGGCAGCAGCGGTGGCGGCTGCGTGGCGGGCGAGGCCCGGGCGCCCCCGCGGGATCCCCCTCCGCCTCCCCGGGACCGGTGAGGCAGCGGCGGCTGCCGAGACGGCGTCTGACGCACCGAGGGGTGGGCACCGGAGGGGTCCATGGAGCCGCTACGGCCCGAAGACCGGCTCATGCGCGCGGCGGGGTCGTCCCGGCGCTGCATCTGGGAGGATGTGCGATCCAAGGAGCGAGAAAGCGACGCGGCAGCGACGGAGGCCCGAGCGGCGGTTGGCGGGGGTGGCAGAGCGGGAGCGGTAGCGACCGAAGCCGACCCGAGCGACCCAGCGAGAGAGAGCACCGGAAATGAGGCGGCGCGCGTGCGCAGCCAGCCACCGGCACCGCCCTTGGGTTTCTCCGCGGAGAACAAAGTCCCCAGTCCGGCCACGGCGCCTGCGCACCGCCGCGGCGTCCGAGAAGTCGCCTCCCGACTCTGGCTTTCCCTCCGCTCCCGCCAGGCCAGAGCTTGATGCGCATGCGCGGGAGGCAGTGGGCTCCGTTCGTTTCGTTTTCCACGTGACTCGGCGCTAGCGGAACACGTGTCTCCTCCCCTTTCTGGCGTGGAGGGGGCGGGAGCTGTGGAATGTCTTTGTCTGCGCGCGGGCCCGCGGAGTGTGGGGCGGGAGACCTGTTACTCGCGGGGCCACGCCCTCTCCAACGGCTGAGCAGTGGAGGGAGGCTGTGGGGAGTGGGGTGGGGGGCGGTCACCGAAGTAAGGAAGTAAAAGACTGCCGAGAGGGTCACGGAAAGGGGAGGGAGAGAGAATTGAGACCGCCTGGGGAGGAAGACAGGAGTGAGACAGACTGCACAGGGAGAAAGGAAGGCTGAGGGAGAGTCTGATGCAGGGGGAAAGTTGGGGAAGGGAAACCTGGAGGGAGAAATTGAGGAAGGACGGCTTGGTGGAAACACTGAAGGCGATTGGAGTACTTGAACTAAGAGGGATGGTTCAGATCAGAGATCTGAAGTCTAGCAAAGAAAAGGGTCCCAGACATCAGGGAACACAAGAAGTTGTTTCCAGTATATATATTTCCAGTATTACATATATTCCAGTCGGTTCTAAAACGGTTGACATTGTTGGTACGGGAAATCTTAAGCAGCATTTTAGCTCTTTTTACATATTTTACTGCTTTTTCTGAATTGTGTTTGTTTTGTTTCGCCGTCATTATTGCCAATTAAGTGTTTCTTCCTTCAAAAAGTGAGGTAGAGACCAGATCCTTAATCCACGTTGGTTGCATCATTAGGATGGCTTCTTCTACCACTCCAGACTTGCTCAAAGAGACCCTTGCCACTACTCTCAAAGGCAAGGTACATAGTGGACAGTCGCCTACGACGTTCTCCACATCCTGGTGTGCTATATGCAAGTGGAGCCTTAGGTCCCTACTTGTCCCATAAGCCATCAAAAGCCTGGTGCCCTCTCTAACTTTCCCTTCCCTCCGCAGATTATTTTCTTCTTCCATTTAAAGCACTCACTCCCATCTCTTTTCCTTCTGGATTAGTTCTCCTAATGAGCCCACACTTTTCAAAAGTCTTTGGGGACCGGTGCGGTGGCTTATGCCTGTAATCCCAGCACTTTGGGAGGCCTAGGTGGGAGGATTACTTGAGGCTAGGAGTTCGAGAGCAGCCTGGACAATATAATGAGACCTCATCTCTACAATAAAAAAAGTTTCCGCCCGGCTTGGTGGCTCATGCCTGTGATCCCAACACTTTGGGAGGCCGAGGTGGGCAAATCACCTGAGGCCAGGAGTTCGAGACCAACTTGGCCAACATGATGAAACCCCATCTTTACTAAAAATATAAAAATTAGCCGGGTGTGGTGGTGCATACCTGTAATCCCAGCTACTTGGGAGGCTGAGGCAGGAGAATTGCTTGAACCAGGGACGCGGAGGCTGCCGTGAGCCGAGATCACGCCACTGCACTCCAGCCTGGGCAACAGAGCGAGACTACGTCTCAAAAAAAAAAAAAAAGGAAAAAAAGGTTTATTTGGAAATTGTCTTCTGAGTGCCTGGAAACTTGATTTTTGGATGTGAAGCTTAGAACCCTTTAACTAGAGAACCTAAAGGCCTTCTTTAAGGGGTTAAGGGAGAGGATTTCCAAATTACCCACAGAAATGAAAACAAAACACGTATCTACATAAATTATATATATATAATATAAAATATAGGCCAGATGCGATGGCTCATGCTTGTAATCCCAGCACTTTGGGAAACCGAGGCGGGCAGATCACAAGGTCAAGAGATCGAGACCATCCTGGCCAACATTGTGAAACCCCGTCTCTACTAAAAATACAAAAATTAGCTGGGTGTGGTGGTGTGCCTGTAGTCCCAGCTACTCAGGAGGCTGAGGCAGAAGAATCGCTTGAACCCAGGAGGCGGAGGTTGCAGTGAGCTGAGATTGCAGCACTGCACTCCAGCCTGGGGGACAGTGCGAGACTCTGTCTTGGGAAAAAAAAGAAAGAAAGAAAGAAATTAGCTGAGTGTGGTGGCGTGCACCTGTTGTCCCCAGCTACTTGAGAGACTGAGGTGGGAAGATTGCTGCTTGAGCCTGGGAAATTGAGACTACAGTGAGCAACGACTGCCCCACTGCACTCAGCCTGGACGACAGAGTGAGACCTTGTCTCAAAAAAAAAAAAAAAAAAAAAAAAAAAAAAAAAAAAAAGGCCAGTGCGGTGGCCCACTCCTGTAATCCCAGCACTTTGGGAGGCCAAAGTGGGTAGATCACCTGAGGTCAGGAGTTCAAGACCAGCCTGGCTAATACAGTGAAACCCCATCTCTACTAAAAACATAAAAAAGTTAGCTGAACGTGGTGGCATGCACCTGTAATCCCAGCTACTTGGGAGGCTGAGGCAGAAGAATTGCTTGAACCCGGGAGGTGGAGGTTACAGTGAGCCGAGATCGCGCCACACTGCACTCCAGCCTGGGCAACAGAGTCAGACTCCGTGTCAAAAAGAAAAAAGAAACGAAAAAATTAAGTGCTGTTGGAGTTCAATGCAGAAGATAGATTTTGGCCAAGGAAGAATAAGTTCCAGGCAAAGGGAAGTGGAATAAATGAGCAGAGATGAGAACGTGGGAAATGTGTTCAGGGAATGGGAGTAATCCAGTGTCAGACTTGAAGGAATAGGTGGGTTGAGAGAGCAACTGCATGAAGAGGGGGGAAGGGGCAAGGAGAATTTACAGTTCCTTTGCAACTCATTTCCACTGCCACCCTTGAAGATCCTTCTTGAGTGGTGGTGTTACAAATGGCTGAAGCGTCCTTGCCCTGTAATGAGATGCCCAAATAGAGATCCCTTGAGCTGAGGCTAATAAAACTTTGATAAAGGTTTGTCTGAGAAGGAGCTGGGTAGTGGTATCTATGGCCTTTCTAGACTAGAATCAACAGTTACTGCATATGTATATCAAAACATGTTGTAGCCATACCTATATACAATTTTAAAAACACTGGAAACAAAACAAAAAATAACCCTCAGTCTTTCTGGGTGCTTGCCAGATCTTTACTTGCTTTCCCTGAGAGTAGGCTGAGCGGGAGAGATGTGCTCTTCTTCCAGGCGAGAACCCTAAAGGTAATCTCAGGCCAAGAGTGGTTGAGGTTGCGGTGTATGTATCCACTAAGTGATGCAGCAGCCTTCTATTTTGGGGGCCCTTCTCAGGGTAGGGAAGAGTAATTTCTGCTCTGAAAGCCTAGAAGTCTGGAGTTTATTTTGTGTTCACCACAGTATGCTGCCCCAGGTCCACCTGAAGGTTAACAACCATGTGAAAAGACTAACGTTGGAGTGGGGCAAATTCAAACAACCCGGCAATGCCTTGTCCTCACTGTGTATCATTTGGAAGACCTCTGAAACTTAGTTTTCTCTTCTATAAAGTGGGGTAATGCCATCTACCTTGAAGGCTTATTGTGAACATTAACAAATATCAGTGTAAACCTCCTGATAGTAGGGCTTATAAACAGAAGTAATCACTATTATACCCTTTAGTACCTGATGAAGATTTGTGGGTGCTTTATGTTGGCTATGGATCTGAAAGTCCTACTCTCTCTCTCCTTTTTTTTTTTTTTTTTTTTTTTTTTGAGATGGAGTCTTGCTCTGTCACCCAGGCTGGAGTGCAGTGGCAGGATCTCAGCTCACTACAAGCTCCACCTCCTGGGTTCACGCCATTCTCCTGCCTCAGCCTCCCGGGTAGCTGGGACTACAGCTCACCACCATGCCCAGCTAATTTTTTTGTATTTTTAGTAGAGACAGTGTTTCACCGTGTTAGCCAGGATGGTCTCGATCTCCTGACCTCATGATCCGCCCGCCTCAGCCTCCCAAAGTGCTGGGGTTACAGGCATGAGCCACCGCGCCTGGCCAAGTCCTACTCTCTAATCTGTATAATTTTCACTGAGTATAGCTAGGCTTGTTTTGGGGGGAGGAGGAGGTTCCAAAAAGAGCAAGTTTCTTCTACCCTTAATCCAGTTACTATGGTATAGGATACAGCAGCAGTGCATAATGGTTCAGATGGAGGTTGGTAGCTCTGCCTCTTACCTGCTGGGTGATTGAGCACAGTGTTTTGCTTTGCTGCATTAGTCAGGATTCTTTAGAGAGACAGAATAAATACAGTATATAGATAGATGTACACATTCAAGAGGGGACTTGTGAGGGCAATTGGTTCACATGATTATGGAGGCTGAGAAGTCCCATTGGAGGCCTTCTGCAAGCTGGAGACCCTGGCAAGCCGGTCGTGTGGCTCAGTCCAAATCTGAGATCCTCAGAACCAAGGAAGCCAGTGGTGTGATGCTTAGAGGATGAAGGCCTGAGAACCCAGGGGCTGCTGGTGTAAGTCCTGGAGTCCAAGGGCTGAAGAGCATGGGGATCTAATGTCTAAGGACAGGAGAAGAAGAGTGTCCTAGCTCCAGGAAGAGAGACAGGAAATCCCTTCTTTGCCTTTTGTGTTCATTCTGGGCCCTAGCCCATTAGCTGGCGCCCGCCCACATTGAGGGCGGATCTGTACCATTCAGTCCACTCACAGGCCACTCTCTTCTGGGAACACACTCACAGACACACCCAGAAATAATGCTTTATCAGTCCTCTGGGTATTCCTTAATCCGGTGAAGTTGACACCGAAAATTAACCATCACACTAGCTCAGACTCCTCTTCCCTCTCCTTGATAAAACAGAGATGGCCGGGCGCGGTGGCTCACGCCTGTAATCCCAGCACTTTGGGAGGCCAAGGCGGGTGGATCATGAGTTCAGGAGTTCGAGACCAGCTTGGCCAACATGGTGAAACCCCCATCTCTACTAAAAGTAAAAAAATTAGCCGGACGTGGTGGTGCGCACCTGTAATCCCAGCTACTCGGGAACCTGAGGCAGGAGAATCGTTGGACCCTGGGAGGCGGAGGTTGCAGTGAGCCGAGATCGCGCCACTGCACTCCAGTCTGGGCGACAGAGCAAGACTCTGTCTCAAAACAAACAAACAAACAAACAAACCAAAAACAGAGGATATAACAATGCCTGCCCCAGGGCTGTTAGGGTTAACACATACAGGGTTAACATGATAGTATCTATAAAGCACTTAGCACAGAGGCTGGCAATTAGTAGGTACTTCATAAGCAATATTGGCCATTGTTATGATCACCACACACATTTATTGAGTACCCTACTGCAGACTTTCACTTTCACATGAATCCCTACGGGAATGACTAGAAGGACTGAAACTTGCCTAGAGCTCCTGACCTGTGTGATCTCAGCAGGTGGGAGATCTGCAGGCCCCATCTACCTCTCCTGCATTGCAGCCAGTTCCCAGGAGACAAAAGGCCCCAGCCCTGGGCAGGAGAGTTTCTCTTCCAAGAGTGTAGTTCAGGTGGCGCGGTGGCTCATGCCTGTAATCCCAGCACTTTGGGAGGCTGAGGCTGGTGGATCACAAAGTCAGGAGTTCAAGACCAGGCTAGCCACGATGGTGAAACCCCGTCTCTACTAAAAATACAAAAATTAGTTGGGCGTGGTGGTGGGTGTCTGTAATCCCAGCTACTCGGGAGGCTGAGGCAGAGAATTGCTGAAACCCACGAGATGGAGGTTGCAGTGAGCCGAGATCACACCACTGCATTCCAGCCTGGGTGACACAGCGAGACTGTCAAAAAAAAAAAAAAAAAAAAGAAAAGAAAAAGAAAAAGAAAAGAAAGGAAAAGAAAAAAAGTGTAGTTCATTTGTTCAATTTTAAACACCTACTTGGTGCCAAATATGTGGAGGGAAGGGGAAGGAGATGGGGAGACCAAAATTCAACATTAAGAGAAAGTCCCTACTCTCAAGGAGACAAATATGTAAATCAAGTTGCCATGTAGAATGAAAGGTGTTGTAATAGAAGACTGTGCAGAGACACATAGGTATGCACAGGAGAGAGTGACTGACCAACTGCCCAGATGAGGTAGGAAAGCTGAGTATTTGGGAAGTGGCCAGGTGGAGGGAGGGCCAGGGCATTTAAATGTTGGGAGTTCAGCAAAGCTTGGTCCTGTGCCGGTACTCCTTCCTCCATGTTTACAGCTCTGGAATTCAGATCTCCAACTCAAACTTCTGAATTCCAAATCCAGAAAGCCAATTGCATCCCTGACATCCTCATCTGGATGTCTCAGAGGCTCCTCAAACTCAACATGTCCCCAGTAGAACCCAAACTGCAGGCATTAGCGGTGCTGCTCTGGGCCCAGCTCCCCTTTCATGGAACTTTTCCTCTCTCCGGCCTGCTCCAGCGCAGAAAGAGAACATGGGGCCCGCAGATTTGAAGGAGTCACTCACTTTGAGGCTTGCCCTTTGCCACCCTCATAATAGTCTGAGTCCTGCCCACAGGGTCATCAGGCACTCCCACAGTAGGCACCTTTGGTAGGGGCAGAGGGGATCAGAGCAAGGCTGATGTGACCAGTGATAGCCTTGTGTGAAAAGTCCCTAGAGAAATCCCAGAAATACTTGAAGGAGACTTTGCTGGGGCAAGAACAGGAACTTGGGATGATTAGCATTCACGTGGCTTTGTTTGAATCCACAGACCACTGAGGCTTGTGTGATGTTTGCATTATAATCATCTTTTTTTTTTTTTTCCTGCCTGTCCTGCTAACCAGAAAGTGAGCTGCTTGCCAGGTGCAGTGGGTCACATCTGCAATCCCAGCACTTTGGGAGGCCAAGGCAGGCAGATCACCTGAGGTCAGGAGTTTTTAGACCAGCCTGGCCAACATGGTGAAACCCCATATCTACTAAAAATACAAAAATTAGCCAGGTGTGGTTGTGGGCGCCAGTAATCCCAGCTACTCGGGAGGCTGAGGCAGGAGAATCGCTTGAACCCAAGAGGTGGAGGTTGCAGTGAACCGAGATTGCATCACTGCACTCCAGCCTGGGCGACAGAGCGAGACTTCATCTAAAATAATAATAATAATAATAATAAATAAAAAATAAAAATTACCCAGGCATGGTGGCGGGCACCTGTAATCCCAGCTATTTGGGAGGCTGAGGCAGGAGAATCGCTTGAACCTGGGAGGTGGAGGTTACAGTGAGCCAAGATCGCGTCATTGCACTCCAGCCTGGGCAACAAGAGTGAAACTCCATTTCAAAAATAAATAAATAGATAGGCTGGGCGCAGTGGCTCCCAATCCCAGCACTTTGGGAGGCTGAGGTGGGTGGATCAGCTGAGGTCAGGAGTTCGAGACGAGTCTGGCCAACATGGCAAAACCCCGTCTCTACTAAAACTACAAAAATTAGCCAGGTGTGGTGGCACCTGCCTTTAATCCCAGCTACACGGGATGCTGAGGCAGGAGAATTGCTTGAACCTGGGAGGTGGAGGTTGCAGTGAGCCGAGATCGCACCACTGCACTCCAGCCTGGGTTACAGAGAAAGACTGTCTCAAAATAAATAAATAAATAAACAAACAAACTCCCACTCTGCCCTTTGCCACTGACCTGCTCCTCCTCAGTGTCTGTATCTTAGGGAACAGCACCCCTAACTCACTGCACACCCTGGATATCTGAGACTTGTTCTGACTTCCCTCCTCTGCCTCATCACTCTACCCCCACCACATACAAACCATTCTTAAGTCCTTTGTTGCTTACCTCATAAATACTGAAAATCCCATCCACATTTCTCTGTCTCCCCTGCCTCTGCCTCCAGCTGAAGTGCCATAATGCCTCTCTTGAACTTCTGCCACCTCTGACCTGGTCCCCTACTTCCACTCCTTTTCCCCTTTTCTATTTTCAACCCAGAAGCCAGAATAGTATTTTTCCTATTGCCTTTAGGATAAAGACCTGAGTCCTGTTAACATGTTTGACCTGCCCCTACCTGTATGCCTTTCTTTTCTTTTTTTATAGAGATCGGGTCTCACTGTATTGCCCAGGCTGGAATGCAGTGGCGCCATCATAGCTCACTGCAGCCTCCAACTCCTGGCCTCAAATGATCCTCCTTCCTCAGCCTCCCAAGTAGCTGGGACTACAGGTGCTACTGTGCCCAGCTACACATGGCTTTCTTACCTCATCTCATGCCATTCTCCTCCCTGGTTCCTGTGCTTAGCAACCCTGGCCTTTTTCAGTTCCTCAAATAAGCCAGACTCCTGCTTCCTCTCGACCACACCCATTCTGGTTCCTTAGCTTAAAACTCCAATCACTGTCCCCCTTCCTCCAATCCAGTCCCTTGTCTTTTCTTTCTTTAGCTACTCCTCTTTTCTTTAGCTACTGTAATTCCTATATATTCTTCCGATATAGTCAATTGCCACTTCTTCAGGGAAGGTGTCCAGGCCCCCTAGTGCAGATTGGCTTAGCTCCCTTTGTTACATGCTTTCATGGCTCCTTCCTAAAACAGCACCTTTTAAATTTACCTCTTTGGGGCTGGATGTGGTGGCTCATTCCTGTAATCCCAGCATTTTGGGAGGCCAAGGTGGGTGGATTACTTGAGCTCAGGAGTTCGAGACCAGCCTGGGCAACATGGCGAAACCCTGTCTCTACCAAAAAAAAAAAAAAAAAAAAATTCACTGGGTGTAGTGATGTGAGCCTGTGGTCCCAGCTACTTGGGAGGCTAAGGTGGGAGGATTGCTTGAGCCCAGGAGGTGGAGGTTGCGGTGAGCCGAGCTCATGCCACTGTACTCCATCTTGGGTGACAGAGTGATACCCCATCTCAAAAAAAAAAAAAAAAAAACCACACAAAAATTTACCTCTTTGTGATTATTTGAGTAACCTCCATCTCTGCAACTCAAATGTAAGCTCTATGAGAGCAGGAACTTTGTTTCTGGTGTTTAAGGTTATGTCCCCAGCACAGTGCTGGTCTGGATTGGCTGATCAGTAAATATTTGTTGACTCAATGAATATCAATAGGAACAGCACATGCAAAGACAACAAAACTTTACAAAACTTGGTGTGGGTCCCTGGAATGGCAAGTTGCGGGATATGAGCTAGATTTGGATGAGTGGGGAGGGGCTCATGGAAGATGGCAGGAGATAAGGCCAAAAGGTAGTCTGAGCCGGGCGGGCTGGCTCACGCCTGTAATCCCAGCACTTTGGGAGGCGGAGGCGGGTGGATCACGAGGTCAGGAGATTGAGACCATCCTGGCTAACATGGTGAAACCCCGTCTCTACTAAAAATACAAAAAAAATTAGCCGGGCGCGGTGGCGGGCGCCTGTAGTCCCAGCTACTCAGGAGGCTGAGGCAGGAGAATGGCGTGAACCCGGGAGGCGGAGCTTGCAGTGAGCCAAGATCGCGCCACTGCACTCCAGCCTGGGTGACAGAGCGAGACTCCGTCTCAAAAAAAAAAAAAGGTAGTCTGAGTCTTGATGCTCAGATAAGGAGATAGAGTGCCAGTGGAGAACAGTGAGATAACGTGGTCAGACGCGGAAAGGAGGGAAGAACACCACAGCTCACAGGTTAGATTTAGCCTATCCATATGTTTTAAAATTGGGCCTATCTAGGCCGGGCGCAGTGGCTCACGCCTGTAATCCCAGCACTTTGGTAGGCCGAGGCGGGTAGATCACAAGGTCAGGACCGACCTGGCCAAGATGGTGAAACCCCGTCTCTACTAAAAATACAAAAATTAGCCGGACGTGGTGGCAGGCACCTGTAATCCCAGCTACTTGGGAGGCTGAGGCAGAGAATTGCTTGAACCTGGGAGGTGGAGGTTGCAGTGAGCCAAGATTGTGCCACTGCACTCCAGCCTGGGCAACACAGTGAGACTCCATCTCAAAAAATAAAATAAAATAAAATAAAATAAAATAAAATAAAATAAAATAAAATAAAATTAGGCCTACCTAACTTTAAAAAATTGAATTAGTTGCCAATACTTAAACATTAGGAGATTTCATATTTTTTAAAAAGTTCTGGATTTCTGGTTTTTCTTGAAACATCAGATGTTCTAGGGACGTACAGGAGTTCTGGGCTCATACTCCTCCAAGCAATAACTAGCTTCTGCCTTTAGATGGCACTACCTCTAACTCCCCAGGCGTTTATGCTACCAGCCTGCCTCTTTAAGCGTTTGATTGAGGTAGTGATCCTGTCCTAGATCATTCTGGTCGTGGAATGGGAGAGGAGACTGCAATGGCAGTCAGAGAAGCCCAGGGAGAGAAGGGAGTTCACCCTCAATTTGGAGATATGTAGACCCAAGGGACACTATATTTGGGCTCAGTCAGGCTCAGGCCTGGGGCTGGGGAGGGGGATAATATTCAGAACTTAGGGCCACCCTTTCACATTAGAAGCTTAGTTTGGGCTCAAAGAGAATATAAAAGCAAAGGAATCCACTGTGATGCTGGCTGATCTGAGAGCAACCTTTGGAATTTTAGCAAAATAAATGCCACCTTCTGGGCTCAGGCTCACCTCTGTCCTCTTCATGCCTCAGAGAGATAAAAGATGAGTAAAGCTGTGGACCTCACTGTAGAAGAAACTGGCAGTCTTGAGGGAAAGGAAGGCATTTAAAGAACTAAATAATAGGCTGGGTGCGGTGGCTTACACCTGTAATTGCAGCACTTTGGGAGGTCGAGGCGGGTGGATCACCTGAGGTCAGGAGTTCGAGACCAGCCTGACCAACATGGTGAAACCCCATCTCTACTAAAAATACAAAAATTAGCCGGGTGTAGTGGCAGGTGCCTGCAGTCCCAGCTACATGGGAGGCTGAGACAGGAGAATCGCTTGAACTTGGGACCTGGAGGTTGCAGTGAGCCGAGATCATGCCCACTGCACTCCAGCCTGGGCGACAGAGCGAGACTCCATCTCAAAAACAACAACAACAACAACAACAACTAAGTAATATATGCAAGATAATAGAATGGAGAAGCATTTATTCATTTAACAAATATATTTTGAACATGTACCATGTGCCAGACACTGTGCTCAGTCCTGGGGACATAGTCATGAAAAAGACAGATATTGCACCTGCCCTCATGGTGCTTATACTAGCTGGTGTGGGAAGTGGGAAGTAAGGGGATGATGGAATTAATTCTTTTTTTTTTTTTTTTTTGAAACACTCTCGCTCTGTTGCCCAGGCTGGAGTGCAGTGGTGTGATCTCAGCTCACTGCAACCTTAACTTCAGGTGATTATCATGCCTCAGCCACCCAAGTAGCTGGGATTACAGGCATGCGCCACCACGCCTGGCTAATTTTTGTATTTTTAGGAGAGACCAGGTTTTGCCATGTTGGCCAGGCTTGTCTTGAACTCCTGACCTCAAGTGATCCACCCACTTTGGCCACCCAAAGTGTTGGGATTACAGGCGTGAGTCACCATGCCCGGCAAATAATGGAATTAATTCTGAAGGAAGTTTAGATGGGGTGGGAATTCTGGAAGGCAAATGTTTGAGCAGGGCCTAGAAAGAAGAATACAATTTTACTAGGGACTGGGGTAAAGGATAGAAGGTCTATTTTGTCAGAGGAAAGAACAGAAAGAGGGGCACAAACTGGTGAGAATCTGTGAGATGCTTGAGAATAGCAAAGTTATCAGATTGGAGTGATTCTTGTAGGAGAGAAGGAAGCAATTGTTTAGACCCTGAGATGCCTTCTAACGTAAATACCATTGTGTTTTTTTTTCCTAGAAATTGAATTATTCACAATGGAACTGTTTCAAAAATCACTAAAATGAGAAAGCAGTCCAAAAGTGAAAACGCTGTTGTCTTAGTGTATAAAGTTTCACTTCCCGCACTTTGGGAGGCCAAGGCAGGCATATCACCTGAGGTCAGGAGTTCAGGACCAGCCTGAACAACATGGTGAAACCTCGTCTCTACTAAAAATACAAAAATTAGTAGGGCATGGTGGCGTGCACCTGTAATCCCAGCTACTGGGGAGGCTGGGGCAGGGGAATCAATTAAGCCCAGGATGCAGATGTTGCAGTGAGCCAAGATCGCACCACTGCACTCCAGCCTGGGTGACAGAGCGAGACTTTGTCTTAAAGAAAAAAGAAGTTTCACTGTAAAACAAGATGATCTTTTAGAAGTAACATAACACTGGAGAACTTACACATCAGAATGAGAGGTGCCTGAATTTCCCTTTGCAAATTCCCTTTAGAGCCTAAAGTTTATTCTTCAAAATATTGACACAGGTGACAAATTTTATTTATTTTTTATTTTTGAGACAAGGTCTCACTCTGTTGCCCAGGCTGAGTACAGTGGCACAATCATGGCTCACAGCCTCAAACTCCTGAGCTCAAGCGATCCTCCTGCTTCAGTCTTCCCAGTAGCTGGGACAACAGGCACGTACCATCATGCCCAGTTAATTTAAATTTGTTTCTTTTGTAGAGATGGGGTTTCACTGCCATGACCAGGCTGTTCTTTAACTCCTGGACTCAAGCGACCCTCTGCCTCAGCCTCCCAAAGTGCTGGGATTACAGATATAAGCCACCATGCCCAGCTGTGAATCTAGTTTTCTTCTGTAACTTTTTTCTTCATGCCATCTTGTCTAAGAGCTTGTGTAACTTTTGAAGTGATCCTGAAGTCAGTTCTAAAAGATAAGGCCCCAAAATACCTTTGAGCAATATGGCACTGTCAGAGCAAGGATAGACACACCCGCCCAAGGTGACTACTTCGAAGGCAGCATTTGCTCCATTCATGAGGCATGCATGCATTAATTCATTCAATGAATATTTATTACATACCTACCGAATAGATGCCAGCCATTGTACTGGATGTGGGGTAAGCGGTAAACAGGATAGACAGGGTTCCTGCTTTTGTGCTGCTTTCTACATAGGGGAGACAGATAAACACCAAGTAAACAGGGTAGAAATAAGTTCTAGAAAGATGATAAAATGGCCAGGTGTGGTGGCCCATGCCTGTAATCCCAGCACTTTGGGAGACTGAGGTGGGCAGATCACCCGAGGTCAGGAGTTTGAGACCAGCCTGGCCAACATGGTGAAACCCCGTCTCTATTAAAAATACAAAATGTAGCTGGGAGCGGTGGTGCACACCTAGTCTCAGAAAAAAAAAAAAAAAAAGATAAAACAAGATACTGTGATAGAGTGACTGAGAAGGGATGGGTTGCTACTTTAAGTAGGATGGTCCAGGAAGGTCTCTCTCGGGGGTTCCTGATCGGGGAGAAGAAGCCAGCCATGGCAAGTACTAGGGGAAGAGCTCTCTGGACAAACGGTGCAGCGAGTGCAGCTACCCTAAGACAGGTACTGGTGAAGTGAATTCTAAGAAAAAAAAGAAAGGCCGTATGGCTGGGGAAGACAGTGAGCACAAGCAGGTAGAAATGAGGTGGGTGAGGTAGGTAGGGTCACAATGCTGCATGGCCTTGTAGGCTGTGCTGAGCTTTCTCTAGCTGTTGTGTAGAAATTGGGAGAAAAACGAAACCATGAGGACCAATTAGGAGACTACTACACTAAATATGCAACAAATATTTACTTATTGAGCATTTACTATGTGCCAGAACTATGCTAGAGGCTAAGGATATAATGGTGAATAAGATGTGGGTTCCTATCCTCAGGATACTGATGATTGCGGGGGGCAACACAGATAAATACACTGGCAGTTGCAGAGCAGAGTGGGTAAAATAATAAGAATAAGATTAAGTACAAGGTGTTATAGGAGTACAGAGGAGGGTCACCTAACCCAGTCTCAGGTTAAGGAATGCTTCCTGGAGGAGGTGTCATCTAGGCTGAACTTAAAGGACCTCAGGAGTTAGCCAGGTAAAGGGCTGGAGAAGCGCATCCCAGACACATGAGAGGTTGTAGAGCGAAGAGAGAACTTGGTTGTTTGAGGACCTACCTGTAGTTCAGAGGACCTACCTATCTTAGGGGTTTATATCCTGTTAAAAAAGAGATTGGTCTAAGTTTATTTTATTCTTTTTTTTTTTTTTTTTTTTTTTGAGACAGAGTTTCGCTCTTGTCACCCAGGGTGGAGTGCAGTGGTGTGATCTCGGCTCCTTGCAACCTCCTCCGCCTCCTGGGTTCAAGTGATTCTCCTGCCTCAGTCTCCCAAATAGCTGGGATTACAGGCACCCACCACCACGCCCAGCTAATTTTTGTATTTTTAGTAGAGACAGGGTTTTGCCATGTTGGCCAGGCTGGTCTCAAACTCCTGATCTCAGGTGATCTGCCTGCCTCAGCCTCCCAAAGTGCTGGGATTACAGGCGTGAGCCACTGCACCTGGCCATCTACCGTGCTTGGCCTATTTTATTCTTATAAGCCTCTTAAGTTTGCATAGGAAAGGCATTCAAAGGTTTTTCAGCAGTGGAATGACATGGTTCATGGTTGGGCCTGCCCAACTCTCACCTGCCTTTCTCCCTACTCTCAAGTCAGTCTTAACAATCAACTGCTGAGCTGAAACTTTGAATCTGATATTATACTCAGTGTTGATAAAGAAGAGAGCATATTGGTCCTACTGAGTAGCTAGGACTACAGGTGTGCACCACCATGTCCGGCTAATTTTTGTATTTTTAGTAGAGACAGGGTTTCACCATGTTGGCCAAACTGGTCTCGAACTCCTGACCTCAAATGATCCACCTGCCTTGGCCTTCCAGAGTGCTGGGATTTCCGGTGTGAGCTACCATGCCCACTTCCTACCTAGGTGAAAAGGAACAAAGGAGGGAAAAATCAAGATGTTTTTAGTCTCTGAGTATCGGAAAAGGACTACCCGAAAAACTGCCTGAGACCACTTACATCCTATCATCAGTGAGGCCACAGCCCAGAGGTAGAGTGTAGTAAAGAGACTTGAGGCCTACTTTAAGTTTTTTTTTTTTTTTTTGAGATGGAGTCTCGCTCTGTCACCCAGGCTGGAGTGCAATGGCACAATCTCGGCTCACTGCTAGCTCTGCCTCCTGGGTTCATGCCATTCTCCTGCCTCAGCCTCTCAATTAGCTAGGACTACAGGCGCCTGCCACCATGCCCAGCTAATTTTTGTATTTTTAGTAGAGACGGGGTTTCACCGTGTTAGCCAGGATGGTCTCCATCTCCTGATCTTGTGATCTGCCCGCCTCAGCCTCCCAAAGTGCTGGGATTACAGGCGTGAGCCACTGCGCCCGGCCTACATTTTTTAAATGAACTTTTGGAAAATCTAATTTTTCAAAGCTTGGGACCAGTCAGTTGATTGTGTGATCCAATAAGCTGACTCACTAGGCTTGTCCCTAAGCTCTGGGGAGGATGTGTATAAAATGGATACCTTATCAGCATGGTTGGTCTGCATTTCTTGGGACAGCAGTTCACTACCTGTGCCAAGCTCACTAGGGCACTTATGACTCTAAAATACCTTTTTTCTTTTTTTTGAGATGGGGTCTCACTCTGTCCCCGAGGCTGGAGTGCAGTGGTGCGATCTTGGCTCATGGCAACCTTGACCTCCTGGGCTCAAGTGATCCTCCCAGCTCAGCCCCTCTGAACAGCTACAACTATAAGCACCCACCACCATGCCCAGCTAATTTATGTATTTTTTGTAGAGACCAGGTTTTGCCAGGTTGCCCAGGCTGGTCTCAAACTCCTGGGCTCAAGCGATCCTCCCACCTCAGACTCTTGAAGTGCTGGGATTATAGGTGTGAGCCACTGCACCCATCTTGAGATACTTCTTTTGACAGGACAGGCTGATCCTACTTCTGTTCACATTGCATTTACTTACTGGGAACTTAGAATCGCAGGAATAAGAAATAATGATAGCCAACATCTATATGTGTTTGGTTATTTAATTCTCACAACAGTCCTGTGATGCTGGTACTGTTATTCCCATTTTACAGCTGAGAAAATAAAAGCACAAGGAGGGGGCCGGGCACAGTGGCTCATGCTTGTAATCCCAGCACTTTGGGAGGCTGAGGCGGGCAGATCATGAGGTCAGGAGATCGAGACCATCCTGGCTAACATGGTGAAACCCCGTCTCTACTAAAATACAAAAAATTAGCCGGGCGTGTTGGCAGGCGCCTGTAGTCCCAGCTACTGGTAGTCCCAGCTACTCAGGAGGCTGAGGCACGGGAATGGTGTGAACCTGGGAGGCGGAGCTTGCAGTGAGCTGAGATTGCGCCACTGCACACCAGCCTTGGGTGACAGAGCCAGACTCCGTCTCAAAAAAAAAAAATAATAATAAAAAATAAAAAATAAAAGCACAAGGAGGTTAAGTCACTTGCAAGGTTACTGGGGATTTGAATTCAGGCAGTCTGACTCAAGAGCCCAATTTTTTTTTTTTTTTTGAGATGGAGTCCTGCTGTGTTATTTAGGCTGGAGTGCAGTGGTGTGATCTCAGCTCACTGCAACCTCTGCCTCCCAGGTTCAAGCAATTCTCCTGCGTCAGCCTACCGAGTAGCTAGGATTACAGGTGTGCACCACCATGTCCGGCTAATTTTTGTATTTTTAGTAGAGACGGGGTTTCCCCATGTTGGCCAGGCTGGTCTCGAACTTCTGACCTCAAGTGGTCCGCCTGCCTTGGCCTCCCAGAGTGCTGGGATTTCAGGTATGAGCTACTGTGCCCAGCTGAGAGCCTAAATGTTTTAAGCATTATATCAGAGGTGTGACTTACTTAGGGATTTAAAGACAAAGATTTAATCATAAACCCCCAAAATTGGCAAATTCTGGCCCCTAGTTCTGTAAAATTTGGTTTACTTATACTGACTTCAATGATTATACAGTGGTTTCAGTGTCCTACAAAATAAACTTACAACTCATTAAAACATAATTTCTCTGTATCATGTTGACCTAAGTTAATGAATTTATTCTAAAACTATTTTATTTTAAATATCTATGATAAAATTTAAATTAAGCAATTGTGCTTTCTTTCTGAAAGTTTATCAAGTGTTTTTTTTTTTTTTTTTTTTGGCGGGGGAAGGGAAATGATCCAACCTTCTAAAAAACAGCCTAAAGGAAACTTAAGTTGGAGTCTTTTCCTCTTGATAAATTTCCCTGTTATAAGCAGAGACTTCTGAAATCTTTCATTCATCTAAGAGCCCAATACTTATAATGCCTAGTAAGTAATAACTATTAGAAATCACAATTGCTAATATTTTTAAAAGAATTTAGTACATGCCAGTCTCTTTGTAAGCCTTTAAGTCTGGGAGATAGGACAATAGTTGTGCCCACTTTACAGAGAAGAAGAAACTGAGGCTCAAAAAGTTTAAATCATCTGCCCAAGTCACATACGTGGTGAACTAAAGCTTGAAATCCAGGGCTGTCTGATTTCAAAGTCTGAGCTCATAGCTCCCAAATAATTGTGGAGATTTGCTCTAAGAAACACTTATTTAAATGCATGAGGTTGATTACTATAATGAGGGTGTTTCTCCCAGAATTTTGAACATGAAGTCAGACCCTTTCTTTCATCACAAACTGCTCCTCAGTTTAATCATAGATATTAGATCAAATTATGAAATGGGAAGCATTAGGGGCCATTATCCTTTTTTCTTTTCTTTTTCGTTGGGGGTGGGGGAGGCGGGGCAGAGTCTAGCTTTGTCACCCAGGCTGGAGTGCAGTGGCATGAACTTGGCTCACTGCAACCTCCGCCTCCCAGGTTCAAGTGATTCTCATGCCTCACTGGGACTACAGGCATGTGCAACCATGCCTGGCTAATTTTTTGTATTTTTAGTAGAGATGGGGTTTCTCCATGTTGGCTAGGGTGGTCTCGAACTCCTTGCCTCATGTGATCTGCCCACCTTGGCCTCCCAAAATGTACAGGCGATAGCCACTGCACCTGGCCTCATTATCTTTTTTTCTTGACCAACACAAAACCCACTTGACACTTTGTTGATGTGTTACAGAGCATATCACAGTTTATGAATCCACAGAAATAATTACCACATTGTCATTTGCAATTGTTCTTAATAGCAAATTTAAAACATCTCTGTGAAAAATGCCGAAATAGGCCTAGCGGACATATTCTCCACTGTGTGGGGTGAAGCCATGAGAGCAGGGATATGAGTGATAATTAGGCATCAATTGCATGGCAAAACCCAAGTATCTGAGGTAGGGGTCTGCCCTGTATAACTTAAAAAGAAAATTACAAAATAAGAGTGGTTATGGTTTTCTTGGTTTTGTTTTTGGTGATGAAAATATAAAGTGTTCTCAAATAACCAGAATATCCCTTGAACACTTTCATAGAGAGGTGGTAAAGCCACCAGCGAAAAATTCCAATTCAGATGTCACACCTTAAGACAAACTCTGGATAGTGTAGGAATGGCTTAGGAAGTCACAGCCAGCTGATTCCTGGGAATGCCATCAAGGAGACAGCAACCTGAAAGTTGAGGTGATATCAGCCGGGCATGACGGCTCACACCTGTAATCCCAACACTTAGGGAGGCAAAGGCAGGAAAACAGCTGGAGGCCAGGAATTTGAGAACAGCCTGGGCAACATAGTGAGACCCTGTTTCCACAAAAAGAAAACAAAAGAGAAAGACAAGTTTTGAGGTGATGTCAAAGGATGTGGCATATGCCTTAAACAAGTCACCAGTATACAGTACCGTCTGCATCCAGGGTGGGAGTGGGAGTGATCTTTCTCACATTTCTACTTAATAACTCATATGTTTTTTTTCCTTTTTGTCCCTGCAACTCTGGGTTCGGTAGGTTTGGAAGTCCTATTTCCCAAGGGAGAAACGCTTCCTTCAGGGAACACAGACATTACATTGGTTCTTGTAATTTGGAAGCTGAGACTTTCCACTGGTCATTTTGGACTCTTAGTACTACTGAGCCAATGGCAGATAAGGAGTTTATTATACTATTGGCTAGGGTGATTAATCCTGCATGGAAATTAGGTTGCTGCTACCAACAGGGGCAAGAAGACCTATGCTTATTCCCAGTGGATACACTAGGGTACCTCTTAGTACTCCCATACCTAATAACTATCAATGTAAAACTATAGCAAAGCAATAAAGACAGGACCACTTATGGCTTGAATCCTGTGGAAATGAAGGTTTGGTTCATTCCACTGAGTAAAGAATTTCCTCTGGCTAACATGTTGGCAAAGGGTGAGGGGAACATGGACTAGAGAGTGGAAGAAGGCAGCTATGAGGACCAACTCAGCCTCATGACCATCTCACTGTGGCAGGGTCTGTAGCTACAGTAGAGATTTTTTTTTGTTTTTTTTTGAGATGGAGTCTTGCTCTGTCACCCAGGCTGGAGTGCAGTGGCGCAATCTTGGCTCACTGCAACCTCCGCTTCCAGGTTCAAGCAATTCTTCTGCCTCAGCCTCCTGAGTAGCTGGGACTACAGGTGCGCACCACTTCACCCAGCTAATTTTTATATTTTTAGTAGAGACGGGGTTTCGCCATGTTGGCCAGGCTGGTCTCGAACTCTTGACCTCAGGTGATCCACCCACCTTGGCCTCCCAAAGGCTAGGATTACAGACGTGAGCCACCACACCCAGCCACATCTTAATTTTTTTCTGGCAATGATTACTTCCTTCCAAGACAATAGCTCCTGTCTGTGGCCCCTCTTCCAGGGCTTGGCGTGTCATTGGGTTCAAGGAAACTGCATTTCCTCCCCTTGCCTTTTTGAGCAAGCACAGTCGTGGTGGCTTCCTGCTATTGCTAGCCTCTGGCTGCCTCAACCTCCCATTTTGGTTCCCTCAACTCTACCCATATCTCTTGAATATTCCCTTCATTAAAGTTTCTTGAATTATCTGAGTTTAGTTCAGTTTCTTGCTAAGACCCTGAATGATAGATCGATCATTTAATGGTGAATTGCAAAATTACTGAAATAAACTTGAGTTTATTATTAAAAATAAATTAATCATGCTGGGTGTGGTGGCTCATGCCTGTAATCCAAGCACTTTGGGAGGCTGATGGGGGTGGATCACCTGAGGTCAGGAGTTTGAGATCAGCCTGGCCAACATGGTGAAACTTCATCTCTACTAAAAATACAAAAATTAGCCGGATGTGGTGGTGTGCACCTGTAGTCCCAGCTACTCGGGAGGCTGAGGCAGAAGAATTGCTTGAACCTGGGAGGCAGAGGTTGCAGTGAGCTGAGATGGCACCACTACACTCCAGCCTGGGTGACAGAGTGAGATTCCATCTCAAAAAAATAAAATAAAATAATAAAGTCATAAAACATATTAAGAAGGATTGAGGGAGGCTGAGGTGGGAGGATTGATTGAGCCCAGGAGGTGGAGGCTGCTGAGCCATGATTGTGCCACTGTACTGGAGCCTGGGCAACAGCATGAGACCCTGTGAACTTTGGGAGATTGAGATGGGAGGATCACTTGAGGCCAGGAGGATCACTTGAAGCCCGGCATGGTGGCATGCCTCTGTAGTCCTGAGGCAAGAGTTCAAGGTTGCAGTGAGCTATGATCATGCCACTGGGTGACAGAGCGAGACCCTGTCTCTAAAAAAATAATTTTTTTTTTGAGACAGAGTCTCGCTCTGTTGCCCAGGCTGGAGTGCGGTGGTGCCATCTTGGGTTACTGCAATCTCTGCTTCCCAGGTTCAAGTGATTCTCCTGTCTCAGCCTCCTGAGTAGCTGGGACTACAAGTGCATGCCACCATGCCAGGCTAATTTTTGTACTTTTAGTAGAGACGGGGTTTCACTATGTTGGTCAAGCTGGTCTCGATCTCCTGACATCGTGATCCTCCTGCCTCGGCCTCCCAAAGTGCTAGAATTACAGGTGTGAGCCACTGCACCCGGCCAAAAAAAGAATTTTTTAATGTAAAAATAAAATAAAATAAATTTATTGAGCAGTTACTATGTGCAAATTAGGTATTTGGGATATAAAAATTAACGGGAGTTGCTGCCTGTCATACAAGCCAACTGGGATACAGATGTGTACATAAGCTGCACGGTATGGTAAGTACTCTCTAACAGAGTTATTAAGGTGCTATGGAACAGATTTGAAGTTTTCTCATTTATTTCACATATTGGATTTATTTAGTTTCCCCTGACCTCAAAATAGCCAATTTGGGCACATAAAATCTACAATAAACATAATTATTTTTAAAAGATTATTTTCATATTCTATCTTAGTATATTAATTTCCAGCGTAACAGAAAAAAGATTTGGAGGGAAACCCACCAAAGTGTTCCCAGTTGTTACCTTTGAGAACTGGGGAGAAGAGAAAAAGCTTTATAATCACTTTACATAGTTCTACATTATTTTAATTTTTTCAATTTTTAATTTTAAAAAATTTGGTAAAATCCCTATGCAATTAAATATGTAGTATAAATAAAAGAAAAAAGGAAATAATGCTTATGGCAGACCTTGGAGGAGAGAATATTGATTTGGGCCTTAAAGAATGAGTAGGAGGGGCTGGATGCAGTGGCTCATGCCTGTAATCCCAACACTTTGGGAGGCCAAGGCTGGCGGATCACGAGGTCAGGAGATCGAGACCAACCTGGCTAACACAGTGAAATCCCATCTCTACTAGAAAATATAAAAAATTAGCCAGGCGTGGTGGCGGGCACCTGTAGTCCCAGCTACTCGGGAGGCTGAGGCAGGAGAATGGCGTGAACCCGGGAGGTGGAGCTTGCAGTGAGCCAAGATCTTGCCACTGCACTCCAAACTCCAACCTGGGCCACAGAGTGACTTGGTCTCAAAAAAAAAAAAAAAAAAAAAAAGAATGAGTAGGAGGGCCAGGTGTGGTGACTCATGCCTGTAATCCCAACACTGTGGGAGGCCGAGGCAAGTGGATCATCTGAGGTCAGGAGTTCAAGACCACTCTGGCTAACATGGTGAATCTCTACTAAATATACAAAATTAGCTGGGTGTGGTGGCGGGTGCCTGTAATCCCAGCTACTCGGGAGGCTGAGGCAGGAGAATCCCTTGAACCCAGGAGGCAGAGGTTGCAGTGAGCTGAGATCGTGCCACTGCACTCCAGCCTAGGGGAGACTGTCTAAAAAAAAAAAAAAAAGAATGAGTAGGAGAAATTGCTGGGCGCTGTAGCTCATGCCTGTAATCCCAGCACTTTGGGAGGCTAAGGCGGGCTGATTGCTTGAGCCCAAGAGTTCTGAGACCAGCCTGGCCAACAGGGCGAAACCCCATCTCTACAAAAAATACAAAAATTAGCTGGGCAGGGTGGCATGCACCTGGAGTCCCAGCTACTTGGGAAGCTGAGGCAGGAGAATCGCTTGAGCTGGGAAGTAGAGGTTGCGGTAAGCCGAGGTCATACCATTGCACTCCAAGCCTGGGTGACAGGAGTGAAACCCTGTCTGAAAAAAAAAAAAAGAATGAGTAGGAGGAATACATGAATTAGAGAAAGAGGAGAGGATAAAACATAATTACAGAATATCTTATTCTTTTTTTAGATTGCTGTCATACCTCCTTCACGGCTGCCCCTGTAGTTTGTTGATAGGATTTTTTTAGAAAACAAATCTGTATTGAGTCCCTGCTCTAAGCTAGTGTAATAGATACCAAGGCAGTGCAGGTCATAGTTCCTGCTCTCAAAGCATGCACAGTCCCAATGGGGAGTTAAGACATCTCAGAACAGTTAGAGACAGCTCATGGTTAAGTGCCAATGGGTTTGGCCCATGAAAGAGCAGAAAAAGCTGAGTACATTGCCAAGGTTTGCTCCTGGGAGACTTGGAACAGTGGTAGCATTTATAAAAATGGAAAGTTGGGAAAAGCAAGAGGTTTGGGAAGCAGATATACCTATAGTGAAATGTCACAGTCTATATAAATTACTATTTGGCTATGCAAATGAGCAAGGCTGCAAAAATAATGTTTAGACTGCAGGGTGCCAGGAACTGTAATAATTCCTACCTTTCTAGGTTGTATGCAAAGCATTGTGCCATGTCGTTTGCTTACATTATAATTCAGTCTTCACCACTGTATAAGGCCTTTATGACCCCTATATTTTGGATGAGAAAAATG
Source organism: Homo sapiens (assembly GCF_000001405.40). Lineage (NCBI taxonomy): Eukaryota > Metazoa > Chordata > Mammalia > Primates > Hominidae > Homo > Homo sapiens. The sequence continues at coordinate 31,991,009 of NC_000001.11, read as the reverse complement.
AGGCTTGGAGAGGGTGGGTTACAACCAGTGGGAAAGTGACAGATTAGGATTTGAACACAAGTCTGTTTTCAAATCACTGTGCTGTGTCATCCAGGAGGATGTGGGAGAGACCATCTCTGCCTTCAGGTATACGTTGAAGGCACAGGCAGGTGATCCAGCAAGCACTGACCAGTTCCTCAGACATTCAGCTCTTCACCACCACCACCCCTACACCCCCAACACCATCAAAGGGAACTCAGAGGAAGTGACCACTGTTGACCAGAGTGGTCAGGGAAGCCTTCAGGAAGGAGTTGAGTTTTGAGCTAGGCCTTGAAGGATGGGTGAAATTTGAATAGGAGAGGAAATGGAGGGAAGAGACTCCAAGCAGAGGAGGATGCAAATGCAAAGGAGAGGAGATGGACATGGTGGATAAGGAATGAACAGAATGGAGGATCTGGATTGGGGCCAAATGGAAAGCCAACTCTAGAAAATCTAGGTATGGAAGATCTTGAATGCTCTTGAATCTACTGTAGGAAGGAAAAAGTCTTAATAGGATTTCGAATAGAGATGGAAGGGTGGTAGGAAAAGAATATCTGATGGTGAGCTTCAAGTGATACTTTTGGTGAGGTTGCGATACTCAGAATGGATGGGAACTGGACGTTTAAACTAGATCAGGCCTGAGTTGATATTGGCAAGAGGGAAAATGGAAAAGAAGGAGATGGATATGAAAAATATTTTGAAGGAAAAAGCAGATGGCAATTGACTGGATTCAGAAAGAGAGGAAAGAAAAAAGAGAAGGATCTGGGACTTTATGTCGGGGTGGCCAGGAGAATAATGATACTTTTGAGATCAGGAGGAATGGCAGGCTGAGCTTGGTTTTGGTGACGACATAGTCTTTCTTTTGGGGAGAACAGGTAGAATGCGGGGGCCACAGGACTGTGGAATAGGCTAGGGAAGCTGAAGATACTGTGAAGAAGGGAGGAGAGAGAGAGAGAGACAGAGAGAGAGAAGCAAAGATTGGGGTACTGGAGTCAAGAAAACCAAGGGGGAGGAGGTCTCAGAGGTGGCCACCAGGTCAAATAGTAGAGATGACAAGAAGAATCAGGACAGGAAAGGGACCACTGGCTTTGAAAAAAATCAATATGCTCCTCCACAGTAAATCACTTTGAGGAGACTGTCACCTCTCTGTAAAAACTACCACATGAAAAAGGTGAAGGATGCCGGAAAGAGGATGATGATTCGGTACCCACAGCAGCTAATATTTCCTGAGCATCTTCTGCATGCTTGGGCCCTGGTAATAACAGGACTTTATCCTGTTGACAAGGTAGGTGTTATCGATACCTTTCTACAGAGGGAGACTGAAACCTAAAGAAATTAATTAACTCTCCCAAGGCCACATAAGGCAGAAATAATGAAAACAGGATTTCACACCAGGTCTGCATGGTCGTAAAGTCCCCACCATACACCATCTCTCCTCAGTGTCCATACTGCAGTGTGCACTGATGGCTCCATAATAATAATATGGGCGGGGCATGGCGGCTCACGCCTGTAATCCCAGCACTTTGGGAGGCTGAGGGGGTTGGATCACGAGGTCAGGAGATCGAGACCATCCTGGCCAACATGGTGAAACCCTGTCTCTACTAAAAATACAAAAATTAGCTGGGTGTGGTGGCGTGTGCCTGTTATTTCAGCTACTCAGGAGGCTGACGCAGGAAAATTGCTTGAACCAAGGAGGCAGAGGTTGCAGTGAGCCGACATCACGCCACTGCACTCCAGCCTGGTGACAGAGCGAGACTCCGTCTCAAAAAAAAAAAAAAAAAAAAAAAAAAGCCTGGTGCGGTGGCTCAAGCCTGTAATCCCAGCAGCACTTTGGGAGGCTGAGAGGGGCAGATCACGAGGTCAGGAGATCGAGACCATCCTGGCTAACACGGTGAAACCCCGTCTCTACTAAAAATACAAAAAAAAAAAAAAAAAAATTAGCTAGGCGTGGTGGCGGGCGCCTGTAGTCCCAGCTATTCTGGAGGCTGAGGCAGGAGAATGGTGTGAACCCAGGAGGTGGAGCTTGCTTTGAGCCAAGATTGCGCCACTGTACACCAGCATGGGCGACAGAGCGAGACTCTGTCTCAAAATAAATAAATAAATAAAATAAAATAAAATAAAATAAAATAATAATATGGACAGTGACCGTTTAGTGAGCACTTCCTGAGCAACATGCTGCACTAAATAGTTTACATATATTAACTTCATTCTCATGGCAGCCCTTTGAGGTAGGTATTATTAATCTCATTTTGCAGTGAGGAAATTGAAGCTCAGACAGGTTAAGTGACACCATCGAAGTCACATAGCCAGAAAGTTGTTGCAGTGGGCTATGTATGAAGCTATCAGTTTCTATTGCCTCCTCAGAATTTTTATTTTTTAATTTTAGAATGAAATTCTTGCTTGCTCCAGGCTGGAGTGCAGTGGTGTTGTGATCACAGCTCACCGCAGCCTTGACCTCCTTGGCTCAAGCTATCCTCTCACCTCGGCCCCCAAGTAGCTGGGACCACAGGCATGTGCCACCACACCTGGCTAATTTTTTTTTTTGTAAAGGTGGGGTCTTGCTTTGCTACCCAGGCTGGTCTCAAACTCCCGGGCTAAAGCAATTCCCCCGCCTTAGCCTGCCAAAGTGCTGGGATTACAGGTGTGAGCCACTGCGCCTGGCCCTCCCCAGAGTTTTTTTTTTTTTTTTTTTTTGAGACGGGGTCTCACTCTGTCGCCCAGGCTGGAGTGCAGTGGCACGATCTCGGCTCACTGCAAGCTCCGCCTCCCGGGTTCACGCCATTCTCCTGCCTCAGCCTCCTGAGTAGCTGGGACTACAGGCACCCACCAGCACGCCCGGCTAATTTTTTTGTATTTTTAGTAGAGATGGGGTTTCACCATGTTAGCCAGGATAGTCTCGATCTCCTGACCTGGTGATCCACCCGCCTCGGCCTCCCAAAGTGCTGGGATTACAGGCTTGAGCCACCGCGCCCGGCCTTCCCCAGAATTTCTTACAGAAAATTTCTACTCGGGATCCAGTAGGTGACCAGCTAGTGCTCTGAAGCTTTGTATGCCATTAATTGCTTAACGTCAGTATCACATGCGCTCTGGATGATTCTCGGTGGCTCCAATGCTGAGTGTGTGGTGGTTGACTCTACTGCATCAGTATCACTCAAGACTGCTCTATCGAGTTACAATGCCTCCTCTTTGTCAGGGTCCTGGCTTCCCCCAGGGCTTGAGGACAGTATGTGGCTTTTGAACTTGCTTTTCATCGGGGATGGAGAAAGCATGCGAGTTCACCCACTGCCTCAATTGTTAGAAGTGTCTGGGCAGAATCAGGCATATGTGGCTGGCCGATGTCTCTCCCTGGTAGTTCCAGGGGCCAGCCTCGCCTTCCTGTCTGAACTCGGCAGGGACAGGCTGGCTGGGTCGACAGAGGCATCTGCCTGGCAGTTGGGGGCCTGTGAGAATAGCTCTAGTTCTCACCCAGCAGCCTGAGTTGTGGCCTGGGCAAGACCTAGTGAAGGCACACGTTAGTCACAGCAGCCTGGGTGGGGAGGGGGCAGGCATGGGGAGTTCCCTGTGGAGTTCTGGGCAGAAGAGAAGAGCTCAGCTATCACTGTGTGACTGGTAGGGCAGAGTGAGGAGGGGCGTTAGGCCAAGTGCCTCTCTTCCCCTTGGTCGTTAGTCGAGAGCCTCAGGGAAAACGCCAGCCTTCCTGATCTGATCTAATTTCGAGCCCCCCTGCTGTGTGACAGAATGATTCTCTCTGCACATGGTCAGCCGCAGATTTTTCTCAAGGTGAAAGCAATTAGGGCTTCATTCCCTCCTCCCCCAGCTGCTAGAAATAAAAGGAAGATGGAAGAGAAGCTTCTGCCAAGGTCAGCCAGAATGCCCAGTCCTGTTCCTGTAATTGGCTCTGCCACCTGCTCACACCTCTCACAGGTTGTTGTGGTCTCAGGCATTTTGGTGTCCCCCAGGGCTGAGGCAGTGAAGACAGCAGGAGCTACTGCTTTTACATCTCTCTCCAGGACAAGAAAGAGGGCATCTTCACCCTGCCCTGGGTGGGGAATGTGCAGGAACTGTGTGAGCCAGGCCTGGGCGGCACACACAGATGGAGCTGAGCTGTTCTCTCCTTTCTCTGGAAGAATCAAAACCCAGGCAAGAGAAAAGTCATTGGAAGGTGGGAGAACTCATTCATTTGGTCAACTGCTAAACCAAGCACTTTGCTAGGCGTTCCTGGTCCCTGTAGTCTTGGAGCCAAGGGGAACAGAGTGGGTGCAGGAGGTGGAGGGATGGGGAAGTCAACGGGCAGGCAATTCCAAAGGTACCAAATGTCACAAAGGAGGACAGCAGGATACCACGGGAACCTGACCTACGATAGAAATTAGGTTCTTGGCTTTTTTTTTTTCCTTAATTTTTAAATGTATTGTCATAGAGATGAGGTTTCACTGTGTTGCCCAGGCTGGTCTTGAACTCCTGGGCTCAAGCAATCCTCTCTTCTTGGCTTCCCAAAGTACTGGGCTTACAGGTGTGAGTGACCAACCACATCCAGCCTTATTTTATTTTATTTTATTTTATTTTATTTTATTTTATTTTATTTTATTTTATTTTATTTTATTTTATTTTATTAGAGAAAGGGTCTTGCTTTGCTGTCCAGGCTGAAGTGCAGTAGCATGAACAGGGCTCACCGCAGCTTTGACCTCCTGGGCTATAAGTGATCCTCCTGCCTCATCCTCTAGAGTAGTTGGGACTACAGACATGCTCCACCATGCCTGGCTAATTTTTAAATTTTTCAGAGAGACAGGGGTCTCACCCTGTTGCCCAGGCTGGTCTTGGCCTCAAGCAATCCTCCTGCCTTGCCTCCCAAAGTGCTGGAATTTCAGGCGTGAGCCACTGCACCAAGCCTACCCCGTTTTTAAGAGTCTCGGGCTGGGTAAGGTGGCTCATGCCTGTAATCCCAGCACTTTGCAGTGTAGTGGCTAGTCTCTACAAAAAAAAGTTTTTAAAAAATGAGCTGGGCTTGGTGTGGTACACCTGTGTTTCCAGCTACTTGGGAGGCTGAGGCAGGAGGATCACTTACAGCCCAGGAGGTTGAGGCTGCAGTGAGTTGTGTTGGTGCCACTGCACTCCAGCCTGGGTAACAGAGCAAGATCCTGTCTCAAAAACAGATAAAAAAATAAACAAATAGAGATAAAATCTCATGGTAAAATATTTAAAAATAAAGGATAAAAATTGAAATCAGAAGCTCCAAATTACTCCCCACCATCTTCCCTGGTGGTAACAGCTGTTAACAGAGTGTTATGTACTTTTCCGGGGGACTTTCCAAATGTATTCAAGTGTAAGTACATATACAGGGCCGTCCTCTTTAAAAACGGGGTTGTTACTACGCTCCTATCCAGCTGGTGACTTCCCCTGCCTCCACTTCACAATATACCCAGGGCATTTTTTCCATGTTAGTACAGAGAGCTTCACCTCATTCTTTTTGGTGGCTGTGTGGTATAAGGAAGTGATTTTTGAAGGGTAAAACCTGAAGAATAAGTAAGATTAGTAAGGCAAAGGGATGGTTCTCTAAAGCACTGAGCCTGGGAAAACAAAAGCAACATAGATCTCTCTAACTATATCTCCTAATGTCTCCCTTCCTTCTGCGTTTAGACCCCCCGCTCCCTCTGCTGCCACATTTTTCTCTAATTTGCAAAGCAGTTCAGCTGTCTTTGTCTTGCCCTAGCTCTGGAGAGCTTCATTCTTCATGCCAAAGCAACTTATGAAGTATTTTCCCAAACAAAGAACCCTCTACCCAGAGAAAAATTGTGCCACTCCCCTAATAGACAAAAGTAGCTGCAGGCAGTTGTGGTTTAAAATAGCAATTAAGAAAAAAAAAATCTGTTACACCATAAAGCACCTGGCAGTTCATAAATGGTGGTTATTTGTTACTAATATTATTTTACATGTGTTGATGGATGGGTTGGCTGCTGCAAGTTCCTGTCCTTCATCCTGGGGTACCCACCTCTTGCTTGGCCACTTTTCAAGTGTAGGGATGGTTGTCTTACTTGTGTTTGTACCTCTAGCTCTCAGCACAAGGCCTGGCATAGAGCAGACACTCAGGAAGTGAGTGTCGAGTTGAACACTGAAGGGCTGGGTGTGCTGTTCCAAGCAGATACTGAGTCACAGACATTGTGGGCCTGCTGTGATCTGAGCCCCAGTATAGATGCTTTGGAACAGTAGAGAAAACAATCAAAAGAGAGGCTCTTGTCCTGGGGAACTTCATCAAGATGGGCCTCATGAAACTGTCACATCATATCACAAATTGTAAAGCATCCACAGTCCCTGGATCAGTACTAATTTTGGCTTTGGGAAGAGGGGATAAACTTTCCTTCACCCCCACCTTTAGGTATAAAATAGATACGGTAATGTGCACAAACCTTAAATGAGCAACTAGATGAATACTTTCTGTTTTTTTTTTTTTTTTTTTTGAGACGAAGTCTCGTTCTTGTCGCCCAGGCTGGAGTGCAATGGCGTGATCTCAGCTCACTGCAACCTCCACCTCCCAGGTTCAAGCAATTCTCCTGCCTCAACCTCCCAAGTAGCTGTGATTACAGGCACCTGCCACCAAGCCCAGCTATTTTTTGTATTTTTAGTAGAGAAGGGTTTTCACCATGTTGGCCAGGCTGATCTCAAACTCCTGACCTCAGGCGATCTGCTTGCCTTGGCCTCTTAAAGTGCTGGGATTATAGGCCTGACTCACCATGCCCGGCCTACTGTCTGATTTTTTAAATTAAAAATATTTTGTTTTTGTTTTTGTTTTTAGTGACAGGGTCTTGCTATGTTGCCCAGGCTGGAGTATAGTGGCTATTCACAGGTGCAATCATAGCTTACTGCAGCCTCAAACTCCTTGGGTCAAGCAATCCTCTTTCCTCAGGCTCCTGAGTAGCTGGGACTATAGGCACATACCACCACACCCAACTTGAAGTTTTATACATGTATATACCTGTATAACCATCAACCAGATCAAAATCCGGATTATTTCCAGGACCCTAGAAGGTTCTCTTGGCCGCCTTTCAGACATACCCCCTGTCACAATAGAAACGATTATTTCTGACCTCCATTACCATCAACTAACTATACCTGTTTTTGAGATTTTTCTAAATGGAATTGCATGGTGTACATTATTTTTGTTCTGGCTTCTTTCACTCAATATTATAGCTATAAAATTCATCCATGTTAGTACTTAGTACTTGTTTTTTTATGTATGTGGTATAGTATTCTATCAAATGAACATATAACAATGGAGGCATTTGGGTTGTTTCTAGCTTTTGGTTATTCTGAATAATGCTGTTACAAACATTCTTTTACATATGTCTTTTTGGTAGACTCAACCATTTATTTTTCTTGGCTATATATATTTGAGTGGAACTGCTAGGTCAGAGGGGATACGTATGTTTAGTTTTAGTAAATACCGCCAGTTTTCCAAAGTGGTTGTACCAGTTTACACTCCTTTCAGTGGTGTATGAGAATTCCAGTTGTTAATATTGTCAGTCGTTTTAATTTCAAATTTCAGCCATTCTGATAGGTACGTAGTGGTATCTCACTGTTTTAATGTATCTACCCACATAGTAATAAGTAATAATATTTTTTGTTTTGAGACAGGGTCTTTTTCTGTTGCCGAGGCTGGGGTGCAGTGGCATGATCATGGCTCATTGTAGCCTCAACCTCCCAGGCTCAAGCAATCCTCCTGCCTCAGCTCCCTGGGTAGCTGGGACTGCAAGTGCATGCCAACACATCTGGCTAATTTTTAAGTTTTTTGTAGAGATGAGGTCGGGCTATGTTGCCCAGGCTGGTCTTGAACTCCTGGCCTCAAGTGATCTGCCCGCCTCGGCTTCCCAAAGTGCTGGAATTACAGGCATGAGCCATCAAGCCCGGCCAGTAATAATGTTTTTACATGCTTGTTTCTTGTGCTATTTGGCCATCTGGATGTCTTTGTTGAAGAGTCTGTTCCCACTTGGTCCCCTCACCCAAGGATGTCTCTCCTACACTCAGTAACCATTTGATGACCTTAACTGATGGTCATTCAATGGTCATCCTTGTGCTGATCACACCCAGATCTCTGTCCAGAGATCCTGCTCCCAAATGCCATACCCACATATTCAGCTGGCTCTTTGATATCTCTAACAGAATGACCCATGTGCCCCTCAGGATCAATATCCAAACTAAAAGCTTCATCTCCTCTTCAGCCCCTAATCCATTTTCCTTCCTTTCTGCTCAGGCCACTCCAGGGCACCCAGACTGGCCCATCATCTTCATCCTCACGGACTCTGTGAATGTTTAGGCCCCAATCTCACACATTTCAAGAAATGTGGCCAGGCGTGGTGGCTCACACCTGTAATCTCAGCACTTTGGGAGGCCGAGGCAGGTGGATAACTGGAGGTTAAGAGTTCGAGACTAGCCTGGACAACATGGTGAAACCCTGTCTCTACTAAAAATACAAAAATTAGGCAGGGGTGGTGGCAGGCGCCTATAATCCTAGCTCCTTGGGAGGCTGAGGCAGGAGAATCCCTTGAACCTGGGAGGCGGAGGTTGCAGTGAGCCGAGATCACGCCACTGCATACCAGCCTGGGTGACAGAGCGAGACTCTGTCTCAAAAAAAGGAAGGGAGGGAGGGAGGGAGGGAGGGAGGGAAGGAAATAAAAATATGCACAGCCTGTTTCCTTTCCCCACCCCACACCCTCTTTGCCCTGGATACCTCCTCCTTGGGTCTCAGCTTACATGCCACTTCCTCTGGTTTAGGTGTTTCCTCTGCTGTCTTCCAGTGCCAGTTCCTTCCTGTCAAGTCATTTATCACACTGGCTTATAATTACCAGTGTCAATGCCTGAATCCCTGGATCATCTGTTGTTTTGCCTGCTCAGCATTCTTTCCCCTCCTCTCAGTAGTCTAGTTTTCGCTAGGAGCCATCTCTCCATTCTTGCTCCGTGTGTTGGGGTGTGGCTGCAGAGAAGGATGTGCATATCACCCAGGCCCGACAAGTCAGCATATTCCATCCTTTAGTTCTGTAACTGGGTCAATGTTAAGCACAGAACCAAGGTAGTTGATCAGAGCAATCTTAGGATTTTTGCTGGAACAAATGGGAAAGAAGCATTCTTTTTCTGAGGGGGTTACTACAGGGCTAAGATGAAAGCCTGGAGCCTGGGGGATCCTGGTCTGGGGAGTGACCCAGGCCTACCTCACCACACATTTTGGTGGGAGATCTCCCTTCCACATTACTAAAGCACATAGATTCTACAAAAAAACATATCTCCACAGCCCTTTTGCAATTCTGGTGCAATAGTGGATTTTCTAATTATCTTCATTTAGCTTTGTTGTCAAACTACAGAGTAGTAGGGGTTTTTGTGTGTGTGTATGTGGTTTTTTTTTTTTTTTTTGACACGGAGTCTCACTTTGTCGCACAGGCTGGAGTGCAGTGGTGTGATCTCACCTCACTGCAACCTCTGCCTCCCAGGTCAAGTGGTGATTCTCCTGCCTCAGCCTCCTGAGTAGCTGGAATTATAGTCATGCACCACCATGCCCGGCTAATTTTTTTGTATTTTTAGTACAGACGGGGTTTTGCCACGTTGGCCAGGCTGGTCTCGAACTGCTGACCTCAGGTGATCTGCCTGCCTCAGCCTCCCAAAGTGCTGGGTTTACAGCTGTGAGCTACTGCGCCCAGCCTGAGTAGTAGTTTTTGAGAGCACAGATTCCGCAGTAACTTAAGGGTTTGAATCTAGCACTGCCATATGTCACATGTGACTTTGAGCAAACTGCTTAGACTCTCTGTGCCTCAGTTACGTCATCTGTAAAATGGAGATGATAACAGTACTTACTTTATAGTGTTTTTGTGAGAATTAAATGAATTGATTAATGTAAAAGGACTTGTTTACACTGTGGGGAAAATACCACCCGGGACATTTCACAAAGGAAGTGAAAGCAAGGCCAGGTTTCCAAGTGGCTAAAGATGGCTTTGCTGGCAGTGGGGAGTGTGACAGGCTAATAGCCTGAGCGTCTTACCAGTAACTGCTAGTGAATTCCCTTGTTTTCTCTATTTCATCTGTTGTGTGTTCTTAATCTCACACTGACATCTCCGATGAAACCCTTTTCAAGTGTTTGGCATCTCATGGGGGTTTGACAGCAAGGGTGGTAGCCAAGCGGGTTTAACTCCAAAGGGATAATGGTGGTGTTTGCTGCAAAAACTTGAGAGGTAACATTGTTTACAGTGTACAGAGTATTTCATTTGCATATTAAGTTCACTGACTGCGATTCTAGCACGTATATAACCACGTTACACAGAAAATTCAGAAACTCCTCCAGCTACTACCTAACTCTGGAACTGCACATACCTGGGACATAGTAAAATATTGCAATCTTAATAATATAGACTTTGGCCAGGCAAGGTGGCTTATGCCTGTAATCCCAGCACTTTGGGAGGCTGAGTTGGGTGGATCACCTGAGGTCAGGAGTTCGAGACTAGCCTGGCCAACATGGTGAAACCCCGTCTCTACTAAAAATACAAAAATTAGCTGGGCATGGTGATGGGCACCCGTAGTCCCAGCTACTTGGGAAGCTGAGGCAGAAGAATTACTTGAACCTGGGAGGTGGAGGTTGCAGTGAGCCGAGATTGCGCCACTGCACTCCAGCCTGGGCAATGGAGCAAGACTCTGTCTCCAAAAAAAAAAAAAAAAAAAAAGAGAGACAGAGAGAGAATATAGGCTTTGGGGTTGGTCATACCTGGGTTTAGGTTTCGTCTCTGCCTTTTGCTTGCTTGTGTGAACTTAAGCTAGTAATTTATCCTTTCCGAGCCTCACTTTTTTCCATGGAAATGGATAAAGTAATTGCTCCTAAGGTCGCTTCATGGTACAGTCCAGGGCTACCAATCACAACATATTCTATATATCGGTAGCACATATCTTACAAGGTGGATGTAAAAATTAAATGAGATGGTTTCTGTATTGCAAATAGCTCAGCGATGGGCTGATAGCACTTAGTACATCTTAGTACATGTTAGTTGCTATTATTAGGTATTTATGTGCAGAAGTCCTTCTGATAATAATTGTCATAATAGCAAGAGTGGAGTCGGAAGAACTGATGAGGAAGGCTTTCTGAGGAAATTCTAAGTTGTTTTATTTTTATTTATTTATTTATTTATTTATTTATTTATTTATTTATTTATTTGAGATGGAGTCTCGCTCTGTCGCCCAGGCTGGAGTGCAGTGGCGCGATCTCGGCTCACTGCAAGCTCTGCCTCCCAGGTTCACGCCATTCTCCTGCCTCAGCCCCCCGAGTAGCTGGGACTACAGGCGCCCGCCACCATGCCCGGCTAATTTTTTTATATTTTTTAGTAGAGATGGGGTTTCACCATGTTAGCCAGGATGGTCTCGATCTCCTGACCTCGTGATCTGCCCGCCTCAGCCTCCCAAAGTGCTGGGATTACAGGTGTGAGCCACCATGCCCAGCCGTTTTTTAATTTTTTTAATTTTTTAAATTGTATGTCCTCTGGTGTTGAAACTGAAAGATTCTAAGGTTTAAACTGGATTTGAAAGGTGGAGAGTAACTCATTTTGGCAATGAAGATTAGGGTGAGTGTCTTGGGAATAAAAGAAAGAGGGAACAGGTGTCTGCGTGACCAAAGTGAGATACTTGGATGCAACTCAGCCCCGTCCTCAGGGCACTTGTGGGCTTCTGCCAGTAGTGGGGAATCCCAGAACCTTCTCTGGCTTGGCTACAGAAGGAAACAGACATCTCCTATGGAGAGAAAGGAAAGTCACGGAGCTGCTGTCTGGTGGTGACTGGGGCCACAGTGGCAAGCAAAGAGATGTCTGTGGGGCAAGGGAACTGGCAGGGTGAGGCCTGAGGGTCAGCCCAGGATTCTGGTCACTGGGAGGCTGAGCTAGAGGCTTCTACCTCCTGCAAAGTAAGCTGGGCTGGTCTGTGGATTCTTTCCAGATTCTCAGAATTCCAACCTCCTATAGGGTCTTCTCTAGGGAAGGAGGGACACAGATGTATAGAAAAGACCAAAGGGAATGATGAGAGTTTGAAAACTCTGGTCTGGCCAGGCTCAGTGACTCATGCCTGTAATCCCAGCACTTTGGGAGGTCGAGGTGGGAGGATCATTTGAGTCTAGGAGTTCAAGACCAGCCTGGACAACAAAGCAAGACCCTGTGCCTTTGATTGTTTATTTGTTTATTTATTTATTTAGAGACAGTCTCGCTCTGTTGCCTAGACTGGAATGCAGTGGTGCGATCTCAGCTCACTACAACCTCCGCTTACCAGGTTCAACCCGGAGTAGCTGGGATTACAGGCATGTGCCACCAGCTTATTTTTGTATATATATATTTTTAGTGGAGATGAGGTTTCACCATGTGGCCCAGTCTGGTCTCAAACTCCTGACTTCAAGTGATTTACCTGCCTCAGCTTCCCAAGGTGTTTCCCAAGATTACAGGTGTCAGTCACAGTGCCCGGCCCTGACTCTGTCCCTTTAAAAACAAACAAACAGGCCAGGCGCGGTGGCTCATGCCTGTAAGCCCAGCACTTTGGGAGGCCGAGGCGGGCGGATCACAAGGTCAGGAGTTCGAGACCATCCTGGCCAACATGATGAAACCCTGTCTCTACTAGAAATATAAAAATTATCTGGGCGTGGTAGCACATGCCTGTAGTCCCAGCTACTCAGGAGGCTGAGGCAGAAGAATCACTTGAACCTGGGAGGCAGAGGTTGCAGTGAGCCGAGATTGTGCCACTGCACTCCAGCCTGGAGACAGAGCGAGACCGCGTCTCAAAAACAAACAACAAACAAAACAAAAAAAACCCTCTGGCCTGAGATTCCAAATTGTCACCAGCCATCACGGGGCTGGTGGAGAGACAGTCAGACCAGGCTGTGCTGCTTTCTGGGAGAGCCAGCCATCTCCCATCTGCCCCTGCAGACCCACGCTTCACTCTTCTCTGTCCTGTTCTGTGTCTGCCTTGTCTGGACACATCAGCAGGCTGCTTTGCCTTCTGGCTCCTTCTTGGGCTCAGCCACTGGGGACACTGGGTCTGAGGGGCCAGAAGGGAGAGAAGTTGGGTAGTTATTCCCTTGCTCCCTCTACAGGTTGACAGGGTATCCTTGATGGGCAGTCACAGCTCTTCTTAAGGAGGCCTCTTTTCCAAAATTCCCTCCCTCAGGAAATGCTCTCCCCTGTCCCTTCAGGCCTAAGGGTGGTGGCAGCTCCTCAAGTGTTGCTAGCCCCGGGCCACTGTGCTGTCCCTATGGTTTCTGTGCACCCACTCACACCATCGTAAATAAACCCTCTTCAAATTATTCTAATTTTAGTGTGTCATCTGTTTTCACTTGGGACCCTGACTGATACATTTGCCAAATAAGGATTCTTTTGGTTGTCTTAAGGGAAAGAGAGAGAATTATTGCCTCATTATTGCTTCATGTACCCGAAACGATGTACAGACATTAGACATGTTTGTTCAAGAGTTTAGGCAAGAGCTTACTTAGAGTTGGCAGCTTCAGTCTCTTTCTCTCCTTCAGCTCTAGTTCCTCTGGGTGTGCTTTCCATTCGGGCACTCTCTCTACCTAGCAACTTCCAGCAGCTCCAAGCTTATATCCTCCCAGTGTCAAGTCCAAAGAAAGGTTCATTTCAGCCTGGGTGCAGTGGCTCATACCTGTAATTCTAGCACTTTGGAAGGCCGAGGTGGGTGGATTGCTTGAGTCCTGGAGCTCAAGATCAGCCTGGGCAACATGGCGAAAACCCATCTCTACAATAAATACAAAAGTTAGCCAGGTGTAATGGCACATGCCTGTAGTCCCAGCTACTCGGGAAGCTGAGGTGGGAAGATCACCTGAGCCTGGGAGGTCGAGGCAGCAGTGAGATGTGATTGCACCACTGCATTCTAGCCTGGGTGACAGACGGAGACCCTGTCTCAAAAAGCAAACAAACATAGCCAGGTGCGGTGGCTCACGCCTGTAATCCCAGCACTTTGGAGGCTGAGGTGAGTGGATTACCTGAGGTCAAGAGTTCAAGACCAGCCTGCCAACATGGTGAAACCTCATCTCTACTAAAAATACAAAAATTAGCTGGGTGCGGTGGCAGGTGCATGTAGTCCCAGCTACTCAGGAGGCTGAGGCAGGAGAATCACTTGCACCTGGGAGGCGGAGGTTGCAGTGAGCCGAGATCACACCACTGCACTCAAGCCTGGGTGACAGAGACTCTGCCTTAAAAAAAGAAAAAAGCAAACAAACAACCAAACAACTCCCACCCCAACAACAACAAAAAACAAACAAAAAAGAAAGGTTCATCTCTATCCCAATGGATCTGACAAAGTTCCAGTATTCTCATGGACTTGGCATGAGTCACAAGGCTACCTCAAACCAGTCACTGTGACCAGAGGGATGGAACACGTAATTGGCCAGATGTGGGTCATGTCTTGCCTCTAGAGCTTGGAAGAGGTGTGTTGACCCCACCTAAGTCAACAGGCCTGATAGTAGGGGCAGGCAATTCCCAAAAGTCAAGGTTTTCTCACCAGAAGGAAAGGAAAGGCACAGATGCTGAGTAGGCCCAAACCATGAATCTGTTTTTTTTTTTTTTTTTTTTTTTAAGACAAAGTCTTACTCTGTCGCCCAGGCTGGAGTGCAGTGACGTAATCTTGGCTCACTGCAGCCTCTACCTCCCAGGTTCAAGCAATTCTCATGCCTCAGTCTCCCAAGGAGCTGGGACTACAGGTGCCTGCCACCACATCCGGCTAAGTTTTGTATTTTTTGTAGAGATGGTATTTCACCATGTTGGCCAGGCCGGTCTCAAACTCCTGACCTCAAGTGATCCACCACCTCAGCTTCCCAAAGTGCTGGGATTACAGGCGTGAGCCACTGAGGCTGGCCTCCATGAGTGTATTCTACTTGGCTATGTGAACTTGGATAAATGACCTAACCTCTGGAACTTCTGTGTTCTTTCTTCCAATACTATTAAGAATAATGATTATTGAGCAGTTACTGTGTGCCAGGACCTACATCGAGGGTTTTAGATGAATCTTTGTTTGGTAGCTCTCATTGTTTCCCCCTCTTTATAGATGTGCAAACCAAGACTCAGAAAAGTAAAGTGGGCCAGGCGCAGTGGCTCATGCCTGTAATCCAGGCACTTTGGGAGGCCGAGGTGGGCGCATCACCTGAGGTCAGGAGTTTGAGACCAGCCTGGCCAACATGGCGAAATCCCGTCTCTACTAAAAATATAAAAATTAGCTGGGCATGGTGGCAGGCATCTGTAATTCCAGCTACTCAGGAGGCTGAGGCAGGAGAATCGCTTGAACCTAGGAGGGGGAGGTTGTAGTGAGCTGATATCATGCCACTGCACTCCAGCCTGGGTGACAAGAGCAAGACTCCGTCTCAAAAAAAAAAAAAAAAAAAGGGCTGGGCCCGGTGGCTTACACCTGTAATCCTAGCACTTTGGGAGGCCGAGGTGGGAGGATCACGAGGTCAGGAGATTGAGACCATCCTGGCCAACATGGTGAAACCCCATCTCTACTAAAAATACAAAAATTAGCTGGGTGTGGTGGTGCGTGCCTGTAATCCCAGCTACCTGGGAGGCTGAGGCAGGAGAATCACTTGAACCAGGGAGTCGGAGGTTGCAATGAGCCGAGATCACGCCACTGCACTCCAGCCTGGCGAGAGAGCGTGATTCTGTGAAGAAAAGAAAAGAAAAAAGACAAGACAAGACAAGACAACAGGCTTTCTCAGGGCCACAAAAGCCTAGACATGGCAGAGTTAGAATGTGAACCCAGATTTGTTTGACAGAAGAACACACACCTCTCTACCAAACTGCTTCTCAGTTGGAGCCTAGCTTGCAAGGTATTGTGAGGATTAAAAGAGATATAATACAAATAGTACAGCAAAAATTTATTTTACTCTTTGTGCACATACTGTGTGCCAGCCCCTGAGCCAAATGTTGCGTGGACACATGTTTAAATCTTGCAACAATTTCTCACTCTTGAAAACATCTAGCATAGCCCCTTGCCCAGTAGGAACTCAGTGGTAGCTTCTCTCCTTTTATGCTCCCTGACTTTTCTCTTCATGTTGGTTCCAGCATTTTTTCAGAATTTTCATTGTTCTGTGTTGCACAGGGTCCCTGAGCTATTTCTTCTGCTGCCTAGAAGCTGAGAAGAATCAGGGTCATGGCCCTTGTGCCTGGAGAGGTCCTTATGGGGAGAAAGGGCTCAGTGAGAGGAAAGCAGGTGGGAAAACAGGCCTGGGGAGGTGATGTGATTAACATCACAGCATCAAGTGTTTTTCCCCTGAGAAACTTTGGACATTTTAAAAACATCTCAGCCGGGTTCCGTGGCTCACGCCTGTAATCCCAGCACTTTGGGAGGCTGAAGCGGGCAGATCACGAGGTCAGGAGAGCGAGACCATTCTGGCCAACATGGTGAAACCCTGTCTCTACTAAAAATACAAAAAATTAGCTGGATGTGGTGGCGTTGCACTTGTAGTCCCAGCTACTTGGGAGGCTGAGGCAGAAGAATCGCTTGAACCTGGGAGGCGGAGGTTGCAGTGAGCTGAGATCGCACCACTGCACTCCAGCCTGGGCGACAGAGTGAGACTCCGTCTCGGGGAAAACAAAAACAAAAACAAAAACATCTCCAGGGCACTGGGATTCACCCTACTGGGGAAGTGGGAGGTTGGCAGGGGGCAGGTTGCCTGGCAAGCTGGCCAGAGGACCAGGTACACCTTCTGGTTTGTCTCCTAATCTCCTGGATGGTTTCCATACTGAGACCAACTGTCCATTGTCTTTGACTCTTCGTTTGTTGTCCAATCAGATAACAGGACCTACTGATTCTCCCAAATTCTTGCTGTTACCTGAGAGTTTGTTGAAAGCTTTGACTAAGTTTTCTGCATTGGGAGTGAGGGTAGGTACAGAATCTTTCATTTTCGGGTTTCCAGTAACTAAACGCATGTTTTGTTCTGTTTGAGAGACAGAGTCTCTGTTGCCCAGACTGAAGTTCAGTGGCGTGATCTCAGCTTACTGCAACCTCCACCTTCTGGGTTCAAACAATCCTCCCACCTCAGCCTCCCGAATAGCTGGGACTACAGGCATGTACCACCACACTCAGATAATTTAATTTTTTTTTTTTTTAGATGGAGTCTCTCTCTGTAGCCCAGACTGGAATGCAATGGCATGATCTCGGCTCACTGCAACCTCCGCCTTCCGGATTCAAGCAATTCTCCTGCCTCAGCCTCCTGAGTAGCTAGGATTACAGGCACACACCACCACGCCTGGCTAATTTTTGTATTTGTAGTAGAGATGAGGTTTCACCATGTTCGCCAGGCTGGTCTTGAACTCCTGACCTTGTGATCCATCCGCCTTGGCCTCCCAAAGTGCTGGGATTACAGGCGTGAGCCACCACGCCCGGACAATTTTTAAATTTTTTGTAGAGACAAGGTCTTGCTATGTTGCCCAGGCTGGTCTCAAACCCCTGGGCTCAAGTGATCCTCCAATTTCAGCTTCCCAAAGTGTGCTGGGATTTACAGATGTGAGCCACTGCACCCAGCCTGTATGGTTTTTTTTTTTTTTGGTTTTGTTTTTTGTTTTTGAGACAGAGTCTCTCTGTACCACCCAGGCTGGAGTGCAGTAGCGTGATCTTGACTCACTGCAACCTCCCATCTCCTGGGTTCAAGCGATTCTTGTGCCTCACCTTCCTGAGTAGCTGGGATTACAGGTGTGTGCCACCACGCCTGGGCAGTTTTTGTATTTTTAGTGGAGACAGGGTTTTGCCATGTTGGCCAGGCTGGTCTCAAACTCCTGGACTCAAGTGATCCACCTGACTCGGCTTCTCAAAGTGCTGGGATTACAGGCGTGAACCATCCCGTCTGGCCTGTATGTTTAATTGAACTTAATAATAGTCATAATTTTTTCAGAGCCTCCGGTGAACCACTGACTTAACTAATCATCAAGTTTAATCCTCACAACAACCTTGTATCATAGCTACTGTTTTTCTTTCTACTTAATATAAGAGGGAAGTGTGACTGGTGTAAGGTCATGGGGCTAGCAAGTGGCTAAATGGTAAGCTGAAAAGCAGCTTGGACCTCTCTTTTAAACTCGAGACTTGTATGACCAGCTGATTATTTGACACGTCCCCTTAAATGTCCAATGGGCACCTCAAACTTAACATGTCCAGGACCAAGTTCCTGCTATCCACTCCCTGACCCCTAACCTGTTCAGTTAATTGCCACTGCATCTTTCAACTGCTCAGGCCAAAAATCTTGAGCTATCCTTAACTTCTCTTTCTCATACACCCTAGCTTCAATCCATCAACACACTTAGTGAGGTCTACCTTCAAAATATCTCCAGCATTGACCCCTTCCAACTCTCTCCGCTGTTCATGTTCTGGCCTAAGCCACCAACAGCCTCCTCACTGCTCTTCAGGTTTCTGCCTTTGCTTCCCCTAATCTCTCAACAGATTCAGATATGTCACCCTTCTGCCTGAGCACTGCATTGGGTAAATGGATGAGTAAAAGTCCAAGTGTTTACCCTGAGCTACAAGGCGTTATCTGAACTGGCTTTTTTTGAGATGGAGTCTCACTCTGCCACCCAAGTTGGGGTGCAGTGGTGCAATCACAGCTCACTGCAGTCTAGACTGGCTGGGCTCAAGCCATTCTCCCACCTCAGCCTCCTGGGACAACAGGTGCATGCCACCATGCTAATTTTTAAAATGTATTTGTACAAACAAGGCTGCACTATGTTGCCTAGGGTGGTCTTGAGCCCCTGGGCTCAAGTGAACCTCCCACCTTGGGCTCCCAAAGTGCTGGGATTAGAGGTGTGAGCCACTGTGCTCAGCTGAGCGCTTTTTTTTTTTTTTTTTTTTGAGACGGAGTCTCCCTCTGTCACCCAGGTTGAAGTGCAGTAGTGCAATCTCGGCTCACTGTGACCCCCATCTCCCGGGTTCAAGTGATTCTCCTGCCTCAGCCTCCTGACTAGCTGGGACTACAGGTGCATGCCACCACGCCCAGCTAATTTTTGTATTTTTAGTAGAGATGGGGTTTCATCTTTTTGGCCAGGCTGGTCTTGATCTCCTGACCTCAAGTGATCCCTCCACCTCGGCCTCCCAAAGTGCTGGGATTACAGGCGTGAGCTACCATGCCCAGCCTAAACTGGCTTCTTGAGACATCTCTTCCCTCATTTTCCAGCCTCTCCACCTGCCGTCACTCTGCTACACATACTTTTCTTCAGACCACACACTCTCACTTCAGAGCCTTTACATGTGGTACTTATTTGGTCTGGAATTTTTTATTTCCAAATGCCCATTGGTTACTTCCATATTTCTTTCAGGTCTTTAATGCCATCTTCTTAATGAGGCCTTTCCTGGACACCTTACCTAAAATTTCACACCCTCCACTTATAGTACCTATTTTCCTTCCCTGTGCTATTTATTTCTCCTTAGGATGTATTACCACCTAAAATACCATATATCCTGGCTTATTGTCAGTCCCACTAAAATGTATGCCCCGCTATGGCAGGATTTTGATCAGTTTTGTTCATGGCTGAATCTCCAGCTCCTTTAACAATGACTGGCACGTCCTCGGTGCTTGATTCACATTTGTTGAATACATGTATGAATAAATGAATTTAGAAGAAGAAATGAGGTCTGTTGACTCATTTAATTGCTCCATGCTACCTCTCCAGACTAAGCGTGTCTGTGATATACCTGTGGCTATTTGGTGGCACTCATATCACGCTCTCAGTGCTGCGGGAATTCTTAGAAGAGTAGTCTATAAATAGTACTCTCTTTGCTTGAAAAAGCTCTGAACCATTTGAGAAATAAGACTAAGAAATAACGCATATGAAGACCAAAATAGCAGCCTTATTATTGATAAAGCTGATTTAGAGAGAGTGACCTATGTCTGTCGATAGGTGTGCACCCAAGTACTGACCCCAGAATTGCATCAGCTTAACCATGGATTCACAGGCAGTGCCTGATGAAGTAGAACTTAAGGCATACAGAGACAGGCAGAATGCATCCTTTAGGAGAGAAGTGTGCAGAGCTGCATATACCAGTTCTTTATCACAGACTCATGGATGGATTCAGTCACTTGCCTCTTTCAGGGGAAGCAGAGAGAAGCCAGGAGTGTTACACTATGGATGCCTTTCCCATGAAAGGGAAAGATAGGAGTATTTTCCATCTAACAATCCCCAACTCTTAAACAAAACAAAACAAAAAGAAACAAAAAAAAAACAGCTTTATTGACTAGGTGTGGTGGCTCACACCTGTAATCCCAGCACCTTGGGAGGCTGAGATGGGTGGATCACTTGAGCTCAGGGGTTCGAGACCAGTCTAGGCAACATAGTGAAACTTCATCTCTATAAAAAATACAAAAATTAGCCGGGTATGGTGGTACAGGCTGTAGGCCCAGCTAGTCAGGAGGCTGAGGCGGGAGGATCGCTTGAACCCAGGAGATGGAGGTTGCAGTGGGCTGAGATCCTGCCACTGCACTTCAGCCTAGGTGAGAGTGAGACCCTGTGTCAAAAAAAAAAAAAAATTAAAATAAAAAATAGCTTTAGTGATATGTGATTCACATACCGTAAAATTCACTTTTAAAGTATACAAGTCAGTGGGGTTTTTTTGTTGTTCTTCTTTATTCTGAATACAAGTCCCATATCCAATCTATGATTTGTAAATATTTTCTCCCATTCTGTGGGTTATCTTTTCACCATCAGGAGACAGTGTCCTCATAGAATGGAACAACACATGCTGGGGCCTATTGGAAGGTGGAGGTTGGGAGGAGAAAGAGGATCAGGAAAAATAACTAACGGGTACTAGACTTAATACCTGGGTGACAAAATAATTTGTACAACAAACCCCCATGACACAAGTTTACCTATACAACAAACCTGCACATGTAACCCTGAACTTAAAAGTTAAATTAAAAACAAGAGATGGGCTGGGCACACTGGCTCATGCCTGTAATCCCAGCACTGTGGGAGGCTGAAGCAGGTGGATCACCTGAGGTCAGGAGTTCGAGACCTGCCTGATCAACATGGTGAAACCCCGTCTCTACTAAAAGTACAAAAGTTAGCTGGGCGTGGTGGCAGGTGCTTGTAATCCCAGCTACTCGGGAGACTGAGACATGAGAATTGCTTGAACCTGGGAGGCGGAGGTTGCAGTGAGGCAAGATCGCACCATTGTACTCCAACCTGAGCGACAGAGCAAGACTCTGTCTCAAACCAAAAAAAAAAAAAAAAAAAGAGAGAGAGAGATGGTGTCCTTTGAAACACAAAAGTTTTTAATGTTTACAAAGTTCAATTTATCTTTTTTTTGTTTTGTCTGTGCTTTTGAGTATCATATCTAAGAAACTATTGCTTAATCCAATGTCGTGAAGATTGATTCCTATGTTTTCTTCTAAGAGTATTATGCTTTTTTTAGCTCTTACATTTAGGTCTGTTACATTTTTGATCAAATTGTTTATATAGTGTGAACAGGGGTTCATTTTAATTTTTTTTGCATGTGAATATCCAGTTATTGTTTTCATACATTTGTTCAAAATTGACCACAAATGTAAAGGTTTATTTCTGGACTTTCAGTTCTATTCCATTAATCTATATATTTATTCTTTTTTTTTTTTTTTTTTTGAGACAGAGTCTTACTCTGTTGCCCAGGATGGAGTGCAGTGGTATGATCTCAGCTCACTGCAAGCTCCACTTCCCGGGTTCAAGAGATTCTCCCACCTCAGCCTCATGAGTAGCTGGGATTACAGGCATGTGCCACCACACCTGGCTAATTTTTGTATTTTTAGTAGAGATGGGGTTTTGCCATGTTGGCCCGGCTGGTCTCGAACTCCTGACCTCAGATGATCTGCCCCACCCTCGGCCTCCCACAGTGCAGGGATTACAGGCGTGAGCTACCACGCCTGGCCTATATATTTATTCTTATGTCAGTACCATATTGTCTTTATCACTTTGGCTATGTATAAATTTTGAAATCAGTGAGTTCTCCAACTATTTTTTTTCAAGATTATTTTGACTATTCTGTGTCCCTTGCATTTCCATATGAATTTTAGGATCAGCTTGGTAATTTCTGCAAAAAACAAAAACAAAAACAAAAAAAACCCAAAAAAACACCAGCTGAAATTTTGATAGGAATTGCACTGAAAATGTAGATCAGTTTGGGGAGTATTGCCATCTTACTCCCCAGAATGCCATCTGTTCATTCCAATATAGGAACACGGGATGTCTTCCCATTTATTTAGGTCTTATTAAATTTCTTTCAACAGGCCAGGAGCGGAGGCTCACGCCTCTAATCCTAGCACTTTAGGAGGTGGAGGCGAGAGGAGCATTTGAGCCCAGGAGTTTAAGACCAGCCTGGGCAACATAGTGAGACTTTGTTTCTACAAAAAATGAAAAAAATTAGCCAGGTTTGGTGGTATACACCTGTAGTCCCAGCTACTTGTGAGGCTGAGGCTGGAGAATCTCTTGAGCTTGGGAGTTAGAGGCTGCAGTGAGCTGTGATAGCACCACTGCACTCCAGCCAGGGCAACAGAATAAGACTCTCTCTATAAAACCAACCAACCAACCAACCAACCAACCAACCAAACGAACAAACAAACAAACAAAAAAAACAGACGCAAAGTCTTTTAACATTTTTATAGTTTTCAGTGTCTGAATCTTGTTATTTATTTATTTATATTTGAGACAGAGCCTTGCTCTGTCGCCCCAGCTGCAGTGCAGTGGTGCAATCTTGGCTCACTGCAGCCTCAACTTCCCATGCTCAAGCCATCCTCCGCCGCAGCCTCCCAAGTAGCTGAGACTACAGGAGTGCACATCCAGGTAATTTTTTTTTTTTTTAGACGGAGTCTTGCTCTGTTGCCTAAGCTAGAGTGCAGTGGCACGATCTCGGCTCACTGAAAGCTCTGCCATCCGGGTTTCATTCTCCTGCCTCAGTCTCCTGAGTAGCTGGGACTACAGGCGCCCACCACCACACCCAGCTAATTTTGTGTATTTTTAATAGAGACAGGGTTTCACCATGTTAGCCAGGATGGTCTCGATCTCCTGACCTCGTGATCCATCCGCCTCGGCCTCCCAAAGTGCTGGGATTACGGGGGTGAGCCACTGTGCCCAGCCCATGCCCAGCTAATTTTTAAATTTTTTTTGTAGCTACGAGGTCTCACTGTATCACCCATGCTGATCTTGAACTCCTGGCCTCAAGCGATCTGCCCACCTCAGCCTCCCAAAGGGCTGGGATTACAGACATAAGTCACCGTGCCTATCCAAGTCTTGTATAATACTTCTTTTGTTAAATTTCCTCCTATGTATATTATTCTTCTTGATGATATTGTAAATAAAAATTATTTTCTCAATTTCATTTTCAGATTGTTCATTGCCAGTGTATAAAAATTCAACTGATTTTTGTGTATTGATCTTGTATCCTGCAACCTCACCAAACTCATTTATTAGTTCTAATAGTATTTTGTGAACTCCTTAGGATTTTCTATATTCGAGATCATGTCATCTGCAAATACAATTTTACTCCAATCTGGATGCCACTGCAACCTCTGCCTCCCAAGTTCAAGTGATTCTCCTGTCTAAGCCTCCTGAGTAGCTGGGATTACAGGCACCTGCCACCACGCCCATCTAATTTTTGTATTTTTAGTAGAGATGGGGTTTCACCATGTTGGCCAGGCTGATGTCGACCTCCTGACCTCAAGTGATCTGCCCACCTCAGCCTCCCAAAGTGCTGGGATTATAGGCGTGAGGCACTGCACCCAGCTCCCAAAAGCTTCTTTAATCTTCATAATACCATGAGGTTGATGTTACTAATCCTATTTTTTTTTTTTTTTGAGATGGAGTTTCACTCTGTTGCCCAGGCTGGAATGTAGTGGCATGATCTCGGCTCACTGCAACATCTGCCTCCTGGGTTCAAGCAATTCTTCTGCCTCAGCCTCCCAAGTAGCTGGGATTACAGGCGTGTGCCACCATGTCCAGCTAATTTTTGTATTTTTAGTAGAGACATGGTTTCACCATGTTGGCCAGGCTGGTCTCGAACCCCTGACCTTGTGATCTGCCTGCCTCAGCCTCCCAAACTGCTGGGATTACAAGCATGAGCCACCATGCCTGGCCACTAATCCTATTTTAGGAATGAGAAAATTGAAGTTCGAAGTAGTTAAGTGATTTACTTAAGGTCATATAATTGGTAAGTCTCAGAGTCTAGATTTGAACCCAAGTCTTTCTGATTCCATTATATCCAAAGGTCTTTTGAAATACATTTTAAATTTTAAATAAATTTTACCTTGAAAATGTAATAATGTGCATGATAAAGAATTTAATAGTACAGGCTGGGTGCGGTGGCTCATGCCTAAAATCCCAGCACTTTGGGAGGCCGAGGCGGGTGGATCACGAGGTCAGGAGATCGAGACCATCCTGGCTAACACGGTGAAACCCTGTCTCTCCAAAAAAATACACAAAATTAGCTGGGTGTGGTGGCAGGCGCCTGTAGTCCCAGCTACTTGGGAGGCTGAGGCAGGAGAATGGCATGAACCCGGGAGGCGGAGCTTGCAGTGAGCCAAGATCGCGCCACTGTACTCCAGCATGGGTGACAGAGCGAGACTCTGTCTCAAAAAAAAAAAAAAAAAAAAGAAGAGAATTTAATAGTACATAAGGATATCCAGTAGGAATTAGTTCTCCTTCCTACTGCCATGCCCTCTTTCCTCCATTCTCAGAGGCAGTCATTATTGGAGGTGTTTCCTTCCAATGTGTTCTATACATACCTAAATAGATATATCTACATCTATACAAATTCTTATTTTAAACAGACACATAAACTTATTTTTTTCTTTTAAAAACAATCTTAACAATGAATCTTGAAGATTATTCCATACCAACACATCCAGATAGATTTATCTGTCATTTTTTTTTTTTTGAGAGGGAGTTTTGCTCTTGTTGCCCAGGCTGGAGTGCAATGGCATAATCTTGGCTCACTGCCACCTCTGCCTCCCAGGTTCAAGCAATTCTCCTGCCTTGGCCTCCCAAGTAGCTGGGACTACAGGCGCCCACTACCACGCCCAGCTAAGTTTTGTATTTTTAGTAGAGACGGGGTTTCGCCATGTTCGCCAGGCTGGTCTCGATCTCTTGAGCTCAAGTGATCTGCCTGCTTTGGCCTCCCAAAGTGCTGGGATTACAGGTGTGAGCCACTGTGCCCAGCCTCATTTTTTTTTTTTTTAGAGTCTTACTCTGTCACCCAAGCTGGAGTGCAGTGGCGTGATCAGAGCTCACTGCAGTGTCAACCTCCTAGCCTCAAGCGATCCTCCCACCTTAGCCTCCTGAGTAGCTGGGACTACCGGTGCACACCACCGCACCTCAGCTAATTTTTTGTATTTTTTTGTATAGAAGAACTTTCGCCACGTTGCCCAGGATGGTCTCAAACTCCTCAGTGCAAGCAGTCCACGCACCTTGGGCTCCCAAAATGATGGAATTTCAGCCGTGAGCCACTGTGCCTGACCCTTTTTTTTTTTTTTTTAAGGCTAGTTAAGTCAAGTGAAGCTGTGGGAGTGGAAAAGGAATAAAGAAATATTTTAAACAGTTGCATACTATTCCATTTTAGTAAATGACTGTCCTACTGAAGGATGTTTAGATTCTGTCTCTGTTTTTTTTTTTTTTGAAACAGAGTTTCTCTCATCTAGGGTAGAGTGCAGTGGTGCAGTCTCAGCTCACTGCAACCTCTGCCTCCCAGGTTCAAGCGATTCTCTCGCCTCAACCTCCCGAGTAGCTGGGATTACAGGTGCCTGCCACCACACCCAGCTAATTTTTTTGCTTTTTTGTTGTATTTTTTCGGGGTTTTTTTTGGGGCGGAGTCTTACTCTGTCACCCAGGCTGGAGTGCAGTGGCGCGATCTCGGCACACTGCAACCTCTGCCTCCCGGGTTCAAGCAATTCTCCTGCTTCAGCCTCCCGAGTAGTTGGGATTGCAGGCATGTACCACCATGCCCAGCTAATTTTTGTATTTTTAGTAGAGACGGGGTCTCACCATGTTGGCCAGGCTACTCTCCAACTACTGACCTCAAATGATCCACCTGCCTCGGCCTCCCAAAGTGCTGGGATTACAGGCGTGAGCCACCATGCCTGGCCATTTTTTTGTATTTTTAGTAGAAACAGGGTTTTACCCTGTTGGCCAGGCTGTTCTCAAACTCCCAACCTCAGGTGATGCACCTGCCTCGGCTTCCCAAAATGCTGGGATTACAGGCGCCCAGCCTAAATTCTCTTTTGCTGTAGCAAACATCCTTGTGTTAATTTCTTTGGACATGCCAAATTGCCTTGGGAAATACTTTGAAAAGTAAAAAGAACCATACAAGGGCAAGGGCTTTTATGATTAGGATGATTGTTGTTGTTTTCCTGCAACTTTGCCTTCTCTGCAGTCTGAAACCCCAAGTTCTGACCATGAGTGCTCTCTCTAGTGGACAGGCGTGCTCTCCATCACTTGCTCTAGCTGTCAGAAAAGAGTGTCTCCTGAAAGTCTCTGGCTTGGAATAGACAGCATTGTTCAGATAGGTTTGCAGTCTTTAGGCTTAGGCTGCTAAACCCTGATTATGGCCCGTTTTGGGATGGGGTGCTGGGCTACTGATGCTGGTGTGCAGCACATTAACTGCAGGGATAGCCAGAGGTCACACTTCTGGGGATGACCTTGACTTTCAGAGTAGACTGGGTGAGCGGTATTTTGCTAGATCAAGCTCTGACCTGTTCTGACCACAAGAGGACAGTAGTGAGCTGCCTAGCGCTTCTGCCAGGCTCATGGAAGGCCCTTCCTATACAGGGAGTGTCTGTCTGGAGTAGCTCCCTGCAGGACTGGGCAGCCAGGTAAATTCTCCTCTTCCTGAAGAATGAAGGTATGTGCTGGTCGTGGTGGCTCATGCCTGTAATCCCAGCACTTTGGGAGGCCGAGGTGGGCGGATCACCTGGAGTTGGGAGTTCCAGACCACCCCGACAAACATGGAGAAACCCCGTCTCTACTAAAAATACAAAATTAGTTGGGTGTGGTGCCTGTAATCCCAGCTGCTTAGGAGGCTGAGATGGGAGAATCGCTTGAACCCAGGAGGCTGAGGTTGCGGTGAGCCGGAGATCGCGCCATTGCACTCCAACCTGGGCAACAAGAGTGAAACTCAGTCTCAAAAAAAACAAAAACAAAAACAAAAGAAGAAGAAGGAAGGTATGGTAGAGGAAATCTGGTCGAATGTGATTTGAGGACAATATAGGAGAAAGTAAAATCAAGGTGGACTCCTCATGAAAATAGCTTCATTTTTTTTCCTCATAAATATAATGTATGCAGATTATAAAAACTTCAAATAATACATAAAAGTACAAAGAAGAAGCCAGGCGGGGTGGCTCATGCCTGTAATCCCAGCACTTTGGGGGGCTGAGGCGGGAGGATCACGAGGTCAGGAGATCGAGACCATCCTGGCCGACATGGTGAAACCCTCTCTACTAAAAATACAAAAATTAGCCGGGAGTGGTGCTATGCACCTGCAGTCCCAGCTTCTCAGGAGGCTGAGGCAGGAGAATCACTTGAATCTGGGAGTCGGATGTTGCAGTGAGCCAACATCACACCATTGCACTCCAGCCTGGGCGACAGAGCAAGACTCCGTCTCAAAAAAGAAAAAAATAAATACTAAGAAGAAGAGAAAGATCTCCTGAAGTGTCATGGCCTGAAATAACCGCTGTTCAAATTTTTGGCAATACTTTTGTTTTTTCGAGTTTTTTGTGGCAATTTTTTTTTGAGCGGTAGCAAGGTTTATTGTGAAGAGTGAAAGGACAAAGCTTCCACAGCGTGGAAGGGGATCCAAGCAGGTTGCCCTTTTTTTGGCAATATTTTTGAAACCTGCATTTTGTACTCGGAAAATGTTGTGGATATCTATCTTTGTAAATACCTTTAATGTTAGAGGCCTCAGGACTTGTACTTGCATAAATGCTTCTTAAGTTTTTCCACCCAGTAACCCCAGAGGCAGAAAAGATGAATGCTGTGCCAGACAGGTAATGCATGAGACTGTGTGTAGGGTCTGAAATGTACGAGAGCAACAGAACCTTCTTTGAAATACTGGGCTTTCACCTTAAACATTCAGACAAATTCTGCAGTATACCCCATAACATTTTGAATTCTGTTCATTAGTTGTTTTCATTTAAAAATAATTCTGTCCTTTCTCCTCCAAATCTGTATAACTGTCTATTGTATGAAGGTATCATCATTAATAAGCAAACAGTGTTGGACACTTAAGTCACTTCCAGTTTTTCTCTAATGTAAACACTATTGCAATGAGCATCCTTATGCATATGTATTTTCTCTTGTTTGATTATGTCATTAGAATAGAGTTCCAGAATGGGCTCCTTTAAAAATAAAGCTATTTCTTTCCCCCTCAATGCTTTTAAAACATTGGTACAAGGCCAGGCATAGTGACTCACGCCTGTAATCCCAGCACTTTGGGAGGCTGAGGCGGGTGGATCACTTGAGGCCAGGAGTTCTAAACCAGCCTGGCCAACATGGTGAAACCCTGTCTCTACTAAAAACACAAAAATTAGTCAGGCATGGTGGCAGACACCTGCAATCCCAGCTATTCCGGAGACTGAGGTGGGAGAATTCCTTGAACTCGGGGGGCGGAGGTTGCAGTGAGCTGTGATCCTGCCACTGCCCTCCAGCCTGGGTGACAGAGTGAGACTGTCTCAAAAAAAAAATTGGTACAAATGAGATGAAAAAGGTGCTGATGGGGAGAGGGGTTGTCCCTTTAAGCCTCTTTTCTGGTCTCTCGGCTGGGACCAACCAGGGGATGCTCTGGGCTTGGACATAGCCCCTCTTCTGTGCTCAGCACACACAGGTGATATGGATTCTCTGTGCCCAGCACTCTGCTAAGCTCTGATTTCCACCTTCTCTCATTCAGTCTGATAAGATAGGCATTATTATTCTTATTTTACAGAGGGCCAAGCCAGTCCAGTGAATCCAGCTGTTCTGGCCAAGGTGACACAGCTAACAAATGTATGTTTGGGTCTTGATTCAGGGACCCAGGTTCTTTGTCAGCACAGTGAACAAAACTGCTTAGCTGCAGACCTCTTCCTAGGACAGTTGTCTAAGAACCTTTTGGTTACAAGCAAAAACAAAAGATCAAAAAACCACTAGAACTATTTTAAGTTAAAAAAAAACAGGGTGGAGGATAACGGTGAGAAGGAATTAGAGAAACCCAGAGAAATCTCATCGAACCCAGGAGAAGAAGTAATTAGTCTCATGAGGAATGAGGAAGCAGTGCTCTCTCTCTTTCTGTTTCTTTCTGTCTGGGAAATCATGGCCTCCAGCCTCTGCTTCTATAAGTACGTCTTCGTTATTCTCTACCCTGTATCTACCAAAAAAATACAAAAATTAGCTGTGCGTGGTGGTGCGTGCCTGTAGTCCCAGATACTCGGGAGGGTGAGGCAGGAAAATCGCTTGAACCCAGGAGGTGGAGGTTGCAGTGAGCTGAGCTCGCGCTACTGCACTCCAGCCTGGGTGACAGAGTGAGACTCTGTCTCAAAACAACAACAACAACAACAACAACAACAAAAACCTATAAGGAACCTGTCTAGCTCTTTCTATCTCTCAGACCTTTTTCTGTGTTTGCCTCATTCCTAGGTAGGCCTTTTCCTCATGGTGGTAAATGGCTACTAGCAGCTCTATCTGGGCTTATGTTCTCGTGAATTGGCTTCCTCAGTGGAAAGCAAATTTCCCCGTTCCAATAGTTCCAGCTCTGATTGTCCTTGATTGAGTCATAAGTCCATCCTGAACCCATCACTAAGGCCAGAGGATAGGTGTCTCTGACTGGTGAGCCCTTGGTCAGATGACCATTCCCAAGCTGAGGTGGGTCAGCCACATTGAGTAGAGGAGGGACAGTTCTCCAAAGGAAAAATGGGATGCCATTAACAGAGACTCCAGAACCTACGAAACAGTGGATTGAGATTTATACCAAGAACCTCCAAGGATATGTTAAAGATCATGGTGGAGGGTGAAGAGATGCCTTTCACTCTTGTATTCCATACACATTATTAAGAGTTCTATGTGTACTCAGCACTGCTTGGCTCAGGGGATGAAATAGGGAATCAGACAGACAAAGGTCGTTGCTCTCACAGAGCCTAACTTCCAAGGAGCATGCCAACAAATAAATGTTTCTTGAATATCTACTACGGACAAAACAGTGTTCCAACCCCATTTCTTCCCCTTTGCACATATAAAGAGAGATAAAATGTGGCCTTTCACTCAAGAAGTTTAAAATATACCACGGCAGATAAAATAGTAGTAAATAATAACAGGCTTTGGGAGGCTGAGGTGAGAGGATTGCTTGAGCTCAGGAGTTTGAGACCAGCCTGGGCAACATAGTAAGACCCCATCTTTACAAAAAATAAAAAAATTAGCCGGGTGTGGTAGTGCATGGCTGTGGTTCCAGCTACTTGGTAGGCTGAGGTGGGAGGATTGCTTGAGCCCAGGGGGTCAAGGCTGCAATGAGCTGATTTGTGCCATTGCACTCCAGCCTGGGCCGTAGAGTGAAACCTTGTCTCAAAAAATAATCATAATAAATGGTAAATGCCCACAGTTATACAAGTGTTTTGGGAGAGAGGGCTGGAATGAGGAGGAATACTACTGCTAATGGCAGTAATAATAAAAGTGGCTGACATCCATTCAGGGCTTACTGGGTGCCAGGCACTGTGCTAAGAACTTTCTGAACAGCATCTCATTTTATCCTAGTAACAACTCTATGAGGTAAGTAGCCCATTTTACAGAGTAAGGAAGGAACTGAGGCTCAGAGAAGAGAAGTGACTTGCTTAAAGAGCACACAGCTGGGAGTTGCAGACTCAGCAGCTGAACCTTGGTTTGTCTGGCCTCAGCGCCCATAACTTTTAGTTATTACATAATCTTGGGCCTGGAAAGAAGGGCGGGAGGTGTTGGGCCAGGAAATGTGGACATGTAGTAAATCTGGGGGGCAAGGAGTCAGCAGGAATAGGTTTTGTTCTTCTTGCTCTGCAGAGGGCTTCCTCTGCTTCTCCATACACATGGCAGAAAGTGGCTGTCTCCAGCTTTGAGTCCTATGCCTAAACCTGACTCTCTGGCACCAACTGCAAACTGGCAGCCCTATAGGCCAAATATGATGTAAAAAAAATATTCTTAGCCTGTGGCATTTACAAAAATGAATTAGTGCCCCAAATTCAAAAATTGGGAAATCTCACACAAAAATCTGGAAAATCAGAATATCTGACAAGTCTGGGCCCATATTCCCATGGCAACCATCTGCTAGAGCAGAGACGCAGCTGCTACCTTTAGCCGAGGCACACGCTTTCCATTTGCCACAATTGCCGCCATTCCCCATTGTCTCTCACTGGGCTGTTTCACTCATTGTCATTACTATTGTGACCCCTGGGAGTGTTTGAACTAGAGTCACTATGTCCCACTTTCAGAGTCCCAAGAGATATAATTCAGCCCAGTGTGGGTCAGATGGGCACCCCTGGTTCAAAACACTGTGGCAATAGCAGGGCAGGCGTCAGCAAGGTCAGCGAGAGTGTAGGGGGACCTCTTCAGCAAGGCCTATGGGCAACTGTGGGGTCTGGGGAAAGGGAGTCTAGATGGGCAGATACTTGAAAGGAGTTTAGTACCAAGGGGGAAGAGATTGAGGCTGAGAGCCCCCTTATGAGACATGTAATAATAGGCCTGTGTGGTGGCTCACACCTGTTATCCCAGCACTTTGGGAGGCTGAGGTAGGAGAATTGCTGAAGCCCAGGAGATCAAGACCAGCTTGGGCAATGGGGTGAAACCCCATCTCTACAAAAAATACAAAAATTAGCCAGGCATAGGGGCACGTGCCTGTAGTCCCAGCCGGTTGGTTGGCTGAGGTGGGAGAATCTGAGCCTGAGGTGGGAGAATCATCTGAGCCTGGGAAGTCAAGGCTGCAGTGAGCCATGATCGTGCCACTGCACTCCAGCCTGGGCGTTGGGAGTGAGACCCTGTCTCAAGAAAAACAAAAAACAGGCCGGATGCAGTGGCTCACACCTCTAATCCCAGCACTCAAGGAGGTCGAGGTGGGCAGATCACCTGAGGTCGGGAGTTCTAGACTAGCCTGGCCAGCATGGCAAAACCTCGTCTCTACTAAAAATACAAAAATTAGCTGGGTGTGGTGGCGCACATCTGTAATTCCAGCTACTCGGGTGGCTGAGATACAAGAATGGCTTGAACCCAGGAGGCAGAGCTTGCAGTGAGGCGAGATCACACCAGTGCACTCCAGCCTGGGCAACAGAGCAAGACTCTGTCTCAAAAAAAAAAAAAAAAAAAAAAGAACAACCACCACCACCAAAAAATGTATCAATCCAGGCTTCAGGTCATGATGAGGGCCTAAATTGAAGCAGAAACAGTGGAGACAGGCCAGGTTTGGTGGCTCACGCCTGTAATCCCAGCACTTTGGGAAACCGAGGCAGGAGGCTCACTTGAGCCCAGGAGTTCAAGACCAGCCTGGGCAACATGGCGAAAACCCATCTTTATAAAAAACACAAAAATTAGCCAGGAATGGTGGCAAGTACCTGTAGTCCCAGCTACTTGGAAGGCTGGGGTGGGAGGATCACCTGAGCCCAGGAGGCTGAGGCTGCAGTGAGCTGTGATTGTGCCACTGCACTCCAGCCTGAGTGACAGAGCAAGACGAAAGAAAGAAAGAAGGAAGGAAGGAAGGAAGGAAGGAGAAGGGAAGCGAAGGGAAGAAAGAAAGAAAGGAAGGGAAGGGAAGAAAGAAAGAAAGAAAAAAGAAAGAAAGAAAGAAAAGAAAGAAAAAGAGAAACAGTGGAGACAGAGGGGAGAGGGGAGGTTTATTTATAAGATGTTAAGAACATGGTGATTGGTGGGCTGGGCTGGGCAGAAGCAAGAGTGACATTTGAGCTTCTGGCTTGGGGAACAGGGTAAAAGGTGGTGTCATTCATCAAGATTGGGAACCTAGGAGGAGCAGGTTTGGGGGAAGATATAGAGTTCAGTTTTGGCCTCGTTGAGCTTGCTGTATGTGGCAGCGTGCAAGTGGAGCTGCTTGACAGGTGGGTGGCTCTTGGGGGGAAGATCTGTGGTTGAGATACAGTCTGGGAATTCATCAGCAAAGAAGTAGAGGTTGAAGACACAGGCACAGCTTAAAAGTGGGAGGGAGCGTGAGGGGTAGAAAGGGAAGAGGGCTAAGAGCAGAACTATGAGAAGTGACATTTAAGGGCTGGAATGTTGCCAGCAACCAAGGAAGAGAGAAGGAGGAGAAGAACCGGGGTCTGTGGCCTCACAGAAGCTCAGGAAGGAGAGTTAAGAAAGAAAGTGGTCAGGGTGAGGCATGGTGGCTCATGCCTGCAATCCCAGCACTTTGGGAGGCTGAGGTAGGAGGATCACTTGAGGCCAGGAGATTGAGACCAGCCTGGCAACATAGGGAGACCCCGTTTCTATTTAAAAAAATTAAATACAAGCCCGGGCGCGGTGGCTCATGCCTGTAATCCCAGCACTTTGGGAGGCCGAGGTGGGCAGATCATCTGAGGTCAGGACTTTGAGACCAGCCTGACCAACATGGAGAAACCCCGTCTCTACTAAAAATACAAACTTAGCTGGGTGTGGCGGCACATGCCTGTAGTCCCAGCTACTTGGGAGGCTGAGGCAGGAGAATCACTTGAACCCGGGAGGTGGAGGTTGCAGTGAGCAGAGATCGCGCCATTGCACTCCAGCCTGGGCAACAAGAATGAAACAACATCTCAAAAAAAAAAAAATAAACAAATAAGTATGAAAGAAAAGAAGCCAGGCACGGTGGCTCACACCTGTAATCCCAACACTTTGGGAGGCCGAGGTGGGTGGATCACTTGAGGTCAGGAGTTTGAGACCAGCCTGGTCAACATGGTGCAACATCGTCTCTACTAAAAGTACAAAAATTAGCCGGCGTGGTGGTGGGCGCCTGTAATTTTAGCTACCCAGGAGGCTGAGACAGGAGAATTGCTTGAACCCGGGAGGTGGAGGTTGCCGCAAGCTGTGATCTCGCCACTGTACTCCAGCCTGGGCGACAGAGTGAGACTCCCTCTCAAAAAAACAAAACAGGCTGGGCACGGTGGCTCACGCCTATAATCCCAGCACTTTGGGAGGCTGAGGTGGGTGGATCACCTGAGGTCAGGAGTTCGAGACCAGCCTGTCCAGCATGGTGAAACCCTGTCTCTACTAAAAATACAAAAATTAGCCGGGTGTGGTGGCACATGCGCCTGTAATCCCAGCTACTCAGGAGGCTGAGGCAGGAGAATCACTTGAACCTGGGAGGCGGATGTTGCAGTGAGCCGAGATCACGCCAGTACACTCCAGCCTGGACAACAAGAGTGAAACTCCGTCTCAGAAAAAAAAAAAAAGAAAGAAAGAAAGTGGTCGACAGCGCTGACTGTTTAGAAGAGGCAAGTAGGAAAGGCCTGGAAAAAGTCTTTGGATTTGGTGATGAAAAGATCATCACTGAGTGTGATGACAGACAGTTCAGTGGCTGGGCAGAAGTCAAATGACAGGGACTGAGAAATGAGTGGACAGTGAGAATGGGAGTCAGGGTTTCGACTCTCCTGAGGCCTGGGATACGGAGGGAAGGAGAGAGTTTGTCCAAAGGCAAAAAGTTTGTGTCAAACAAGATTCCAGAGAAAGGCCTGGCTGCTGTTGAGAGACCCAGGAGTAGCTAAGGCCTTATTCTGGGTTCAGGAGGGCCTGGGAAGATGCTGTCTTGTTTGTGAACCTGAAGTGAAAGCTCACCAGAGGGGCCAGCAGAGGGAACTGCCCTGCGAGAAGGCCCCAGCTTTGCGGCTGGGTTTTCCCCACTCTGCATCTAGTTTCCTTGATCCACTGATTATCTTGGGCTGGTTTTGCTGAATGACTCAGGAGCTTGAGCAAGCTTTGCTACTCAGTTTCACAGCTCTGGGGGAGGGGAAGTTGGATTCCTTTCTGATAGCTGGGAAACAGTCATTAGATATTGAAGGAAGAAGGACAATTGGGCCCCAGCTTCAGAGAGAGAGAGAAAAAAATGGCTCTCCAAGCCTTTATTTATTTATTTATTTATTTATTTATTTATGAGATGGAGTTTCGCTCTTGTTGCCCAGGCTGGAGTACAATGGCGCAATCTCGGCTCACGGCAATCGCTGCCTCCTGGGTTCAAGCGATTCTCCTGCCTCAGCCTCCTAAATAGCTGGGATTACAGGCATGTGCCACCATACCTGGCTAATTTTGTATTTTTAGTAGAGACAGGGTTTCTCCATGTTGGTCAGGCTGGTCTCGAACTCTTGACCTCAGGCGATCTGCCCACCTCGGCCTCCCAAAGTGCTGGGATTACAGGCATGAGCCACCATGCCCGGCTCCTTTATTCTTAATAAAAATAACAATATCTAACAGTTATTGAGTGCTTTTACCATTGCCAGGCAATGTTCTATGGGCCTCCCGGCTTTATCTCTGGGGTTGACTACTTGTTATTATCCTTGTTTGACGTAGGGAGTTGAGAGTTAGGTGAAATGACTTGCCTGGGGTATCCAGCCAGTCACTGGAAGAGCTAAGACTTGACTGCCAAAAGCCCATGTCCTTAACCACTGTGCAACACCGCACCTCTTAGGACCTCTCTAGGTGACCCAGTAAGGCCTGTGGGATTGAGGAGGGGCCTCCCAAATGAAGATCCTGGGCAAATGGCTGGAAAACAAAATCCTTAAAAAGAAGCTTCTCCCCTGCTAGGATTTCTGCTGAGAAGGAAGGGACAAGATCCCCTGAGCTTGTTCTGAGGCTCCTTATCACCTGAGACCCCCTTCTGTGATTCCTTTCCCCCACTTCAGCTTAGATAAAGGGCCTATTCACAGCCTCCCTGAGCTGTGTCTGGAAGCTGGCCCTGGCAGCAGCTAGTGGTTTGTCCCCTGTCCTGGCTCCTTCCTCCCTGCCTGCCTCCCCTGCCTCTGATTTGACACCTGGTATCTCTTTCCCGTGTCCCTGAGCTCAGGGCATGTGAGGCCCAGGCAGGCACAGTATCACTTTCTTCCTGAACTGTCCCTGAAGCAGGGATAATTTTGTATGCTGTCTGCCCCCTACTCTGTTGTCAGTGCACACTTCCAAGGGTTCCTGTGGAATCCAGGCTCCCGTAAACACCCAAAGAGGAGGAAGTGAGCCAAGCACTAAGCCTGTGATTGCATCAGGACTGACGCACTCTCTGCCTTTTCCCCTACCTCGGTCTCCAGGGGAGCCACGTGGGCAGGCCACTGGGTCAGGCCCAAGCCCTCTCCGCTTCATTTGGCTGAGGGGAAAAGGGGGATGCTATGGAAGGAACACAGACCTCCAGCAGCACCTCCTTGGCCTGGAAGGGAAGTAGCCAACACATTTGAAAGCTGAAGAGAAGGCAAAGGTGGGGTGGCCTGAGGAAAGGGTCTGAAAAGGCTGGGAAGTAAAGTTTTTGGTGTGTCAACTAAGTGCCAGGTTCTCTATACATGTAACACTATTAACAATAGGTCGGGTACAGTGGCTAACATCTGTAATTCCAGCACTTAGGGAGGCAGAGGTGGGAGGATGGCTTGAGGCCAGGAGTTTGACACCAGCCTGGAAAGAAAAAAAGAGAGAAATTTTTAAAAATAATAATAACAATAATAATATCTGACTATGAGGCTCTCGATCAGGAATTCCATTTCTATACTTAAAAGCAACTACCATAGGGGCCAGGCGTGGTGGCTCATGCCTGTAATCCCAGCACTTTAGGAGGTTGAGGTGAGTGGATCACCTGAGGTCAGGAGTTCGAGATCAGCCTGGCCAACATGGTGAAATCCCGTCTCTACTAAAAATACAAAAAATTAGCTGGGTGTGGTGGCACATGCCTGTAGTCCCAGCTACTCGGGAGGCTGAAGCATGAGAATTGCTTGAACCCGGAAGGCGGAGCTTGCAAAAGACCGGGCGCAGTGGCTCACACCTGTAATCCCAGCACTTTGGGAGGCTTAGGCGGGTGGATCACCTGAGGTCAGGAGTTCGAGACCAGCCTGGCCAACATAGTGAAACCCCGTCTCTACTAAAAATACAAAAAATTAGCCAGGCATTATAGTGGGCGCCTGTAATCCCAGCTGCTAGGGAGGCTAAGGCAGGAGAATCACTTGATCCTGGGAGGCACAGGTTGCAGTGAGTACAATGGTCATGCCATTGTACTCCAGCTTAGGCAACAAGAGTGAAACTCCAAAAACTCCATCTCAAAAGCAAACAAACAAAAAAGCAGCTACTGGCCGGGCTCAGTGGCTTACGCCTGTAATCCCAGCACTTTGGGAGGCTGAGGTGGGGAGATCCCCTGAGGTCAGGAGTTCAAGACCAGCCTGGCCAACATGATGAAACCCCGTCTCTACTAAAAATACAAAAATTAGCCGGACGCGGTGGCGCGCGCCTATAGTCCCAGCTACTGAGGATGCTAAGACTGGAGAATCACTTGAAACTGGGAAGTGGAGGTTGCAGTGAGCCGAGATCATGCCACTGCACTCCAGCCTGGGTGACAGAGTAAGACTCTGTCACACACACACACACACACACACACACAAAAGCAGCTATCATTTTATTGTATGCTGGTGCTATGCGGTTTACATACATATATTCTCTTATCTAAGTCTAGAAACACCCTTATGAGTTATGATTACCCTTTTACAAAGTAAGGAAACTGAGACTCAGAGAGGTGAAAGTTCAGAATTCTCCCAGTCACTCAGCTGGGCATTGGAGAGTTAGGGTGTGGTGGATCTAGGTCTGTCTTCTCTTTGCTTCATCATTATGTATTAATGAATGTCATTTTCTCAGTAAGAGTAATGCAGTTACTATTAGCTTTGACTTACAATGGGGAAACTGAGGCTTGGGAAAGTGAGCAGACTTGCCTGAGGACAGAGTACAAGTCTCAACACGTCTCACCCTTAATTTTGATGCCCTTATGCTGAGCTCTTATGGGCTTGCCAGAATGTTCATAAGAGTCCTTGTCAATGCAGCTGAGGCTTCACACAGTTTCCCAGCTCCCCACGAGGTGACAGAACCAGCACCTGCCTCAGTGAAGTCACTTCTCATCCTAGCTTGTGATCATCTCCTCTGTACTCCTGGCTCTCTGGGGGCCAATTCCAGCTCTTCACAATCATCTCTGTGTATCTGCTAGTGTCTGACCCAGAACAGGGGTTGTTGTTTTGTTTGTTTGTTTGTTTTTGAGACAGAGTCTTGCCCAGAAGGTGTGCAGGCTGAAAAGCTAAGAGGCTCAGAAGCCCCAGACTTTTGGATGTCATCAACAGATAAAAGTTTTAAAAATGAGGAGGGAGACCCAGATATGGTAGCTAGCTTTTAGTCTGGCTAAATAAGAGCATTAAAACTCTCAGCCAGGCTGGAGTGCAGTGGCGCAATCATAGTGATCATAACTCGCTGCAACCTCCACCTCCCAGGTTCAAGCGAGTCTCATGCCTCAGCCTCCCGAGTAGCTGGACTTACAGGCATGCACCACCATGCCCAGCTAATTTTTGTATTTTTAGTAGAGACAGGGTTTTACCATGATGGGCAGGCTGGTCTTAAACTCCTGGCCTCAAGGGATCCACCTGCCTCGGCCTCCCACAGTGTTGGGATTACAGGCGTGAGCCACCGGCCTCCAGGGGTGGTTTGAATGAAAAACATAAAAAGGGATTCCTTGAGGAGCTGAGATTTGAACCTAGGTCTGTTGGGCTCCACCTGAGCCATTTCCACTTCCTCTGCCTGCTGTTGGCCTCCCTCCCCTAGAGACGCCTAGATGTGCAGGCTGAAAAGCTGGGGCAAGGCAGCATGCAAGCTGATTTAGAATCCTTCCCCTCCCCTCACCTTTCTTTTTTCAGAAGCCAAGGAGAAACATGAAAACTCAAATGTGCCCTGAACCAGTCTCAACCCTGAAGTTAAGGAATGCAAAAGGTGAGGAGTCACCATGGTAACCGCAGTGGCAGGTGTGTTGGTGAATCCTTTGTTTCTGCAGCATCGGCAGGCAAGGCCTGCCCAGTGCCTGTCTGAGGGTTTGTGCTATCTGGCTACAGGGCAGCTGCATTTCATTCATTTCTCTTAATGGGACATTATGGGAGACTTTTGCTTTTCATTGCCTCCATTTTCTTATAAGTGGAAGGGGAGGGGAAAAAACCATTTTGCTTCCCTTCCCACCCACTCAGAGAAATGCCCGAAAAACACCAGCATTCCCATCAGAGGCTCTGCTGCCGCTGGTCATGAAACCCCATCATCACTTAAATTGCTCTATTTTAAAGGTTTGTGAAAACTGCACCAAATTGATTTTTCTCATATCACTTCTATCTGTTATTTCTGTGGTCTCTCTTCTTCTTCATTGCTACATTTCCCCGGAGCAGGGGAGCAAATCTATATGGAAACTCGAGGTACTCTTATGTGGTTTGGGAACCAAAAAATAAAAGTGTTTTAGAGGCTATCAGATTGTTGTCTTTCTGTTACTTACTCATGGACTTATGTATTTATTTTTACCCTGGGTCTGTTGGAAAGCATTTGGCTCACAGATTCTGAACTTAATTTAGCTTCAGGCCTTAATCACCGTTGAGCAGAGAATTTTATAATCACTGGGATGGAAAGAATCTTAGATGTCATCTGGCTCAGAAGTCCCCAGACTTTTGGATGTCATCAACAGTTAAAAGTTTTAAAAATGAGAAGGGAGACTCAGATATGGTTGCTAGCTTTTAGTTCGGCTAAATAAGGACATTAGAAAAAACACAACTATCATGTAGTACCACCGCTGTTTCATAAAAGAAAGCACATTCTAATATGAAAAAAGGTAGGAAGGAATGGTATACATTCTTAGAATAAAATACTGTTCCTTAAACAATACATTTAGGCCAGGCGCGGTGGCTCACGCCTGTAATCCCAGCACTTTGGGAGGCCAAGGCGGGCAGATCACGAGGTCAGGAGATCGAGACCATCCTGGCTAACACAGTGAAACCCCGTCTCTACTAAAAATAAAAAAAAATTAGCCAGGCGTGGTGGCGGGTGCCTGTAGTCCCAGCTGCTCCAGAGGCTGAGTCAGGAGAATGGCGTGAACCCGGGAGGCCGAGCTTGCAGTAAGCCCAGATCGCGCCACTGCACTCCAGCCTGGGCGACAGAGCGAGACTCCATCTCAAAAAAAAAAAAAAAACCAATACATTTAGTAAATAATTCACCCTTTTATACATATTTTTTTCCTTTTTCCACATACTAGCACCAGTCTGAGAACAGACGTTCGAGAACCATTCATCTTCTTTACTATCCCTGCCAGTATTTCTTGGAGATGGTATCTTGGCCTCTGCTTGGATACCTTTGGTAGCTGGAGCACTCACTACCTTCCCTCTTTGGATAATTCAAGCTATTACTTCTATTACTTCTTCTTCTTTTTTTTTTTTTTTTCTCTTTTTGAGATGGAGTCTTGCTCTGTTGCCAGGCTGGAGTGCAGTGGCACGATCTCAGCTCACTGCAACCTCCGCCTCCCGGGTTCAAGCCATTCCCCTGCCTCAGCCTCCTGAGTAGCTGGGACTACAGGTGCAAGCCACCATGCCTGGCTAATTTTTCTTTTTTCTTTTGTATTTTAGTACAGATGGGGTTTCACCATGTTGGCCAAGATGGTCTCGATCTCCTGACCTCATGATCCGCCCACCTCGGCCTCCCAAAATGCTGGGATTACAGGTGTGAGCCACCACGCCTTGCCTCAAGCTATTACTTCTTTCTCATAGCCCTTTCCTTTCCTTCCTTCTTCAGGCGGGTTAGATGTCCGTTTTATGTGTTCCCTTATTTCCCCTGCAGGCAGTTACCACTTTATTTATTTATTTATTTATTTATTTAATTTATTTATTTCAGAGATGGAGTCTCACTCTGTCACCAAGGCTGGAGTGCAGTGGTACAATCATAGGTCATTTCAACTTCCATCTCCTGGGCTCAAGCAGTCCTGCCACCTCCACCTCCTAAGTAGTTGAGGCCAAGGTGTGAGCCACAGCACTTGGCTAGTTAGCATTTTTGTAGTACTCATCTCACGATGTTGTAATTGCTGGTTGAGACATCCATCAGTTTCTAGACTGTCAACTTCTTGAGGGCAGGG
Organism: Homo sapiens; assembly: GCF_000001405.40. NCBI lineage: Eukaryota > Metazoa > Chordata > Mammalia > Primates > Hominidae > Homo > Homo sapiens. The sequence goes on along the minus strand of NC_000001.11, from coordinate 31,949,942 downwards.
TCTATGTCTGTTCACTGTTGGGCCTCAGACCTATTATATGGCAGAAGCTCATCAATAATTGTTGACTGAAGGAATGAGCTTCTATCCACTGGATTAATGATATCATGAAATAATGGTAACAATGGCCATGAAATTGATATTTGTTTCATGTGTACTATATGCTAAGCATTTTATTCAAGTTTGATCAGGAACAGACTTTTATGTCAGGACATTTGGAATAAGATGAAAATTATAGATGATGAAGCATATTGTTTTAAAAGGAAGTCTCTCTGGGAATTTAGCCTACAGAATTTCCCTAAAAGTGCTCCAAGGCATATCAAAGATGTATGTGCAAGAATGTCCACTGCAATATTGCTTCCAATAGCAAAAAAATTGGAAACAACCGGGATATTTACCAATAGGGAACCTGTTAAATAAATTATAGTTCAGTCGGCTGGGCACGGTGGCTCAGGCCTGTAATCCCAGCACTTTGGGAGGCTGAGGTGGGTGGATCATGAGGTCAGGAGTTCGAGACCAGCCTGGCCAACATGGTGAAACCCCTTCTCTACTAAAAATACAAAAATTAGCCAGGCGTGGTGGCATGCGCTTGTAATCCCAGCTACTCGGGAGGCTGAGGCAGGAGAATCGCTTGAACTCGGGAGGCAGAGGTTGCAGTGAGCCGCGATCACCCTCCATTGCATTCCAGCTCTGGGTCACATAGCAAGACTCCATCTGGGAAAAAAAAAAAGAATAATAGTTCAATCATACTGTGTAGGTAGCCTTTAAAAAGAACAAGGCAGATCTAAACGTACTGTCACAGAAAACTGCCCAAGACATATTGTTAAGGGAAATAATTCTACTTGTTAAACACACACATACATATAAATACACAGAAAAAATATGAATGTACAGGAAAAAATCTGGAAGAACAATATAATCCAAATTGTTAATAGTGGTTCTTTGGCTGTGCGTGGTGGCTCACGCCTGTAATCCCAACACTTTGGGAGGCCGAGGAGGGTGGATCACCTGAGGTTGGGAGAGTTCGCGACCAGCCTGGCCAACGTGGCAAAACCCCGTCTCTACTAAAAATACAAAAATTAGCCAGACATGGTGGCGCATGCCTGTAATCCCAGCTCGGGAGGCTGAGGCAGGAGAATCGCTTAAACCCGGGAGGCAGAGGTTGTGGTGAGCCGAGATTGCGCCACTGCACTGCAGCCTGGGCAACAAGAGCGAAACTTCTTCTCAAAATAAAATAAAATAAAATAAAAAAGTGGTTCTTTTTCTGGGTAGGATTGCAGGAGACTTTTGCTTTATTAAGCATCCATCTCTGTAATTTAAAAAATGTGTAAGAAGCATGTCTTATTTTTTAGCAGCTTTATTAAAGTATAATTTACATGCCATAAAATGCATGTGTCATCTTTACAGTAGTGGTGGACAGATAATTTATTTATTTATTTAAGACAGTCTTGCTCTGTTGCCCAGGCTGGAGTGCAAGTGGCGTGATCTCGGCTCACTGCAACCTCCAGGGTTCAAGCGATTCTTGTGACTCAGCTTCCCAAGAGGCTGGAATTACAGGCATTCACCACCATGTCTGGCTAATTTTTGTATTTTTAGTAGAGACGGGGTTTTGCCATGTTGGCCAGGCTGGTCTCTAGCTCCTGGCCTCAAGCAATCCGCCCACCTCGGCTTCCCAAAGTGCTGGGATTATAGGCATGAGCCACAGTGCCCAGCCAGGGCCAGATTTTAAAAAACACAAATAGAAGGAAATATTTCTTTCTTTCTTTCTTTCTTTTTTTGTTTTTTTGAGATGGAGTCTCGCTCTGTCGCCCAGGCTGGAGTGCAGTGGCATGATTTCGGCTCATCGCAACCTCCACCTCCCGTGTTCAAGCAATTCTCTGCCTCAGCCTCCCAAGTAGCTGGGATTACAGGCGTCTGCCACCATGCCCCACTACTTTTTGTATTTTTAGTAGAGATGGGTTTCATCATCTTGGCCAGGCTGGTCTCGAACTTCTGACCTCGTGATCCACCTGCCTTGGTCTCCCAAAGTACTGGGATTACAGGCATGAGCCACTGCGCCCAGCCAGAATGAAAGGTTTCTATGCAAGCACAGTGGCTCATGCTTGTAATCCCAGCACTTTGAGAGGCCAAGGTGGGAGGATTGCTTGAGCCCAGGAGTTTGAGAAGGAAAGGTTTCTGACATTGAGGCTAATCTAATCTTTTGTCCCTTTGCCTGCCCTTCTGTTTCCTTCCCCATAATGGTTTTCCCTCAGCTCCTTCTCAGACCCTCAATATCTCTGAGTGGCATAAAAACTCTTTTTCTAGGCCAGGCACAGAGGCTCATGTCTCTAATCCCAGCACTTCGGGAGGCCGAGGCAGGCAGATCACCTGAGGTCAGGAGTTTGAGACCAGGCTGGCCAACATGGCAAAAACCCTGTCTCTACTAAAAATACAAAAATTAGCCGGGCGTGGTGGCAGGCGCCTGTAATCCCAGCTACTGGCGAGGCTGAGGTGGGATAATCGCTTGAACCTGGGAGGCGGAGGCTGCAGTGAGCCAAGATCACGCCATTTTACTCTAGCCCTGGGAGACAAGAACAAAACTCCATTTAAAAAACAAAAAACCCACCTCTTTTTTTTTTTTTTTATGTGTGCCTATAAAAGGAGAGGTTCCACTAGATGACTTCTAAGGTCCTTTCAGGTACCAGTTGGGGTGAGTTGATAGTCCTGGTCTCTCTCCTACTAAAACTTGTTCTTAGGAAGGATCAGTGATTTTTTTTTTGTATTATTAGTAGAGACGGGGGTTCACCACATTGGCCAGGCTGGTCTCGAACTCCTGACCTCTGGTGATCCACTTGCCTTGGCCTCCCAAAGTGCTGGGATTACAGGTGTGAGCCACCATGCTTGGCCAGGATCTGGTAATCTCATTCTCATTACATGAAAATATCTGATGAGGCCCAGTTTATTTTTCTCTCTTGTGATATTTGCATTTTAACAAAAGATGAACTATCATTTTTGGCTTCAAACCAAGAGGAAAACCTCCAACTGTTCAGTTTCTACACATACAGGGGTAAGGGATATGTTTGAGTGGGCAGGACGACCTTTTCGGCATCCTTGAAAACACAGCAGCAGATAGGAAGTTAGGATCATTGATGTGGAGATGGGTAGGTACTCAAGGTTGCCACTAGGTAAAATGGGACCCACTATGGGTGGGAAAGTCAAGATTTTGGCCATAGCACTTGGCAGAATTAAGAAAGCTGTGGACCATTGGGGAAGGAGTCCTCTCAATTTCACATATGACCTTAATTGCCCTGTTTAAGCTAGTACTTTGAAGTTTCAGTGTGTAGAAACATTATCACCGGTCAGATAGCATATATTAAACATTTATACAGGTACAGATAATCTAAGTCACTCTGAAAGAGGTTGATATAATGAAAAGAATTCACACTGTTAGACCAACATCCAGAATGTGGTACACTGTAACCCCGTTCTTATTAGGAGAGGCAGACACACAGTGGTTGAGGAAGTGGGGCCCTGGAAATATATTTGCTGGGTTCAAATCCTCCTGGCTCTATCATGTACTACCAGTTGGGTGGCCTTGGTCAAGTGGCTTCACTGTTATTTATCTCAGTTTCTCCATGAAATGGGAATAACAGGGTAACAATATTAATAGTAATGTAAAATGGAGATAACAATAATTCCCACACCTTGGGGTTATGAAAGTTAAATTTGTTAATACATATCAAGTGCTTAGAACAGTGCCTGGCGTGGCCGGGCACGGTGGCTCACGCCTGTAATCCCAGCACTTTGGGAGGCTGAGGCGGGCGGATCACCTGAGGTCAGGAGTTCGAGACCAGCCTCACCAACATGGAGAAACCCCATCTCTACTAAAACTACAAAATTAGCTGGGCGCGGTGGTGCATGCCTGTAATCCCAGATACTCAGGAGGCTAAGGCAGGAGAATCGCTTGAACCCGGGAGGCAGAGGTTGCGGTGAGCCGAGATCGCGCCATTGCACTCCAGCCTAGGCAACAAGAGCGAAACTTCATCTCAAAAAAAAAAAAAACAAAACAAAACACTGCCTGACACATAGTAAGTGCTCAATAAATGTCAGCTATGAACATCATTACCTCCTAATCCCTTTGTGTAGGAAACCTTGATGCTTCATTTCCAACAGCTCTAGCTTCAGTTATTAATAAATCCTTTTCTATTTTCCAACTGCCAAATGGGGAAACTGAGTCACAGGGTATCAGAGAATGCTGTGAAGGGAACACAGAAGGCAGGGCAGCGCCAGAGGTTCAAGTGCAGTAGGCCCTTCATATTCCTGAATTCAACCAACAAGGGATCTAAAATATTCAGGAAAAAAAAATAGCATCTTCACTAAACATGTACTTTTTTTTGGTCATCATTCCCTAAACAATACAGTATAACAACTACATAACATTTACACTGTATTAGGTATAAGTAATCTAGAGATGATTTAAAGTATACGAGAGGATGTGTGTAGGTTATATGCAAATACTATATACCATTTTATATTTTTTATTTTATTTTTTATACTGAGTCTAGCTCTGTCGTCCAGGCTGGGGTGCAGTGGCGCAATGTCGGCTCACTGCAACCTCCGCTTCCTCGGTTCAAGCGAAGATTCTAGTGCCTCAGCCTCCCGAGTAGCTGGGATTACAGGTGCCCGCCGCCATGCCCAGCTAATTTTTCTATTTTTTTAGTAGATACGGGGATTTCATCATGTTGGCCAGGCTGGTCTCGAACTCCTGACCTCAAGTGATCCTCCCGCCTCGGCCCCACAAAGTGCTGGGATTACAGGCGTAAGCCACCGAGCCCAGCCCATTTTATATTTTATAACAGGGACTTGATTATCCGCAGATTTTGGGATCCGCAGGTGTCCTGGAACCAACCAATCCCTCACGGATAGGGAGCGACCTACGGGCCTGCAGTCCCCGAGCGGCTCCCCGTCCCCGCCAGGCCTCCGCTGCCCCACGTGAAAGATGAACTAAAGAGGCTGAGTCACGTTTCTCAACTTTTCCCTCTCCCTCGTTGCCAGTTCCCGAAGTCGTTTTCTTCTCTGGCCGAACTCCAGTCCCACTTGATGGCGGTGGAGCTGGGGATCCTGACTGTGGATCGGCCCCGGGAAGGATCCCGCGGAGGCCGCCGCCTTCCCGTCCACTCAGGCCCCAGCCGAAGCTTTCCAGCTCCCGCTGGCACCGGGACAGCGAGCCCCTCCGCGCGCGGACCCACGCCCCGAGCGACCCTTGACTTCTCCCGGAATTCACAGCTTCACTCCCTCCCCTCCCCCAAAGGCGGACGCAGGGGAAGCTCTAGTGCCTGAGGAGGCCGCAGAGTGCGAACTGCAGCGGCTCGGGGTACGACACCAGGGCTTCCTGCACAGGCAGAGAGGCCAGGGGCGGGGGATTCATGCAAACAGCTGGAGCCAGCGCCCTGCCCCCTCCGCCCCGCCCCTGCAAAAGAGGGCTGTAAAATTCCGGAAGAGAGATTAGAGGCAGGGGATGGGTGGGGCCGTGAATAGTACATTCCTTCCTCCCCCTGCCTCCTTCTACCCAGTTATCACTCTGGGAGGGTTGAGTCGTCTCTTGGCCTTCTCTTGTCCGGTGCACTGGCAGCGTCCAGACATGGGGCTTGAAACCTCCCATGCTCATCGGAACTTTGTGGAGCCTGGATCGCTTATTTCGCAGCTCATGACTCCATCTGGTTTCGGGCTCGGAAATTTTGGTTGTTACTTGCAACTGGGTCTTTTCAACTGGGTCTTTTCCATAAGAGTGCTTCATAGGCCTGTCTGTGCATTTGTTAGTAGTTCCTATTTATTGAGCGAACTTTGCAATGGAGGCATACTTTATTTAGTGTTGGAGGGAAGGAACATGAAGGCTTAGAGAGGCTGCGAAACCTCAAAGCCACACAATGGCAGAGCCAGGAATCAACTCAGCGATTGGTTCCACACATTTCCCACCACATCCTGCTGATTCCTTTGCTTCAGGTCTTTAAAAGGCAAGACTTATTTGTTAGGGGGTAGGGAAGTAACATTTATGGACCATCTCCCACTGTGCCAGCTACTTTAAATATATTGTCTTTAATCACTTAATTTGTCACAACACTTCAAGACAGATGTGATCACCATGCCCATATTACAGATGAGGAAAACTTTAGAGGTGAGGAGTTTAAGGGCCAGAGCTGGGATTCCTGTACAGTCATACTGCAAGGCCTGTGCTGTTTCTAAAACCACAGTTAATGTCTGCATAGTGCTTGACAGTTTACAAAGCAAAGTATTTTCAAGCTCTTCATTTGAGAGCTATCATCCTATTTCATAGATGAAGAGAAAGGTTCATTTGTGAAGTTACAACATCTCTTGAAGATCACAAAACTAATGGTAAGTTGCAGAATCTGTAATTTTGAAATAAACTGCAGAGCTGGTGGTATCAAGGCTCATTTCATTTATTCATTGCACGGTGCCAAGTACCAACTAATAATAATACTAGCTAACATTTATTGAATACTTAACATGAGTTCAATGCATGAGTTATGCACACTAAGTCCTTTAGTCCTCAAAAAACCTTTTTTTGAAGTTTACCTTTTCTGTTTTACAGATGGGGAAATAGTTATTTCATCAGGGAGATGAAATAACTCCCCAAGTCTACATGACAACAAAATGGCAATGCAAAGATGCCAGATGAATTAGTGTAAAATCCCAGGGTGGGAACCAGTCACCTGTTCCCAACCTCTGTGTAAACCACTTTTCTGAGGGCTTCAGTTTCTTTACCACACGATCATGACTTGTTTTCTTGTTTTTTTCTTTTTTTTCTTTTTTTGAGACACAGTCTCACTCTGTCGCCCAGGCTGGAGTGCAATGGTGCAATCTCAGCTCACTGCAACCTCCGCCTTCCCGGTTCAAGTGATTCTTCTGACTCAGCCTCCCGAGTAGCTGGGATTACAGGTAGGCACCACCACGCCCAACTAATTTTTTTTTATATTTTTAGTAGAGACGGGGTTTTGCCATGTTGGCCAGGCTGGTCTCGAACTCCTGGCCTCAGGTGATCCGCCTTCCTCGGCCTCCCAAAGTGCTGGGATTACAGGCATGAGCCACTGTGCCCGGCAGACCATTACTTGTTTTTCTAACCCCTGTGTGTGGTGGGCCCACATAGCTCCTGCTCTCAAGGAGCTAATGCTCTGTAAAATCAGCCAAGAGTACTGCCAGCTTGCCCCACAGGGGCACTGGGAAGATTAATCAGCGAATGGCACTTGGAATGCTTCAGCAAAAGCACTGGATAAACTCAGGGCACTTATGCGTGAAACTCACTGCTAGGGGTGTTTCCTGCTGTAATAAGGCACCTGCAGCCCAGTTCCTGATCTGTTTGAGATGTGGAGAGAGTAAAACCATGTTACAGCCTTCTGTGGGAAGCCATTTGGATGTCGGGGTGAGAGCATCTCTCTGCTTTCCGGGGGGTAAGGGAATGTGGCAGTGGTGTCATAGTCTAGGACCTTTCCCTCTCAGAGGCAGATATTTTTTTCAGCATTTCACAAGGGTTTCCAGCTTATTCTGAGGACACCAGTTATTGACTGAAGTCAGAAACGAATATCATGATTATTTGGGCTTCAGAGGCAGACAAACCTGGGGTGAATCCTGTTTCTGTCATTTCTTCTCTCTGAGCCTCTGGTTCCTTCTTTTTTTTTTTTTTTTTTTGAGACGGAGTCTTACCCTGTCGCCCAGGCTGGAGTGCAGTGGCATGATCTCAGCTCGGCTCACTGCAATCTCCGCCTCCCAGATTCAAGCAATTCTCTTGCCTCAGCCTTCTAAGTAGCTGGGATTACAGGCGCACGCCACCACGCCTGGCTAATTTTTGTATTTTTAGTGGAAACAAGGTTTCACCATGTTGGTCAGGCTGGTCTCAAACTCGTGACCTCGTGATCTGCCTGCCTCGGCCTCCCAAAGTGCTGAGATACAGGCGTGAGCCACTGCAACTGGCCTTTTTTTTTTCTTTTTTCTGAGACAGAGTCTCGATCTGTTGCCCAGGGTGGAGTGCAGTGTTGTGATCTCAGTTCACCACAACCTCCGCCTCCCAGGTTCAAGTGATTTTCCTGCCTCAGCCTCCCAAGTAGCTGGGACTACAGGCATGTGCCACCATGCCCGGCTAATTTTTGTATTTTTAGTAGAGACAGCTTTTCGCTATGTTGGCCAGGCTGGTCTGAAACTCCTGACCTCATGATCTGCCTGCCTTGGCCTCCCAAAGTGTGGGGATTACAGGCGTGAGCCACCGCGCCTGGCCTTTCTCAAGTGTTTTCATACGTTATTATCGATACGTGAAAGAGCCCATGAGGTAGCTGATTATTATTTCCATTTAATAGTTGATAATACTTCCCTTTTTTAATGGGGGTAATAGTACCTTCTTAATAGGGTCATTTTGAATCATAAACTTGATAATAGATTTTATTTTATTATTTATTTATTTTGAGATGGAGTTTTGCTCTTGTTGCCTAGGCTAGAGTGAAGTGGCGCGATCTTGGCTTACTGCAACCTCCGCCTTCTGGGTTCAAGTGATTCTCCTGCCTTAGCCTCCTGAGTACCTGGGCTTATAGATGCCTACCACCACTCTCGGCTAATTTTTGTATTTTTAGTAGAGATAGGGTTTCACCATGTTGGCCAGGCTGGTCTCAAACTCCTGACCTCAGGTGATCCACCCGCCTCGACCTCCCAAAGTGTTGGGATTACAGGCATGAGCCGCTGTGCCGGGCCTTGATAACATTTTAAAACGTTTCAATCAGGACTTGAAAAAGAGTAGATGCTTAATAAAAGGTAACTATGGCTGGGTGCAGTGGTTCATGCCTATAATCCCAACACTTTGGGAGGCCAAAGTGTGAAGGTTGCTTGAGCCCAGGAGTTCAAGACCAGTCTAGGCAACATGGCAAGACCTCCATCTCTACAAAAATAAAAAAATAATTAGCTGGGCATGGTGGCATGGGCCCATGGTCCCACCCACCTACTTGGGAGGCTGAGGTGGGAGGATTGCTTGAGCCTAGGAGGTTGAGGCTGCAGTGAGCCATGTTTGCACTACTGCATTCCCTCTGGGGTGACAAAGTGAGACCCTGTCTTAAAAAAAAAAAAAAAGGCCAGGCGCGGTGGCTCACGCCTGTAATCCCAGCACTTCTGGAGGCCGAGGCGGGCAGATCATGAGGTCAGGAGATCGAGACCATCCTGGCTAACACAGTGAAACCCCACCTCTACTAAAAATACAAAAAATTAGCTGGGCGTGGCGGTGGGCGCCTGTAGTCACAGCTACTCAGGAGGCTGAGGCAGGAGAATGGTGTAAACCCAGGAGGTGGAGCTTGCAGTGAGCTGAGATCCCGCCACTGCACTCCAGCCTGGGTGACAGAGTGAGACTCTGTCTCAAAAAAAAAAAAAGGGGGGGGGCGGTAAAGGTAACTACTATTGGAGCCACTATTCTTATCCTTATGTTGTTAATGTTGTTATTACATTATTTTATTTCAGGGCCAGAAGGAGAGCTAGGTGGAGGGAAGGGTCATTCACTTGGTCAGACAATCTACTAGATGAAAACAAACAAGCAAACAATCTGCTAGACTGCCCCAAATAGATCCATTTAAGCAGGGGAGAATCTGAAAACAGGCAATTACAATTCCATGTTAAGTACTATGGTAGAGTATTGCACAAGGTGTTTTGCAACTTTATCGGAAGAATCAATAACTCACAGACGCAGCAAAAGTTTTGCAGAGGTGGTAGCTCTTTCTTTCAAATCAGTCTATGTTTCCAGGAAGTAGAAAATACTGCTTGCTGGAGGCAGACAGAATGCAAGTGAGCCCAGTCTGTGCTCCTCACCTAAGGGCCTTGCTACTGATCTGCAGCCCCTCCTGCTCCTCAAGGCCTCTCTCAACTCCCACACAGCCCTGCTAGCCAGCCTTGCCCTAGAATACCCCCTCCTGGGCCACCTGGTGGTGAACATCCTGGACTCTGTGCTGTGGCTTGATGCGGCTGAGTCATAAGACCTTTCTTTTTACTGCTAAGCGCTAATGGAAGCCTTCTGGTCAGAAGCAATGCCCCAAGTCTACCTTGTGGGGAAGGTCTAATGACGACAGATCACTGCTTCTCCCCGCAGGGCTGGATGAGCATGGATGTGGTGGCGAGGTGGGGGAGAAGCACCCACGGGAGCATCTTCATTTCTTCCTATATAGGCGCCAGTTCTGGGCAGGCAAGACTTCCCAGGGGTGGACAGAAAGAACAGACCCTCCCCAACCCGCAATTCCCAGGGGGAGACATCTCCCTCCCAAGCCAGCCTCCAATGCCGCACTTTGCCATCTGGTCGTGGCCCAAACCAGCCTCCTAGCTCGCTAGTGACCACATTTTCCAAACCAAAACTCAGGACGCATGATCTGGCAAAGAATTTCTGGCTAGCTTCCAAATGCAAGAGGCAAAAACCTTTCCACCTGAGAATCTCTACGATAATCTGCGTCGTTAAAGGTGACATTAAGTCGGAAAGCTTGAAATTCAGGGTCTCTTCTTTCTCACTTTCTCAACTCAAGCGTTTTCTTTTTCTTTCTTTTTTTTTTTTGAGACGGAGTCTCACTCTGTCGCCCAGGTTGGAGTGCAGTGGCACGATCTCGGCTCACTGCAAACTCCGCCTCCCGGGTTCAAGTGAGTCTCCTGCCTCAACCTCCCGAGTAGCTGGGATTACGGCCCTCCTTCCGGGCGGGCGCCACCATGCCCAGCTAATTTTTGTATTTTTAGCAGACACAGGGTTTCACTATGTTGGCCAGGCTGGTCTCGAACTCCTGACCTTGTGATCTGCCCTCCTCGGCCTCCCAAAGTACTGGGATTACAGGTATGAGCCACCGCGCCTGGCCCTTCTCAAGCGTTTTCATACGTTGTTATCGATACGTGAAAGAGCCCATGAGGTAGCTGATTATTATTTCCATTTAATAGTTGATAATACTTGGAATCACTTGCCCAAGATCCTACATCCTGAAAGTCTGAATTTTGGCTTGTCAGGGACAGTTCTTAGGGTGGGTGTGTGTCTTGTGGGCAGAGCTGGGGGTGGCGTATTAATATCTTCGACGAAGATGCACACGCCATTCATTTGGGGCCTCAGGAAGGGCAGCCGAGAACTGAGCTGGCCAGGTTCCCACTTCTGAGTTGGAAATCCCCAAGCCCAGGACGTGGCGGCCACCCCGTCCCATCAGGATCTGACCCGAGGCCTTAGGGCCAAGTAGCGAGAAAGAACCCTTCGACCTTGCAGGTCACACCTCGGCTGCAGGCCCTCGACCCAGCCCAGGTGCGGATGGGCGGGGCGCAGCGTGGGCGAGCGACTCCCCAGGCCACGTTCTGCCTTCCCTCCCCGATCACATGGACTCGCCTTCCGTAGCCGGGAGTGCGGAGCGGAACGAACCACGAGGAGGAGGAGCGGGGGAGGCGCCCAGGGCAGTGGGTCAGCGCCCCGCGGGGCAGGTGGGCGGGCCCAACTGCCCGCGAGCCGGCCAGCCAGCCAGTCAGCGAACGCGGAGGGCGGGCCGGTGGCCCTGCGCGCCGCGCCCCGCAGCGCCCCCTGAGGGGCGGCGGCGGGAGCTGGTTCCGGCTGCGCGCGCAGCGGTGGTGGTGGCGGCGCGATCGGCCGGGCTGTAACCGTCGTCTGTCCGGGAGCGGCTGGAGCGGCAGCGGCGGCCGGGCACGGCGCGAGGTGACGCCACAGGGCAGCGGCGGCAGCGGAGGCAGCGGCGGCAGCAGGAGACGCAGCGGCGGCCGCAGCAGCAGCAGCAAGACGGACTCGTGGAGACGCGCCGCCGCCGCCGCCGCCGGGCCGGGCCGGGTGTCGCGCGCCGAGGCTGGGGGGGAGTCGTCGCCGCCGCCGCCACCGCTACCGCCGCCGCCGCCGCCGCCGAGGTGACTGAGGAGAGAGGCGCCTCCTCGCTCCCGCCACCGCCGGACTTCAATGCCCAGTCCCCAGCTCGCCAGCGTGAGTGCGCCCCTCCCGGGCGGCCCCCGCGCCGGCGCCGGGGGCCTCGGGGAAGGGGAGGGCGGGAGGCGCCGCAGCCATTAGTGCAGGCCGGAGACACGTCCCCGGAAGGAGGGCCGGGCCGGGCCGGGGCGGGGGAGCGAGGGTGGGTGAGCGAGGGGCGGGCTCGTGTGTGTGGAAGGGAGAGAGCTGTGCGAGCGTGGGGGAGAGTGAGTTGGTGAAGGGAGGGCGTGTGAGTGGGGGACAGGGCTGAGTGTCCGTGCGAGGAGGTGGGGGGAGTGGGAGCGCGTCGGGAGGCAGTGTCGATGTTGGGGGAATGTGGGTGAGGGCAGGGGAGGGTATGGGTGTGTGGGGAGCGTGTGGGCATGAGGGGTGGTGGTAGAATGAGTGAGTAAATGGGGGAGGAGAGAGTTGAGAGTGTGGTAAAGAGCGGGTGAGTGTGGGGGGAGAACATGGTGTGTGTCGGTGAGAAGGTGCGTGGCAGAGGCAGGAGTGTGGTAGGGTGTGCCGGCGTGTGTCCAGTGTGTGAGCAGGCATCCTAGAGGCCCTTCCCCTTGGTCTTTGTGTGTGGCGATAGTGAACCCTGGTGTGTTGGGTTGGGGAGTTCTTTCCGGGAGCATCTTGTCCGTGGGTCTTCAGGTTCAAGTATGAGGAAAGGGGGTATAAGTCTCCTCCAGCGGCACTATGATCTTCTGGCTCTGGGATTTTAATTTTTTTCCCCCAGAAAGGATGTGATGTGTTTTTTTGTTGTTGTTCTATACATTTTTTTCTCCCACGTTTCATGACTTCAAAGTAAATTTTCAAATTTGTCAATGATGCCATCCTATCCTAGTCTGGGGCCCCTGAGAGCTAACGAAAAGAAGTTTGTCTGTTGCCCAAAATCCTACACTCTGGCCTGTAGAGTGTTCAGGAGCATAAACTTTTGTAAAGTACTGCTAGTTTTTCAGGTGAAGAGTATTTTATTGTTAGGTAAATTGAACTGTAGTCTGGTTTATTATTTCCTGGAATTTGTCAAGAAATTAGCAGTGACTAGCAATTCTAGTGTCACTGTAGGCATTCAGCAAATGTTTGTCTGTCCGGAGTCGCCAAACTACATTACACTGCTGAGTTGGAATATGGTACTTGCTGTCATGCTCTGTAAGAGAGAGTAGTTTCAGAGGGAAGTGAGTGAAGTTATGCCTTGCTGAGTGTGCAAAAGGAGATTAAGGATACAGAATGACACATTATCAGGGCTTCAGAATCACTTGCCAGCACACCATTGTATTGGTGAAGATGGTGAGAAGTTGTTTGCTGGTATTCTGATCTTGGCATTTTTAAGTTTCATAATGAATGGACTAATTATTATCATGGACTTTTCCCATTCTTGTGTTGTAAAAGTAGGGATTCTTGAAGAGTAGTACCTTGATAGGGATTTTACACATTGATATAATCTTAAAAATGATGTTATCTTAAAAATAATGTCTCCTAGAAGTTGGTAGTCTTTCACTTGATCTTAGCCAAAAGGCCGAGAAGCGATAGAAGTTGGTAGTCTTTCAGTATAAGCAAAGAGTAGTATGGTCCTTTTGTTTTTTTTTTGTTTGTTTTTGAGATGGAGTCTCGCTCTGTTTGTTGCCCAGGCTTCCCGGGTTCAAATGATCTTCCCGCCTCAGCCTCCCAAGTAGCTGAGAATACAAGTGTGTGCCACCACACCCGGCTAATTTTCATATTTTTAGTAGAGATGGGGTTTCACCTTGTTGGCCAGGCTGGTCTCGAACTCCTGACCTCCAGTGATCCACCTGCCTTGGCCTCCCAAAGTGCTGGGATTAACAGGCGTGAGGGTGGTCCTTTTGATAGTGAACATAATAGAATTACAGGCAAAATCACTGATGTGTAATTAAAAGTTAGAAATTATATTTTTCGGCTGGGCAAGCTGGCTCATACCTGTAATCCTAGCACTTTGGGAGGCTGAGGCAGGAGGATCGCTTGAGCCCAGGAGTTCGAGACCAGCCTGGGTAACATGGTGACTCCATTTCTACAGAAAATACAAAAGTTAGGCGTGGTAGTGCGTGCCTGTAGTTCCAGCTATCCCGGAGGCTGAGGTGAGAGGATCTTGTGAGTCCAGGAAGTCAAGGCTGCAGTGAGCCAGTGAGACCCTCTCTCAAAAAAAATAAGAAGAAAGAAATAGTAAATAGTATTGTTACTATTCAGTGAGGGAAGGAATTGATTAGTATTAATTTCCTCCTGTGCTACAGGTGCTTTTTATATTCATTTAATTCTCACAACTACAAGAAAGGTGGTATCTTCATTTGCATCCATTTAGCTTATTTTGAATCACTTCTATTTGCCAGGCACTAGGGATACAGCGATGAGCTCCCATGGATTTACAGTGGTGAGAAGAAGAGATACAGAAACTCAAAAGGTTAAGTAACTTGTCCCAGGTCATACAGATAATAATTAGTGCTGGATTAAAAATCCAGGTCTTTGACTCTAAAGCCCTTGATTTTTCCAATACGTCATACTACTCTCTCAGTAGCTCCTCTTATATTGAGGTTTCTCATCAACGTGATGGCCTAGCAGCTAGTACTTAGGAGAGCTGTTGAAACTAATGGAGAAGGCTGGAGGCAAGGGGATCATTTAGGAGATGCTGACTGGAGGCTCTTTGGGGCCTAAGCTAGGCTTTTATGTGGGAGGAGATTATGCCTTGAAACTCTCTTGGGGCCCCGGGGTGTGTGCTTTGAGACAGTTTTTATGAGGCACCTGGGATATGTCTGCGTGAGGGAAGTCTGATTAAAGAAATGCAGCAGCGTCTTATGTTTTTTATTTTTTGGAAAAAGAGGAGAGTATATTTATTGGGGCCAAGAGTGAACTAGAACTTACCACTGTATCAAAGTTTCTCTGTTGAGCTGTGTGGGACACTTAAATCAGAAGAAGTGAGAAAATACACGTGAAAGCACTTTGTTAATTATAAATTGAACTACAGATTCAAAGTATTATTACCACTAAGATCTTTCTACTAAGGCAACAGATTTTGTAGCTGGAAAAGGCTGGCATTTTAGAACACCTTTATAGATGAAAAATAGTTTTGAACTGCTGAACGGGGTATTTTCTGACTCAGAACAGCAAAAGTCAGGCCACTCCCTCTGTGAGTCAGTCAAGTAAAATTTAATTTGAACGAACCAAATTTATAGGCAGAAACCATTTACAACATCATTGAACTTTGTAGCACTAGGAAGAGTAAATGTTTGAATACTTTTGTGTATAGCTTTAAAAAACAGTATGAGAGCCCCATATATAGTTGACTTGAAAAAAGTTTCAAACAAGGTAAATTGGATTTATTTTTCTTTAGAATTAACTTTTTATTCATTTTGTCCTATAAAGGTAGTATTTCCTTATGCAGTAATTAAGGAACACTTTACAATTTTCAGACACAAAGTTGAAATTTAGTAGGGATTTATTTTACAGGATTTGACTATACTTTTTCCTTTTTGTTGTAATGTGGGGGTTGGTAACCACTGAAGCCTAGAAAACGAATGTATTTACAAATAAGATGGAGAGGAGCAGGTGCATACATTTTTAGCTGTTGCTCTTGGTCTTGGAAGAATGAAGCTTAAGTTTTTGTGAAACTAAGTTTGGTTGATTTATTTGGGTGCTATTCCATCAACTATATTTGTTGAATAGAAGATGGGATCTTTAAAATTTTGCTTAAGAATCAGGATCCATAGTCTTTTTTGTTTGTTTTGGTTTTTTTTAAGACGGAGTTTTGCCCTTGTTGCCCAGGCTGGAGTGCAGTGGTGCAATCTTGGCTCACTGCAGCCTGCGCCTCCTGGGTTCAAGCGATTCTCCTGCCTCAGCCTCCTGAGTAGCTGGATTACCGGCACACGCCACCACGCCCAGCTAATTTTTTGTGTTTTTAGTGGAGATGAGGTTTCATAATGTTGGCCAGGCTGGTCTTGAACTCCTGACTTCAGGTGATCTACCTGCCTCGGCCTCCCAAAGTGCAGGGATTACAGGCATGAGCCACCGCGCGGCCCAGGATCCATAGTTTTAACATGGTGGACTTAGTTATGTTTATCGAATAGGGTGATGGTAGAGATCTTGGGGTACTGGTAAAGTTCAATATTACCCTTTCAGGGTTTAGGTTTCCACATTCCTTTCTTACGCCAAATCATGTATTGTCTCATTTGAAACTCAATAATCCTGTAAGTAGTATTCTTTTAGCTTTACAGATAAGGAAATTTATTTATAGATTGATTGTTGTTGGGTTTTGTTTTATTTTGTTTTCTTCCAGACAGAGTCTTACTCTGTTGCCCAGGCTGGAGTGCAGTGGTGCAACCTCAGCTCACTGCAGCCTCCACCTCCTAGGTTTAAGCGATTGTCCTGCCTCAGCTGGTATTATAGGCGTGCGCCACCACGCCCAGCTAATTTTTGTATTTTTAGTAGAGACAGGGTTTCGCTATGTTGCCCAGGCTGGTCCCGAACCCCTGAGCTCAGGCGTTGAGTTGCTGGCCTCAGCCTCCCAAAGTACTGGGATTTGATTATTAAATCCCAGGTTTTAGAATCTAAGTTAAAGATTATCAATAAATAGATAGCAGTGAATAATTTTTTTTTTCCTTTTAGGGGCTTAAAGTACTTAAATCTCTGTTGAACAGTGGATACCACCAGTTATAATTACTTTGGGAGATGGTGATTTGAGTCTCTTAATCTGTGAAATATTAGAAAAGTCTTGGCTAGGCACAGTGGCTCATTCTGGGAGGCAGACACGGGAGGATCACTTGAGGCCAGGAGTTCGAGACCAGCCTGGGCAACATAGAGACAACATCTCTACAAAAAATACAAAAACTAGCCAGGCATAGTGGTATGAACCTGTAGTTCCAGCTACTCAGGAGGCTGAAGTGGAAGGATCACTGGAGCCTGGGAGGTCAAGGCTGAAGTGAGCCGAGACTATGCCACTGCAGTCTAGCCTGGGAGACAGAGGGAGACCCTGTCTCAAAAAAAAAAAAGAAAAAATCTTTTCACCATTTTCATCTTTTGAACTATTAACTACGTATAGAGGTGTCAGTTAGCTTTCTCTCATTATCCTTTGTTTTATTGGCTGAACCTCATTCTATGGGCTCCCTTGACTCCCTGGCCACTGTCTTGGCACTTGAAGCCTTTTAGGTTGCTTAGTGTAGAGCTGAAGTGCATATTGTGTGAAAATCTTTTTGCTCTTTGGAGTGGTAGAGGTCTAGGCTCAACCAGAAACTGTCACTACCCTAGCACCTCCATGAAAGAAGCTGCACAGCAATACTAGCTGTCTGCTTTCCACAGTTCCCCATTGTGGAGTTACCAGGACTTAGGTGAGAGAATGACTCGTTTCCTGCACTGTTTGTTCAGTCAGTGTAGATTTACAGGACACAGAAATCTTTCCCAGAAAAATGACTGTGAGGAGTTGACAGATTATACAGATATTTTTTATGTGACTTGAATGTAGACGGTTTTTGTTTGCCTATACTGATTTTCTTGCCCACAGGTTATGTTAACACAGCATCCACTTCATTTTAAGTGGCCTAAACTAAATTTCATCATTTGAATATAAATTTACCTTACACAATGTTGGCTTTTTAAATTCTTGAGAATTTTAAGATTAGGCTTTTTTGTGACCCTTTCTTTGCTAGTTGAGCCTGGTTTGAAAAAATATTTTGAACATTTAGAACAGTCTTTACCTTTAGAGAAGTGGTGCATTTAATTCCTCTCATAGTATTTTTTATTTGAACTTTTAGTCTTCTCAAGACATTAATTCTTTTGGCATAAAATGTACACATGATATATTTGTTTTAGCAGATCAGATAAATTACTTTATATTTTTATTTCTGCAGTGGCCAGATATGTTGGCTGTTAACTAATGTATTGTTTGACAGGAATTCAAATTCACAATCAGGTCTGTTTTCTTCCAGTTGTCCTTTAGTTTTTGTTTAAATTTGACCAACTTTTTATTTTCCCCACCGTTTTACAGGAAACATTCACTAGGTTGTATCACCACAGTATTTGTAAATTGGATTTATATACAAATGTTGATATTTGTTGTTTTTAGTAGCAGAACAAATTGTTGTGTATTGTATTTTCCATTATTGGTGAAAAGCCTTTCATTAGGGGATGGAGTGACTGGTTAGTGCAGAAGGATATGAGTCACCAGCAGGATTTGTCAGCAAATAGAGAAGGATATGATGGAGAAACAATAGATTCTAGTGACATTATTTTCATTCCACATGTGTGGTTACAAACAAGTTTCCTTTGGTGATTAGTTTAAATTATGCAAATTGGGTCTTTCTGGGTGAAAAGTACTTTAAATATAAGTCACAGGCTATATTCTCAATTGTTTTCTTAGATTGGATCTTCATTTGGAGGTCATCAACAGGTAGAATTTAGTTAAACTCGTTATCTGTTGACTATGATTTAGTAAGTTGAAAGAAAATTTTTGTTAAGCTTTTTGGTAATTACGGAGCTGCTTGCTCAGTAGATCAGGGGAGGCCCATAAATATGGCAATATTTGCTCTTTTTCTCAGTGAGCAAAGAGTTGCTCTCTTACCACTACTCTGCTTTGAAATTCCTAAGAGCTTTTATTGCATTTGAATTGGTCTGAAATTCTCAGCCCGGTCAAGGCTTCTCCAGAGTTATCTAACCAAAGACTAAGCACCTTTCTCAAGTCACACTACCATGGTTCCTTCACTGTTTCTACCAGTTTTCTATTATAAAAGTTTTACCTTTCTTCAGAAGTCTTAATCCTACTCCATTCTTCTCACGCTTACTTTGTATCTTTAAAATTTGTGGTGGTAATATGAAAACTTAATACCAATCAAGCATTTTTCACCCACGTTGATTCTTCTAGGAGCTTGATCCTGGATAGTGTTTGTATGATGTGCACACGTCTCTGCAAATGCTTGTTTGAAGATTGGCTGTGCTGCATTTTGGTATAATTGGGAGGTGACATATTGTCCCTTATCTCAGTAAACATTTGGAGGAAGAGGACGAGAAAGATTGAATTTTGCATTCTTTAATTGGGAAGAAAAGGAAGGTGAATCCATGTTGAGCTGAGCTAGTGAGTAAAGAATAACTTCTTGACATGGCATTATAGAGTTATTTCACCATTTTTATTTCACGTTAATATGTAGTATGAAATATTTACTTTCACTGTGTGGTTTTTAAAGATCGTAATGTTACTGTGTTTTGTGAAAGGATGCCATTATTGGACAATTAGTGGATAGACAGTACATTTTAAAAGGCCACCAGCAGCTTCAAATAGAATGATTTGGATTCTTGACTGTTTATCTTGTATTGTACTCAGTACACAAACATATGTCTGTGAACTATAATGTAATTTATAAAAAGCAAGTTTAGGAGAGGAAGTGAAGTGTAACTTACCCAGTTATAGGGGAAACTTGGATCAGAGTGCCTGAACAGCAGAAACATTTCTGGGGCTCAAACAAAATAATTTATGTTGACAAGATGTATTTTGGGATGTTTTTATTCTGTGTCTTGTCCATAGAGAGTTTCCCTCACTCTCTTTGGGGATTAATACTGGAACAGGACCTTTAAATACGCTCAATACATTTGACAAAATGGGGAAATGAAAAGAGTTAAGTTGACCCATAAACTACTAAGTTCTGAGATATGGTATTTTTTATTTTTTTTTTGAGATGGAGTCTCACTGTCGCCCAGGTTGGAGTGCAGTGGCACAATCTCGGCTCACTGCAGGTTCCGCCCCCCCGGGGTTCACGCCATTCTCCTGCCTCAGCCTCCCTAGTAGCTGGAACTACAGGCGCCCGCCACCTCGCCCGGCTAATTTTTTGTATTTTTAGTAGAGACGGGGTTTCACCGTGTTAGCCAGGATGGTCTCGATCTGCTGACCTCGTGATCCGCCCGCCTTGGCCTCCCAAAGTGCTGGGATTACAGGCGTGAGCCACCACGCCCGGCCCGAGATGGTATATTTTAGGTAATGTGAACAGTAGCCGGAAAGTTTTTGCTTTGCATGCTACTCCTGTGCTGTAGGTTATTTTGAAAGGTGATTCAAATAACCTTTCCCAAGTATCTATTTTGCAACCTCAGGGAACTTGCAGCTGTTACAGCCATTTTAACTGTCCTGATATAGCTCAGAAAACATTTCAATGTGGTGTTGACAGGCTGACTCCAGGTGTTCTTTTGGATTTTTACTACTGAATTTGCTTTATTACAATTGAAGTTCAGAATCTTAAATTATTTATTAATGAAATTATTGATTCAATGGTTCTTGGGTTAATGTACATACAGTGATGTTGGAAACTAAATTAAAATGATTAAGACTTAAATTGTTCTCTGGAAAAATTAGCCTTTTGAGATTAAAGAAGGAAGGATGGGAGGAGGAAATAAAACAAATGTTAGGATTTAACTTTCTGGGGAAGCAACTGAATTGGAGATAGTTCCTATTCTTAAGAAGGTTACCAAAGTTATTTAGGAAAAGAATGTGCTTAAACTTTATAATAAAGGGGCTTGGGAGTCTTAAAATGCACATAAACTGAAGTCTTTAAACATAAACCCCATAGAAAAGATAGCCATGATACTTTTGTCACAAAAGTATGGATGAATAGAATCCATTTAGTAAAACTATTTAATGTAATTTTTAAAAGATTAACTGAAAACAATTAGATTAATACTCAATATAAGGATTGTGCTGTTAGGATTTTTTAATGTTATTACCAGTGCTATTCCAATACTTTTTAAAGAGAAAGTCGGCGTTGGCCATAGTGCTGTTAACCTGCATTTAAATTTTATTTATGAAAGGAAAAATACCAATTTTAGATAAGAGATTCATTTTGAGAATTGGAAATCTTTAGAGGAAAAATGGAGTACAAAATTGTAAAGTAAATATTTTTAAGTGTGGCCTGAAAATATTTAATGCAATTTTTGTCTTATAGTTATTTGTAGAGGTAGAAATTACTAGAAAAGGACAACCGTTAATCACCGGGGTACATGCACATCTAAAACCACTCCCTTTTCATTTTGGTGGGAACAGGGCCCACAGGACTTCAGTGAATAACTGTCACTGTTCTCAGAAGCAGGTGCGATTGTTGACTAATTGCTTCCCTTATCTTTCTGAGTGGCTGGCCATGTATCTTCTACTGGTTTTGAAATGTTAAGACATTTTCCCACCATCAAGGTCATGATTTCTTTTTATAGAACTGATTATTGATTTCTGTACTGGGACTTGAGTCTCAAGTTCCCTCCTTAAATGAGGAAGTGGAAAAGTGGGAATAACCAAGGGAGTAACTATGAAATTTTTTTTTTTTTTTTTTTTTTTTGAGACAGAGTTTCACTCTGTCACCCAGGCTGGAGTACAGTGGCACGATCTTGGCTCACTGCAACTTCCGCCTCCCAGGTTCAAGCAATTCTCCTGCTTCAGCCACCTGAGCTGGGACTACAGCCATGCGCCACAATACCTGGCTAGTTTTTGTATTTTTGGTAGAGACAGGGTTTTGCCATGTTGGCCAGGCTGGTCTTGAACTCCTGACCTCAGGTGATCCGCCCATCTTGGCCTTCCAAAGTGCTGGGATTACAGGCGTAAGCCATCGCGCCCGGCCAAAAAATTTTTTTTAACAGTAAAAAAAGCATCTTATTTTTGGCTTATTCACTGACATTTTGGATCCTTATTTGTGTAGAATTGAATTGATACCTCTTTATCACCTTCCTAGGACTGTAGTTATTGTGGGTAAGGAGGGATATTAATATTAATATTATATTGTATATAATTATATTATGCTATATATTATATTATTATATTTATATATTATAATATATAAATATATGTTATAATATATATTTGTTATATATAATATAATATTAATTTAAATCTAAGTTTCAAGGACTAGATTATTTTAGTTTGATAAATGGAACAGTAGAGGGATAAACAAAGGTAGGTAGTGCAGAGGATAGATAGAACTGTTGTTCTATCTACTTGATTTGGGAGTAGGTTATAAGAGATGAATAAATTTTCAGTTTGAGACCAGTTAATCAGAAGATGCGTGTTTACTAATTAAACGCTTTACTAATTAAAGGTGAGGTTTTTTAGTTTACAAGTTTTCAGACACTTTTTTCCCCCAAGTGGTCAAAATACAATAGGTACAGTAGCATTTTACAGAGGACTTTCCCTACTACTTTGATGGTTGAGAAGATTTTACAATCTATTGTCTGAATAGCCTCTGAATATTAAGTTGGACTCCACAAGTTCTGTAGTTACTCAGAGCCTTGACTGTTTTTCATAAACTCTATATCCAGTCTGTGGACAAATCCCACGTCAAAGTGTATCTTGAAACTGACCCCTTCTTATCTTCCCTACTGCTGTTACCCTGGTCTAAGCTACCATTATATCTACTTGTCTCCTTGCTTCCACCCTTACCATTTTTGTAATGTTTCCACATAGCAGATAGAGTGATCCTTTGTAAAACCTAAGTTATCACTCTTTTTTTCTCTCCTTTTTCAGCTTTTATGTTAGGTTCAGTGTGTACATGTGCAGGTTTGTTACGTGGGTAAATTGAATGTCGCTCGGGTTTGGCGTACAAATGATTTTGTCACCTCGTCACCAGTTAGCAAGCATAGTACCTGATAAGTAGTTTTTCAAGCCCCACTCTCCTCTCACCCTCCACCCTCAAGTGGTCCCCAGTGTCTGTTGTTCCCCTCTTTGAGTCTATGTGTACTCAGTGTTTAGCTCCCACTTATAAGTGAGAACATGCGGTATTTGGTTTTCTGTTCCTGCGTTAATTCGCTTAGGATAATGGCCTCCAGCTGCATCCATGTTGCTGCAAAGGACATGATTTCATTATTTTTTATGGCTTTGAGTTGTCACTCTTGAGTGAAACCCTTCATTGGCTTCATTTGGAGAGGCATCATTTTCTGAATAAAAGTCAAATGCTTTTAGTGGCCTATAAGGCTCTCTTTTATTTCTCTGACTCTATTCATTCCATTGTCCTCTCTGTTCCAGTAGCATTGGTTCCCTTGTTCCTAGCATACTCTAAGCTTGTCCCCACCTCATAACCTTTGCAGCAGTTAATCCTCTGCCTAAAATGCTCCCCAAATACCTGTTTGGCTCACACTCTCAGCTCTTGGATAAAAAGTCACTTTTTTCAGTGAGGCCTTTCCTGTTAGCCTTATTTAAAATTGGAACCCCCCTCCCTCTGGCACTGCTAATTCCCCTACTTCTAATTTTTCTCCAGAGCAGTGACATTTTTATTTCTTTTTTTCTGCCCAGTAAAGTGTAAGATCCATCCCAACAGAAATTTTTGTTTTGCTTATTGCTCTTGCACCTGTAAGAGTATGTGACCCATAGTACATGTTCTGTAAATATTTGAATTAATGAAAGAATTTGAGGAAAATGCCTAGCTCTTCAGGAGGATAAATTCTTTACTGTTGACAGATTAGATTTTTTATACTTATTTTAAGGGGAAATAAAAGTGGCTATTGACATGAAGGGAATTTGCTTTAGGAAAAAAATGTTGCAAGGTGTTAGTTGTATATTACATTATTAGGCTTTCATGTTGACTGATTGTTGAAACCAAGCTGACTCAAATTTGCATTACTTCCTGTAAAATTTCTGGTAAGAAAAGTAGCAGTAAATATATGCATACTCGTTTTTTTTAGACCTTTGCTTTTAGACTGTATTTCCTTAAATCTAGAATTCTTTTATTGTACCTTTATATTTTAATGTGCTGTTTTAATTTGGTGAATACTGGCGTAGCTCACCAAATTAGAGGGTTTATTGTATCATTTAATTTGGAAATGTAAAGGGATGATTTCTTAGAAATCCTGATGTGAGTGGATTGATAGGAGAGATAAATATATATATATATATATATTTTTTTTTTTTTTTAATTTTTTGAAACGGAATCTAGCTCTGTGGCCAGGCTGGAGTGCAGTGGCGCAATCTCAGTTCACTGCAACCTCCGCCTCCTGGGTTGAAGCGATTCTCTTGCCTCAGCCTCCCGAGTAGCTGGGATTACAGGCATGCGCCGCCACGCCCAGCTAATTTTTGTATTTTTAGTAGAGATGGGCCAGTATGGCTTCGATCTCCTGACTTCGTGATCCACTCACCGTGGCCTCCCAGAGTGCTGGGATTACAGGCATGAGCCACTGTGCCCGCCAATTGATAGGAATTTTAAAAGGATGCCCGGTAAAATTGGGTTAAATTAAATGAGGCTGCTTTTATAAAATTCCCTTATACTTCTAAATTCACCTTTTTTTTTTTTGAGATGGAGTCTTGCTCTGTCGCCCAGGCTGGGGTGCAGTGGTGCGATCTTGGGTCACTGCAAGCTCTGCCTCCCGGGTTCACGCCATTCTCCTGCCTCAGCCTGCCAAGTAGCTGGGACCACAGGCGCCCACCACCACACCCGACTAATTTTTTTGTATTTTTAGTGGAGACGGGGTTTCACCGTGTTAGCCAGGATGGTCTCTTATCTCCTGACCTCGTTCGTGATCTGCCCAACTCGGCCTCCCAAAGTGCTGGGATTATAGGCGTGAGCCACGGCGCCCGGCCTCTAAATTCACTTTATTTGTAGTTAGAATTACAGTTGCCAAGGCAGGACGTGAATTTTACTCATTTAGCCTCTTTAACAGGAAAGAAAACACTTTATGGAATTGTGTAGGTACAGACCTGCCTGGGACAGAGGACTAGCCCTCTGGAGCCTCTTTCTAATCCTATGATTATAGAACTGTTAAGAACGTAGTTTGATTGTAAATCATTATAGGGTTCTTATCACCTTAGAATTTTTTTTAAAGGTAATACCATATGTACATGGGAAAAGTTAAAACAGTTCAAAAGGTATATGTTAAGATGTAGTAAATCGTGCTGTTGACCTCCAGCCTTCAGTCCTGTGTTCCTGGCCCTGCCCCAACCCTAGGAAACCACTGTTATCTCTTATCTTTGTAATCTTCCAGATATCCCATGTGCATGAATGCATACAGTACTCACACATATTTCTAAGCACACTGTTGATACTGTCATGTACTGTGCCTTTTTTTACTTATTAGTGTCTTTTAGCTGTCATTTCATATCAGTTCATACAGATGTTTTCTTTTTAACCTCTGGATAGTTTTTTCTTTTTTTTTATCCCTTATCTCCCTCCTTTCTTAATTTAAAAGGACTTCTCTGTCACAGACTATCCTTTCTCATCCTTCATTGAAGTTGTATTCTTTTGTTAAAAATGGAAATGTTGCCTAGGAAATGGAAATATCCCAAATTCAACATTTTAAAAGTTAGGTTTTATGATAAAATTAAATGGAGAGGGAGTATTTGGGTGTATATTTGAATTTACCACTGTTATATGTCAAGTAAACTAGCCTTTTTCATCACTTGGTAAGTTAAAACAATAATTTATTTAAGTAGATAGAGCAGAATTAATGTCAGAGAGACAACTTTAGGAGAATTTTCCTGTATGGTGTACATGCACTGAATTTATGTTAAAACATAGGGTTCTGCAACTTTTGAGTACTTTCTAGCTGTGATAGGTTGTTTATGATTTTTTACACACTGTTTGCTTTGCATTCCTAAGTGTGTCACAGGAATTAACATTAGTTTATCTGAATTGACAGGTGCAAAAATGTAACTGTTGATGTGTAGTTGAACTCTTGATGGAGGGGGAGGGAACAGAAGCTTGTTTTTATCATGTATCTGTTAAAAGTGCTAGAACATACTGTTTCTTTTGGCAGAAATTCCTTTGCTGGGTTCTCAGTATTAAGAATTGAAAATCTTAATAATGAATTATCTTTATTCCTGGAAATGGTCTTTCCAAAATGAGGTTGGGAGAGTAAGATGGGATAAAGCTTGTTCTGTTTGCTGAGCAGACACACACTGGAGACTAGGTAGAAAACTTAATGCTGGAGCTGTAGCCTTTAAGCCTGGCTGTCACTACAATGCAGGTCTTTCAGTGCCTTTACTCAGCTGACACACATTTGCAGTGATAACGTCATTGAACCAAAGGGATTCAAATAGGTTAGAATTTCCTTGTGTTTTGCTCTGCATTGCATGCAAACTATTGTTCTTTGAGTAGTTACTTTAATAAACTCCACCCAGTCTCCCACCTTATTTTAAGGTCGCAGAGTTGGAGATGAACATCCAAGCAGATATTTGGAAAAAAAATTATACTTGTATGGAAGATTGCAACTTGAAAAATATGTGGGGCTGGACTTAGTGGCTCACGAGGCCTGTAATCCCTGTGCTTTAGGAGGCCAAAGCTGGAGGATCGCTTGAGCCCAGGAGTTTTAGACCAGCCTGGGCAACATAGCAAGGCCCCCGTCTCTCCAAAAATACTTTAAAAATATTAGCTGGGCGCAGTGGCATGCACCTGTAGTCCCAGCTACTCAAGAGGTTGAGGCAGGCTGGGCGCGGTGGCTCACGCCTGTAATCCCAGCACTTTGGGAGGCCGAGGCGGGCGGATCACGAGGTCAGGAGATCGAGACCATCCTGGCTAACACGGTGAAACCCCGTCTCTACTAAAAATACAAAAAATTAGCCGGGCGTGGTAGCGGGCGCCTGTAGTCCCAGCTACTCGGGAGGCTGAGGCAGGAGAATGGCGTGAACCCGGGAGGCGGAGCTTGCAGTGAGCCGAGATCGCGCCACTGCACTCCAGCCTGGGCGACAGAGCAAGACTCCGTCTCAAAAAAAAAAAAAAAAAAAAAAAGAGGTTGAGGCAGAAGGATCACTTGTGCCCAGAAGTTTGAGGTTGCCGTGAGCTATGATTGCACCACTGCATTCCAGCCTGGGCGATAGAGCAAGACCCTGTCTCTGAAAAGAAAAGAAGAGGCTGGGTGTGGTGGCTCACGTCTGTAATCCCAGCACTTTGGGAGGCCAAGGTGGGCAGATCACGAGGTCAGGCCTTCAAGACCAGCCTGGCCTTTGGTGAAACCCTGTCTCTACTAAAAATACAAAAATATGCCTGTAATCACAGCTACTTGGGAGGCTGAGGCAGGAGAATTGCTTGAACCCAGGAGGCGGAGGTTGCAGTGAGCTGAGATTGTGCCACTTAACTCCAGCCTGGGCAACAGAGTAAGACTCTCTCTCAAAAAAAAAAAAAGATAAAAAGTATTTGGGCCGGGCACGGTGACTCATGCCTGTAATCCCAAGACTTTGGGAGGCCGAGGCAGGAGGTTGGTTTTCATCCAGGAATTCGAGATCAGCCTGGGCAGCATAGTGAAACCTTGTTGCTACAGAAAATCAAAAATTAGCCTGGTGGTGTGCACCTGTGTTCCCAGCTCCTCAGGAGCCTGAGGTGGGAGGATCGCTTGAGACAGGAGGTTGAGGCTGCGGTGAGCCATGATCGCGCCACTGCACTCAGCCTGGGTGACAGAGTGAAAACCTGTCTCAAAATAAATAAAAGAAAGAAAGAAAGAAAGAAAGAAAGAAAGAAAGAAAGAAAGAAAGAAACAAACCTGGGTTTTTGTTCTTAAGCTGCTACCAGTTAGCAGTGCGATCATACTTAAGCCATTTTAACCTCTCTGAGCCCCAAACTTTGTTTTAAATTTTTTTTTTGACAGAGTTTCTCTCTTGTTGCCCAGGCTGGAGTGCAGTGGCACAATCTTGGCTCCCTGCAACCTCTGTCTCCCAGGTTCAAGCAATTCTCCTGCCTCAGCCTCCCGAGTAGGTGGGAATACAGGCATGTGCCACCACGCCCAACTAATTTTGTATTTTTAGTAGAGATGGGGTTTCTCCATGTTGATCAGGCTGGTCTTGAACTCCTGACCTCAGGTGATCTGCCTGCCTTGGCCTACCAAAGTGCTGAGATACAGGCGTGAGCCATCACGCCCGGCCAACTTTTTTATTTTTTAAAAGGTCAGGGTAGTTGATGTTTCTGTTGGTTCTAAAATTTCTTGACTGTACAAGGAGTACTTTATGAAATGTTTTCCTCTGTAATCTAAGGTGGCTATGTTTTGGGGTTACAGTTAGAATTTTGAGGTAGGAAGAGCGATGGAATGTATTTTTGTTTTTAGTTTTGAGGGTAGACATTTTGTGTTTTTACTGTAGCGAGTAACTCATTCTGCTGTAGTATTATTGAAGTTCTTAGAATGCCATTTTGAATTTCATTTGTGTCTTTTATATTATTTTAGTTTTATGTTTGTGTCAGTGGTTATATAATCACAAGTATGCAATTTACACAATAAAATGCCATAAGAGTATCATAAAAAAAGCTTGAGGATAGATGAATAGTGTTGAAGCTTTGTAGGCCTAGCTACTTACCTATATATTTCAGTTTCTTCCTGAAAATGGTTCCGTAGTCATTATCTTTCATACCTATTTCTGTCTGGTTACAGCTATTTTTTAGAGACTTCTAAATAAGCCTTTATTGGTAACTTAGGGAAAAGGCAAGTGAAAGAACTTAAGCTTTGTCCCTTTTTCCAGAGGAATTTATGATTATGTTGATGTTCTCTGACTGAGCCAGCTGTAAAGATTACTGTGTTTCAAAGCAGCAGGCCTAAAAATAATAATAAAAATTCTGTCACTTCTTGCTTTGTTTTTTTGGTAGGGATTAATGTTTGGGGAGAAGTGTGTGTGAATCAGTGACCTTCAAATAATTTTGTATTCTTGAGGCAATTATTATGTGACAAATAATAAAAAGGTAAACTGAAATAGAAAGGAGAGGATGAGGTTTATACATTAGTTGAGTCAGGAGGCATTTGTGGTACATTGGAAAAAACGGGACTAACAGAAGACTTGGGTTTGAATTTGGGCTCAGTTAAAAACTTCCATTGTGTGATGTTAGGCAAGTCACTTCATTTTTCTGATCTTCTTTCCTCATTCCTTATATGTTGTAACAACTACTCAAGACTTGTGAGGAAAAGGGGAAATGATTTTTAAAAAATCAATTCTTTATTTACGTAACAAGTTGGTTATGTCCACTGCATTGTGTGAAACATTACAGTATCATATAGGAAAGTACTGTCAGTACAGTGTTGGATCACAGGATTTTTTGAGAGTGCCTTATGAGTTAGTCTCATCATTGAGGGCCAACACATATACTTTGGATAGAAAGAATAAAATCCTCAAAGTGAAATTTTGATTAATATCCTCTACCCATTTATAGGTACACCTTATTTTAACCAAAGAGTATATGTGAAGGACCTAACCATCAAAGCAGAAAAATAAGGAGATCTTTGTGAAGTTTATGAAGAGTTCATGGGCCAGGCGCAGTAGTTCACGCCTGTAATCCCAGCACTTTGGGAGGCCTAGGCAAGCGAATCACCTGAGGTCAGGAGTTCGAGATGAGCCTGGTCAACGTGGTGAAGCCCCGTCTCTACCAAAAATACAAAAATTAGCCAGGTGTGGTGGTGGGCACCTGTAATCCCAGCTACTTGGGAGGCTGAGGCAGGAAAATAGCTTGAACCTGGGGGGCGGAGGTTGCAGTGAGCTGAGATCTCGCCATTGCACTTCAGCCTGGGTGACAGAGCAAGGCTCCGTCTCAAAAAAAAAAAAAAAAAAAGTTCATGGAAGTTTTAAGTATCTAGTAATCATTTAAAAATTATTTGAGTTAAAAGTAATCGAGTCTCTGATTTTTTTTGTTTTTTTGTTTTTTGAGACAGAGTTTTGTTCTCATTGTCCAGACTGGAGTGCAGTGGCACAATCTCAGCTCACTGCAACCTCCACCTCCCAGGTTCAAGCAATTCTCCTGCCTCAGCCTCCCAAGTAGCTGGGATTACAGGCATGCGCCACCATGCCTGGCTAATTTTGTATTTTTAGTAGAGACGGGGTTTCTCCATGTTGGCCAGGCTGGTCTTGAACTCCCGACCTCAGGTGATCTGCCCGCCTCAGCCTCCCAAAGTGCTAGGATTACAGGCATCAGCCACCACACCTGGCTCAAGTCTCTGATTTTTTTTTTTTTTTTTTTTTTTTGAGGCAGAGTTTTGCTCTTGTTGCCCAGGCTGGAGTGCAATGGTGCCATCTTGGCTCATCACAACCTCTACCTCCCGGGTTCAAGCGATTCTCCTGCCTCAGCTTCCTGAGTAGCTGGGATTACAGGCATGCACCACCACACCTGGCTAATTGTGTATTTTTAGTAGCGACGGGGTTTCTCCATGTTGATCAGGCTGGTCTCAAACTCCCGACCTCAGGTGATCTGCCTGCCTCAGCCTCCCAAAGTGCTAGGATTACAGGCATCAGCCACCACACCCGGCTCGAGTCTCTGATTTTTAAAACTCTTCATAATACCCCTTTATCCAATTCTTCATAGATGGTAATAACGTATAATTGGTGACATTTCACATCGCTTTGGGCTTATAAAGAATGTATTTTGACTTCAGGCATTTGTGTTTACTGTGCCATCAGCCTCTAGTTCATTTTACTTATTCTTTTCTTCTCCA
The DNA here is from genome assembly GCF_000001405.40 of Homo sapiens. Lineage (NCBI taxonomy): Eukaryota > Metazoa > Chordata > Mammalia > Primates > Hominidae > Homo > Homo sapiens. The sequence goes on along the minus strand of NC_000001.11, from coordinate 31,919,659 downwards.
GGTTTTTCGTTGGAATATACGTTGCACATTTATGGCGATTCTGAGTGTGAGGGCAGACTTCTGCCAGGCTCAGCACAGCATTTTCGCTGACAAGTGAGCTTGGAGGTTCTATGTGCCATAATTAACATTGCCTTGAAGACTCCTGGACACCGAGACTGGCCTCAGAAATAGTTGGCTTTTTTTTTTTTTAATTGCAAGCATATTTCTTTTAATGACTCCAGTAAAATTAAGCATCAAGTAAACAAGTGGAAAGTGACCTACACTTTTAACTTGTCTCACTAGTGCCTAAATGTAGTAAAGGCTGCTTAAGTTTTGTATGTAGTTGGATTTTTTGGAGTCCGAAGGTATCCATCTGCAGAAATTGAGGCCCAAATTGAATTTGGATTCAAGTGGATTCTAAATACTTTGCTTATCTTGAAGAGAGAAGCTTCATAAGGAATAAACAAGTTGAATAGAGAAAACACTGATTGATAATAGGCATTTTAGTGGTCTTTTTAATGTTTTCTGCTGTGAAACATTTCAAGATTTATTGATTTTTTTTTTTCACTTTCCCCATCACACTCACACGCACGCTCACACTTTTTATTTGCCATAATGAACCGTCCAGCCCCTGTGGAGATCTCCTATGAGAACATGCGTTTTCTGATAACTCACAACCCTACCAATGCTACTCTCAACAAGTTCACAGAGGTAAGATTGTGGCATGGTCTACTTTTTGGATTGATTTCTAGGTAAAATCCCATTAAAAAATTCTCTTAGCACAAAGCCATTTATTCTGTATTTGGAGTCATCCTGCCAATCCTGGTTTGAATTGGGTTGGGTTAGTTACAGCAGATTTTTTCAAGAACATTTTGTGAAATTTGGGGACTGTAGAGATATCTAGTACTGTTTTCTCTGTGTTCTTTCTACATTTATTGACAGGTTTTTTTGGTCAAACATTCAGTAATGATAATTAACATTTATTGACCACGATATGCACTTAGCATTATAACAAACAATGTTACACATTATGCAACGAGCAGTGTTTGTGCTTAAGGTCACAAATACAAAAACCCTATGAGGTGTAGCTACCATTATTTCCCTCTTACCAATGAGGAAACAGGTTCAGAGCCATTTAGTAATTTGCCTAATGGCACATAGTATGTGGTGGAACTAATGTACTTGCCTAGGTGTCTGACACTAAAAACCATTCTGTATGTACTTCAGATATTCTAACCACCTTTGATGAAAAGGCACCCCCAGACTACTTCGTTGTAATAATCGTATACAAGGGTCCAGAAACTTGGGTGAAGGAAAGGTGGTAGAGGTAGTATTTTTATGTCAGATCCTTAATATTTTTTCTATTGGTAGGAGAAAAAACTCTTTGTACTTCTTTGAGCAAGCATTTGAACATAAGTTTTTTTTTTTTTTTGGGAGATGGAGTCTCGCTCTTCGCCAGGCTGGAGTGCAGTGGCACTATCTCGGCTCACTGCAAGTTCCCCCTCCCGGGTTCACGCCATTCTCCTGCCTCAGCCTCCCTGATAGCTGGGACTACAGGCACCTGCCACCACTCCCGGCTAATTTTTTGTATTTCTAGTAGAGACGGGATTTCACCATGTTAGCCAGGATGGTCTTGATCTCCTGACCTTGTGATCTGTCACCTCGGCCTCCCAAAGTGCTGGGATTACAGGCATGAGCCACCGTGCCCAGCCCTTTTTTTTTTTTTTTTTTTTGAGACGGAGTGCAGTGGCACGATCTTGGCTCACTGCAACCTGCACCTCCCAGGTTTAAGCGATTCTCCTGCCTCAGCTCCCAAGTAGCTGGGACTACAGGCGCGCGCCACCACACCCAGCTAATTTTTGTATTTTTAGTAGAGACGAAGTTTCACCGTGTTGGCCAGGATGGTCTTGATCTCTTGACCTCGTGATCCGCCTTCCTCGGCCTCCCAAAATGCTGGGATTACAGGCGTGAGCCACTGTGCCTGACCAGAACATAAGCTTTTTAATCATTCTTGGGTTGTTGAGTTTAAATGATTTTTCTTGCTGTATTTATGGAGTAGAGTTAGAAAGGTGGGTGAACTCTTAGTGATTTTCATTTTATAGATGGGAAAACTGAGACCAAAAGAGGATTTGACTTGCTTAAGGTCACAAATACCATAAAAAATTTTATCGCAACTTTTCAATGAATGGCTATTACAGAGTTTATTTTAATGGGATTTTATTTGTATTTTGAAACATTTTTAAAATTCCTGACAATACTTCTACCTTTCTTGAGTCTGTATTATAAGAAGGCCTTTTTGTGAAAAATGAAGTCCTTTAGCAATTAAAATAATTTTACACTTTAGATAACTAAATGATGGACCCTTCTTATAGGATATCACTGTGCCTGCTTATTTATACTTATAATTCCCTGAGCTTCTTAACTTTGTATACACAGCGTACAAGTTGATTCTACGCCTGTATGCCCTCAGATTGTTCAGTCACCTTTAAGCCTGGCTGAATTATGTGGTACTATTTTCAACCTGTGGATTCCTTGGCCATAGTCTCCAGAAGTGGCACAGGCCACTGTCCTCCTGCAACTATAAAAAAGATATTGGTAGCCCCTTGAAGATAGGTAGTCACTGGGTTAGGGATTCACCGTAGGGAGAGTTTTAAAGGAGCAAGGCTTCTGGCTATAACTGCATTAGCTGTCTTTTTAATATACCACTTTTTTTCTTAATTTCAGAATTTTATTTCTTTAAAAAAAGCATGTTTATTTCATAAAAATATAAAGATACAGATAAGCAAAAAGAATTTAACAACATTTAATTGTTAATAACTGGCTTCTAGATGTTTTTCTCTGCATATATCTGTGTGTATTCATAAATACACATACAGATAGGATCACACTATATATTTTTTAAAATCTTTCCCCATCTTCCTTGGTATTGTTTTTATAGCTGTCATAGTGTTCACTATATGGATGTGCCATACTTCTTTAATCATTCCCTTATTTTTGGACCATTAATGTGGTTTCTAATTTTTCACCATTCCAGTTTGTGGTGAATGTGCTGTTACCTAAATATTTGTATATGTCTTTAATTATTTCTTTTGTATAAACTCCCAGAAGTAGAATTTTTAGGTTGCAGTGTATGTGAACTTTTGTGTAAGTTTTCACGTTATGCTACCAAACTGCCCTTTAGAAAGGTGAGTCTCACACTGCCACTGAGATTTCATGAGTGTCCATTGAATATATAACCACAGTGAGAACAATTCTGATCTTTGTCTAAAAATGATATCTCATTGTTTTAATTTATAATAGTAGATTTCTTTTTTTTTTTTTTTTTTTTTTTTTTTGGAGACGGAGTCTCGCTCTGTCGCCCAGGCTGGAGTGCAGTGGCACGATCTCGGCTCACTGCAATATCTGCCTCCTGGGTTCAAGCGATTCTCCTGCCTCAGCCTCCTGAGTAGCTGGGATTACAGGCCCGCACCACCACACTCAGCTGATCTTTGTATTTTTAATAGAGACGGGGTTTCACTATGTTGGTCAGGCTGGTCTCGAACTCCTTACCTTGTGATATGCCCGCCTCAGGCCTCCCAAAGTGCTGGGATTATAGGCGTGAACCACCCCGCCCGGCCTATAATAGTACATTTCTACATTTTTGGCTGTAGGTTTCAAAAACAAGTTCCATTATAATTTTTTTTTTTTTTAAAGGAACTTAAGAAGTATGGAGTGACGACTTTGGTTCGAGTTTGTGATGCTACATATGATAAAGCTCCAGTTGAAAAAGAAGGAATCCACGTTCTAGTGAGTGTGTAGTATTTAAATTTTTCAAAACAAGTTGTATCTTTCAAACATAAATATTTATAAAACTAGGCCAGGTGCACTGGCTCACACCTATAATCCCAATATTGTGGGAAGATCACTTGAACCCAGGAGTTCAAGACCAGCCTGGGCAATGTGGCGAGATCTCATCTGTACAGATAATTAAAAAACTGGTGGGGCATGTTGGTGCACACCTGTGGTCCCAGCTACTTGGGTTTTTGAGGTGAGGGAATCACTTGAGCCCAGGTGGTTGAGACTGCAGTGAGCTGTGGCCACACCACCACATTCCAGCCTGGGTGACAGAGGGAAACCCCGTCTCAAAAAAAAAAAAAAAAAAAAAATTAAAAACTTGGTATTAGGTGGGCACGGTGGCACACATTTGTAGTCCCAGCTACTTGGGAGGCTGAAGTGAGAGGATCGCCTGAGCCTGGGAGGTCAAGGTTGCAGTGAGCCTTGATTATGCCACTGCACTCCAGCCTGGATGAGAGTAAGACCTTGTCTCAAAAACAAAAACAAAAAAACCCTGGCAGTAATACTTTTGGATTTTTTTAAGGTTGTAGTGGAAAATACATTATTGATAGCAATCTTTCAAATTCTTTTGGATTAACAAATTGGCAGTTTTGTTCATTTGTGCTCTTAAAGCCTACAAATCATAGTATTTTCAACTAATAAAAAGCAAAATTTAGTGTGCTCTTATTTTAACAACATGTAAATTTGCAAGTTTTATTTTTTAGGAAATTAATACAATATTTAGCTTTTGTTTCTAGGCTACTAATTTGAATATAATGAAAGTAATTTCCATCAGACATTCTTAAGTCCATATGGAACTCTGCCACTTTGCAAGTACAAGATTAGTTACTTAATATTTTGTGGATAACTTGTAGGAGGCAAAAAGGTGGGATAAGAGGATGAGGAGAGGTAGAAGGCATCCTCCTCCAGAGTAATCAGCATAGTTTCTGATACTTTTTGTTAGGTTTCTGAGGAGCTTTAGTATGATTAGATTTTTTGTCTAGCTCAATTTGAGCACAAAGTGATTGGAATTATTTTAAATTAAGTTCCTTTTTAGCATCAAAATAGGCTGTTTCCTTATAGCAAATGGGAGCATCAGATTAGTTAACATTTTATTCTTTCTTCCCTAAGTAGTTGTCTAAGTTGTAGGAGCAGCTTTTAGGAGCACGTAATGAAATGATCTTGTAATTTTAGATGTCTTTGAGCTGTTGGTTTGATTGTGGGAAGGTTATGTAGTAGGAAGAGAACTGGAGATTTTATAAGTAGTTAGGAAGAACGTAACAAGGAAGATACTGGTTTAAGGTTATGTTCCTGCTTCTTATTGAGAGGTAGTTCTGTAGTCTTTATTATATTGGTCAGTGGTTGGGAAGGCAGTTGATGCAAAAAGAATAATGACCTATTGGTAAGGCAGTCCTCTTATATCTGATCCATAGTTTCCTCATGTCCATTTTGGTGAAAATAAAAACTAAATAGCCAAATGTGTTTTAAAAAAATGTGTTTTAGGGCCCTGTGTGGTGGCTCATGCCTGTTCCCACCACTCTGGGAGGCCAAGGTAGGTGGATCACTTGAGTCCAGGAGTTCCAAGACTAGTGGGGCAACATGGTGAAACCCTGTCTCTCCGAAAAATACAAAAATTAGCTGGACGTGATGGCATGCACCTATAGTCCTAGCTACTTGGGAGGTTGAGGTGGGAGGATCACCTGAACCCGAGAGGTCAAGGCTGCAGTGAGCCATGATTGTGCTGCTGTGCTCCAGCTTGGGTGACAGAGACCTTGTCAGTCAATCAGTCAATAATGTGTTTTAATAGTTTGGCATGGTAATAATTTGCTTGCAGTCAAATTTCTAAATGACTTTACTGTCCACTGCTGGAAATCACTGGGAATGAGTGTAAACATGTCAAATGCAGCCCTGTGTTTAAAAAGTAGTAATAAAATTTAAACTTCCGAAAATAAGCTGCATACAAGTTTATTTTGCTGCATTATGAATATGTTCTCTAGTGAGCAAAAATCAACTTGTTTTGACAGATGGCAGAGTGAGAAAATGACTGGATTGACCATAGTCTGTTTGAGTCAGTAATGTTGGTAAACATCTTTGTGAAATAGAAATGAACTAAAGAACTTGAACTAGTTTGAGGAAGATAATGGTAGGCCTAAGATTTATTCCAGGCCTTTAAATTTAGGTTTTTGTTTTGTTTTAAATAGCTGTGATCTGGGAAATGCAAATCAAAAGCACAATATGATACCACCTTACTCCTGTAAGAATGGCCGTAATCAAAAAATTAAAAAAAAAAATAGATGTTGTCAGGGATGTGGTGAAAAGGGAACACTTGTACACTGCTGGTGGGAATGTAAACTAGTACAACCACTATAGAAAACAGCGTGGAGATTCCTTAAAGAACTAAAAGTAGAACTATCATTTGATCCAGCAATCCCATTACTGGGTATCTACCCAGAGGAAAATAAGTCATTAAAAACAAACAAACAAACAAATAAATAAATAGCTATGATCAGATAAAATGAAAGGTTTAACTTACACTTGAAAAAACAAGGGCATTTAGCCTTAAGCTTGGAATTTCCTTTTCCCAGACAGAGATTTTAAGAGTTAATCTAATTTTGCTAGGTGAGGAGGGTTTTGGAACATTTCATGGTAAGAGGATATCCCCAAATAAGGCCTGTCAGTCCTCTGAATGCTCTTGCAAACCAGACACACATTGGAATAGACTAATGGTGGTTTTAGCTGTATCAATTTGAGGTTCAGATGTTTCTAAATGATTAATGATTTTTTTAAAAATAGACACTACTTATATGAGTAAGTGAAGCATGTTTTATATTGTTTCTTAACTAGGTGCATTTTAGGGAGTATTAGAGGAAGTAAGCTCTTGACTAAGGTACTGGTTTTATTGCTATTTACAGTTAAACTCTCTAGTGACATTTATAATAACACAGTCCTTTAATTATGGGGCGTAGTTGTCAACTCAATCATGTACTGTTTTGGCTAATGGGCTACATGAAGTGTTCTAGTGGTGCCAATAATGAATGCAGAATCAATTTAATGCTCTGTCACTTTTCTCTTTTTCCTCCCCTAATATCTTAAAGTGTCCTTATCCAATCTCATTAGAATAGCCTTATGTTTTTAAAAAAATTCCTAACAGTGTTTTTGCATTTCTATCTTTGAAGCTTAGATGGCAGGAGGGAAGGCTTGTAAAATGTCAGCCCCCAGTCCCCCTCCTCCACTCCCCATTTGTGTTGGTTTCTTAGGACCTCTTGCTAAGTAGTGAGGAAGATAAACCCCTGCCTATACTGTGAATGCTCGTGGGATTAGTCTTAATTGAAAGATAGCCCAAATAGGTGAATACAGAAAGAGAAAGGGATACTTGACAAAATGGTCTCCATTTGCCCAGGACCCTGTCATGCAGCCCTGTCCTTGTTAAATGGGGACATATATAATTTAGTAAGCACTTTAAAAATACTCACTGCTTGCCTTTTAATAAGCACAAAGATGGTAGTTTGTTTCTGTTATGATTTACTAACTATTGGAGATTTCTTATCAGATAACCTTTCTCTAAAGATGTCATAACTTAGTTATCTTGAATTATAATCTTCAATTATCTGTAGAGACCAATGAGACACCAGTTGGTATGCTTTGCCAGAGTGGACTTTTAAATCATGTTGACATGTGCTGTGTCCTCTGTTACTTTGTCTTGGCTTTAATTACAGTTTTGTCTATTATGTCTAATTACTACTCTATTCAGATATCATTTTTGGGAGAACACTAGCTCTTATGACTCTGATAGAGATTTCTGTAAGTTTTTGTAAATTCAGATGTGTGCGACACTGCATTGAGAAGGGTAATTTATTTGGCAAACTTTAATTTCAATCCTGGATCATTTTACAGCAATGATCAGAATTGTGTTAACAATAGGTATATATAGTGCAGTTAGTTCAGTTAGGCCTGCCGTGTGTACTGTGTGCAGGTATTCTGTATTAGGATGTTAATCATGGAGAAAATATCAATTTAATGTAAAAGGTCATTTCTTTTCAGGATTGGCCATTTGATGATGGAGCTCCACCCCCTAATCAGATAGTAGATGATTGGTTAAACCTGTTAAAAACCAAATTTCGTGAAGAGCCAGGTTGCTGTGTTGCAGTGCATTGTGTTGCAGGATTGGGAAGGTAAACTCTTACCTTTATTACCCTTTTTGTCTGAATTCATTACCATGCCTAAGTTAGTTGAAAGTTTCACTTTGGTAGACATTTGCATATATTATACTAAATAACATTAAATTACCTGAAAGGAAAGGAAATGAGAGGAAAAACTAGTGTAATGATTTCTCAAAAGAGCCTGTTCATTTCATCTGGTTGTCTGATTCTGATGCCAGCCTGGATTGTGGGTGTTTTATTTTTCTCCCTATTTCAAGTAATCAAAAGTTCAGGTCACTGAAATTGGCAACAAAATTAAAATAATTTTAGAGTTTGATGAATCTATACATGGTTAATTTTGGACTGAGATGAATGGGAAGTTAATAGATAGCAGATATCTGAACTTTAAACTCTTGAAAGAAGATGTATGGACAAGAATTGACTTTGATCTTAAAACCTTTTCCCCTGAGCATTGCTTAGAATGGTGTTGCAACGCTGTCATCAGCAGCAGATTAAATGCCAATTTAGGATGCACACTTTGACTCAAAACATTAGTGTAGGCTGCCATTGCCTCAAGGTGGTGATTACTCAAGCTGTTAGTTCTGCTCTGCCCTTTTGTTTGCTATTTCCTTTTTTGTAGTGTGGTACTGTTTGTTCATAAGGTTAGAAGTTTTAGTCCTTATCCTGAAGGTTGAAGATAATGTTGTAACGTGAGTTGGCAGTTTTATAACTAGTAGCTATCCTAGTTTTAGGTAGCCCAAAATTGGTGCCCTGTAATGGGCTTTATAAAAACATCATTTCCTTTGTTAAATTTTTTTAAAAAGATAGAACTTCTTCTAGTCATCAATTCTTGGGCATTTTCCTAGCTCATCAAAAGGATTTTCTTGAAAACGTCTAGCACCTTTTTAGCATTTGATAAGGAAATATTAAAATCAATTGGTAATGAAAATTCTGACACATTGGAGATAAGTAATATGTTTGGTCATTTATTTTACTGTGATAATGGCTAAAGGCCAATGAAGGATTTTTGATCATATCTAGTGATGAGAGAATTTAATATATAATGTGATGTTTTAAAGAGTAAAGATTTCTTAAGGTTTAGAATTTAGTGCTTTACTAAAAGTAGATAATCAGGCTGGGCGCTATGGTTCACGCCTGTAATCCCAGCACTTTGGGAGGCGGAGGCAGGCAGATTGCTTGAGCCTAGGAGTTCAAGAGCAGACTGGGTAACACGGAGAAACCCCGTCTCTACTAACTATTAAAAATCAAAAATTAGCTGGGCATGGTGGCGGGCACCTATAGTCCGAGCTATTTGAGGAACTGAGGCAGGAGGATCACCTGAGCTTTGGGAGGTTGAGGCTGCGGTGAGCCGTGATTGTGCCACTGCACTCTGGCCTGGGTGATAGAGCGAGACCCTGTCCCCTGCCCCGCCAAAAAAAAAAATCATAGAATTAATGATGATGAGATATATTTACTGTATTAGGCAGATACCAGCTACTTTAGTATACAGGAAAAAGAAAGCTCATGCGTTGCATTGGTAATATGCAGTTACAGGTTTTTAAAAATCCTTTCACTCCAAGACTTATGGATACTTACATACAGGTTTCTTTCTGCAGGGCACCTGTGCTGGTTGCACTTGCTTTGATTGAATGTGGAATGAAGTACGAAGATGCAGTTCAGTTTATAAGACAGTGAGTATGAAGTTTTTGTGTTCAGAAACACAGAAAGCAAGATCATGCATGAGGAAGGAATTATGGAAGGGATATTCATTTATAGTATGGGATAATTTGCTTTTTTTGGCTTGAAGTATTATTTGAAGATGTAAAAAATTTAGAGCAAGTGATAGAGACTCAGTACAGCTGGTTTCCAGATTCAAAAGTTTTCTAATTTGGACATTATAGACTGTGTCCAGTATATTGTTTTGAGTATCTAGGAATCTCAAAAATGCCCCTTTTAATAGATTCCAAATACCTTCCAAATATAATTCTCTGTTAGGAGGAGGCAAGAAGAATGTGTAGAGGAGCAGTTAATCACCTGAGACTCTTTTTTTTTTTTTTGAGATGGAGTCTCGCTCTGTTGCTCAAGCTGGAGTGCAGTGGCTCAATCTCGGCTCACTGCAACCTCTGCCTCCTGGGTTCAAGCGATTCTACTGCCTCAGCCTCTCAAGTAGCTGGGACTACAGGCACGCACCACCACGCCCAGCTAATTTTTGTATTTTTAGTAGACGGGGTTTCACCATGTTGGCCAGGATGATCTCAATCTCCTGATCTCGTGATCCGCCCACCTCGGCCTCCCAAAGTGCTGGGATTACAGGCGTGAGCCACCACGCCTGGCCTCACCTGGGACTCTTAAGTGATCTATTCAGGGACAAAATCAGGATGGTAGTGCACAGACAGGATCTTGACATTGATCTGGAATAACGAATCATGCTATTTTGTTATCCAGAATTCTTTGACAATTTTTGTCTTGCCCTTTCCCTTTCAACCCTTCCTTTAAAAAAAGAAAACGAAAGTAGAAACTATTCTGATCTTTATTAAATGGTTAATAGACTATAATGACAGTCAGCAAGAAAAATTTTTCTATTCCTTCTAGGAGGGCTTAGAAAGTTCATGTTGCAACTTAGCTCTTTAAGAATTGTTGTAGTATGGGAAATATGCTGGTTTTCAGCTGTGTGGAATTAGAAAGGCTTTAGGATGTAAATAATGCATTTCAGTGAATCAGACAGCTCTTTTTTTACATGATAAAGTTTGCCATTCTTGTATTTTCAGAAAAAGAAGGGGAGCGTTCAATTCCAAACAGCTGCTTTATTTGGAGAAATACCGACCTAAGATGCGATTACGCTTCAGAGATACCAATGGGCATTGCTGTGTTCAGTAGAAGGAAATGTAAACGAAGGCTGACTTGATTGTGCCATTTAGAGGGAACTCTTGGTACCTGGAAATGTGAATCTGGAATATTACCTGTGTCATCAAAGTAGTGATGGATTCAGTACTCCTCAACCACTCTCCTAATGATTGGAACAAAAGCAAACAAAAAAGAAATCTCTCTATAAAATGAATAAAATGTTTAAGAAAAGAGAAAGAGAAAAGGAATTAATTCAGTGAAGGATGATTTTGCTCCTAGTTTTGGAGTTTGAATTTCTGCCAGGATTGAATTATTTTGAAATCTCCTGTCTTTTTAAACTTTTTCAAAATAGGTCTCTAAGGAAAACCAGCAGAACATTAGCCTGTGCAAAACCATCTGTTTGGGGAGCACACTCTTCCATTATGCTTGGCACATAGATCTCCCTGTGGTGGGATTTTTTTTTTCCCTTTTTTTGTGGGGGAGGGTTGGTGGTATATTTTTCCCCTCTTTTTTCCTTCCTCTCCTACATCTCCCTTTTCCCCCGATCCAAGTTGTAGATGGAATAGAAGCCCTTGTTGCTGTAGATGTGCGTGCAGTCTGGCAGCCTTAAGCCCACCTGGGCACTTTTAGATAAAAAAAAAAAAAAAACAAAAAACAACACCAAAAAAACAGCAGTGATATATATATATATATATATATATATATATATATATATATATATATATATATATATATATATATATAATATAATATATATATATATATATATATTTTCCAGGTGGTTTTTAGTCTTTACTGATGAAAGGGTGTTCATGTTAGTTTCTTCAAAACCCTATCTAATACTAGGCAAAGTAGCCAAGAGCCTTTTGTTTTGTTTTTATTTTGATAAATTAGTGGAGAAATGGCATTTTAAGAGGAGTCTCTTCTCAACTTACCTGAGAGTCGAATTCTTCTCTTCCCTAACCAATGAAGCTAAGTGGTTATCCCAGAAACTTGTCTTCTAAAAGGGAGGACTCCAGGCCATCAATAAAGATGTCCAGGCAGTGAGCGTACTTTTTACACCCTGTAGAATTGTGGGCTGTAGCGTTACTCTGATTTTCTGTCTAGTATCAGAGAATGCTGGTAGCTTAAAATTTTTATTTTAGGACTTGTACTCTGAATTTTCAGGAACCGTCAAAGGAGCAGCAGCAAATTCACATATTTTCGACTTGAGAAATGCTTGTGGTATGTGTTTTCCAAACTGCCCCCTATATGTAAAGTTCAGTTTAACCACTGATTGCCTTGTTATTACTAGGTTTTTTGAGATTAAAAAAAAAAAATCCCTGGTTTAAAACCAACAATGATGCCTAGTGAGTATGTGTCCACAGGCCATAACAGGGTAGAAGAGAGACATCGTGCAACCCAATGAGTAGTGAAGGGACTGTGTTGCTTGTGAAGCGGTGTAGTAGCATTTTTGCAGATTCTTGGCTGGGTTTAGTGTACTGATCTAGAAAAGCTGTTTTTCTGCTCCTTTGTGGAAGGCAGTTATGATCAGGCTGCATGGACAAAGCAGGTAGAGGGGCACCATCAGGGGCTCTTGCACTATTTTCACCTCTAAATATTACGTACTCAGTAGTGCCCTGCTTCTAGGGCTCTGAATACGGGCTTAAAGTCATCTTGTCCTGCTGGAATTTGCTGTGCAGAGCCATAAGCCTCCCATTTTGTTAGCGTCAGCTAGGCCAATAGGAACAGACCGGGACCTTGTCTCACACTGATGATACCTCACATGTTGACCGGCTATGTGAACTGCCTATTTCCTATGCTGGAGTTTTGATTTTTAACTAAACGCAAATCTGTAGATTCTCTCCTCTCCCATCCCAGAAAACAAAACAAAATAATGCTTTTCGAAATTGTTTCTAGGACTTTAAAACATAATGGTATATCCAAAATTCTTTATTTCAGAATGCAACAATAGATTCCATTAATATAGACTCAAGATCAAAACAGCATACCTGCTAAGCTAAGATAGATGGTGTTGATTCCACTGGGTTTTGATCAATACAATAACAAACCTTTTTCCTTTGACATACTCTGAATTTTGTTGTTTGGGGGGAGGGGGTGTGTGTGTGTGTGTGTGTGTGTGTGTGTGTATGTGTGTGTGTGTGTGTGCACGCGCAGTGTCCATCAGTATCAGTGCCTGCCTGAGTTAGGAAAATTACATTCCTGGTTCTGTATTGAGGAGAAGGATGTATAAAGCAACATGAAACATTAGCCCTCCTTTTATTTTAAAGACTAATGTTAATTGTTCTTAAAACTGGATTTTTTTTCCTTAAAGCAATTTTTTTCTTTTCGATTTAATGAAGTATTGCTAGCTGAAGCCAGTTTGACATAGAGAGATGTCAGATTGATTTGAAAGGTGTGCAGCCTGATTTAAAACCAAACCCTGAACCCTTTTAAAGAACAATAAAACATATTTTACACGCTCTTTGTGCATTTTTTTCCTCCATCCTCAAGAGTTTATGTCTGTGCTTATAAAGCGGAGTTTAAGCTGGGTGCAGTGGCTCATGCCTATAATCCCAGCACTTCGGAAGGCCAAGGCAGGCGGATCACTTGAGCCCCAGGAGTTCAAGACCAGCCTGGGTAATGTGTTGAGTCCATCTCTACAAAAAAAAAATGTTTAATAATTAGCTGGGCATGGTGGTGTGTGCTTGCAGTCTCAGCTACTTGGGAGGCTGAGGTGAGAGGAACACTTGAGCCCAAGAGGTTGAGGCTGTAGTGAGCTGTGATCATGCCACTATACTCCAGCCTTGGTGACAGACACCCTGTCCCAAAACAACAACAACAAAACCAAAATTTCACTTACATCTGTTCCCCTTTCTTTGCCTGCTATTTTCAAGGACTGTTTTGGGTCCTGCTAGTTTACTGCAAGGAGGTAAAATAGAGGCTTGGAAATTCAAAGATTTTATGTCACTGAGGTGTTCAGGAAGAGCCAACTTAACCATAGCTGGGATACATCTAGTACATTTTCTGGTTCAGTTCTTGTATACAACCCTGTAGGAATTCAGCATCTTGTCAAAGGCTTGGTTTATACCATAGATTATTATTTTTTAGAGACAGAGTCGTGTAGTGCTTCCCAGGCTGGAGTGCAGTGGCTATTCACAGAGTCAATAATCGCATATACTATGGCCATTCTGAGTAGTCTCTCACTGCACCCAGCTTATTTATACCATAGGTTTTGGTGAAGCATTGCAACTTTGTACTTGAATTCGTATTAAAGAACAATGAGGAAGTAACAGCTCTGTATTAATATATCAGGATTTGGGAGTGTGGAATTTCCCTTTCACTATGGGTAAGCATCCATCCACCCAGGTAACAACATGCTCAGATACTAGGAAAAGATACGACACTCATTTCACTTTGGAGTACCTCAGTCTGGAGGGGGTGTCAGATATGTAGACATAAAACAGTTACAGTGGGTGGTTATAGTACTATTTATAGATCATTGATCCACAGCCTGGGCAACATGGCCAAACCCCAACTTGACAAAAAATACAAAAAGTAACTGGGTGTCGTGGCGCACTACCATCTGGACTACAGTCCCAGCTACTCGGGAGGCTGAAGTGAGAGGATTGCTTGAACATGGGAGGCTGAGGTTGCAGTGACCTGATACTGTGCCACTGCACTTCATCCTGGGTGACAGCGAGACGAGTCTCAGAATTCATTGATCCTGCCACTTCTCTTCACCTCTTTTCACTTCTTCATGTCCTTCATTACCTAGCTTAGGTTCTGTGATGCACTGTGACAATCAGCTTTTCAGCCTTGCCCCATCTCTTGTTGCATTGTACTTCCCTGGCTAAAATCCATTTTTGGTTAAGTTCAGTACTCCACTTTCTGTGCACTTAAGTACTTACACAACTGAACATGCTGATTCAGTCTCTCTAAGGTCATGACCTCCCCGGGCCAGGTGGTACGCGCCTATTAAGTCTCAGTTACTCAGGAGGCTGAGGCAAGAGAATCACTTGAGCCCAGGAGTTTTGAGGCTACATTGTGAAATGATTGTGCCCGTGAACAGCCACTGCACTCCATCCTGGGCAACATAGTGAGACCCTGTCTTGAAAACTAAAGCTATGACCTCACATGAGCCTCAAAACCTCTCAATCCTAGTACATTTCTCTATCCCATTTACACTTTCTCTTAAATTTTTAACACCTTTGCCATCCTCTCAGCTTATGACTTTTTAAAACTTAGAAATAAAATTTTCACAAGCTCCTCCCATCACATCTACTCACCCACCTGCATCTGTGCTACTGTCTTTTAGTTACTATAGGCAGACTGTCCTTGCCCAATTTTTTTTTTTTTTTTTTTGAGACTGAGTCTTGCTCTGTCACCCAGGCTGGAGTACAGTGGCGCAATCTCAGCTCACTGCAACTTCCGCCTCCCGGGAGCAAGCGATTCTCCTGCCTCAGCATCCTGAGTAGCAGGGATTACAGGCACATGCCACCAAGCCCAGCTAAATTTTGTATTTTTAGTAGAGACGGGGTTTCACCATATTGGTCAGGCTGGTCTCAAACTCCTGACCTCATGATCTGCCTACCTTGGCCTCCCAAAGTGCTGGGATTACAGGCATGAGCCACTGCCCGGCCTGTCCTTGCCCTATTTAAGGCAAGCTCTTCCACTTGTGTGCTAAATTCCATCCCTTAACCTGTTCAAAGGGCCCAGAGGTGTAGCCATTTTCCTTCTCTGTCCTGCTCATTAACTTTTCCCCCTACTAGATCATTCCCATGAGCTTATAAACATGCTAGTATTCCATATTTTAAAAAAATCCTTGTTTGACCCCGCATCTGCCCCTTCAGCTGTCATCCCGCTTCTTTGCTCTTCTCTAGTACAAGTTGAGAATTATCTATCTATGCTCTCTACTTCTCTCCTTTGAGCTTGCACCAATGAGGATTTTGACTCCACAGAACAGCCCGTGTTAAAGATCGCCAGAGGCTGGGTGCAGTGGCTCATGCCTGCACTTTGGGAGGCCAAGGCAGACAGATCACATGAGGCCAGGAGTTCAAGACCAGCCTCCCAACATGGTGAAACCCCGTCTCTACTGAAAATACAAAATTAGCTGGATGTGGTGGCACACGCCTGTAATCCCAGCTACTCTGGGTGGCTGAGGCACGAGAATCGCTTGAACCTGGGAGGCAGAGGTTGCAGTGAGCCAAAATTATGCTTCTGTGCTCCTACCTGGTCAACAGAGTAAGACTGTCTAAAAAAAAAAAAAAAAAAAAAAAAAAAAGGATCACCCCGATCGATGGTCAATTCTCATAACTTTTTTTTGAGGGTCTTGTTTTGTCACCCAGGCTGGAGTGTAGTGGCATGATCATAGCTCACCGTAACCTTGAACTCGGGCTCAAACGATCCTACCTCAGCCTCCTGAGTAGCTAGGACTACACGTGCATGTCACTGTGCCCAGCTAATTAAAATTTTTTGGTTGGGTGTGGTGGCTCACATCTGTAATCCCAGCACTTCGGGAGGCCGAGGCGGGCGGATCACCTGAGGCCAGGGGTTCGAGACCAGCCTGGCCAACATGGCGAAACCCCGTCTCTTCTAAAAATACAAAATTAGCCAGGCAGGGTGATGCATGCCTGTAGTCCCAGCTACTCGGGAGGCTGAGGCAGGAGAATCGTGCCATTGCACTCCAGCCTGGGTGACGAGCGAAACTCTGTCTCAAAAAAAAAAATTTTTTTTTTTTTTTTTTTTTGGAGAGACATAGTCTTCATAGCCTTTATTTATTTATTTATTTAGGACATGGAGTCTTGCTCTGTGGCCCAGGCTGGAGTGCAGTGGCGCGATCTCGGCTCACTGCAATCTCTACCTCCTGGGTTTAAGCAATTCTCCTGCCTCAGCCTCCCAAGTAGCTGGGACTACAGGCACGTGCCACCACGCCCAGCTAATTTTTGTATTTTTAGTAGAGATGGAGTTTCACCATGTTGGCCAGGCTGGTCTTGAACTCCTGACCTCAAGTGATCCCTCCACTTCGGCCTCCCAAAGTGCTGGGATTACAGGCGTGAGCTACCGTGCCTGGCCAAAACATAGTCTTTTTATGTTGCCCAGGCTGGTCTTGAGCTCCTGGTCTCAAATGATCCCCCTGCCTCCGCTTCCCAGAGCGCTGAGATGATGAGCATGAGCCACTGTGCCCACCTTCATAACTTCTTTGACATGTCAGCATATGGTACAGTTGACCACTTCCTCTTTGAAATGCTTCATTTGCATGTAGGAAAATAATGCCCTTCTCCCCTAACCCCCCCTCAAATGTCCAGGTTCTAAATCCCTGGAACCTGTGAATGTTATCCTACATGTCAAAGGGACTTTGTGGGTGTGATTAAGTTCGGAATTTTGAGATGGGAAGAATATCTTGGATTATCTTGGTAGGCCTGATCTAATAGCATGGATCCGAAAAGCAGAGAACCTTTCCTAGCTGAGGTCAGAGGGAGATGTGTCTAGGATAGAAGGATCAGAGATTTATTTGAAGGTGGAGGGAAGGGGCCAGGAGCCAAGGAGTGACGGCAGCCTCGAACCTGGAGAAGGCAAGGAAACAGATTCGCCCAACAGCCTCCAAGAAGGAACTTAGCCTGCTAACACCTTGATTTTGGTTGCATGTAGGATTTCTACAGAACTGTAGGGTAAATCTGTGTTGTTTTCAGCCACAATGTTTGAGATAATTTATTATAGCACCAATAGAAAACGAATACAGGTTTTTGCCTCTAGAACACTACACTCCTGAGTTTTCACCTAGTTTAGTTGCCACACCTCAGTTTCGGTTTCTGGTTCCTCATTAGCTTCTACACTTCTGTTCTATCTCCCTGGACTCTATTCTCTGGATTCTAGACCCATATCCAATACCTCCCTCTCATCTCTCACTGATGTGTCATAGTGGAAACTTAACTTTAATTCTTGCTCAAATGTTAGCTTGAGTGAAGCTTTCCATGGCCACCCTATTTGTCCCACTAAGCTTTAGTGTCCTCTGTAATACTTACCACCATCTCACAAGCTTCTTTTTTTTTTTTTTTTTTTTTTTTTTAAAGTTTCACTCTTGTTGCCCAGGCTGGAGTGTGATGGTGCCATCTTGGCTTACTGCAAACTCCGCCTCCTGGGTTCAAGCAATTCTCATGCCTCAGCCTCCCAAGTAGCTGGGATTACAGGCATGTGCCACCACGTCCAGCTAATTTTGTATTTTTAGTAGAGACAGGGTTTCTCCATGTTGATCAGGCCGGTCTCAAACTCCCAACCTCAGGTGATACGCCTGCCTCGGCCTCCCAAAGTGCTGGGATTGCAGACAGGTGTGAGCCACTGCACCCGGCCTCGACCTTTTAATTATTTGTTTCCCCCACCAAAATATAAGCTCAACAAAGGCATAGCTGTTTTTTGTTTTGTGTTTCGTTCACCGTATCTTCAGCACCTCAAATAGTGCTTGGCATGCAGCAGGTGCTCAGTGGATACTGAATGAATGGGTATGGATAGAGACATAGACGAATTATGGTACTGTGATACTAGGGGGTAACTAAAACTGCCCTGGAGCACATCAGGAGATGCTGCAGTGGGCATGTTTGAGCTGGATTTTGAAGGATGAGATAGAAAAGGTTGATACACAATGAGATAGCATGTTCCATCCATCAGAATGGCTATCATAAAAAAGATGGACCATAACAAGTCTTGGGAAGGGTATGAAGAAGTTGGAACCTTTATACATTGCTGGTAATAATATAAAGCGATGGTGCAGTCACTTTTGAAAAACAGTTTGGCAGTTTCTCAAAAAGTTAAACACTTGCCATATGACCCAGCAATTCCAATATGTACAATTTTCAATTCTACATATATACAAGGGAAATGAAGACATTACGGTTACATGGGCTAGGGCGGGGACAGGGTTTCTTTCTGTGGTGATAAAAGTGTTCTGGGATTAGACAGTGGTGATGGTTGCATAACAGTGTGACTGCATTAAATGCTGCTAAGTTGTACACTTACAAAAAAAGGTTGATGTGGGGACAGTACATTTCAGGTTGAGGAAATAATACAAGGCAGTGGAAGTATGAAAGAGCATGGTATTTTTGGGAGAAGGGGCAAGATTTGGTCTCTCTGGAGGGTTTGGATTTGTGCTAGGCAGGTTTGGTTGTCATCAGAGTAGAAGAGGTACTAGACACCCCTTCCTTGTACCTCCCCGTCTACCCCCGAGGCCATAGATGATTGGATCAGGGATAGACAGTTGACTCAACTGCTGACATTGGCCAGCAGATTCTCGTTTTTTTTTTTTTTTGAGATGTAGTGTTGCTCTGCTGCCCAGGTGGGAGTGCAGTGGTGTGATCTCTGCTCACTGCAACCTCTGCCTCCCGGGTTCAAGCGATTCTCCTGCCTCAGCCTCCCAAGTAGCTGGGACTACAGGTGTATGCCACGAGGCCTGGCTAATTTTTGTATTTTTAGTAGAGATGAAGTTTCACCATGTTAGCCAGGCTGGTCTCGAACTCCTGACCTCAAGTGATCCACCTGCCTCAGCCTCCTAGAGTACTGAGATTACAGGCGTGAGCCACCGTGCCCAGCCCAGATTCTCAATTTCAACTGAGGTAGACTCTTGGATGTGAGGGGCCAGTAGGGCCATGTGTATGTTGGGTCATATGTGAGACGAGTAGACATAGGACAGAGGAAGGAGGACGGAGAAGCAGCCCAGGGGAGCAGAGAGAAGAGACTGTGGCCTGGGATTAGGGGAGCAATGCCCCTGAATTCAGAGTTCTTTTTCATAAAGCCCAGCTGCACGTCGTCCCCTGAAGTCCTTTCGATGGTTTCTGTCCCTTCCCTCGCCCCTTGTTTAAAATAGCTTGAGTCAGTTTCTTAATAACCAAGAGAGCCTTGACTAGAAGGGATTATACAAATAGCATGTTAAATGCTGTGACTGAAGCTCCTATAGGTAGAGTGGTGATTTATGCTACATCCTATACACTATTCTAGGCACTGAGGATATAGTGGGAAACAAGAAACACGCTCTGCCCTGGTAGGGCTTACATTCTACTGGAGAAGACAGAGAATAAACAGGTACACAAATTAGTAATCTATTTTCAGATAGTGATTGCTTGAGCTCAGGAGTTTGAGACCAGCCTGGCTAACATGGTGAAACCCCATCTCTACAGAAAATACAAAAATTAGCCAGGCATGGTGGTGCATACCTGTAGTCCCAACTACTTGGGAGGCTGAGGTGGGAGGATTGCCTGAGCCCAGGAGGCAGAGGTGGCAGAAAGAAAGAAATTTGAAACTTTATTGATCATTTCTCAATCTGGAGAAGACATCAGATTCAACTATGTGGTTTATTAAAAATGTCCACGTCCAGGTACCACCCAGATCATTCTGAATCAGTCTCTAGTTGTGAATCCGCTTTGGGCGGTGGGGAGCCATGAAGGTTGGTAAGCACAGCAGCTACGTGGTCAGATCTATTCTCAGAAAGTTATTCAAGGAGCTCCTTAAATCAGAGACCGTACCTGTTATGTAAACCCAGTTCCTGATTTGTACTATGCATGCAACAAATATCAGCTGAAGGAATGAGAATGAATTGGAGAGACTAGAAGCTGAGAGACATTTATGGATGGTGGGTGGATGATAGTTGCAGCAGTTCAGGACAGAAGTGTTGGGGCCTTAACTAAGGGAGCAGCGGATGGATGGGGTAGAAGATTCTTTCCTTTTAGCCACCAGATCCCAGATCTACATGAAAAGGTATCCAGCATATCTACATGCTAATTTCTTTCTTTGTTTCTTTTTTCTTTTTTTGAGACGGAGTCTCGCTCTGTTGCTCAGGCTGGATGCAGTGGCACGATCTCAGCTCACTGCAAGCTCTGCCTCCCGGGTTCACGCCATTCTCCTGCCTCAGCCTCCCGAGTAGCTGAGACTACAGGCGCCCGCCACCACACCCGGCTAAGTTTTTGTATTTTCAGTAGAGACGGGGTTTCACCATGTTAGCCAGGGTGGTCTCGATCTCCTGACCTCGTGATCTGCCTGCCTCGGCCTCCCAAAGTGCTGAGATTACAGGAGTGAGCCATCGCACCTGGCCTACATGCTAATTTCAAAGGATTAATTTACAGGGATATCTGGCCATGGGAAAGATTTGTAAAACCGCCCCTACCTCTTATTTTCTCCACAGATCACACTTGCACATGAAAGTAAATAGAATCCTCTTCACTACTTGCAACCCTGCTAACCACCCCAAACAGGTTAACAGAAGTGTGATATTAGCCATGTTACTTCTGTTTCCTTTGCTGTTTTGGGGTCTGGCAGTCAGGAAGATAGAGAAATAAAATGATAATACTGGCCATCATCTGTTGAGTACTACTGTGCTCAGAATTTCATGTGCATGATCTAATTTAATCTTCATAGGCTACTACATAGGCTTCATCATTGCTAATCCCATTTTATAAATGAGAAAATCAGGAGGTGAAGTAATAGCAAGTTGGTGGCAGGGGCAGTATTAGAATCTGGGCCTGGGCCGGGCGTGGTGGCTCACGCCTATAATCTCAGCACTTTGGGAGGCCGAGGCAGGTGGATCACCTGAGGTCAGGAGTTCGAGACCAGCCTGGCCAAAATGATGAAACCCTGTCTGTACTAAAAATACAAAAAATTATCTGGGCATGGTGGCAGGCACCTGTAATCCCAGCTACTCTGGGGGCTGAGTCAGGAGAATCACTTGAACCTGGGAGCGGAGGTTGCAATGAGCTGAGACTACCACACTGCACTCCAGCCTGGACCACAGAGTGAAACTCCATCTCAAAAAAAAAGAAAAAGAAAAAAAAGAAAAAAGAATCTGGAGCTGATTTTAAAACCAGTGCTTCACTGCTCAGTTGCACTGCTGTGGAGGAATGAGAAGGTATTTCTTGGGGATCTCATGTTCAGGATGTTGCTGTGAGGTTTTGCACTCGATAAGCATTCCTGTTAATTGAGTTGCATCTTTATGTTAGGTGCAGCGGGGACACGCACCCATGCGTGTGTGTGTATAGCAGTTCTGTCTCATCAGTGGATTTAACTTACGCAAACTGTGTGTAATGGGGCCCTGTCAGTAACAAACCAGGATGTTTGAGCAGAGTGGTTTATAGTCTATAATTGGCTTCCTATTATTGTTGGCTGGTTCTCCTGCACATAGAGTATTATGCCAGGATTGGCATTTGATTTAATAAATTTTCAAATTGATTTTATCTTCAGTGCATTAATGTGTGGCCTAAATTCCTGCAGAGGCATTAGATAACCAGCCTGGACATGCTTTAGCAATCGCAACTGGATCTGAGCTGCCAGTGCTACAGCTTTTATTCAGCATAGATAAATCATTTCTCTGAAAACACTTTTCTACCTAAGCCTTGTGACTGAGTTTTAAGGGCACCTCAAGTTTAGGCCCCTTGAAACTGGAATATACATATTCTCCAAATCATGCAAAACACAAAAATGGGAATTTGTTAACACGAGTACATTTAATCACTATCATCCTTTTGGAACTGAACACATAAATATTCAAGGAATGGTGTGGAAATCAACCTAATTTTCAAGGGTGTAGAATTTTGATGCCTTTTAAAGTCAGAAAATATGAAATATGATCCCAGTTATGAAAATGCTATAAATGTGGCTGAGTACACAGAAAACTAGAGAATGTTCTGCAATTTCCTGTAGATTAGCATAGGTAAATGTTTTTGGTAAAAAATTTTCAGCTCTAAAAGCACAGAATAGATCACAGCTGCATGAAAATACTAATTAATCATCCTTAATACTTTTATGCAAATGATTATATTTGACTTTCATTTAGAATTGCCATTAATACCTGGAACCCTAAGATTGATAACAGGTAAAATTTTCATGAATACATAAAGATTTGAATCATGTTTAGATTAATTTTTAGCACCTATATTCATTACTACAAGTCCTCTTGAAATCTAAAAATCATGGGATGAGACAGAAAATAGAGAAGAGGAGATGGCCTTTGAACTTACCAATTTTTTTTATCGGTGATGAAGGATGAGCTAAACTTGTATTTTTTCTACCTTTTGCAATAATTTGCCCAGGTGTTATGTGTGTTTGTACTACAGGAGACTTTTTAATTATTTCATGTTTGGAGACAGCACTGTTTTGTTTTTTCTTTTTGAGATGGAGTCTCGCTCTGTCACCCAGGCTGGAGTGCAGTGGCAAGATATTGGCTCACTGCAACCTTCGCCTCCTGGGTTCAAGTGATTCTCATGCCTCAGCATCCCAAGTAGCTGGGACTACAGGTGCCCGCCACTACACCCAGCTAATTTTTGTATTTTTAGTAGAGACAGGGTTTCACCATGTTGGCCAGGCTGGTCTCAAAGTCCTGACCTTGTGATCTGCCCGCCTAGGCCTCCCAAAGTGCTGGGATTACAGGTGTCAGTCACTGCACCCACCCTATTGTTCTCGTCTTTGTTATTATTAAAAAAAATATTTTGTTGAGACAGAATCTCACTTTGTCATCCAGGCTGGAGTGTGATGGCACAATATCGGCTCACTGCAACCTCTGCCCTCCTGGTTCAAGTGATTCTTGTGTCTCAGCCTCCCAAGTAGTTGGGACTACAGGCGTGCACCACCATGCTCAGCTAATTTTTTGTATTTTTAGTAGACATGGATTTTCACCATGTTGGCCAGGCTGGTCTCGAACTCCTGACCTCAGGTGCTCCGCCTGCCTGGGTCTCCCAAAGTGCTGGGATTACAGGCGTGAACCACTGTGCCCAGCCTGTTCTCATCTTTATGTTCATGAGTACTCAGTATTTAGCTCCCACTTATAAGCGAGAACATGTGGTATTTGGTTTCCTTTTCCTGCATTCATTTGCTTAGGATATTGGCCTCCAGCTGTTTCTATGTTGCTGCAAAGGTCATGATTTTGTTCTTTTTTATGGCTGCATAGTATTCCATGGTTTCTATGTACTATCTTTCTTTATCCAATCCACTGTTGATGGGCACCTAGGTTGATTCCATGTCTTTGCTATTGTGAACAGTGCTGTGATGAACATGTGAGTGCATGTGTCTTTTTGGTAGAATAATTTATTTTCTTTTGGCTATATACCCAGAAATGGGATTGCTGGGTTGAATGACAGCTCTGTTTTAAGTTATTTGAGAAATCTCCAAACTGCTTTTCACAGTGACTGAACTAATTTAGATTCTCACCAATAGTGTATAAGCATTCCCTTTTCTCTGCAGCCTCACCAGCATCTGTTATTATTTGACTTTTTAATAATAGCCATTCTGACTGGTGTGAGATGGTATCTCATTGTGGTTTTGATTTGCATTTCTCTGATGATTAGTGGTGATGAGCAATTTTTCATGTTTGTTGGCCACTTGTATGTCTTCTTTTGAGAAGTACCTATTCATGTCCTTTGCCCCCCTCTTTATTTATTTTTTTTTTTTTTGAGACAGGGTCTCACTCTTTCACCCAGGCTTGAGTGCAGTAGCATGAACATGGCTCATTGCAGCCTTGACCTCCTGGGCTCAAGTGATCCTCCTGCCTCAGCCTCTCAAGTAGTTGGGACCACAGGTGCACACCACCATGCCCCGCTAATTTTTAAAAGTTTTGTAGAGACAGAGCCTTGCCCTGTTGCCCAGGCTAGTCTCGAACTCCTGGTCTCAAGCAATCCTCCCACTTTGGCCTCCCAAAGTAATGAAATTACAGGTGTGAGCCATTGTGCCTGGCCCCTTTGCCCATTTTTTTAGTGGGGTTATTTGTTTTTTGCTTGTTAAGTTCCTTACAGATTCTGGATATTTGTTGGATGCATAGTTTGCGAATATTTTCTCCCATTTTGTAAGTTGTCTGTTGTAAGTTTCTTTTGCTGGGCAGAACCTCCTTAGTTTAATTAGGTTCCACTTGCCAATTTTTGTTTTTGTTGCAATTGCTTGTGAGGACTTAGCCAAAAATTCTTTGCCAAGGCTGATGTTGAGAAGGATATTTCCTGGGTTTTCTTCTAGGATTTTATAGTTTGAGGTCTTACATTTAAATCTTTAATCTATCTTGAGTCGATTTTTGTATATGGTGAAAGATGGGGTTTCAGTTTCATTCTTCTGTATATGGCTAGCCAGTGATCCAAGCACCATTTATTGAATAGGGAGCCCATTCTCCATTGCTTGTTTTTGTCTACTCTGTCGAAGATCAGATGGTTGTAGGTGTATGGCTTTATTTCTGGGTTCTCTATTCTGTTCCACTGGTCTATGCATCTGTTTTTGTACCAGTACCATACTGTTTTATTTACTCTAGCCTTATAGTATAGTTTGAAGTCAGATAGTGTGATGTCTCTGGCTTTTTTTTTTTTTTTTGCTTGGGATTGTTTTGGCTATTTGGGCTCTTTTTTGGTTGTATGTGAATTTTAGAATAGTTTTTTCTGATTCTGTGAAAAATGACATTGGTAGTTTGATAGGAATAGTGTTAAATATGTAAATTGCTTTGGGCAGTATGGCCATTTTAAAGATACTGATTCTTCCAATCCATGAGCATGTAATATTTTTCCATTTATTTGTGTTGTCCCTGAGTTCTTTCAGTAATGTTTCGTAGTTCTCTTTCTAGAGATCTTTCACCTTTTTGGTTAGCTGTTTTCCTAGGCATTTCAATTTTTTCATGGCTATTGTAACTGGGATTGGGTTCCTGATTTGACTCTCAGCTTGAACATTGTTGGTATATAGAAATGCTACTGATTTTTGTACATTGATTTTGCATCCTGAAACTTTACTAAAGTTGTCAGTTCCAGGAGCCTTTTGGTGGAGTCTTTAGGGTTTTCTAGGTATAAAATCATATTGTCAGCAAAGAAAGGAAATTTCCTATTTGGAATTAGAAATTTTCCTATTTGGATGCCTTTTATTTTATCTTGTATGCTTACTTTTTTTTTTTTTTTTTTTGAGAGGGAGTCTCGCTCTGTCACCCAGGCTGGAGTGCAGTGGCGCAATCTCTGCTCACTGAAAGCTCTGCCTCCTGGGTTCACACCATTCTCCTGCCTCAGCCTCCCGAATAGCTGGGACTACAGGCGCCCACCACCACGCCTGGCTAATTTTTTTGTATTTTTAGTAGAGACGGGGTTTCACCGTGCCAGCCAGGGTGGTCTCGATCTCCTGACCTTGTGATCCGCCTGCCTTGGCCTCCCAAAGTGCTGGGATTACAGGCGTGAGCCACCGTGCCCGGCCCTTGTATGCTTACTTTTTAAGTGTACTATCTTTTGCATGGTAAATGACGTTTTCTCCATTTTACACACTAGGACATGAAAGCTCAGAGAAGGTAAGTAGCCTGCCCAGTCTCACATGTATAGTAAGTGGCTGAGCCTGAATTCTAACCTGAAATGTCTAACTCAGAAGCTCTGATCACACTGCTGTACCACAGTCCCCGTGCATTCAATAAATGGAAGCTATTATTATGAACTGAAACCAGGTTGTCTCCTGAGGACACTTATTTCTCTGTAACCTAATAAATGGGGACTACTCATTCTCCATATACCACAGGCCAGTGAGAACCAAGGAGTCAGCCCCCTGCAGCCACATCCAGACCATTGTTCTTGGGTAGTACCAGCTTGAGATAGTTATCGTCAGGCTGTTACAACTACTCATCCTCATTGCTACTGTTCTCTCAATGCATGGAGTTCTCTCATCACTCAATGCATGGAGTTTCTTGGGCCTAACAGACCCACATCCTTTAGTCATTCTTTTATCCTGCATGAATTCAGTGCCTCTTCCAGCCCTCTCAGTGCTGAAGGCCTTTACTACTTTAACTCCAATGACCTATTCCCATGGCAGTGGGACTGTTCTGCCTCTTACGTCATGAGGAGGTTGAATAATGTCTGGGGGGAAAAACATTTGTGTGTGTGTATATACATAGCTATATGTGTATATGTGTACATACATAGATATATGTGTATATGTGTTCATACATAGCTATATGTGTATATGTGTACATATATACATACATACACATTAGTTTACTACACATTTTAGTGACATAATGGATATGTAACACATAATTAAATTGTATTATAAATTCCATATAGACAATTGATTTTCACAGATTGCTTTTGTTGATTTTTGCCAAACTTTTATGTCCTGGGCAACCTGTGGTTACAATTGACAAACCCAACATAAATGTTGGTTGATATTTGCCTTTATGTAAAGGACTTGAAAGTTAAACAATGAAGACATATGTCAAAACTTCACTCATTCATTAGTGATATGAGTGACTTCTTTGAGGAATTGGATAATAGTTTTATTTTATTAATTCATTCATCTACAGACAGGGTCTTGCTCTGTTGCACAGGCTGGAGTACAGTGGCACCATTATAGCTCAATGTACCCTCGAACTCCTGAGCTTAAGGGATCCTCCCATCTCAGCCTTCTGAGTAGCTAGGACTACAGTCGTGTGTCAAATGCCTGGCCAATTTATTTGTAGAGACAGAGCATCTCTATGTTGCCTAAGCTGATCTTGAACTTCCAGTCTCAAATGACTCTTCAGCCTTGGTCTCCCAAAGTGCTGGGATTATAGGAATGAGCCACAGCGCCTGGCCAGATAATTGCTTTTGAATACTGGAAGACTATTTCTTCAGTTTTTAAAAATTCTGTTTACAATGTGATGGCTACAGACATGATACACTTTTAAGTAAAAGCCGCATTACTAACATTTTCTCCTTTACTTTCATAAGTCTAAACAATCAATAAAACAATAAATAAATCAAGTTCTGACTTATAGCATGTGGTAATTTCCATGGTTAGTTTCAAGCTACCAATTGACATCACTGAACACAGAGCTGGGAAACGAGGTGCAGTGGCACATCATTATGGCATTTCCACCATATAGATACAGTAAGTATAAGAGCATGGATAATAAAGCCTAGTAAAATAATTAGGAAGTGATGAGTTTTAAGAATTTATGACCTTTGTTATTAATTTAATTTATATTTGATTGTAAGTCTCTTCAACTAATTTTTTAATAATGACTGTATTGGCTGGGCACAGTGGCTCACGCCTATATTCTTAACACTTTGGGAGGCCAAGGCAGGCAGATCACCTGAGGTTGGGAGTTCGAGACCAGCCTGACCAACATGGAGAAACCCCATTTCTACTAAAAATACAAAATTAGCTGGGCATAGTGGCGCATGCCTATAATCCCAGCTACTCAGGAGGCTGAGGCAGGAGAATCGCTTGAACCTGGGAGACAGAGATTGCAGTGAGCCGAGATCGCGCCATTGCACTCCAGCCTGGGCAACAACAGTGAAACTCCATCTCAAAAAAAAAAAGCTGTATCTAACAACCAGCTTGCAACATTTCTGAAATTTAGTAATCAGCTCTCATTTGATGCAAGCTGGCTCCAACCAACAAACCACCGTGTCTAGTCAGTCATTTCCATACTGATTCTCTGCCACAGCCCATCAATCCATCTGTCACTTTCTCACCTGTAACACATACATTTACCCTGTGATTCATTTTCTATTCATTCCTCAAGCCACCACAACCTGACTTGTCGTTTCCACGACAGACCCTTTGCTAGGAAGTAAAGGATTCTTTTCTTTCCCTTGCCCTGTGAATTCCAGTGTCCTCAGGGCTCTGTCTTGGGTCATCTGCTTTCTCTTTCTATACACTGTGCTTTGGTGATCTCATTCAAACCCTGACATTAAGTATACTGATGGCTCCCAAGTCTATAATTCTAACCCATGCGCCTCTCTGGAGTTCCAGACCCATGTGTCCAGCAGTCTATTGGACATCACTTGTTTGTCTTCTTGGTAATTCAAACTCAGCATTTCAAGAACATATTTGTTGTTTCCCCAGACTCCAACCTCCACCTCACAAATCTGATGTCGCCTCTCTTTTTCCTGTCTCATTAAATGGAGATACCTTACCTACTAAGTCATCTGAGCCAGACACCTGGGAGTCATCCTCACTTATTTTTTTTTTTTTTTGAGGAGGGGTCTCACTCTGTTGCCTAGGCTGGAGTGCAGTGGCACAGGTCTCAGCTTACTGCAGCCTCTGCCTCTGGGCTCAAGTGATCCTCCCACCTCAGCCTCCCGAGTACCTGGGACTACAGGCACACACCACCAGCACCCGGCTAATTTTTGTATTTTTGTAGAGATCGGGTTTCTCCATGTTGCCCAGGCTGGTCTTGAACTCCTGGACTCAAGCAATCCACCCATCTCGGCCTCCCAAAGTGTTGGGATTACAGGCGTGAGCCATCGAACCCATGCAGTGTCCTGATCCTGGTTCAATGCAGCCTCGATCTCTCCAGACTCAAATGATCCGCCCACCTCAGCCTCCCGAGTAGCTGGGACTACAGATTCAGGGCATCACGCCCAGCTAATTGTTTTATTTTTTATAGAGATGGGGCCTTGCCATGTTGCCCAGGATGGTCTTGAACTCCTGGCCTCAAGTAATCCTCCCACCTTAGCCTCCCAAAGTGCTGGGATTGCAGGCATGAGCCACCACACCCCACCCATCTTCACTTTTTACTCTGGTACCAAATCCAGATTGATCCAGTCATTCATTTATCCATCTGTTGAACTTTCCGGCAAATATTTAATAGAACAGCTGCATAGTATATTGGGTAAGAGCACTGGAGCCTGAAGTCAGCCTGCCAGGCATCAGATCCTGGCTCTGCCATTTAACTAGCTTTGGAAACCTTGGGAAATTTGCTTGCCCACTCTGTGTTTCAAGGTTTTTTTTTTTTTTGACAGAGTCTCACTCTGTCATCCAGGCTGGAGTGCAGTGGTGCGATCTTGGCTCACTGCAACTTCTGTCTCCTGGGTTCAAGTGATTCTCTTGCCTCAGCCTCCCACATAGCTGGGATTACAGGTGTGTGCCACCACACCCATCTAATTTTTGTATTTTTAGTAGAGACGGGGTTTCACCATGTTGGCCAGGCTGATCTCAAACTCTTGATGACTGTCTTCTTATAAGGACAACAGTTATAGTGAATTAAGTGTCCACCCTACTCTAGTGTGATCTCTTCTTAACTAATTACATCTACAATGACTCTATTTCCAAATAAGGTCACATTCTGAGGTACTGGGGGTTAGGACTTCAACATAGCTCTTTTGGAGGGACATACTCTGCTATAGTCAGAATGTTTGTGTTCCCCTCAAATTCATATGTTGAAATCCTAACTCCTAAGGTGATGGTATTAGGAGGTGGGGTCTTTGGGAAGGCAGAACACTCATGATTGGGATTAGTGCCCTTATAAAGAGACCCCAGAGAGCTAGCCTGGCCCTTCTACTATGTGAGGACATAGTAAGAAGGCACTATCTGTGAACCAGGAAGTGGGCCCTCACCAGACACTGAGGCTGTCAGGGCCTTGATCTTAGACATCCAAGCCTCCAGAACTATGAGTAACAAATTCTGTTGTTTATAAGCCACCCTGTTATAGCAGCCCAAATGGACTAAGACAGCGTTCAATGCGTAACAGGCAGGAACTCTGATACAGGAATCATATCTGCTTTCTGACCTTGTGTGGCTCACAGTCTAATGTGCGGCAGTTGTTAATGTCTTACTTCCTGTCCCCGCCCACCGCGACTGTCTTAGTTCCTTTTGTCTCACAACAGCCTCCTGAGTAGACCCTAGTCTGGCCCCACCATAGTGCATCCTCCATGGGGTGTCAGAGTGATCTTTCCAACACATAGGTTGATCATGGCACCTCCTTCTGAAGCTCCCTGGGCCTTCAGGTAAAGGTTTAGCATGAAAAATCCTTCTAGTTCTAGCTCCTTCCTGCTTGTCTGCACTGAACCTTATACCACAGCCCAGAAAACTGTTTGTAGTTCCCTGATCATATTCTTCTTCTTCTTCTTTTTTTTTTTTTTTTGAGATGGAGTTTTGCTTTGTTGCCCAGGCTGGAGTGTAATGGCGCAATCTCAGCTCACTGCGACCTCTGCCTCCCAGGTTCAAGCGATTCTCCTGCCTCAGCCTCCTGTGTAGTAGCTGGGATTACAGGCGCCTGCCACCACACCTGGCAAATTTTTGTATTTTTAGTAGAGACGGGATTTCACCATGTTGGCCAGGCTGGTCTTGAACTCCTGACCTCAGGTAATCCACCCATCTCGGCCTCTCAAAGTGCTAGGAATACAGGCGTGAGCCACCACGCCGGCTATATTTTTTAAAATTTAAAATTACTTCCTTAGGCACAACTCAACAACAAAAAGACAAACAACCCAATTTAAAAATGGGCAAAGACTTGAGTAGACATTTCTCCAAATAATATATATAAATGGCCAAAAGCACATGAAAAGATGCTCAATGTCATTAATCACTAGATTAATGCGAATAAAACTACAATGAGATACCACTTCATACCCACTAGGATGGTTATAATAAGAAAAGTAACAAGTGTTGGCGAGGATGTGGAGAAGGAGAAATTGGAACATTGCTGGTGGGAATGTAAAATGGTGCAGCTGCCGTGAAAACAATTTGGCAGGACCTCAATAAGCTAAACATAGAATTCATAGAATACTGTCTGACCCAGCAGTTCCACTTCTAGGTATGTACTCAGAAGAATTGAAAACAAGTGTTCAATTGATGGCTCACGCCTGTAATCCCAGCATTTTGGGAGGCTGATGCGGGAGGATCACCGAGGTCAGGAGTTCGAGACCAGCCTGACCAACATGGAGAAACTCCATCTCTACTAACAATACAAAATTAGCTGGGTGTGGTGGCACATGCCTATAATCCCAGCTACTCAGGAGGCTGAGGCAAGAGAATCGCTTGAACCCGGGAGGCGGAGGTTGCGGTGAACCGAGATCACACCATTGCACTCCAGCCTGGCCAACAAGAGCAAAACTCCGTCTCAAAAAAAAAAAAAAAAAAAAGAAAAACAAAAAGAAAACAAGTGTTCAAATAAAAACTGTACACAAATGTTCATAGCAACATTATTCACAATAATCCAAAAGTGGAAATGACCACCCATGGATGGACAAAGAAAATGTGGTATCTCTATACAATGAAATATTACTCAGCCAGACTGGGCGCGGTGGCTCACGCCTATAATCCCAACACTTTGGGAGGCCGAGGTGGGTGGATCACTTGAGGTCAGGAGTTTGAGACCAGTCTGGCTAACATGGTGAAACCCCGTCTCTACTAAAAATACAAAAATTGGCCAGGCACGGTGGCGGGTGCCTGTAATCCCAGCTACTCGGGAGGCTGAGGCAGGAGAATGAATCACTTGAACCTGGGAGACAGAGGTTGCAGTGAGCCAAGATTGTGCCACCGCCCTCCAACCTGGGTGACAGAGCAAGGCTCCATCTAAAAAAAAAAAAAAAAAAGAAATATTACTCAGCCATAAAAAGATGTGCAGTCCTGAAGTCCTGATATATGTCAGAACGTGGATGAGCCTCAAAACCCTAATGTTAAATGAAAGAAGCCGGACAGAGTCACATAACGTGTGATTCTGTTTATATGAGTAATATCCAGAAGAGTTAACTTTATAGGGGAACAAAAGTAGATTGGTGGTTGCTAGGGGATGAGGGGAGGGGAAAATGGGGATTAATTGCTTAATGTATATGGGGTTTTATTTTGGGCTTATGAAAATGTTTTGGAAATAGGGTGGTAGTTGCAGGGCACTGTGAAGGTACTAAACGTCATGGATTTGTACACTTTAAAATATTTAATTTTATGTTATGTGAATTTTATGTCAATAAAAGAAATAAAAACAAAAAAGAATGAAGTATTGATGCATGCTACCATGTGGGTGAACCTTGAAAACATTTTGCTGAAGTGAAAGAAGCAGACAGAGAAGGTCACATATTGTGTGATTCCATTTATATGAAGTATCTAGAATAGGCAAATTCATAGAGACAGAAAGCAGATGAGTGGTTGCCAGAGTCCGAGGGAGGCGGGATGGGGAGTGGCTGTTTAATGGACATGGGGTTTCCTTTTTGGGTGATGAAATGTTTTGGAACTAGATAGTGGTAATGGTTGTACACTATTGTGAATGTACTGAATGCCACCGAATCACAGACTTTAAAATGGTTAAAATGGTAAATTTTATGTTGTGTATATTCTACCACAATAACAAATATTTCCTTAAGAAAGATGTTCTGAAGTGAAGCCAGAGTCAAAGAATGTGAGAATTTTATAAATTCTTGGGGCGTGTTGCTGAATTTATGTTGAGAAGGGATCATTCGTTGCCTTCCCTCCAGGAATGTTTAAGAACCTGTATTGCATCTTTGCTAGACTTGAGTATCGTGGTTAAAAAACAAAGCAGCCAGGCGTGGTGGCTCACGCCTGTAATCCCAGCACTTTGGGAGGCCGAGGCGGGCGGGTCACCTAAGGTCGGGAGTTCGAGACCAGCCTGACCAACATGGAGAAACCCTGTCTCTACTAAGAGTACAAAATTAGCCGGGAGTGGTGGCGCATGCCTGTAATCCCAGCTACTCAGGAGGCTGAGGAAGAGAATCGCTTGAACCCCGGAGGCAGAGGTTGTAGTGAGCTGAGATCGCGCCAGTGTACTCCAGCCTGGGTGACAGAGTGAGACACTGTCTCAAAAAAATAAATAAAATAAATAAACAAAGCAAAATGGCCTCGCTAATTTGATATAACACGGTGCCTCTTCAGGAAAGTTCTCTTGCTTCCAGGTTAACTTGAATGAGAAGAGTGTTTAGGAACACAGCCAGAATAAAAGGATTTTAGAGGTAGGAGAGGCCTAGAGAGCTTCGAGACCATTGCATCTCATTTTTATCGGACCAGTATTTAGTAAATAGCTTACTATTCTGAAATAAAATACATAGATAAAATAATCTACCTGAAGTCTATATGATACAGTGCTTTAGACAATATGAGTTTTGGAGTAAACTTCCTGGGTTCAAATGCCTGTTCAGCTGCTCACCAGCCTTGTGGGCTCTGGCACCACTCTGTGCCTCAGTTTCTTCATCTATAAAATGGAGCTAATGACAGTGTTGCCTCATAGAATTGTCTGAGGATTAAATGTATGTGTATGTATATAAATATAAAATATGCTTAGGCTTATAATTGAACTGTACAAAAGAGGAGAAATAGAAGGAAAGTAATTTATAATAAATGCACTTTAAATTTGTAAATATCTAGGCACGATTACCCTAGGAAGACACTGAAATAGATGTTTGCACCTATGCATAGAATCACCCCAGATGTCACAGCTATAAATTCATATTGGTTCGACTACATTGCACCTCAAAAGCCATGAGTGTTGTTATTGGTGACATGCTCTATTGCCTAGGCTGGAGTGCAGTGGTGTGATCTCGGCCCACTGCAGCCTCTGCCTCCCAGGTTCAAGCAATTCTCCTGCCTCAGCTACCTGAGTAGCTGGGATTACAGGTGGGCATCACCACACCTGGCTAATTTTTGTATTTTTAGTAGAGACGGGGTTTCACCTTGTTGGCCAGGCTGGTCTTGAACTCCCGATCTCAGGTGATCCACCCGCCTTGGCCTCCCAAAGTGCTGGGATTACAGGCGTGAGCCACCACTCCCAGCCATGGGAAGTATTTTTAAACAACCATACTTGCATGTACAGGCTTTTCATCTTCATAAATGTTTAATGGGATATTTGGAAGTGGGACATGGGACCATTCTTTATTGGGTGGGATTTCCCACGTTTCCAGATGTCTAGCATCCTTAGTCCCCTCCTCTAAATGTCAGTATGCTGTAGTGAGTGGTTCCACCCCCACTGAGAACCACTGAGACTACTCCAACCCTCTTCTTTTCCCGACCAGTTTCCTGAGAGATTCAGAGAGGATTTTTTTTTTTTTTCAGAGATAGGTTCTGGAGAATACATACTCTCTCCACTTCTGCTCACTCTGTCACCCAGGCTGGAGTGCAGTGGTGTGACCAGAGCTCACTGCAACCTTGAACTCCTGGGCTTAAGCGATTCTCCCATCACAGCCTCCGGAGCAGCTGGGATTACAGGTGTGTGCCACCATGCCCGGCTAATTTTAAACAGTTTTTGTAGAGACTGGTGGCGGGGGGATCTTGTTCTGTTGCCCAGAATGGTCTTGAACTCCTGACCTCAAGCTATCCTCCTGTCTTAGCCTCCCAAAGCTCTGGAATTACAGGCCTGAGCCACCATGCCCGGCCTAGAGAGGGAATTTAAAATCGGCAGCTATGACAGTGACTGCTTGTTCACCCCAGGCCCACCTTCAGCCTTGTGATCAGCTGGAAGATGCCTTGTTAGTAACCCAGACTCTGCCTGCCCTGCTGCATTTATCCAATGTATTTCTCTTTTGGGGGCCTTCTTCTTCCCTATCTCTCACCTCCATCCTCCCAACACCTGATCCATTAGCAAGTCCTGTTGGCTATCCCTCCGAATATGTGACCGACCACAGTAGGCTTCTCCTCGTTCTCTGCTCCACTCTTGTCCCACTACAGTCTATTCTCATGGCAGCCAGAGGAGCTTTAAAAAAAATTTATGGCCGGGCGCGGTGGCTCACGCCTGTAATCCCAGCACTTTGGGAGGCCGAGGCGGGCAGATCATCTGAGGTCGGGAGTTCGAGACCAGCCTGACCAACATGGAGAAACCCCGTCTCTACTAAAAATACAAAATTAGCAGGGCATGGTGGCAGGTGCCTGTAATCCCAGCTACTCAGGAGGCTGAGGCAGGAGAATCACTTGAACCTGGGAGGTAGAGGTTGTGATGAGCTGAGATCACGCCATTGCACTCCAGCCTGGGCAACAAGAGCTGAACTCCATCTAAAAAAAAAAAGTTACATCAAGCCATTCTGCCTCAGCTCTCCAGAGTTTTCCCAAGACACTGGGAATAAAATGCAAATTCCTCTCCCTGCCCTGCAAAGCCCTGTAGGATCCGGCCTCATCTCCCAAACTCCTTCCCACTGAGCTCAGCCACCCTGGCCTCTCATGCCACCGCTCCTGCCTCAGGGGCTTTATACCTGTTCCTCCTTCTGCCTGGAGCCCACTTCCCTGCAGCCTGGTCTTCGCTGAGTGGGCCCCTTTTGTCTGTTCCAGGTCACCTTAGAGACTATTCCTGACCACCTCATCTGGATCACTGCCTTCCCAAAGTTGCTTTCTGTCCCCTAACTCTGTTTTTTGTTGTTGAAAGTACTTATCTTGATTTGAAGTGGGAGCAGACTAAGCCACTCTGGGGCAGAGACTTCATTTATCTCACTCTCCACAGTGTTCCAGGGCCCAACAGGATGCTGGCCAGTGCTGCTCAGTATCTTTGGAACACATGAATGAAGGCCTAATACCTAACCCCAAGTGGGCCAATCAGAATCCTTCCCTGTGGGCTGGTTGTGGTGGATCCGGCCTGTAATCTCAGCATTTTGGGAGGCTGAGGTGGGAGGATCACTTGAGCCCAGGAGTTTGAGACCAGCCTGGGCAACATTAGAGATCCCATCTCTACAAAAAATACAAACATTATCTAGGTGTGGTGGCGTGTGCCTGTAGTCCCACCTACTGGGGAGGCTGAGGTGGGAAGATCACTTGAGCCCGAGAGGTTGAGGCTGCAATGAGCTGTGATTGCACCACTTGCACTCCAGAATGGGTGACAGAGGAAGACCCTATCTCAAAAAAACAAACAAAACAAAACCCCAAAAAACTGATCTTAAGCACACAGTTGGAAGAGTTTTAACAAATGTGTAGTTGTGTAACTACCACCACAGCCAAGAGACAGGACATTTCCTTCAATCCAGGAAGCATAACCTATTTCTTGAGTTCTATGGGATAACCCAAGATTAAAAACAAACAAACAAAAAACAGCTTTATTGTGGTATAATTGACATGCAACAAACTGCATATATTCAAAGTGTGTAATTTGATGAGTTTTGGCATGTGACTACACCGTGAAACCGCCACCACAACTAAGATTATGAACATATCCATCATCTCCAAGAGTTTCCTCCTGCCCCTTTGTAATCTTTCCCTCCCAGCCCTATTTGCGCCCCCATCTCGAGCACCCACGAATGTGTTTTCTGTTACTATAGGTTAGCTTATATTTTCTAGGGTTTTCTTTTCTTTTTTTTTTTTTGAGATGGAGTCTCACTCTGTTGCCCAGGCTGAAGTGCAGTGGCACGATCTTGGCTCACTGCAAGCTCCACCTCCTGGGTTCACGCCATTCTCCTGCCTCAGCCTCCCAAGTAGCTGGGACTACAG
Organism: Homo sapiens; assembly: GCF_000001405.40. Lineage (NCBI taxonomy): Eukaryota > Metazoa > Chordata > Mammalia > Primates > Hominidae > Homo > Homo sapiens. The sequence continues at coordinate 31,882,814 of NC_000001.11, read as the reverse complement.
GTGCCCGCCACCACGCCCGGCTAATTTTTTTGTATTTTTAGTAGAGACGGGGTTTCACCGTGTTAGCCAGGATGGTCTCGATCTCCTGACCTCGTGATCCGCCTGCCTCAGCCTCCCAAAGTGCTGGGATTACAGGCATGAGCCACCACGCCCAGCCATACATTTTCTAGGGTTTTCTATAAACGGAGTCATACAGTATGCACTCTTCTTTGGCTTTTTTCACTCAGCATCATTATTTTTAGAATCATCCATGTTGTTACATGTAACAATAGTTTATTCGTTTCTATTGTTGAGGATTCTTCCATTGTATGGTATGCCATAATTTGTTTATCCACTTATCTATTGGTGGGCATTTGGACTGTTCCCAGATTGGGGTTTTTACAGATAAAGCTGCTATGAACACGTGTGTGCAAGTCTTTGTATGGACATAGGTATTTCTTTTTCTCTTGTGTAAAAATCTAGGAGTGGAATGGCTGGACCCTATGTTACCTTTAGTTTATTCTTTTTTGTTTTCTTTTGAGACAGAGTCTCGATCTGTCGCCCAGGCTGGAATGCAGTGGCGTGATCTTGGCTCACTGCAACCTCTGCCTCCCGGGTTCAAGCGATTCTCCTGCCTCAGCCTCCTGAGTAGCTGGGATTATAGGCATGCGCCACCATGCCCAACTAATTTTTGTATTTTTAGTAGAGACGGGGTTTCACCGTGTTGGTCAGGCTGGTCTTGAACTCCTGATTTCGTGATCTGCCTGCCTCGGCCTCCAAAAGTGCTGGGATTACAGGCGTGAGCCACCGCGCCTGGGCTACCCTTATGCTATTCTTAATCACAGATTTCTCCTTTTTACTTAAGCCAATCAATTTGGGACTGTCCAGTTCCCTCAGCAGGATGGAGACTCAGCTCTCTCCCTCTTGTCTCCCTCCAAGCTGCCTCTCGTCCTGTGCAAGTCTTGCTGTTGCTGCTGTGGACTGAGCTAGGCTGAGAATGCACGTTACCTTCCTGAGCACGTCGCCTTTGAGAAGCAATGTTGACTTACATAAGCACACTGACCTCTTGCTTCTTGCCAAAGTCTAAAATCATGGAATCTTTTGCAAGTGTGCTCTCGCTGCCTCTGGACTGGAATGTTAAGTGCAAGAGGAGTTGTCTGGCTTAATAGTCCGATCAAAATATGTCTGTGGATGGACAAGGTCAGTGATTGACTCGTAGAAGGGGCGCCTTAGATGAAGAGACAGTCTGAGTATCAGAGAGCCACGGGGATGAGTTAAGAGGGAGGCTCCTGCATTCAGAGCAGCTCAAAGATAGCACACCCAGGCAACATATTTTTACATTTGAGTTTAATTTATTTTTGAAAAAGGAATGTATTCAGATGGTTCAAAATTCAAAAGCAAGGGTGGGTGTACAGTACTGTGAAAAATCTTTCTCATGTCCTCAGCCACCCCTTGTCCTCAGAGGTAACCACAACTCCTCCCCACCCCCAGTTCTTTAAATAGTCTTCCAGATATTTGCATATACAAAGATTTGCATATACAAATATATATGTGTATATCTTATATGTGTGTGGGGGGGCGTTCTTTTTACACAAGTGCTTGCAGACCAAACACGTTGTTGAACACTGATTTTTTTTCACTTTACATAGCTCAGAGCTTAGTCCACAGTACAATGGAAAAAGCCTCCTCATTCTTGTTCTATATTTACACAGTATTGCATTATAATTTCTTAACCAGTTGAGGCAGCATTTGACCAGTGATATTAGTAGGATCATGAGATTACGGGGGTGAATAATTTTAGTTTGCACGGTAAATAATGGCAAAGTCACAGGTGGATTCACTTGACTTACTGAACTGTGATATAATCTCATAGACTGCAGGGAAGATAGCATTTCTAAGTGCTTGATATGCCAATGCATTCATAAAGTTGTAGTTCTTAAACTTTGATGTCCTTAAGAATTACCTGGGGAGCTAATTAAAGTGAGGCTACGCAGGCTCCCCACTCTTCTGCTGCCCCAGAAAGTCTAATTCACTGGAGCAGGAGGTGGCGGAGTGGGGCCCAGGATCCTAATACAGATGGTCCTCAGACTATACTTCGTGAAATGAACTTGCTCTGCAGAAGGAAAAGAGCTTCCTGCTGAAGGAGTAACTCAATAGTTTGTTAATTCAAAGTGTTAAAAAGAATTTTATTCCCATATCTTTAAACCCGAAAAGAAATTCATGAACAAGTCTGTTTTTTTTTTCAAACAGTTCAGAAGAATATGGACTCTCTCCACCTCTGCCTAACAGTTGTCTTTCCCTCTCCTCTCTCCCTGCCACTGTCTCTCTCTCTCTCTTTCTCCCCTCTCTCTCGACAACAGTCTTGCCAGTCATTACCTTTGAAGAGACATAAGGTCTCCACCACATGGCAGGGAGCACTGTGACTGAGGAAACAGCCCTTATCTTTAGCTGGAGGCAGTTCCATGGGCTGAGAATAGTAATGAACTTGGACTTGGGAGTCCTGGGTCAAATGCCTTGTTGAAGATCAGTGGCTCACTGTGTGCTGGGCACCAAGCTGAGGATTTGATGTGCATTATCTCAGTTAATCTACAATGACCCAATTTACACAGAGGAAAACTGAGGCTGAGAGGTTTTTAGTAATTTGCCTGGGGTTAGAGGTGTGCCACACAGCTGGTGTTGTGTTGGGCAGATCTCTTCTGGAGCTCTATCTTGCTCTCGACCACACATTTTCATGTTTTTTTTTTTTTTTGAGACGGAGTCTCACTCTGTAGCCCAGGCTGGAGTGCGGTGGTTGGGTCTCAGCTCACTGCAACCTCTACCTCCTGGGTTCAAGCAATTCTTCTGCCTCAGCCTCCTGAGTAACTGGGATTACAGGTGCCCAGCTAATTTTTGTATTTTTAGTAGAGACGGGATTTCATCATGTTGGTCAGGCTGGTCTCAAACTCCTGACCTCGTGATCTATCCGCCTTGGCCTCCCAAAGTGCTGGGATTACAGGCATGAGCCACTGCACCCAGCGTATGTTTTATTATTATTTTTATTACACATGTCACACATGGTCATTATTTTAAAAAGTTATAATGCAGATAAGCAGAAATAAAAAAAATCTACCCATGTACCACCCTGCAGTGATAAGCACCATTAATGGTTTGGTATATCTTATTCCAAATATTTTTCTAGGCATTTATACCTATAATTATACATACATCAATATACACATATACAAACTTGCATTTATTATTATTGCTTTTTTGAGAGGGAGTCTCGCTCTGTTGCCCAGGCTGGGGTGCAGTGGCGAGATCTCGGTTCACTGCAACTTCCAACTCCCGGTGGGAGGAGGCGATCCTCCCACCTCAGCCTCATGAGTAGCTGGGACTATAGGTGTGTGCCACCACACCTGGCTAATTTTTGTAGTTTTAGTAGAGACAGGGTTTCGCCATGCTGGCCAGGCTTGTCTTGAACCCCTGACCTCAGGTGGTCCACCTGCCTCGGCCACCCAAAGTGCTGGGATTACAGCCGTGAGCCACCGTGCCCAGCCCAAACTTGCATTTAAACATAAAATAAGTCCACACTGTATATATTGATATGTAACCTGCTTTTTCCTACTAAATAATAAATACATGAACAGTTGTCCACATCAACAGGTATAAACCCGCATTATAATTTTTAATGGCTGCACAGCATCCTACTGCATATAGGGATGTAACACCTTTTTTTTTTTTTTTTTTGAGACAGAGTCTGGCTCTGTCGTCCAGGCTGGAGTGATCATTGCTCACTGCAACCTCTGCCTCCCTGACTTAAGTGATTCTCCTGTCTCAGCCTCCTGAGTATCTGGGACTACAGGCATGTGGCACCATGCCTGGTTAATTTTTGTATTTTTAGTAGAGAAATACGGGGCTTCACCACGTTGGCCAGGCTGGTCTTGAACTCCTGACCTCAAATGATCCACCTGCCTTGGCCTCTCAAAGTGCTGAGATTATAGGTGTGAGCCAGAATGCCCAGCCAACACTTTTATTTAACCAATTGCCTATCGATAGAATTTAAGTTGTTTCAATTTTTTGTTATTATAATCAAGCTGTGGCAAACATGGTAACAATGGTACCATTTATTATTTCCTATGTACCAGATACTGTACTAAGTTTTTTACAAGCATTATTTAATTTAATCCCCACAGTGATCCTATAAGGTAATACACTTATTATACCTGGTTTACAGGTGAGGAAAGTGCAGTTTGGAGAGGCTGAGTCACTTGTCAACATTATCCAGCTAGCAAGTGGCAACGTTGGGATTTGAATGGAGCTCTTCCTGGTTCTAAAATCCATCCTCTTTCCTCCAAATTGTGCTGGGTTCCAACTATTGAAATAAGGTTTGCTAAATTCCCTTTGTGCTGCTGCAGCCACAGAATGGGAAGGATTGGTGGCCAAGGGGCCTGGAAGGTCCCCTATCTAGCTCTTTTGAAACCTAAATGGAGCCAAAAAGTCCCGGACTCATTTCCCCTTAAGAAAGTTTGTGTACTTGGCAACAAAGATACAAAGTCTTCCCTGGAGACTGGTCAGAGGAGCTTTGATCTGGGTTACCCCAGCCTGAGGCCACATGGTCTTGAGCTGCTGGTTTGCCTGCCGTCTTCTCAGCCCCAAGAGACACATACCGGGTCCTACAGACTTTCTTGCCAGCTGAGGCCTAGATGCTGGCCAGCCCAACGCCGAGTCTTGTGCTTCTCTGCAAAACAGAGAAGATTCTCCCATGGCCCAGGACCGTGGCCTTCATAAGCACACAGCCCTTGGAGCAGCAGCCACTCAGGGGTGGCTCTTGTGTCTAATAGACACTTGGGGAACTGCCTCTCTTTAATACAGGTCCTGGGAAGTGGCACAGGAGACATGTCAACAAAAGTCTGCTTCCCCCAGAAGCAGACCCTGAGACATGGACTTCAGTGCACAGTAATTCAGGAAGTACAGGAAACACCAGTAGAGGACTGAGAAGTGTACAAGAAAGGGAAGGCTCCCAGTAAAGGGCGTATTATCACACCAGAGACCACTTTGGGCAGCTAGAGCTAAAGTCCATGGGGAAGCCGAAGAAAGTCTCAGGGTCCTCTTCCCAGATGGGTGAGGGAGCTGGGGTATTTATACACCTATCCTGCCATTCATTCTCCAGGTAGAGAGGTCTTTTGTAGCTCTGAAAAAAGCCTGCTGGGAGCGGTGGCTCACACCTGTAATCTCAACACTTTGGGAGGCTAAGATGGATGGATCGCTTGAGTCTAGGAGTTCAAGGCTAGCCTGGGCAACATGGCAAAACTGCATCTCTACTAAAAAAAAATCTATCTATCTATATAGATATAAATACACACACACACACACACACACACACACACACATATACACATAAAAATTAGCTGCGCATGGTGGCTCATCATTCATCATGCCTATAGTCCCAGCTATGTGGGGGGCTGAGGTGGGAGGATCACGGGGGCCCAAGAGGTCGAGGCTGTAGTGAGCAGAGATCATGCCACTGCACTTTCGCCTGTGCAACAGAGCAAGAGTCTCTGTCTCAAAAAAATATATAAAAATAAAATATAAAGTAAAATGAAAAAAGCTTTGGCCGGGTGCAGCGGCTCATGCCTATAATCCTAGCACTTTGGGAGGCTGAGGTAGGCGGATTGCTTGAGCTCAGGAGTTTGAGACCAGCCTGGGCAACATGGTGAAAGCCTGCCTCTGCTAAAAATACAAAAAATTAGCCAGGCATGGTGGCGGGCGCCTGTAATCCCAGATACTGGGAAGGCTGAGGCACAAGAATCGGTTGAACCCGGGAGGCAGAGGTTGCAGTGAGCCGAGATCGTGCCATTGCACTCCAGCCTGGGCAACAGAATGAGACTCTGTCTCAAAAAAAAAAAAAAAAAAAAAAAAAAAAAGCCAAAAAAATTGCCTCCAGGTAATGAGATACAGAAACTGGAAGATGAAAGTTCAGTGAAACAGACTGAAGTGATGAGGATTGAGGGATATGGTGGGGTCTCCACCCTGGGACCAATGCTCCTGGGGCCCAGATTCCACTAGTGAACTAAACCTTAGCACACTAAGCCAGTCTCAGCCAGTCCCAGCTATAGCTGGAAGTGGCCTTTTTAACATCTATGTGGAAGTCTACATATATTCAAATCTTATAAATCCCTGCTTAGATTTCTGTCTGCTGCTTCCATCAATTATGAGAGAGGTCTGTTATTTTGTCTTGTTCTCTTTTTCCTCTAGTTCGAAAGATCTCTTTTCTGTTTCTATTCTTGTAGTAGTTACCCTAGTAATTTCAACTTGCTTCCTGACTTATCAAAGTCTAAAATTAATCAATGCCTTTTTTTTCCCTGAACTATGCAACAACCCCAAAACACTTTAACTTCATTAACCAGTCTCCAGCTTATATACTATTGTCGCTGTGTGTTTTTTCTTTTTTTTAACCCCCAAGAGATATTATTATTTTGATTTTATGTAGTCAATGAATAACATGGATTATTTAGAAACATCTTAATTTCCAAATACATGGGGATTTTATGATTACCTTTTCTTTATTAATTTATAGCATATATGCATTGTGGTCTGAAAACATATTCTATATCATTTTAATACTTTGACATTTGTTCAGATTTGCTTAATGGCCAAGGATACAGGATGTATTTGATTTCTAGAAATACTTCATGAGTGCTGAAGCAACATGGATTCTGCAGTGGTTGCATACTGTGTTCTATAGACGTCTACTAGGTCAGGCTAGTTAATCATTAAATCCTCTGTGTTCTTACTGATTGTTTTTGTCTACTTGTTTTAGCAACTAATGGAGAGAGATATGTTAACATTTCCTGCTACGATTATGGATTTATGGATTTATCTGTTTCTCTTTGTCATTCTGCCATTTTTAATTTTTTACTTTATATCTTTTAAAAAGCATGTTGTAGCTGGGTGCGGAGGTTCAAGCCTGTAATCCCAATAATTTGGGAGGCTGAGGTGGGTGGATCACCTGAGGTCAGGCATTCGAGACTAGCCTGGGCAACATGGTGAAACCCTGTCTCTACTAAAAATACAAAAAAATTAGCCGAGTGTGGTGGCAGGCGGCTGTAATCTCAGCTACTCTGGAGGCCGAGGCAGGAGAATCGCTTGAACCCAGTAGACATAGGTTGCAGTCTATATCCGACTGCATAGCCGACATCGTGCCATTGCACTCCAGCCTGGGCAACAAGAGTGAAACTCTGCCTCAAATAATAATAATAATAAAATAAAAAGCATGTTATTAGGTACATGCCAATTTAGAATTGTTATATTTTTCTGGCTAATTAAATTTTTATCATTATGAAATGACCTCTCCCATTATGAAATGATTTTGGCTTTAAAGTCTATTTTCTTCTGTAACCTCATTTCAACTTTATTTAATTTCAACAGATTTCTGTTGTTTAGTATTTGCTATGACTGGGATGTTTGTCCCCTTCAAAATTCATGTTGAAATTTAATTGCCATTTTGACAGTATTGAGAGGTGGGACCTTTAAGAAATGTTTAGGTCATAAATGCTCAACCCTCATGAATGGATTAATGCTGGGAGTGGGTTAGCCCCCTCTGGTGCACGTGCTCTCTCTCTCTTTCTGTCTCTCGCTGTCTCTCTCTCGCTCTCTTTCACTCCTTTGCTGTCTGCCTTTCACCATGTTATTATGCAGCAAGAAGACCCTTGCCAGATGCTAGCACTCTGATTTTGGACTTCCCAGTCTTCAGAGCTGTGAAAACAAATTTCTATACATTATAAATTATCCAGTCTTAGATATTCTGTTATAGCAGCCCAAGACAGTTTTGCATAATATACTTTTTCTATCTTTCCATTTTCAACTTTACTTTGTTTTTCTTTTCTTTTTAAAAATTGAGAAAAGTCTAGCTCTGTCACCCTGGCTGGGGTGCAGTGGCACAATCTTGGCTCACTATGGCCTCAGCCTCCTGGGGTCAAGCAATCTTCCCCTCAGCCTCCTGAGTACCTGGGACTGCATGCGTGTGCCACCATGTCTGGCTATTTTTTTTCTATATTTTGTAGAGATGAGGTCTCACTAGAGATGACGTTGCCTAGGTTGGTCTTGGACTCCTAGGCTCAAGTGATCGGCCTGCCTCAGCCTCCCAAAGTACTGGGAATACAGGTGTGAGCCACCATGCGCAGTCCAATTTTCAACTTTTTTGTATATCTGTGCTTTAGGTGTGTTTCTTACGCACAATATATAATTAGATTTTTATTATTCAGTCTGGTAATCTTTGCCTTTTGACTGAAATATTTGTTTTAAAACATGTAGTCTATTATTATTATTTTATATACATTAGTGTTCATTTAAACCTCCTACTTGAGGGCTGAGAGCAGTGGTTTATGCCTGTAATCCTAGCACTTGGGTGGCCAAGGTAGTTGGATCACCTGAGGTCAGGAGTTCGAGACCATCCTGACCAACATAGTGAAACCCTGTCTCTACTAAAGTACAAAATTAGCCATGCGTGGTGGTGCATGCCTGTAATCCCAGCTACTTGGGAGGTTGAGGCAAGAGAATCACTTGAACCTGGGAGTGGAAGTTGCAGTGAGCTGAGATCTCGTCATTGCACTCCAGCCTGGGCAACAAGAACAAAACTCCATTTCAAAAATAAAATAAAATAAAATAAAATAAACCTCTTACTTCAGTTTTTTTTTCTTTCTTTCTTTTTTTTTTTTAAACAGGATCTTGCTCGGTCACCCAGGCTGGAGTGTAGTGGCACAGTCATGGCTCACTGCAGCCTCGACCTCCCAGGCTCAAGTGATCCTCTCACCTTGGCATCCCGACTAGCTGGGACTACAGGCACATGCCATCACTCCTGGCTGATTTTTTTTTTTTTGAGATGGTGTCTAGCTGTGTTGCTCAGGCTGGAGTGCAGTGGCACGATCTCGGCTCACTGCAATCTCTGCCTCCCAGGTTGAAGTGATTCTCCTGCCTCAGCCTCCTGAGTAGCTGGGACTACAGGCACATGCCACCATGCCTGGCTGATTTTTTTGTATTTTTAGTAGAGAAGGGGTTTCACCATGTTGGCCAGGATGGTCTCAAGCTCTTGACCTCATGATCCACCGACCTCGGCCTCCCAAAGTGCTGGGATTACAGGCATGAGCCACCGTGCCCAGCCGATTTTTGTGTTTTTTGTAGGGATGGGGTTTCCCCATGTTGCCCAGGCCGGTCTTGAACTCCTGGGCTCAAGAAATCTGCCTGCCTCAGCCTCCCAAATTGCTGGGATTACAGATGTGAGCCACCACCCCCACCCAAGATCATTTTCTATCTGCTAGAAATAAAATATTTAGAATGTCTTTGGTATATTTAGATCTGTTGATGGCAAACTGTTTCAGTTTTTATTTGTCTGAAAATGTCTCCTTTATGGTTGTTTTTCTTCCAAATGTCTAATACACAGAAAGAAAACAAATGTCAACCCAGAATTCTACACCCAGCAAAAATATCCTTCAGGAATGAAGGCAAAATAAAGACATATGATCTTTCCACTGAACTCTTAGTTCTTCTCACCCAAACCTGCCCTTCCCTAGCAATCCCAAAATTTTGAGTGGAGAGTGCAAAAGTATTGGAGTTATCCAAGATTCGTTTTCTTTTCCTTTTATCTCATATCCGGTTCTTTGTTAAATCTTGTCTAATCTAGTTCAATCCAGCCACTTCTTACTTCCCCCACTTCAACAGCCTTAGCTCAAACCACCATCACCACCATTTCTCACCCAAACTGTAGCAATAGGCCCTATTGTTTTCTCTGCTTCCTCTCCCACCCACATTCTTTTTTTTTTTTTTTGAGATAATATCTCACTTAGTCCCCAGACAGGAGTACAATGGCTGCGATCACGGGTCACTGCAGCTTTGACCCCTCCGGGCTTAAGCTATCCTCCCATCCCTCAGCCTCCTGAGTAGCTGGGAGTATAGGCATGCACCACCACACCTGGCTAATTTTTGATTATTTTTTGTAGAGAAGATGTCTCACTATGTTTCCCAGGCTAGTCTCGAACTCTTACACTCAAGTGATCTGCCTGCCTCACCCTCCCAAAGTGCTGGGATGATAGGTGTGAGCCACCGCCCCTGGCCCACATTCTATTTTTGATAACACTTATTTATTTATTTATTTATTTACTTACTTATTTATTTTGACATGGAGTCTCACTCTGTCACCTGGGCTGGAGTGCAGTAGCGTGATCTCAGGTCACTGCAACCTCTGCCTCCTGGGTTCAAGCGATTCTCCTGCCTCAGCTTCCTGAGTAGCTGGGATTACAGGTGCCTGCCACCATGCCCGGCTAATTTTTTGAATTGTTTTTTTTTTTTAGTAGAGACGGGGTTTCACCATGTTGGCCAGGTTGGGCTCAAATCCTGACTTTGTGATTCGCCTGCCTCACACAGGAGATATTGTTATTTCCCTGCTCAAACCCTCCAGTGTCTTTGCATCACATTTAGAATAAGATACAAACTTGGCTGGGTGCGGTGGCTCACGCCTGTAATCCCAGCACTTTGGGAGGCCGAGGCAGGTGGATCATTTGAGGTCAGGAGCTCGAGATCAGCCTGGCCAACATGGTGAAACCCCGTCTCTACTAAAAATACAAAAACCAGCTGGGCATGGTGGCACAGGCCTGTAATCCCAGCTACTCGGGAGGCTGAGGCACAAGAATGGCTTGAACCTGGGAGACAGAGGTTGCAGTGAGCTGAGATCACACCACTGCACTCCAGCGTGGGAGACAGAGCAAGACTCCGTCTCAAAACAAATCAAAACAAAAAAAGAATAAGATACAAACTCCATCCTTAGTGTACATGGTTGGCTCCTAGCTACCTCTCTAACTTGATTTCATGCTGTTGCTCTCCCTGGTTCACTGAGCTTCAGCCACACTGGAACCTCATTGTTCTCACTCATGTCCACTTTACATCCATCTCAGGGCCTTTCCTCCTGCTCTCCCTTCTGCCTGGAATGTGCCCTTGCATTGCGGTCTGACTCCCTCCCTCACTTCATTTTCCTCTCTGCTCAGATGTCAATTCATCAGGAAGAGCTTCCCAGACCATCCTTTCTAAACTGGTAGTCCTAGCACTCTCTCTTTTTTTTTTTTTTTGAGATGGAGTCTCGCTCTATTGCCCAGGCTGGAATGCAGTGGCACGATCTTGGCTCACTGCAACCTCCTCCACCTCCTGTGTTCAAGCGATTCTCCTGCCTTAGCCTCCCGAGTAGCTGGGATTACAGGCGTACGCCACTGTGTCTGGCTAAATTTTTTTTTTGAGATGGAGTCTTGCTCTGTTGCCCAGGCTGGAGTGCAGTGGCACGATCTTGGCTCACTGCAACCTCCTCTGCCTCCCGGGTTCAAGTGATTCTCCTGTCTTAGCCTCCCAAGTAGCTGAGATTACAGGCGCATGCCACCATGCCTGGTTAATTTTTGTATTTTTAGTAGAGACGGAGTTTCCCCATGTAGGCCAGGCTGGTATCAAACTCCTGACCTCAAGTGATCCACCTGCCTCGGCCTCCCAAAGTGTTGGGATTACAGGTGTGAGCCACTGCACTCAGCAGTCCTGGCCCTCTCTATCCCCTTCTCTGCTTTAATTTTCTTCGTAATAATTGTAACTTTCTGACCTCATTTCATATGTTCTAGATTGTAAACTCCAAAAGGACAAAACTTTATCTTATTCACTTTAATCATCCTTAGTGTCTAGAACAGTTCCTGGCACAGAAGAGATTCTCAATAAATGCCTATTGAATGGATAAATAGCATTGTGTCTATTTACAATAAGAATGCATATTAAAACATTTTAGTGCACATATAGCTTGGGTACCTAACTTTATCAGCTTCTTATTACAAAGTTGGGCTTAATTCCCTGATTACCTCAACACCCCATTCATGTGATGACAAATCCTCAGTCTCTCCTCAGAGGGATCCCCAGTTATCTCTGGGAGTTCCCAAAGTAGGGCTCACCGGAGTGGCGTGCTGGAGTCAGCATGCACAGGCGCCCTAGAGCCAATTGTTACATCTTCAGGAATCCTGTGAGCTGCTTGTTATTTGGTGGTAGCTTGAAATTGGCCCTGGTGGGAATATTTATACCATGGAAATTAATGAATGCTACAAGTCAGGGTGGTTTTCTTAAATTAAAGAAAAATTTTGAGCCAGTTTACCAATACAAGGGTCCCCAAACTAGTTAGTAAACTACAGTCACCAGACGGCATCAACTCTCTAGCTGAGGCCCCATGGGGAAGGCTCTTGAAGCCCCAGTCACCACTGCCCAGCCTGAGAAGGCCAATGTCCCTGCCAAGGCCAGTCTATCATATACACTCAGGGAGACAGAGGTGAAGGCAGGGGCTGCCCGTCTGGTACATACAGAAACAGAACGGAGCTTCGAAGCTACAGGGTGCCTCCAAAACTTCCCTCAGCTGCTTCTCTCACCATCTGGCTTTCAGAGCTCTTAGAATCTATTTTATGTCATTTTATTTTCTATTTTATTGTTTTTAGAGACAGGGTCTCACTCTGTTGTTCAGGCTGGAGTTGAGTGGCACAATCATAGCTCACTGTGACCTTGAACTCCTGGGCTCAAGTGATCCTCCCGACTCGGCTTCCTGAGTAGCTAGGATTACAGGCATAAACCACCATGTCTGCCTATTTTTTCTTTTTTTTCTTTGAGATACAGTCTCATCCAGGCTGGAGTGCAGTGGCACCATCTCAGCTCACTGCAACCTCCACCTCCTAGGTTCAAGCGAACCTCCTACCTCAGCCTCCTGAGTAGCTGGAATTACAGGTATGTGCCACCATGCCAGGCTAATTTTTGTAATTTTGGTAGAAATGGGGTTTCACCATGTTGCCCAGGCCGGTCTTGAACTCCTGGGATCAAGCGATTTGCCCACCTCGGCCTTCCAAAGTGTTGGGATTACAGGCATGAGCCACCACACCCAGCCCCACCTATTTTTTTTTTATTTTATTTTGTAGACATGGAGTCTAGCTACACTGCCCATGCTAGTCTTGAATTTCTGGCCTCAAGCGATCCTTCTGCCTTGCCCTCCCAAAGCACTGGGATTACAGGTGTGAGCCACCACACTTGGGCATTATTTTATTCTTGAACCAAGGCACCACAGTGGTGGTAGCAAGGGTGGCCTGGGGACTCTATCCTCCTGTGGCAGACTCTGCTCATCATATTTTCCATATCCGTGGTTTCCTCTTTTTTACTTGGCTGTGATGCCAGAGCCACAGAACAGCAGAGCAAGAAGACAGAAGCAGCTACCAGCCATATGGGTGCTGGAGACAAAATAAAATCTTTCTACTCACATGAGACACTGTTGGCTGGCTTATGTGTGCTTGAATCAGTTCCTAACTGATACACTCTGATTTGTAGCATTCACTAATTTCCGTGGTGTAAATATTCCCCCTGGGGCCAATTTCTCTATAATGTCCGTCCACTCCCCTAAGCCAGTTAAGTAAAAACACGTATTTTCTATGTAAGTACAACATCAAAACAAGTTCCCTGGGAATCCACCCCATGGCCAGATGGCTGCCTCCAAGCCTCTTCATAGCCTCTAGGGCTGCCCTTGTGGTTCCATAAATGTCCCTTCTCTTACTTGCTGCGTTACTGCCTCCCTAGGACGCACCCAGGCAGGAAGCACCCAGAAGATATTTCTCCTGAGTCTGCTTCCTCCACAGGACAAGACATTTATGCCAAGGAGACAGCAGAGTGGGGGCTTTTAAGCTTGTGGTTTGAGCCCTGATACTTACAAGCATCCTGGGAGTTATTTGTTTAACTCTCAGTTTGCTCTTCTGTATAATGGGCTCAATATTCCCAGCCTTACCGGGCTGATTGCTGTGAAGATTAAATGAGAAAATACCCAGAGTAAGTGCTCAGTGCTGTGCCCAGTCATCTTAGGATAAATTCCTTGAAGAGGAATTTCTGGGTTGCAGTTTCTGCTCATTCAGAATTTTGAAATTAAATTTTGAATTAAAAAATGCCTTCAAATGGGTTAATTCCAGTGTGAGAATATCCCATTGCTCCAGAACTTCATTACTACCATGGATGGTCATTTTCTTTATCTTTGCTAATTGTTTAGGCAAAGGCAGTATTTTTTTTTTCTCATTCACTTTAAAGTTGGGTGTCTCTTTAATTCCTAACAGAGTTGATTACTCTTTCATGTTTTTTGGTCATTTGGATTTCTTTTGACAATTTTTTTTTTGAGACAGAGTTTCACTCTTGTTGCCTAGGCTGGAGTGCAATGGCACAATCTCAGCTCACTGCAACCTCCGCCTCCTGGGTTCAAGCGATTCTCCTGCCTCAGCCTCCCGAGTAGCTGGGATTACAGGCACCCACCACCATACCTGGCTAATTTTTTGTATTTTTAGTAGAGATGGGATTTCACCATATTGGCCAGGCTGGTCTTGAACTCCTGACCTCAAGTCATCTGCCCACCTCAGTCTCCCAAAGTGCTGGGATTACAGGCGTCAGCCACCGCACCCGGCCATTGCAAATTTCTTGTTCTCACCTTGCACCTGTTTTCTTTTGAGTTGTAGGGGGTGAGGGAGACGGAGCAGTTGAAGCTGGTTTGGGTGATGCAGTGGCAGTAGAATTGACAATAAGAAGAGGGATGTGAGAGAAGTTTGAAAGCAAAATAGATGGTGATTTTGGTGATGGTTTGGTTGTGGGTGGAGAAGGAGAGAGGGCAGTTCAGAATGACACCCAGGTTTCTGGTTTGAACAGTTCATTTGACAGCAGCGGCCTTTTCTGAGATGAAGATTAGTGGTGAAGATGATGTTTGTCATTTTGGTCATTTGAGTTTGAGATGCTCTGTGGAGCACCAGAGTCTAGTAAACAGTTGGATTTGTAGGCTTGGTGCTCTGAAGGCAGATGTCAGTGGGAGGCCAAGTCCTTGATCTGTGGTATGAGAATTCCCATGGAGACTGTGCAAGGAAGAGGACTTAATAGAGAAGAGAGAGGAACGCCTGTACTGAACAGGTGGACAGAGAAAAAAGACTGGGAAGTAGTGATGGGAAAAGTAATCGGAGATGAGAGGGGTGGGGGCCATGGATGCTACGGAAGAGGGTGATCATGACGAAGAAGGGGGGGAACAGGATCAAAGACATTGCGTAAGACCAAGAGGAGAGATATCCCCGTGGGTTTGGAGATGAGGAAGAGCTGTTTAATAGTGCGAGGGTGGCAGAAGCCAGACTATGATGGGTTGAGGAGTGAATGAGGTGAGGACACAAATATTGAGGGTTAGGTCTCTACAGGGTCAGAAATGTTGAGGAAAATGAGTGGTGGTCCTAGCTAGAGGGGGCATGCCTATTTCCCCACCCCTTTACCAATACTGGATTTGGCCATTTTTAAAAATTTATTAATTTTTATTTATTTAGTTTTTGATACAGGGTCTCGCTCTCTCACCCAGGCTGTAGTGCAGTGGTGTGATCATGCCTCACTGCAGCCTTGACCTCCTGGGCCCAAGCCATCCTCCTACCTTAGCCTCCCAAGTAGCTGGGACTACAGGTGTGCACCACCATGCCCGGCTAATGTTTGGGTTTTTTGTAGAGACAGGGTCTCCCTATGTTACCCAGGCTGGTCTCATGGAACTCCTGGGCTCAAGTGATCCTTCCACTTTGGCCTCCCAAAATGCTGGGATTACCAGCGTGAGCCACCGTGCCCAGCCCAGTTTTTAGTCTTCCCCTAGTTGATAAGTAAAAGTGTCTTTTCACTATTTTTATTTGCATTTATTTGATTTTCAGTGTGGTTAATTGGTCATTTGCTTTTCTTAGAAGAGTTACCCCTCCCAGGGTTGTTAGATTTAGCAAATAAAACATAAGATGCCCAGTTAAAGCTGAATTCCAGATTGTTAACTGAAAAAATCACACCATTTATAAATTTGGCAAGACTTTATTTCTTGTAAAGGGTTGCAGCCTGCAGGTTGGCCATTCTGCATGCTGAGAAGCACAGCCTCCAGCAGAGGCCCCTTAAGCACTTGGGGAGAGGGGAGAATGGAACAGGGATTTCTGCTGAATGGGTTGGTCAAAGTATACATATTCAGCAGGTTATAGGAAGAGCCATGAATATTCACAAAGGGGGGCCTGACACATGAATACTGAACAAACATGCATGTTACATGCATCCCATGTTCACTTTGGGGTGGGGACATAACATTTAAATGCCTTACAATTAAGCCCTATACATCAAAAGGTGAAGTAGGAACAGGAAGGCACTCAAGCGTAGCCTCTGTAAACCACCCAGAGCCAGTCCATGAGTGGTGATCTCTTATCAGGAGAACGTTACTGAAATGAGTCTCTTGTCCAGTCAAAGTCGTAGTTATGGCTTGTGGAGCAGGGCTGGGAGGGGGTCAGTTAGTCAGAGTCTCACGGTAAATGAGCTGCAACTGTTTTACTATCGCTTGTTTCAAAGCTAGGGTTTGTTTAGCTGCTAGAGAAAAAGAAAATAGAACATAGTTTATTCTCTCTCTCTTTTTTTTTTTTTTGAGACCAATTCTCTCTCTGTTGCCCAGGCTGGAGTGCAGTTGCACAATCTTGGCTCGCTGCAACCTCTGCCTCCTGGGTTCCAGTGATTCTCCTGCCTCAGCCTCCCGTGTAGCCTCCCGCATAGGTGGGTGTGTGCATGCCACCACATCCAGCTAATTTTTTTTTTTTTTTTTTTTGTATTTTTAGTAGAGACAGGGTTTCACCATGTTGGCCAGGCTGGTCTTGAACTCCTGATCCACCCACTTTGGCCTCCCGAAGTGCTGGGATTGCAGGTGTGAGCCACCATGCTTGGCCTAGTTTATTCTTAAATTTTTTTTTTATTTTTAAAATTTTATTTTATTTGAAAAATAGAGATGGGATCTCACTATGTTGCCCAGGCTGGTCTTGGACTCCTGGCCTCAAGCAATCGTCCAACCTCGGCCTCCCAAAGCACTGGAATTACAGATGTGAGCCAACATGCCTGACCCATAACTTATTCTATGAGTGTAGGGGTGCGTGACTTAACCCTAGCTTGGCATGGCCTTATGTCTTGTTTATAATTTGGTTTCGTATTGTCACAAACTATCTGTCTCATCAGTCTTACAATCACTATTTTTTTTTCCTCGCTCTGTGGCCCAGGCTGAAGTACAGTGGCACGATCTCGGCTTACTGCAACCTCTACCTCCTGGGTTCAAGTGATCCTCATGCCTCAGCCTCCCAAGTAGCTGGGACTACAGGCAGGCGCCACCACACCTGGCTAATTTTTTGTATTTTTTAGCAAAGATGGGGTTTCATCATGTTTCCCAGGCTGGTCTTAAACTTCTGACTTCAAGTGATCCACCCACTTTGGCCTCCCAAAGTGCTAGGATTACAGGTGTGAGCCACCTCGCCCTGACTTTACGATCTCCATTTTAACGTGAATGCTGGCCAGTTGTTGTGTCTAAACTGCAAAAGGGAGAGGGTATAGCGAGGCGCATCCTATCTCCTGTCCTGTCATGGCTGGGAACTCAGTTTTTAAGGTTTCTTCGGAGCCTGCATGGTTACCAGTGGGTCCGTTCGGTGGTTGGGAGTGCTAAGGACTTTATTTTTAGTTCTCAAGATAAACAAGAAATACTTTTAAAGTATAAGTATGTCCCAGATAATTCATGGGGTATACCTGTATTTTATCTGGCCACCCTCCCCCACCCCAAGTTTATAAAAAATACCACATGTACACATTTATAGTCCAGTGTAGTTTCACTTAGTGTTTTGAGTCATTTCAAGTTTATTTTGTGAGATATAGTTCTAACTTAATTTTTTCTTTTTTCTTTTTTTTTGAGACAAAGTCACACTCTTGTCCCCCAGTCTGGAGTGTAATGGTGTGATCTCGGCTCACGGCAACCTCCACCTCCCGGCTTCAAGTGATTCTCCTGTCTCAGCCTCCCGAGTAGCTGGGATTACAGGTGTGCACCACCACGCCCAGCTAATTTTTTGTATTTTTAAGTATAGACGGGGCTTCACCATGTTGGCCAGGCTGATCTCGATCTCCTGACCTCAGGTGATCTGCCCACCTCGGTTTCCCAAAGTGCTAGGATTACAGGCGTGAGCCACTACACCCGGCTCACTTTTTCTTAAGTGGTTAGGAAGTTGTCCCAACATTATTTATTGAATAATCTAGCAATTTCTCACTGATGAGGAAAACCATGTTGATCATTCATCGAATTCTTTTATGCACTTTGGTCTCATCTTTCTATTCTGTTTTATTGATCACTTGTCTATTCTGTTTTATTAATTATGATTTTAACTTTTCTCTATTTATGATGCTTTGACATCCTGGGGGTATTACTAATCTTGGAGAGATCACCCCTCCCAGGGCTAGCTCATTCTTAGTAAACAACTTGCCTGTGAGCAAGTTGTTTAAAAGCAAGTTGTTCTGTATGAAAACCAACCAATCTGGAGCCCATACCTGAAACTACCTTCTTATCTAACATACCAACCCAAAATTCCTCCTGCCCTAAACTGAGGCAGAGCCAGGTATTAGACAACCAGGGACCGCCTCTTCATCCCAGAGCTAGTGAAATTATTCAGACTATCCAATTCTAAACCTGTTCAGCTGCTTACCTGGCCTCACCCACTCCTTCCCAGGAGTACCACAAGAAAGGCCCTGGCCCATGCTTTCCCCTGCTCCTTCTGCCTCTTGACTGACCCTGGTGCTTCTCTGTGTGGCCCTGCATGGTGTGGCATGCACCCTCCTTCTGGGAACTGTTAATAATAAACCCTTCTTTCAAGGGGAGTTGTGTCTGTCACCTTACCATGTTTGATGAGAATAAAATCCTTTTAAATATATGTGTGTATATATATATATATATATATATATATATATATATATATATAAAATAATTATTATTTTTTTTAGACGGAGTCTTGCTCTGTCTCCCAGGCTGGAGTGCAGTGGCACAGTCTTGGCTCATTGCAGCCTCCACCTCCTGGGTTCAGGCGATTTTCCTGTCTCAGCCTCTGGAGCAGCTGGGATTACAGGTGAGTGGCACCACACCCGGATAATTTTTGTATTTTTAGTAGAGATGGGTATCACCCTGTTGGCCAGGTTGGTCTCAAACTCCTGACCTCAAGAGACCCGCCCGCCTTGGCCTCCCAAAGTGCTGGGATTACAGGCATGAGCGACCGCGCCCAGCCAAAATCCTTTTAAATTTTAAAACGTCTGTGCCAGTGCCATATTGTTTTAATTTCTAAAACTTTGTAATATATTTTAATGGATGGGGAAGCCCCTTCTCAATCTTATTTTTCAGATTTTTCCTGAATATTTTTATAGCGTTATGCCTCAATTTAATTTTAGAATTGCTTTCTAAATTCTAAGATAAGGTCTTTAGGGATTTTGAGTTGGAATATGTAAATTTTAACGTTAATTTGAGGGAAATAGGTGGGTATGCCTTTACCAATATTATGAATGGAATATTTGCCCATTAACTTTTCTAACTATTTAAAGCAATTTTTTTTTGAGATGGAGTGTCACTCTGTCACCCAGGTTTGAGTGCAGTGGCATGATCTTGGCTCACTGCAACCTCCACGTCCCAGGCTCAAGTGATTCTCCTGCCTCAGCCTCCTGAGTAACTGGGACTACAGGCACGTGCCACCATGCCCAGCCAATTTTTGTATTTTTAGTGGAGACGGGGTTTCACCATGTTGACCAGGCTGGTCTTGTACTCCTGACCTCAAGTGATCCGCCCACCTCATCCTTCCGAAGTGCTGGGATTATAGGCATGAGCCACCACACTCAGCCTCTAACTACTTTTTATTGTTTGGTGAGAATGCTATTGATTTTTGTATATTTGCTTTATAATTGGCTATGTTCCTGGACTCACTTAATATTTTTAATGGATTTTTTTGGGGGGGATTTCTAGATATATAGTCATATTAACTTTATATGATGCTTACTTTGCCTCCTTCCTTCTAATATTTATATATCATTTCATGTGTTTCCCTAACTAAATTAACTAGGACTTTCAGAGCAATGTTAATTAAGAGTTGTGACTGGGACGCTTGATTGTTCTTCGCTTAATGGAGCTAGAGTTTCATTGTGAAACATGATGCTTAAAGTTGGTCTGAGACATTTTAAAAAATCATAAGAAAGAATCTTATTTCTATTTTACAAAGGCTTTAAAAACTTAGTTATATGGATATTATATTTATCAAGTGCATTTTCATTATCTTTTAAAATATGTGGTTTTCTTTTTCTACTTATTAACAAGATAAATTATATTAATAGGTTTTCTAATATTGATCTATCTTTTTATTCCTGTAACTAATACCACTTGGTCATGGTATATTTTTCTTTTAAACCATTATTATAGACTAGTTCCTAGAATAAATTACATTAATAGATGTATTAATATTGAACCATCCTAACATTCCTATGATAAACACCACTTGATCAAAGTATATTTCTATCCTAATACACTGTTAAGTTGTCCTTGCTAGTATTTTTAAGAGTACGAACTCCCAGCCTGTAAACGCAGTTGTATAAGAAATATAGCATTTCTCTCTCTCTCTCTTTTTTTTTTTTTTCAGAGGCAGGGTCTTGCTATGTTGTCCAGGCTGGACTGCAGTGGCCTATGGGCTCAAGCAATCCTGCCTCAGCCTCCCAAGTAGTTCAGACTACAGGCACATGCCACCAAGCCTGGCTTTTTATCTTTTTTAGTTTTTGAGATAGGGTCTTGCTATGGTGCCTAGGTTGGTCTGGGACTCCTGTCCCCAAGCTATCCTCCTGCGTCAGCCTCCTAAATAGCTAGGATTACAGGTGTGAGCCACCACGCCCAGCAACATTTCTCATCCTGCCTCAATTTTATTTAGGAGTTTTGTAGCAATGTGAGTAAGCGAGGTTGGTCTTGTCTTTTTCTTTTCTGCATGACCCTTGTCGAGTTAGGTGGACAAGATCTTCTTAAAGAAAACCAAGGATATTTTCTTCTTTCTCTATGCCCTGGAACAGTTGTCCCTGTTAATTCATAGAACTGCCTAACATAGGATGCATTATTTCCATTTTATACCTGAGGATACTGAGGTTCAGACTGGCCGCCATTAAGCCTGATGTCAAGGTCTCCGGGAACTTTGTTACAGAGAAGCAACGTAGCATGGTGGTTGTCTTAACACATTTGTGCTGCTGTAACAAATTACTTGAGATGGAGTCATTTATAAAGAACAGACATTTATTTTCTCACCGTTTTGGAGATTGGGAGTTCCAAGACCAAGGTGCTGACAGGTTTGGTGTCCAGAAAGGCCCTGCTCAGATTATGGTATCTTCTTACCACGACACCCTCACGTGGCACAAGGGGGAAGAGCAGAAAGGGGCCTAGCTAGTTCCTTTGAGCCCTTTCATCACGGCACTAATCCCATTCACAAGGGCAGTCCCTCATGACTTCATCACCTCCCAAAAGGCCCCACCTGTTAATACCATCACCTTGGGGTTTCAGTTCCAGTATATGAGTTTTGAAGGGACACACATCCAAACCATTGCAGTGGTTAAGAGTTTGAGCTCAGCGGGGCACAGTGGCTCATGCCTGTAATCCCAGCACCTTGGGAGGCCTAGGTGGATGGATCACCTGAGGTCAGGAGTTCGAGACCAGCCTGGCCAATATAGTAAAACCCTGTTTCAACTAAAAACACACAAAAATTAGCTGAGCGTGGTGGCACACGCCCATAATCCCACCTACTTGGGAGGCTGACGCAGGAGAATTGCTTGAACCTGGGAGGCTGGGGTTGCAGTGAGCCAAGATTGCGCCACTGCACTCCAGCCTAGGTGACAGAGTGAGACACCATCTCAAAAGAAAAAAAAAAGAGTTTGAGCTCTCAGGACAGGCTAACCAGTCAAGTGACCTTACTGGGGAGTTGGGAGACCTTCACCTACAGTTCTCATGAGTTCTCATCTCAAGATGACTGAGTATAGAACTGAGAGCATTGCCTGGCACATAGTAAACACTAAATAGATGGGAGTTGGAAAACAGAATGGAACAAAACCAAACCCAGAAGGCGGAACCAGGAATCAGGCCAAGGGAGAAGAGCCGTTCTGAGGATGGCTGCTTCCAGGCTGAGGAAAAGCGTCAGGAACAATCTATCTCTGTCCTCAGTAGCACTCCTTCTGTGCCTTCCAGATTAGCACGTCTTGCCAGAACAGAGATGCGGGCACCAGCTCAACAATTGGTTTTCTGCCTGGAGGCCTCAGATTCTCCTAAGCCAGGGCCCTTTATGGTCAGTCCTGGCCCGGGATTGTATTAGAAGAAAGACTTCTGCAATCAAAGTAAAAGCAATTCGCTTTCTTTTTTTTTTTTTTAAATAAAGCGACAGGGTCTTGCCCTGTTGCCTAGGGTGGAGTGCAGTGGCATGATCGTAGCTCACCACAGCCTCAAACTCCTGGGCTCAAGAGATCCTCCTACCTCAGCCTCCCAAGTAGCTAGGACTATTGGTGCACACCACCATGCCCATCTAATTTTTTATTTTTATTTTTTTGTAGAGATGGGGTCTCACTTTGTTTCCCAGGCTGGTCTTGAGTTCCTGGGCTCAAGTGATCCTCTGCCTTTGTCCCTGAAAGTACTGGGATTACAGGCCTGAGCCACCTCACCTGGTTGCAATTCACATTTTTACTGGTATGTCCTGAATAATGTAAAAAAGGATTTGTGATGGTTAATTTTAGGCATCAACCCGACTGGGTTAAGGGATACCCCATTAGCTGGTGAAGCCTTATTTCTGGGTATGTCTGTGAGGGTGGAAGAGACGGGCATTTGAACCAGTGGACTGAGTAAGGAAGATTCACCCTCACCCGAATGACTGAGGGTCTGGATGAAACAACAAAGCAGAGGAGAGGAAAATTCACTCCCCTGGAGCTGGGACACTCATCTTCTCCTGCCCTTGGACATCAGAACTCCAGGTTTTCTGGCCTCTGGACTCCAGGACTTGCACCAGTGATCCGCCAGGTTGTCAGGCCTTTGGCCTCAAACTCAGAGATACACCATTGGCTACCCTGATCTCAGGCCTTTGGACTTGGACTGAGCTATGCCACTAGCTTCCCTAGCTCTTCAGCTTGCAGATGACATACCATGAGGCTTCTCAGCCTCCATAATCATGTGAGACAATTTCCACAGTTAATTTCCTCTCATCTATCTATCCATCCATCTCATATGTATCTATCTATCTCACCTCTATCTCTATCTATTTAATCACTAGCTTTTTTTTTTTTTTTTTTTTTTTTTTGTGAGACGGAGTCTCGCTTTATCACCCAGGCTGGAGTGCAGTGGCTCCATCTTGGCTTACTGAAACCTCCGTCTCCTGTGCTCAAGTGATCCTCCCACCTCAGCCTCCCAAGTAGCTGGGACTACAGGCGTGTGCCACCATGCCCAGATAATTTTTGTATTTTTAGTAGAGACAGGGTCTCACTATGTTGCCCAGGCTGGTCTTGAGCTCCTGAGCTCAAGGGATCCACCTGCCTCAGCCTCTCAAAGTGTTGGGATTACAGGTGTGAGCCACCGCGCCCGTAATCTGTATCTCATCTCTATATCTATCTGTCTATCTATCTATCTATCTATCTATCTATCAATCATCTATCTTATGTATCTAATCCATCATCTATCAATCATCTATCTAATCTATCTTCTATCTAATCTATCACCTATCTGTCATTTATCTTATCTGTCTATCTATATCCACCCATCTAATCCATCCATCCATCCATCCATCCATCCATCCATCCATCCATCCTATAGGTTCTGCTTCTCTGGAGAACTCTAATAATATAGGATTCAATGAAGAATGCTCATACCTGAAGTTGCCTCTTGTCTCACTCATCTCCCAGCTGCCTTGAAGACTCAGCCCTTCACCCTCAACTCCCATCCCAGCTGGGTGACCATCCCCTCTCCTTCCAGCCCTCATTCCATTCCTTCTCTATGTGGTGCTCACTCATGGAGCTCAGCCCCCAACATGACCTCCAAGGCAAGGTAGTTTGTTTTGGGCTCTGATTCTTCTCCCACATGAACCAGCTGCTCCTAGAACTGGCTGACACTCTTCTTTGATGTCCTTGAGGATGATTTTTGTTTGCAGAGAAGACTATTAAGAAGGTTTATTTTTGGTTTTAAAAATGGAGTCGATTTATTAAAATTACAAATTCAAAAACCTTGGTTCCTCCTTAGGCTTTTATGTTCAGCTTACAAATCTTATTATTCTATTTATAAGCCTAATAAATGTCAACAATAATTTTTAAGGTGACTTTGAATAATGTTTGGTCCCACTTAAGAACTTAATTAAACACCTTTACAACTATAAAACTGCACTGATAAACTTAATAAATATATTTGATTTCTTTTTTAAGTATTTAAGTTTTCTCACTTAACAAACAAAACTTCCCTAAGTACAAAATAATTCTTATCAATCTAGAAAATTAAGCTAATAAATATGGTGAGCCTAAAACTCACTTAGATTTTCCAATATTGTGCATTACTTTAATAAGATTTCAATTTGAAATCATAAGTCTTAATTAATTACCCCATTGCACATTTAAAATGGAGTTACAAGATTGTCATTCTAGTAGGCCAAATACTCTTAAACATTATAAATACATAAAACACTATGGTTTTGATGGTCTTAGACCTTTCTATACTTAATTTTAAATAATAATCGCTAATGCTTATATAGTGTTTTCTATGTGCCAGGTTCTGTTCTAAGTGCTTTTCATGTATTACGCATTAGTGCATTTAATTATCATGACCCTTGACCACACACCTCGAGTGGGCCCGGAAGGCTGCCTAGCAAGCACACTCCATGCCGCAGACCCTTCACTCTCCCACATGCTCTGAAGTGAGTGCTTCATACATCCTGCTCACTCCTCAACCTCCCAGCACCTCTCCCGTCTCATTCTCAGCCAGTGACCTGCCCTGCAATGATCCATGGTCATCCCCATCAGCAAGCAGACATGCTGTGATTTCTCCCATCTTATAACACAGAACAAGACAAAACAAATGTTTTTGACCAGATTTTCCTGCCAGCTACTACCCCACTTTTTTCTTACTCACCTCTGCGGTAAAACTCCTCAAGAGGGTGGTGGGTTTGGCTCCCCATTCCTCTCCTCCCAGGCTATTCTAAACCCACCCTGCCAGTCCTTCTCTTCAGTACTTGCCTGGATCATCTTCTTTCATCTTAGTGGACGCACCCAGCAGTAGCATCTGACACGCCCTCTCTCTTCCTGCAGACACCACTTCTAGGACATCAGCTTCTCTGGGTTTTCCTCCTACCTCACTGGTTATGCTAAGTCTCCTTGGTGGTTCCTCCTCTTCCCTCGTCTCTGCTCATGTTGGATGTCCTGGGTCTTGGCAAGATCCATTGAAGCTCCTCTCTTCCCTATGTGCTCTCATTTCCTGGCTGGTCTTTAATACATTTTCTTATATGCCTATGATTCCTGAAGTTTTATTGTCAGCCTAGAACTCTCTTCTCACTCCATACTCAAGTATCCAACCACCTAGTGGAGCTCTCTACTTGGATGTCTAATAGACGTCTAAGAGCTGGGTGTGTGGTACGCACCTGTAGTCCTAGCTACTGGGGACACTGAGCGGGGAGGATTGCTTGAGCCAGGAGTTGGAGGCTGCAGTGAGCTGTGATCACGCCACTGCACCCCAGCCTGGGCGACAGAGTGAGACTCTTTCTCAAAAAATAAAATAAGATAAAATAAAAATAGACATCTCAAACTGAACATGTTCAAAACTGAATTCCTGATCTTTCCCCCACAAAGGCTGCTCTACCTCAGTTGATGAGTGTCCTTCCAATTGCTCAGACCAAAAACGGATGACTCCCCTCTCTTCCTCACACCCCATATTCCAGTTGGGAAATTCTGTTGGTTCTACCATCAAAATACATCCAGAATCTGGCCATTTCTTACCACCTCCGCTGTTACTGCCTTTGTCTGAACCACTGCGATCTCTCGCATGGATTGCTGCAATAGCCATTGCATTTCCTGACTGTTCTTCCTGCGTCCACCTTGTTCACTTATCTTCTAGTCTCAACACAGAATCCAGAGGGATTCTTTTAATATGTGATCAGATCATGTCCCTCCTCTGCTCAAAACCTTTGGTGGCTCCCATATCATTCAGAGTAAAAGCCAAAGTCCTTTCATTGCCCTCCAGGGCTTGCCACCATCTGATTCCTTTCCTTTTTTTTTTTTTTTTTTTTTTTTTTAGATGGAGTCTCTCTCTGTCACCCAGGCTGGAGTGCAATGGCGTGATCTCGGCTCACTGCAACCTCTGCCTCCCCGGTTCAAGTGATTCTTTTGCTTCAGGCTCCTGAGTAGCTGGGATTACAGGTGCATGCCACCACATCCGACTAATTTTTGTATTTTAAGTAGAAACAAGGGTTCATCATGTTGGTCAGGCTGGTCTCGAACTCCTGACCTTGTGATCCACCTACCTCGGCCTCCCAAAGTGCTGAGATTACAGGTGTGAGCCACCGCACCCGACCCTGATTCCTTTTCTTACTCCTTTCTCCCCTCCTCAGCTGCAGCCATCTGGTTTTCTTGTTTTTTCTCCAACACTCCCTGACAAGCTCTTGCCGCAGGGCCTTTGCACTAGCTGTTTGTTCCTTCTGCTGGGAGAGCTTTTTCCCCAGATATCTGCTTTGACTCACTCACTCACCTCCTTTAAGTTCCCACTCAAATCTCACCATCTCAATGAAGCCAACTCTGACAACTCTAGGAATCTAGCAAGCCCTCCCTCCCCTCTTTCTCCGTCTTTCTCTGCTTTATTTTTTCCTTTTTCCACAGCACCTATCATCTCCAGAAATACATATATTTGCTTGCTTATTGCATTCACTGTTTGTCTCCCCCTGCGAGAGGTCAAGATCTTTGTTTTGTTCTCTGATGTCTACCAAATGCCTAGAATAATGCTTGCATTTGGTAGGCACTCAATAAACACTTTCTTATATGTGTAATCCACGAGATAAATATAATTTTTATCACTTTTACAGCATCTGAAGGACGTAGTCTGGGGCCTGGCCCCAGAAGCTGAGGTACAAAGAAGGTAACAAACTTAATCAGATCACCCAGCCAATAAGTAGTGGAGCTGAGAGTTGAACTAAGAATCCTTGCACTTAGCCGCTACTTCAAATTGCTTTCTTGAAACTTACAAAATGGGAGCCTCATGTAGGCTGCTTCCTGGATTCCAGTGACTCACATGATCTAATTATTCTCTTTGCTCTGAGAAGGCTGCACTCCTACTCAGACTGGGGCTAGGTTTCACATTTCTTTGTCTCCTAAGATATGTAAACATGGTATTTCATTTTACAACAAAGACCTTTGAACTGGATTGGATCTTTCATTCTGTCACGTTCTTGGGGCCCCACAACTCCATGGACAGAAAGTGAGCACCACGAAGACAGGTCTTGTTGGATATTCTCTTTGTCCCTTTCTGATTCCCCAGTGCCCAGAGCAAGGTGGGTGCTCCACAAGTATGTGTTAAATGTCGTATGAATGACATTGGAGATGGTATCCAGTTAAATTTTAGCCTTGTGGCCTTGTTTGACTTGAGGTCATGGTTCATCATGCCTCAAGTCAGGCAATGAAAATGAGAAGGAACCAGTAGAGTATGGAACAGATTGGGAAATCTTCCCGTTTTCATCGTCTGAAAGTGCTGGAGTGCCTGCAGGGCACGGTGATCATCCATAGGCTTATGGCTCCTTGGGTAACTGCCCCCAGCGCCACGTGACCTGGGTGGAGTTATCAATCACGGTGCCCCAGTTGCCTCAGCCATGAAGTGGAGGAGCGTGCCCCAACCTAGGCAGGGCCCCAGACTGCATCCTTCAGACACTGTAACGACTGACCCTGCAACTGAAGCTGGACAAGCAGTCTATGGTTTTTATTATTGTTGTTCTGATTATTACTGTTATAATGAACAGGATAGGCCAGTCCTCGTTCTTATGTTTCACAAGGGAATGAAGGGTGGGCTGTCGGCGAGCTGCCTCTGAGGTTGCCAGTGGATCCCTTTCTGGTTGTGTGGACAATGTCTTAGTGTGTTCATGCTGCTTTAACAAAATACCTGAGACTGGATCATTTGTAAGGAACAGAAATCGATTTCTCACAGTTTTGCAGGCTGGAAGTTAAAGATCAAGGTGCTGGCAGGTTCAGTGTCTGGTGACGGGCTGGTCCCTGCTTCTAAGAGGGTGCCTCGTTGCTGTATCCTCCAGAGGGGACGAACGCTGTGTCCTCCCATGGCGGAAGCGACAGAAGGGCAAAAGAGCCTAGCTAGTTCCCTTGAGACCTTTTATAAGGGCACTACTCCCATTCATGCAGGTGGAGCCCTTATTTATTTATTATTTATTTATTTGTTTATTTATTGAGACGGAGTTTTCTCTTGTTGCCCAGGCTGGAGTGCAATGGTGCGATCTCAGCTCACCGCAACCTCCGCCTCCCAGGTTCGTGATCTTCCTGCCTCAGCCTCCTGAGTAGCTGGGATTACAGGCATGTGCACCATGCCCGGCTAATTTTGTATTTTTAGTAGAGATGGGATTTCTCCATGTTGGTCAAGCTGGTCTCGAACTCCTGACCTCAGGTGATCCATCCGCCTCGGTCTCCCAAAGTGTTGGAATTACAGGCATGAGCCACTGCAACCGGCCTATTTTTTTGAGACAGGGTCTCTCTCTGTCGCCCAGGCTGGAGTGTAATAGCGTGTTCTCGGCTCACTGCAACCTCTGCATCCCAGGCTCAAATGTTCCTCCTGCGTCAGCCTCCCAGGTAGCTGGGACTACAGGCATGCACCCCTATGCCTGGATAATTTTTTATATTTTTTGTAGAGAGAGGGTTTTGCCATGTTGCCCAGGCTGAGAGCTCTTATGTCTTAATCACCTCCTGGAGGCCTCACCTCTGGGTACTATCACACTAGGTTTTAGTTCCACCCTTATGAATTTTGGGGGACACATACATCCAAACCATAGCAGAGACTGTGTAACATGAAGGAGTGGAGCCAGCACACAGAAAAAGGTGAGAGAGAGATAGAGATGGAGGAGGAGAAAGGAGGGAGGGAGGATGAGAGGGAGGGAAGAAGGAAGGAAGAGAGGGGAAGAGGAAAACAGAGAGAGAGAGAGACTTATGATTTGTTTTAATGAGAGCTCTTCAACAGCCTTTTAAATCTTTTCTTTGATTATTGTTCTCTTCAGCTTTTCTACTTCTCGAGTCAATTTTGGTCATTTATATTTTGATTGACTGTCAGTCTCCCGTGGACTAAGACATTTGTTGCCATAATGCTAACTTTTAAATTATTTAGTAACTTCTATAACTGTAGTGATATCTCCTTTCTCATCCTTTATATATATTTTCTCTCTTTTTTACTTATTTAAGCTTGCAAGTGATTTTGTGCTTTTATTTTATTTTGAGACGGGGTCTCACTCTGCTGCCAAAGCTGGAGTGCAGTGGTGTGATCGTAGGTCACTATAGCCTCAACCTCCTAGTGATCCTCCCACCTCAGCCTTCCGAGTTGCTGGGACTACAGACTTGCACCACCATGCCTGGCTAATTTATTTTATTTTATTTTATTTGTGGAGACAGGACCTCACCATGTTGCCCAGGCTGGTTTTGAACTCTTGGGTTCAAGTGATCTGGTGGTCTTGGCCTCCCAAAGTGTTAAGTTTACAGGCATGAGCCACTGTGCCAGTCAATTTTGTGCATTTATGTATGTATGTATGTATGTATTTATTTATTTATTTGCTATTTTTATCTTTATTTTTTGAGACAGTCTCGCTCTATTGCTGGAGTGCAATGGTGCGATCTCGGCTCACTGCAACCTCCGCCTCCTGGGTTCAAGCGATTCTCCTGCCTCAGCCTGCCAAGTAGCTGGGATTACAGGCACGTGCCACCATGCCTGTCTAATTTTTGTATTTTTAGTAGAGACAGGGTTTCACCATGTTGGCCAGGCTGGTCTTGAACTCCTGACCTCAAGTGATCTGCCTGCCTGGGCTTCCCAAAGTGCTGGGATTACAGATGTGAGCCACTGAGCCAGGCCAATTTTGTGTTTTTAAAAAGTACTTTCAAAGAGCCAGTTTAAAAATTTATCCTATTGAACGCTTTTACACTGTTGGTGGGACTATAAACTAGTTCAACCATTGTGGAAGACAGTGGGGCGATTCCTCAAGGATCTAGAACTAGAAATACCATTTGACCCAGCCATCCCATTACTGGGCATATACCCAAAGGATTATAAATCATGCGGCTATAAAGACACATGTACACGTATGTTTATTGCTGCATTATTCACAATAGCAAAGACTTGGAACCAACTCAAATGTCCATCAATGATAGACTGGATTAAGAAAATGTGGCACATATACACCATGGAATATTATGCAGCCATAATAAAGGATGAGTTCATGTCCTTTGTAGGGACATGGATGAAGCTGGAAACCATCATTCTGAGCAAACTATCGCAAGGACAGAAAACCAAACACCACATGTTCTCACTCATAGGTGGGAATTGAACAATGAGAACACTTGGACAGAGGGTGGGGAACATCACACACTGGGGGCCTGTCATGGGGTGGGGGGAGTGGGGAGGGATAGCATTAGGAGATATACCTAATGTAAATGATGAGTTAACGGGTGCAGCACACCAACATGGTACATGTATACATATGTAACAAACCTGCACATTGTGCACGTGTACCCTAGAACTTAAAGTATAAAAAAAAAATTGGCTGGGTGCGGTGGCTCATGCCTGTAATCCCAGCACTTTGGGAGGCCGAGGCAGGTGGATTATGAGGTCAGGAGATCGAGACCATCCTGGCTAACACGGTGAAACCCCGTCTCTACTAAAAATACAAAAAATTAGCTGGGCGTGGTAGCGGGCGCCTGTAGTCCCAGCTACTCGGGAGGCTGAGGCAGGAGAATGGCGTGAACCCGGGAGGCGGAGCTTGCAGTGAGCCGAGATCGCGCCACTGCACTCCAGCCTGGGCGACAGAGCGAGACTCCGTCTCAAAAAAAAAAAAAAAAAAAAAAAAAAAATACATGATTATGGCCAGGCACGGTGGCTCACGCCTCTAATCCCAGCACTTTGGGAGGCCGAGGTGGGCGGGTCACGAGGTCAGGAGATCGAGACCATCCTGGCTATCATGGTCAAACCCTGTCTCTACTAAAAATACAAAAAAAAAAAAAATTAGCCGGGTGTGGTGGCGGGGGCTGAGGCAGGAGATTCGCTTGAACCCGGGAGGTGGAGGCTGTAGTGAGCCAAGATTGTACCACTGCACTCCAGCCTGGGTGACAGAGCGAGGCTGTTTCAAAAGAAAAAAATAAATAAATGATTACTTATATATTAATATTTACCCTTTGACACAGCAATCCCACTTCTAGGGTTCTAACCTAAAGATACACAGAGAAAAATACCAAAATGATTTATGCACAAAGTTATTCATTGTGGCATTATTTGAAATTTTGGAAACAATCCAAATGTCCATCAGTAAGAGACGAACTGGGCTGGGCATAGCGGCGCATGCCTGTAATCCCAGCACTTCGGGTGGCCGAGGCGAGCGGATCACATGAGGCCAGGAGTTGGAGACCAGTCTGGCCAACATGGTGAAACCCCATCTCTACAAAAAATACAAAAGTTAGCCAGGCGTGGTGGCATGTGCCTATATTTCCAGCTACTAGGGAAGCTGAGGTGGGAGGATGGCTGAAGCCCAGGAGGTTGAGGCTGAGAGCCCTCATGTCTTAATTTCCTCCTGGAGGTCTTAAAAGTTCATCTTCATCTGGAAATCTTATTGTTAATAAAAATATTGGCATTATTTTTGAAACTATTTTATAAAAACCACGGAATAATGCAAATAAGTAATTGTTAGTGCTAGAATCTAAAATCTTCAGTGTATGAGAAAAAAGATACAAAGATAAGACCAAAGAGATTAAATAAATACCCCGAAATATTAGATTGGAATTGGAACTATCAGCAGAAACTCTTAATCCTTTTGTTTTTCCTGTTCAAAAGTATGTATTTCCTAGCTCTGTCCACTGAAAAGGTTTAGAAACAATAATAACCCGGCAGCAACGTGTGCACTTGTGCCCAGATCGTGTTCACCATCTACCAAGAACCAGGGCTCCTTGGAGGAATGGCAGATTCCAGGTCTGGGAAAAGAAGCAGACACATGGCCGGGCACGGTGGCTCACATCTGTAATCCCAACACTTTGGGAGGCCAAGGTGGGCGGATCACAAGGTCAGGAGTTCAAGACCAGCCTGGCCAATACGGTGAAACCCTGTCTTTACTAAAAATGCAAAAATTAGCCAGGCGTGGTGGTGTGTGCTTGTAGTCCCAGATACTCGGGAGGCTGAGGCAGAAGCATCACTTGAACTTGGGAGGCAGAGGTTGCAGTGAGCTGAAATTATGCCATTGTACTCCAGCCTGGGGGACAGTGAGAGACTCTGTTTCAAAAAAAAAAAAAAAAAAAAAACAGACAACAGGAGCCTGGGACATCCTATTGGGCCAGAAAGCAAGGACATTGTCAAAAAGTAATGGGATCATATCCAAAGGGCATAGGGGTCAACAAGAAGGGACACTCACTGGCTAAAGATGGGACTACTTATCATCAGAAAGAATGATGACTGAAATGGATTGAAACATACTATGTAAACACTCATTTTTTCATATCGATAGAGAGAAAGCCCTAAATCAAACAGGTATCATTAAATACCACTGGAGATAACCAGGGTGCAATTCCTTGTCCTGAGAATTAGCAATGGAAAGAAAGAATTAGGCCCTCATCCTGTCATTTTTCTACTACCGAATCTCAATTTAAAGCCCTAGTTTATGAGGGAAAGTTCTTTATTAAAAAATTCCAGCTAATAAATGTGAAAGGATTGATAGAATTAGAAAACCATCTTTTTTACAACTCCTAATAAAATGATGGATTCAGGCAATAATCCCCTATGGATGAAATTATTAATGTGAAAGGCTGATGGAGAATTTCATAATGGAGGGATCAGATTGTCACACCTGAGCCCATGGGCCCACCCTAGCACTGCTCTTGTATCTCCTGAAGTGAAGTCACGTGCAGTACACAACCCTTACAGTTGTGTCACGTGCAGTACAAACTAAGAACGGGCTGCCTTAGTTTGGATTTCCCAAAAAAGCAGACTGTATCTAGGAAAAGGATCGGGGTGCAAGTGATTTATTTGGAAGATGATCCCAGAAAGCATCCGTCTTTAAGAGAATAGGGAAGTGAGGCAGGGAAAGGCAGAAAGCCAATAAAAAGTGAATTAATGAGTGGGTCTTTACTCCGGGAACTGGAGCTCCATTCCTCTGGGGACCCTCTGAAAGGCTATACAGAACATGTCGGAAACCTTCCCTAGAGAGGCGAGGAAGCTGGGCTATTTAGCCACCAATCTCCACCCAACGCTAGTCAAAGGCTGCTCGGGGTTGTTAACTCCCTGGCTCTTCTCAGGAGCAGAAAATGCCCTCAGGTTGCAAGACTCAGAAGGTCTGCAGGTGGCCTCCAGCACTGGCCCATGGGACATGGTGGGACACCAACAGTGCCTGCTCTGGTGCCTTGCCAGAAGAGTTGAACCTGAGGCCGGACTTCTATCTACAGGAAATATAGGGGATGGAGAAGCAAGTAAATGATACCGCAAAGAGGCAAGTAGACACACCCAGGCCGTGGGGCTCCACAGGACCAATGATTCCTTCAACGAGGGTGTTCTCTGAGCTGGTTCCCACTGTAGGCAACTGGGCATATCCTGCTGGGGCCCCTCAGAGAAACCATGAGGAATACCCTCAGAATTGTTCCACAGAAGGTAGGAAAGCTGACGCATTTATCCATGATTCCAGTCCCTCATTGCTGAGGGCTGCCGCAGGGACATCAGCTTCCTGGACTTCCAAGCTGTGTCTGCTGGAGGGTTGAGTGGCCTTCTGCAGCTAAGGAGAAAGCCCGGAGGCAGAAAAGCTGAGGGAAGCTGCAGGGCGCATTTGAAATGGGGTTCAAGCAGGGTGCATGCAACTGTCCCCCCTGGATGCCCTGAGTCAACTGGGCCAAGCAGGTGTGAGGAGCGCCCCACCAGGGTCTGTACAGTGTCTCAGCAGATGAGTTCCTGCTGCAGGTGCACTTCTGGCCTTGCTGGCTGCCTCCAGCAGATGTAAGAGCTCTGGCCCTTACCACATACTGGAATTTCTCTGTGTGGGCTGTAACGAATGTGTGCCCCCCCCCCCAAGACGTGTGGGTGTGCGTGTGTGCACACATGTGTGTGCGCGCAGGTGATATGAAAGCGCTTTGTAGCCCTGCCTTGCTCTTAGAAGTACCCGATATTTCTCAGAGTGGTTTTCCTGGACCCAACCCATTTCCTCCTCGCAGACAGGGGCTCTGTGACACTTGAGCTTGGTCATGCCACTTCCCTGCTTAAGGTCATCCAAGCAGCACCGATGGCTCCTGAGTTCCCAGACCCTGAGATGCTGGAGTGGGGCTGGAGGATGGGCCATTGCTGGGCTGCCTAGATCAGGCACCTGGGCCCGTGGATCTTACAGGGGTCTCGAGAGGTTGATGGGGTGTTGAGGTCCTGAAGGGAGTACCATGGAGGTGGCCTCCTCCACGGGCCCCTGCCCTTGTCCTGGTCTCTGTCTCTCCCTATTTCTCACCTCTGCTTCTCTTGGTCTCACTTTTCCCATCTCTCTGTCTGCCTCAGTGTCCCCCTCTCTCCCTCCCCCCGACCTCTGTACCAGTTTCCCTACCCCTGGCCCCACTTCTGTCTCGGTCCTGGCCCCACCCTCCACCTGCCTCTAACTCCATTGCTTTTTGCACACCTCCTCCTCCTTCACAATAGTTTTCTTTTTCTTTTCTTTTTTGATGGAGTCTCGCTCTGTCACCCAGGCCGGAGTGCAGTGGTGGAATCTTGGCTCACTGCAACCTCCGCCTCCCAGGTTTAAGCAATTCTCCTGTCTCAGCCTCCCAAGTAGCTGGGATTACAGGCGCACACCACCATGCCCGGCTAAGTTTTGTATTTTTGGTAGAGACGGGGTTTTGCCAGGTTGGCCAGGCTGGTCTTGAACTCGTGACCTCAAGTGATCTGCCTGCCTCGGCCTCCCAAAGTGCTGGGATTACAGGCGTGAGCCACTGTGCCCGGCCCCTCATAATAGTTTTCTGCCTTCCTATCGAGAGTCAGTTTTTCAAGACAAAACAAAACAAAACAAAACCCACCACAACTTTAAAAACTCTTAGAAACATATTTTAATCACAAACGTGCAACACAGAAACATTAAGTTGGATAGAGGAAAAAATTCATAATCCCTTCACCCTAACTCGGCAGCTGTGGTCAATTTTGATGATTCCCTTTCAACCTTTTAAAATGACTTTTTCAATATAGCATCCTATACTTTGATTTTACATTCTGCTTTTTTAATCTAAATAATAAATCCCTTCAGTGGCTTCCAGTTTCTAAGCAAAACCAAAGCGCCTTTATGATGGCCTGAAAGGCCCTGAGTGATGTGCCTACTGGTTCCACCTCCCCTCTGGGGATCTCCCTGGCGTGCCCTCCTCCCAGTCCCCCTCCCTCCTCCCTGCCACTCTGCTCCAGCTACAGTGGCGTCACTTTCCCAAACATGCTAGGCATGGGCTTCCACCTCCCCCAAGGGCCTTACACTGGCTATTCCCTTTTCCTGGAATGTCTTCTCCCAAAAGTATGCATGGGTCACTTCTCACCTCTTTTATGGGTCACTCAAGGATCGTGTTCTCAGTCCAGCCTATCATGATCACCACCTAAATGGCAACATCCCCAACTTTACTCCCAATCCAGTTTTTCATAACAATGATGTTGCAAAACCATTCTACACACACATGTCAGACAGGCCCCTTTGCTCATGACTTTCTCAGCCATCCCCTGGTTGGACATTTTGGTTGAAGTGGAATTGTTGGGTTTAAAACTGTACACATTTAAAATTTCAATAGAATTACAAAATTGCCCTTTACTAAGCCTTCACCCATGGATAATTCCACCAATGGCAAAGGAAGGTGCTTTTTTCCCTTATCTGCCTTTTAAATTTTTGCCAGTTTGCTAAGCAAAATATATCTTATTGTTGTTTTAACTTGCATTTTTCTAATTAGAACAGTCACTGAACATCTTTTCATATACTTATTAGACATCTGTATTTCTTCTGTGAATTCTCTTTTCCATATCTTTTGCCAATTTAATTATTAGGTTGTTGGCCTC
This sequence comes from Homo sapiens, assembly GCF_000001405.40. NCBI lineage: Eukaryota > Metazoa > Chordata > Mammalia > Primates > Hominidae > Homo > Homo sapiens. Next base: position 31,846,708 of record NC_000001.11, on the reverse strand, counting down.
CTTTTTGTTGATTTATAGGAGCTCTTTATATATTGTGGATCACTTTAACCAGGGTAGATTATACCATTATCTAGTTCTACCCAAGGACAGCTTGCAGGCAGTCTTCACTCCATATTACTGCCTCCTCTGTGGGTATCAAAGATCCCACCCTTGGTTTGGGAGGCTGGTGAATGTCCTGAGCCATGTGAAAAGGGAAGGCATTACTAGGGATAAGTGTGGATGGGGGTCCTCAGCAAAGTATCAGGACATGAGTAGGTATCACGCCTGCTGAGCACTCCAGACAGCTGTCAATGAAGGCCCTCGTCAGACAGTGCAGAGCTGAATGGCTGATATGGTTTGGATTTGTGTCCCCCCTAAATCTCATGTTGAATTGTAACCCCCAATATTGGAGGAGGGGTCTGGTGGAAGGTGATTGGATCATGGGGTGGACATCCCCCTTGCTGTTCTCGTGATAGTGAGTTCTCATGAGATCTGGTTGTTTAAAAGTGTGTAGCACCTCCCCTTCACTCTCTTCCTCCTTTTCTGACCATGTAAGATGTGCTTGCTTTCCCTTCACCTTCTGCCATGATTTTAAGTTTCCTGAGGCCTCCCCAGCCATGCTTCCTGTACAGCCTTCAGAGCCATGAGTCTATTAAGCCTCTTTTCTTTATAAATTACCCAGTCTCGGGTAGTTCTTTATAGCAATGAAAGAATGGATTAATACAATGACTAATGTGGCTCTTCAGCCAAGGTGGCCTGTGGTATCCAGCTGAATGCTCACAGAAGGTCTGCTGGTGATGGCCCAGTCCCCAGGAAGCTCCCCAGTAGTGGTGACGGAGTGGACTTAGCTGTCTCTGGGCACTGACTCCACTCCTCTCCTTGGGTCCCACAGGTCCAGTTCCCCATCCCGGATCCCCCTGACCTCTTCGAAGGTCACTCTCACTCCTACTGCCTTTCTCTTTCCCAGCTCAGTGACCCCATTTACTTCCCTAGGGGAGACACGACCTGGGTCTTCTCATTCCCTCTCAATCCATCGTTAAGGCATAAATTTTACCTTCAGCTTCCTCCAAGGCCTTCCCTTTTGATTTTCAAGAGCATTTTCTTCTCTCAGCAAAAGCAGCCTCTTGCAAATCAAAAGACTTTGCCTTTCAAAAGTGTGATTTCTGATGTGGGCTTCAGTAGACTATCCAGAAAGTTAAAAAAACAATGACATCCAAACACTGACTGTTTCTCTCTCTTTATATTCCTGCTATAAAAGCACAAATTCTCCTAGGTAATTTTAAATCTCTGATTGATGTGAGGAAGTGGGAAAAATAAAAGCAAAATTGTTATTATTTCAAGATATGTTTTTGTTCCATTTCTGCATGTCTATGGTGGGTTTGTTTTCCCCGCCTGTTATTCATCTTATAACTTTGCTCATCGAGTCTTCTGTCATTCAGAAGTTAAATGTTTTTATGTAGTCAAATCTGTCCACCTTTCTTACTTTTCTTCTAATGATTTTATGGGTTTTTTTTTTTTTACATTGAGTTCTTTAAATTCAAGGGACTTTGTGTGTCTGGTGTGAGGTAGAGTTCAAATTTTCTATTTTTAAAATTGGAGAGCCATTTGTCTTAATGCCATTTATTAAATAGTCTATCTTTTCCTCATGGATTTGAAATGCTACATTTATGATTGATAGATATAATTTATCTTGTTTTATAAGGTATCTTTATTTCTGGCTTGACAGTTTTCTTGTTTTTATTCATTAAAATTTTTTTCTTGTGGGGAAGGGAGAATGGGGAGTTGGTGTTTATGGGTACACAGTTTCAGTTGGGAAGATGAGATGGAAAGTTCTGGAGATGGATGGTGGTGATGTGGTTATACATCAGTGTGAAGGTACTGAATGCCATTGAACTGTACACTTAAAAATGGTTTAAATGATAAATATTATGTTACATATATTTTACCACAATAAAAACTACTGAAAATTTTTTCTTGGATATTCTGTTGTTGTGTATTCTCTTTGTATTTTTTTCTTTCCGGATTAACCTGAGAATCAGCTTGTCAAATTCCATTTAAAATGTCTTTATTTTTAATTTTTTTAGAGACAGGATATTGCTCTGTCTCTCCCAGGCTGGAATACGTGGCGTGATCAGGGCTCACAGCAGCCTTGAACTCCTGGGCTCAAGGGAGCCTCTTGCCTCAGCATCCTGAGAAGCTGAGACTACAGGCTCCTGCCACCATGCCCAGCGTTTTTTTTTTTTTTTTTTTTTTTTGAGACGGAGTTTCGCTTCACTCTTGTTGCCCAAGCTGGAGTGCAATGGTGCAATCTCGGCTCACTGCAACCTCTGTCTCCCGGGTTCAGGCGATTCTGCCTCAGCCTCCCGAGTAGCTGGGATTACAGGCACGCGCCACCACACCCAGCTAATTTTTTGTATTTTTAGTAGAAATGGGGTTTCACCACGTTATCCAGGCTGGTCTTGAACTTCTGACCTCAGGTGATCCGCCTGCCTCAGCCTCCCAAAGTGCTGGGATTACAGGCGTGAGCCACCATGCCTGGCCTATGCCCAGCTAATTACATTTTTGTTTTTTTTTTTTTTTAGAGACAAGGTCTTGCTATGCTGCCCAAGCTGGTCTCAAATTCCTGGCCTCAAGCGGTCCTCCCATCTTGGCCTCCAGAAGCATTGGGATTACAGGTGTGAGCCACCATGCCTGGCCAAAAAATGTCTTTGCTATTTTGATTGGAATCACATTAAATTTGTAGATGACTCCGAAGAGAAATGACATCTTTATAGTACTGAATTTTTCCACCCAGGAGCATGGCAAGTCTCTCCGTTGATTCAGATCGCCTTTTATGACCTTCAGTAAAGTTTCATAATTTTATTCATTTCAGCTTATTCCTAGATTTGTGATGGCTTGTGTTGCCACTGGGAATGGAATTCTGAGTATGGCCCAGGGACTGTTGCTCAGTTCTATCCCCAGCCCAGCCTCTGGGATGCATGACTGGCTCCAAAAGACGCCTGGGACAGGAAGTACCAGCTGCAAGAGTCATTCACTGTTGCAAGCTTTGGCAATAGGAAGCAGGTGGATCCAAGTTAGAGGTTTGGCAGCCAGAGGGAGGAGAGAGGCTGGGATGAGCTGAAGGAGCTGGCAAGGTCAAGAGGAGGGACCTTCAGGATGAGGGGAACCAGAGCTTGTAATCAAATGGGTCAGAAAGAGGGAGAATCTGAAATGCTGGAGATCAGGGCTGATGCTCAGAATGAATACTGATGTAGCTCAAATGCCTCTATCACGCTGTAGAACAGATTGTGGCTTTGGAGCTAGGAGATGAGAGTTTGAACCCTGACCCTGTCACTAACTGTTTAAGTCACTTAGTTTCTAGGAAACCCAGTCTCCTCACCAGCAAAATAAGGGTGAATTCTAATTATATGTTTAATTGTTTAATTATGTGTCTGTCTTGCACTGGACTGGAGCTCCACAAGGGCAGGGACCATGTGGGTTTAATTCATTAATGTGCAGGGCTGCAGCCAGCGCATGCAGTGCTTTTGAGGGAATTAGAAAAAGGAATCCTTTGGGGCAGATGCTGCTCTCTGGGCCCACAGCTTGGCAAACGGTCCCCGGGCTGGATCTCAGCCCTACTTGCCCCTGGGCTGTGTGCCCTTGTGCCAGGAACAGCCTGCCCTGGTGTTCAGTGCTTAGCACAGGCTGGCACCGGGGAAGTGCTCACACAATGTATTGAGTAAATAGATGATTAGATGTGGTGGTTGAGAGAGAGAGAGAGAGAGAGAGAGAGAGAGAGAGAGAGGAGCCAGGTATTTCTGGGAGCCCTTGAGGGCTTCTCACTTATGCTCAGAAAGAAGTCCTCTGCTTCCAGGTGCTGATTAACATGGAATTTTCCAAGTGCTTCATTTCATGTATTTCTGCAAGGGCCAGAGATGGTGTCCACTAGTCCCAAGGCTGCGACAGGAATGGACTAGTCTGATGACCTGATACGATAGACCCCCATTTGCACAAGGCCTGGGGAGCCTCCATGAAGCATTCTGCCTAGGGAAGGTGGGACCCTGACTTGGTAACAAAGCCTTGAGCAACCCAAGGAAATGCTACCCAAGTGCCAACCCAAGGAAGAGCAGAGAAGAACATTCTAGGCAGGGGGATAAAGATCCAAAAGCCCTGCTGCTGCACAGAGGTGGCTCGGCCCTTTGGAGAGCTGAGCGTTGGCCAGTGTGGCTGGGCCTCCAGGCATCGCTTCATAGGACCTTCTTTCATTTGGTGGCCTTTGGGATTTCCTGCAACTGTCCTCTTCTTTGTGAACTTTATGAAGTTCGCATAACTGAGACATACCTACCGCACCTCTGTATCTGCCAACGCATACTCCAGCTCTTTGCACGGGGCCAGCCCAGAGGTTGATAGAGTCATCCCACGAAACAGATTAAGAATCCCAGCTCCGGCCGGGCGCGGTGGCTCACGCCTGTAATCCCAGCACTTTGGGAGGCCGAGGCGGGCGGATCACGAGGTCAGGAGATCGAGACCACGGTGAAACCCCGTCTCTACTAAAAATACAAAAAATTAGCCGGGCGCAGTGGCGGGCGCCTGTAGTCCCAGCTACTCGGGAGGCTGAGGCAGGAGAATGGCGTGAACCCGGAAGGCGGAGCTTGCAGCGAGCGGAGATCGCGCCACAGCACTCCCGCCTGGGCGACAGAACGAGACTCCGTCTCAAAAAAAAAAAAAAAAAAAAAAAAAGAATCCCAGCTCCACTGTGTATTTCCTGTGGACTTTGCCAATTCCTCTGAGCCTCCTCTATCTGTAGAAAGGAAATAGGAATATCCACCTTTCCAATTTGTTGGGAAGTTTCTGCCCTCAGTAATAAAGGCAGATAGTGTAAGAACAAAAGAAAGACAATTTAAAACTCCAGGAAAAACATAAAGATGAAGAAAGAGGGAAATATACAAGCACCTTCTTTGACTCAGCAATGAAAAATACGTAGATGGTCACAGTAATCCTTAAGGTCTTTCTTTTTCTGTGCTGGTGGGAGGCTTCAATACAACGCTGAACAAAAAGTAGCAATAGTAGGCAAGTTTGCCTTGTTCCTGACTTTGCAGGAAATGATTCTAGTGTGCACCGTTAGGTATGACTGTTATAAGCAATTGTGGGAATGGCTGAATTCTCACAAAATCTCCGAACCTTTTCTCATTGCGAAGGTTTCAAGATATCTCCTTGTCTCCTTGAGTTTTCCTGCTTCACTCATTCTATGGCTCCACATTGCCTGTGGGATAAAGTTTGAGCCTTTTTTAAATTTTATTTTATTTTATTATTATTATACTTTAAGTTTTAGGGTACATGTGCACAATGTGCAGGTTAGTTGCATATGTATACATGTGCGGTGCTGGTGCTTTTTTTTTTTTTTAGATTGAGTCTCACTCTGTCGCCCAGGCAGGAGTGAGTTCAGTGGCGAAATCTCAGCTCACTACAACCTCCACCTCCCAGGTTCAAGCAATTTTTCTGACTCAGCCTCCCGAGTAGCTGGATTACAGGCGTGCGCCATTAAGCCCAGCTAATTTTTGTACTTTTGGTAGAGACAGGATTTCACCATGTTGGCCAGACTGGTCTCAAACTCCTGGTCTCAAGTGATCTGTCTGCCTCGGCCTTCCAAATTGCTGGGGTTACAGGCGTGAGCTACTGCGTCCAGCCAAGTTTGAGCCTCTTGAAAGACCAGTGTCCAGGCTCTCTCCCTCTTTCCCAACCCTGAGCCTTCCGGGTTTACCCATTTCTCCCATTCCAAACACCTGGACATTTCAGGTCCTATCCATGATGACAGCTTGGCCTCTGCCTTAGAATATCTGCTCCGTGCCTCCATGCCCACTGCCTTTGCTCACGCCCTTTCCTTTTTCTTTCTTTTTTATTTTGCTTTTTTTTTTTGAGACGGAGGCTGCTCTGTTGCCCAGGCTGGAGTGCAGTGGTGCGATCTCGGTTCACCGCAACCTCCGCCTCTCCGGTTCAAGCAATTCCCTTGCCTCAGCCTCCTGAGTAGCTGGAATTACAGGCGCGTGCCACCACCCCCAGCTATTTTTTTGTATTTTAGTAGAGACAGGGTTTCATCATGTTGGCCAGGATGGTCTCGATCTCCTGACCTCGTGAACCACCCGCCTTGGCCTCCCAAAGTGCTAGGATTACAGGCGTGAGCCACCGCGCCCGACTGCTCATGCCCTTTTCTTTGCCTGGGATCCCCTTCCTCTCAGTTACTCTGACTCACCTTCAAAGGCCAACTCATCTCTGCAAAGACACTTTCCCCTCACCCTTCTTAGCATTTGGTATAAGACAGTTCCGGACACAGGGCCCAACACCTTCTCTAGTCTTTAAGAATCTGTTTAAGCCAGGCATGGTGGCTCATGCCTGTAATCCCAACACTTTGGGAGGCTGAGGCAGGAAGATCACTTGAGCGGGGAGTTGAAGACCAGCATGGGCAAACTAGGGAGACCCCATCTCTACAAAAAATTAAAAAAAAAAAAATTAGCCCGGCATGGTGGCACACACCTGTGGTCCCAGCTACTCGGGTTGGGGGAATGTGGTGGGAGGATCGCTTGAGCCCAGAAGGTCCAGGCTGCTGTGAGCCGTGATCACGTCATTGCATTCCAGCCTGGGCAACAGAACAAGACCCTGTTTCAAAAGAGAGAGAGAGAGAAAAAAAAAAATCTGTTGGATAAATGTGTGAATGAACCCCTAAGTAAAACTCTGGGTCACCATAAGGAAAAAAATCCTATTCTTCCAACAAATCCAGACTGTGCAGCTGCCTCAGCCTCCAAACTTCCCACACATGTTCAAAAATTTTGTCTTTTGCCTTTCTCCTTCAACAACAGTTTGGCTGAAAATAAAATTCTTGAGTCACACTTTCTCTCCTTGATGACTTTGTAGGTATCTGTCTATTGTATGCTAATGCTGGATGTTGCTGTAAAGAAGCCAGAGGCCAGCCTGGGATTTTTAAGTAACTTGTTCCTTTATGTTTAGATTCTCAAAGGAATCTTTCTTAACTTTAAAATCTAATACTTTTTAAATAGCATATATATGTGTGTGTGTGTGTGTGCATGTGTGTGTGACAGAGTCTTGCTCTGTTGCCCAGGCTAGAGTGCAGTGGTGCAATCTCAGCTCACTGCAACCTTTGCTTCCTGGATTCAAGCAATTCTCGTGCCTCAGCCTCCGGAGGAGCTGGGATTACAGGCATGTGCCACCACGCCCAGCTAATTTTTTGTATTTTTAGTGGAGATGGGGTTCCTCCATGTTGGCCAGGATGGTCTTGAACTTCTGACCTCAGGTGATCCACCCACTTCGGCCTCCCAAAGTGCTGGGATTATAGGAATGAGCCACTGTGCCTGGCCAATAGAATATATTTTGATGTGGATCATTATATTATAGAATATTGTTTTGATACCATTATTTGAGTTTCCTTCTTCAGTGACTTTGACATGTGTATATGGTTTTTTGGGGTCATTGTATTTTTAGTAGAAATGGGGTTTCACCATGTTGGCCAGGCTGGTCTTGAACTCCTGACCTCAAGCGGTCTGCCCGCCTCAGCCTCCCAAAGTGCTGGGAGTGAGCCAGCACAGGCGTGAGCCTCCACACATGGTCCACAGTGCGTCTTTCATTTCATTTTCTTGAAAGCTCCCCATCTTTCCTGCCTCAGGGCTTTTTTTTTTTTTTTGAGACGGAGTTTCGCTCTTGTTGCCCAAGCTGGAGTGCAATGGCGCAATCTCCGCCTCCCGGGTTCAAGCGATTCTCCTGCCTCAGCCTCCCGAGTAGCTGGGATTACAGGCATGTGCCACCACTCCTGGCTAATTTTGTATTTTTAGTAGAGACGAGGTTTCTCCATGTTGGTCAGGCTGGTCTTAAACTCCCGACCTCAGGTGATCCGCCCGCCTCTGCCTCCCAAAGTACTGGGATTACAAGTGTGAGCCACTGTGCTCGGCCTATTTTATTGTTTTTAGAGACAGGGTCTCACATTTTCTCTCTTATCATTTAAACTTTAAAATTTTTTTCTCATTTAATTTTTCTTTCTTCATTTCTATCTTACGTGTTGCATCAGTGCGTTCTCTTTTATGTTACTTTTGGTTTGACTTCAAGGTTATGATGAGCTATGATTGTGCCACTGAACTTCAGCCTGGACAACAGAGTGAGCCTCTTTCTTCTGTTCTTCGCCTGGCTGACTCCTACTCACCCTCCAGATCTCAGCTGGAAAAGTCCACTCCCCAGGGAGACCTCCCTGACTCCCCTAAACTCAGCAACCTGGGATTCTGTACGTTTTTTCCTGGCGCACAGGGTCAGCACACATTTTCATCCAAGGATGGACAGTAGGGGCACTCTGTCAGCCCACAAGGCCTTGTTAGGATGATAGCACAATTTCTATTTGGCTTTCTGAAATACTGACAATAGTACTGGGGTCCCCATGACACGGGTAACTAGAGTTCCTGGGCACCTTCAAATGAAAGGAGAGTCTTGGTGAGAGGGGTGGAGGAAATGCCAGATGCCTCCTGTGGGCTTTAAATCCAATGAAGAGGGACAGAAAATTCAGCAGGGCTGTGTCCTGGGATTGTTTGGGCAAAACCATGAGTGTCGACCAGGAGCAGGGTGGGGTTCTGGTCCATGGAGCTCTCTGGAGGAACAGAGACTAAGCTGCCTTCCTGAGACAGCTTTGGTTTTTCTTTTAATTGTGTTTTAATTGCGCAAGTGACATTTAAACAGCACTAAAGGCAATGTTTAAAGAGAAATAAAACTATTGGATCACATCCATCTTACACATCTGATGAGTTGGAAAGAGCACCGAACATGGAGTCCAACACACCAGGGTTGGCACGCCTCTCTGCTAATTACTGCCTGCACCACCTCAGGCAGGTTTTCTTGCCCTTCTCTTTGCCTTAGCTGCCTTACCTGTAAAGGGGAATGACTCTTAGCTCACAGGGAGCTGGGGAGAACTGGAGGATTCAGTGAGATCGTATGTGTATAAGCCCTGGGCATGGAGTCAGGGCTATGGGGGCACTCAGTAAGGTTTCTCTCTTTTATCAAGGCAACTGTGTTCATTTTCTTATATTCTCTGCCAAGCTTCGATCAAGTCCAGATGAACATTTCGCACACGGTGATGATGCTTTAAGTTTAGTTCTGCAATCTGCTTGCAAACTTTCTATGTCATAAACACTCGTTTCAACATTTTCATAATTATTTTATGGTGGAACACCATGCCATTGAGCCAATATATCATTATTTATGTAACCATTCTTCTGCCATTGGACATTTCTCAGTTATGGATGGTTCTATATTTAATTCTGCATTCTATGATACTGTTGCTATCATTTGTAGCTCATTTGTGGAAGACTGAGTATTCTTCCATATTTTACTTACTATTTCTATTTAGTTACTTAAATTGCCTGCTCATGACCTTTGTACCCATCTGTCTTAGCAACTCAGATATTTTTTATTGATGTGTATAAAATCTTTACACCACGTAGCTATTAGCCATTTTCCATTTTCCCCACTCCCAGGTGACATTTTAGTTTTAGTTATTTTTCTATTATACACACCCTAAACGTTTTATCTTTCCATCTTTGCATTTGTGATTTCTTTGAGTTTATACAACAAATATTATGTGAACATCTGATCTGGATGGCAGGTGCATGAAGAGGTATGGGAGTAAAGGACACTCCAGTTCCTGACTCCAGAAGGCCTCAGTTAAGTTGGGAATACAAACTGGAAAACAATTACAATATTGCCCTGCTAAGTTCTAGAAGAGTAAAGAATTGCAACAGCAGCAGAGGTTGTTTGCACGCTCCCTCTCTCTCTGTACCGGGCCCCATTCTAAGAACTTGCATATACTATCTCATTTAAAACCACAACAATCCTGTGATTTAGCTACTATTTTTAGCCCCATTTTACAGACGAGGAGAATGATCCTCAGAATGGCCACACGACTTACCTAAGCACCAACAGCCAATAAGAGCTGAAGCCAGTATTCGAAATCAGGCAGTTGGACTTCAGAGCTTGCCTTCTTAACTACCATACAAAACTAGCTGTTAGGGCAAGGATGTGGTGGTGATGCCAACAGAGGTGATAGGCATGGAGGTGTACATCAAGGAAACCCTCCAGGAGGAGGTGAGTCAAAGCTGAGAATAGAAAGACAGAGACAACTTCACCATCAGGCAAGGGGGTGTGGAGGAACGGACATTCCATGAATAAGGAAGAGCTCTTCCAAAGGTTTGGAGACGTAGCCCCTTGAGAGATGGTAAGCTGGCCAGAAGCCTCAAAGTTGAGGTGGTTCTATTATTGTTTACGTTTCCTTTATCTGTTTCTTCATCACAGGCTCCATGTTAGGTGCTGGAGATACAGTGATGAACAAGATATTCAAGGTACCTGCCTACCTGGAGTTTACAGTCTAATTGAGGGACACAGGAAGGAAGCTGTACTGACCATTTATCTTTCACTGCTGCTCAACAATTTAAAAAATTCCTGTCTGTGAGACTCTGTCTCAAAAAATGAATAAATAAAATTAAAAGAAAGAATACATGTAAAATGCTTAGCACACAATAAACACACAAGTATTGGTTCCCTTTCCTTTCCTCTTGTTTTCTGGAGGATTTTTACTTATTGTGGAAAAGAAAGCAATCCTTTCAGCATTTCCTTTTGTGTGTGTGTGTGTGTGTGTGTGTGTGTGTGTGTGTGTGTGTGTGTTTTCTTTTCGTTTTTAGAGAGGTCTTGCTCTGTTGCCCAGACTGGAGTGCAGTGGCGTGATCATAGCTCACTGCAGCCTTGAATTCCTGGGTTCAAACGATCCTCCCCAGTAGCTGGGAATACAGGTTTTTAAACGTTTCTGATGCAGCAGGACAGCTTGCCTGAACTTACAGTTGATTGGCTGTCTATTGGTGAAGAACTACTTCTAATTAAATTCTCCAGATTTTTTCTTCTTTAACATAACTTGTTTTTAGCTTAAAATTTCCAACTTCTTTTGCATTCGAACTACTTACTAGGGACCCAAGAAAGCAATCAAGTGGAAGACGTTGGAGTGGGATTCCTGATATCTTGAGTTCCTCCTCAGAGCCAAGTGAGCCTCCCTTGCAGCTAGGGTGCAGGCATGTGACCTTGGTTCCTCCAATCATCCTTGCCCACCTGAGACGCCAACTGAGTGATGAGCTATGCATGGGAATAGCTGTGTGCAGGGCATCCTTTTTCTGCCAGCCTGGTGGCAGTTAAAGCAGTGTGGCCTGGAGTCAGTGACAGTGGTGGCAGGTCCTCCATGAGTCTGATTCTGCAATATGCTTCTTGGAGAGGCTCTTGAAAGCTGCATCCAGATCCTGTTTCTCTAACATCCCTAAATAAATTTTCCTTCTACGGAAACTAGCCAGAGTGGACTCTGTTGTCTACATGCAAGAATACTAATAAACACGCAAATAAACAAATACATATGGAGCTGAACCTTGAACAACACACGTTTGAATGGTGTGGTCCACTCTCATGCAGATTTTCTTCTGCCTCTGCCACCCCTGAGACAGCAGGACCAAGCCCTCCTCTTCCTCCTCTTCAGCCTACTCAGCATGAAGACGACAAGGTTGTGAAGACCTTTATGATGATCCATGATCTGTTTCCACGTAAGGAGTAGTAAATGTATTTTCTTGTCCTTATGATTTTCTTAATAACATTTTCTTTTCTCTAGCTTACTTTGTGGTATGAATACAGTATATAATATATATAAAACATACAAGATATGTGTTAATCAACTGTTCATGTTATTGGTAAGACTTCCAGTCCATAGTAGGCTGTTAGTAGTTAAGTTTTGGGGGAGTCAAAAGTTATTCACATACGTGGATTTTTGACTATGCAGGGGTCAGTGCCCCCATGTTATTCAAGGGGCACACACTGAGGAACTAACAGTTTGAGAGGTTAAGAGTGTGGCCTAGAGTCACCCAAAGCTATAGCCGGGACTGAAACCCAAGAGAATGAGAATCGAGAGCCTGGACTCTTATAGGATGCTGTCAGATCAACGCCCCCACCTGGTGACAGCAGTCCTATATGGGTTACTCGTATCCTCAGGTGATCATCCTGCTCAGCGTGGGCAAAACATGAATTTCTTCTCGCTTGTTAGGTGCAGAGGTTGCAGGTGGCAGGGAAGAGAGCCTTTGCATGTAGTGCCTTGGCCCAGGGCTCTTGAGCTCTTGCAGAAATCTCCCTTGAGGACTGCAATGTGATGGAATTGTGTATGTATTTATTTAATTCATTTAGGGAGAGTTTTGCTCTGTTGCCCAGGCTGGAGTGCAGTGGCATGATCTTGGCTCACTGCAACCTCTGCCTCCTGGATTCAAGCAATTCTCATGCCTCAGCCACCAAGCATCTGGAATTACAAGTGTGCACCACCATGCCCGGCTAAGTTTGTATTTTTATTTTTATTTATTTATTTATTGAGACGGAGTTTTGCTCTTGTTGCCCAGGCTGGAGTGCAGTGGCACCATCTCGGCTCACTGCAACCTCCGCCTCCTGGGTTCAAGCTATTCTCCTGCCTCAGCCTCCCAAGTAGCTGGGATTACAGGCATGTGCCACCACACCAAGCTAATTTTGTATTTTTTAGTGGAGATGGGGTTTCTCCGTGTTGGCCAGGCTAGTCTTGAACTCCCGACCTCGCCTCAGCCTCCCAAAGTGCTGGGATTACAGGCGTGAGCCACCGCACCTGGCCAATTTTTGTATTTTTAGTAGAGACAGGGTTTCTATGTTGGCCAGACTGGTCTCGAACTCCTAACCTCAAGTGATCTGCCCACCTCGGCCTCCCAAAACGCTGGGATTACAGGCATGAGCCACCATGTTCCTTTGTCCTGCCAAAGGAAGAGTTTTAAAAATGAACTGAGGGTTCAGGTCAAGAAAGATTTAAAATAACAATGGTAGGCCAGATGCAGTGGCTCACAGCTATAATCCCAGAGCTGGGACTGTGTAAACCGGTGCCTGGCCAGGATTGTGTATTTTTATTAATGTTATTGTCATGAAGTTCTGTATCCATCTCAGGGTCAGAAATGAGGGAGGGACAGGGGTTTGGAGCCTGATAGACCAGTCCCAGGAAGGGAAGGAAGAAACAACCCATGAGTGTGGCCCTGAGGTCATGGACCATCCAGCCCCTGCATGTCTGCTTGAAGAAGGCTGGCTCAGTGGCCCTGGAAGTCAGATTTATGCCCTTTGACATCACTGCTAAGATTCCCTGCAGAAGGGAAAGTGGGAGCTCCTGCCCACAATTCAGGATCTGCTTTAATTAAACCAGTGTCTTGTCCTAGGTAACAAAACAAGTTGCCAAGAGTGCTGAGCTGATGGCAGGGGAAGTCAATCGCACAGAAGTTGTTTACCCACTGGCAGGACCAGCCTGTTAGCAACTCAAGATGTGAAGGGTTTTTCTGTTGATGCATTTCTTTGCATTTTCCAAGGCTGATGGATCAATAGTTACAAACAGCTAAAATAAATGTGTCTCCCCATACCCTCAGACTGGAAGATGGACTATTAGATAACTCAGGTGCCCGTCAGGCGTTACCGCTGTCAGCAGCTGCTATCCATGACCTTGCTGCATCCTCACAACAGCTTTGTAAGTCAGGGCTGCTGTGTCTGATTCAGAGAGATGGAAACTGAGGCTCAGAGAGGGGACACCATTACCCTGAGTCCCAGAGCTGATTGGTCATCAACCACAAGGTCTCTGCCAGTATCGGTTGTTTGCTTTTATATATATATATATATATATATATATATATATATATATATATACACACACACACATATGTAATATATATATGTAATATATGTGTGATATATATATGTAATATATATAAAAAAATCAATGTTGTTAGCATTGTCAGTTTCCCTGATGATCCTCTGAGAGGAAACACTGCTTGCCCAAGGTCACACAGCCACTGAATGGCAGGGCTGGGGTGAGAAGCCAGCGCGTTTGATCGCAGAGCCTCTGGTCTGAGCTTGCCAGCCGAGCAGTCTGGCCTCTGCACGCCTGCCCTGGAAATCAATGAGAGAAAGGCCAGAGGCATCAAGATTTGTGTTTCTCTGAGAGGCCCCTGAAGGGAGAGGCAGGCTCCTTCCCTATTCACAGCACCAAAGGTGTCAGTTCCCAGCTCTGAAGGACCTACTCCCCAAGGCTGCCGCTCTATTTTTAACCTTGAATCCATCAATAAACGGAGCCTGGCAGAGCAGTCTGCCTGATATTAAGAAGAGAGGAAGGGACCGTTTATTAAGCACTTTCTGAGTGCTGGGCATTATGTGAAATGCTTGACATGGATTATGTACTTAAATCTCCACAGCATTCGTATAAAATAACTACTGTTATCACAATTTTATAAATAAGGAAAAGGAAGCTCAAAGAGGTTAGGGGACTTGCTAAGGCCAAGCAGCTGAGGTGCAGAGCCACAGTCCCAATGCAGATCACACTGAAGTGTGATGTCCAAGTCCAAGTCCATGACCTTTCTTCCTAACCCCCTGGCTCTAATGCAGCATGACTCTGACCATTGGGCAGCCTGTTTGGAGGTGGGGTGGGATGGAGCTGAGAGTCAGCAAATAATCGCTCGAAGTACTAGGGAGGTGCAGGCAGGCAGGAAGGAATCACTCGCTCCAGCCGGTTGGTTGGGAAAGGTTTCATGGAGACTGAAACCCAGACCTTGGATTCCCCAGATGGAGGAAGGAAGGGCCTGGCAGGCAAAGGATATTAGGTACTTTTCATAAGTTATCCCCTGACATCAACAGTGGTGATGAATCAGTGTGAGCTATTTGGAGGCTATTACTGACTCTCTTTTACAGATGACTAAAAGTGAGGCTTTGAGGGATCAACTCACTGCCTAGGGTCACCGGGATTGGAATCAGAGTCTGGAGGATTCCAGAGACCATGACACTACCCTGGCCAATGAGAGGGTGTGTGATAAAAACAGTTGCAGGCAAATGGACATTTATCTAAAGTGTGGGAGTGAAGAAGATAAGGTAGGTTTCAAAGGCAATAGAGAGGCAGGTCTTTTTGTTTTGTTTTGTCCTTTAAGTACGTTTGTTCATATACACTGAAGTTGGCAGCTTTGGCACTAAAGTGATAAAGCTTTTTGGAGGCTGGAACTGGAGGACAGACAGACTCAACCAGGGGAAAGGGCATTGTTTGTGCGTGATAGTGGCTGGGCAGAGGGAAGGGAAGGGCAAGGTTCAAAGTTCAATGTGTCCAGCAGCTCTGAGATCCCCAGGACCAGAGGCCCAGCCAGGGCTCAGGGTCCGGAGTAGCAAGTGGCAGGGGTGAGTGAGGGAGGGGTGAATTGGAGTCTCAACGGCATTTGATGTTTGTCATCAGGGGAGTGGAAAGTCTTCAAGGAGGTAGGAGATATATCCCACCCCACAATAATGGGGGTACAACAAAATGTTAAAGAGACCCAGAGCCCCCAACAGCCAAAACTTCTGGGGGCTAAAAGAGCCTCCAACAGCCAAAACTGGAATAGTTCGAGCAACAAACCAAATAAAGTAGCAATGGATTACAACCCAAAGTATAAAATCAATACCCGTGAGTCCAGAGCAATATAAATGACTGAACAAATGATATAAATAAATGAATGAGAAGAGACAAATCTCCCATACAGATTCCAAATAATTTATGTAGATAGTCCACCCTCAAGGAGGTGGCACATGAGCCCCACTGCTTAAACGTGGGCTGTGCATCTGTGCATAATGACTTCCTTCCTAAGGGTAAGTATGGAAGGGAGCATGGACAGGAGAAGAGTCATCTTCTCAGTGAAGAAACCTGACAAACCCTAGCCGGGCCAGGTGACCCAGGTCGCCATTGGCAGTATAAAGCATGTTGATCCAAGTGTGTCCCTCAGCAGCCTGGGTCAGGCTGCCAGCAGCACCTGGCGGCCTCAGAAAAGGGCCACTTTTCATAAGCACAAGCACATGCACCTGCAGCAGTCAGCGCTCCGGTTTCCTCCTGGCTGTGTCGGTTCACATGCCCTCGGGACAAGGATCAGGAGCCTTGGAGCATCTGGCTGTGTCCATAGCAGCTAGCAGCTCAGAGGCACAGGAAATCCAGCCACCTTGGCTGCAGCCCAGGACTTAGAGGTGCAACCAGGTTGAGTGGTGACTGCATAGAGCACTGTCGGAGGCACAAACAATGACCAACACACTTGCCAGTGACCCACAGCTAGTTAGCAGTGTCCCGGGGCAGTAGGCATGACCTTCGGTGCAGAAGAGCAAGGGCCTTGGGAGGAGGCCCCAAGGGGCACGGGCACCTGGCAGCTTCAGAGGGTCCTGGTGCTGGTGGCCCTGGGGGGACAGCGGTGTCCATCTCTAGGCAGGAACTGAGCCTCAGGACATGGAGCTGCAAGCCCTGTAACACTGAGCCTCTTGCTTGAGGCCCTGAGGATCTGCTCTGGTTTTCCAGTTCATAAGATAGACAACCATGAACACGTCCTTTAGCAAATCAGAGAACCTGGGAGGCGGGGTGACAAAGTGAGCTGCGGCATGTTGGGCTGGGTCAGTGGAGCTGTGGACAGCAGTGGTGACTGCTGGCTGAGCGGCCCCACTGCCTTCTGCTGAAGGGCCTGGAAGGGCCTGACGTGCACAGTGCAAAGCAATGGTGCCTGCTGCCTGCTGGCCGAGACTAGGCGGGCACAGGATGGGCAGGTTAGGGAGTGCCCCGGGCTAGCGTGATTTGCAGAAACTGCTCTGCCTCCAGAATTCACCTCCTAGCTGCTCAGTGTGGTCCAGATCCGCCCCTGCTTCCCTCCTTCCCACAGCTCATAAAGCCAGGTTGAGGGATGTGCACAAAGGCATCCATGGAAAATGAAATTTTGCCCTCCCCACCCTTCCCCAGCAGCTTGAGAAGCCAGTTCCCAAAAATCAGTGCATCTCAGGAAGGCGAGACTGAGAGCTCCCTCAGCTGAATCCATGATGGATCCTTCTGGGAGCCAGAGGGAGCCAGTGAAGCCCCCAGCCTCCTGCGTAACGACGGAAGGGAGTCCTGCCAGACGACAGCTGCCTGGGGCTGCAGGAAGGTGCCCTAACCCTGGGAACCTCCTGGGAAAAGCAGAGTGAGGCTGAGTCCATACCCTAGATGGCTGCTGAGTTGGGGAGGCAAGGCTGACACCCAGATTTCTGGCTGGGAGAACACAGTGGAAGGATCCCAGGACCTGAGATGGGGACGAAGGAGGAGGAGCAGCTGGGGTAGGACCTGGGCACTGGCCACACGACATAAGCAGGCATGGCTGGAAGTGGAGGTGGCTCCTCTTGGGCAGGACAGGACCCGGCGCATTTCTGCCCTGACTTCACTTCTGTCCTGCTGGACCTCAGCCAGGGAGGCCCAGCCCCTACCCTCATCAATGGCAATTTCCCTGCTTCGGCAGCAGCACCTTGGCCTCCTCCGTCATCACCCTCATCTCTCCCCAACTTATAGGATCCCCTTTGTTCTCCCTCTCTAGAAACCTGCTCTCACCTGGCCTCCCTGAGACTCACGGGATTCCGAAGCCTGCAGCCCACTCAGCCAAGGGCCAGTCCTGCAGAACCTCCCAGCTTCCAGATCTGGACTCGCTTCAGCCACAGACTCTTGGAAGAAGGGAGAGAGAACTAACTACCAAGTGTTAAGTGCCTTCCGGTCTAGGTGCTCCTCCATCCTCAGCCTCTCTGACACCTCATAACTGGCAGCCCTGGGATTTGAATCTGCATATGTCTGGCTGCAAAGTCAATGCTCTTTCCTCGAGAGGACTGTGATGCCCCCATTACTCTTTTTTGGGGGAGTGGGGGGACACGGTTTTGCTACGTCACCCAGGCTGGCGTGCAATGGTGCGATCTTAGCTCACTGCAACCTCTGCCTCCCGGGTTCAAGCAATTCTCCTGCCTCAGCCTGCCGAGTAGCTGGCATTACAGGTGTGCGCCACTATGCTCGGCTAATTTTTGTATTTTTAGTAGAGACAGGGTTTCACCATTTTGGCCAGGCTGGTCTCGAACTCCTGACCTCATGATCCACCCACCTCGACCTCCCAAAGTGCTGGGATTACAGGCATGAGCCACCTCGCCCGGTCCCCATTGCTCTTAACACGGAGTCTGCCCCTTGCTTCTGCCTCTCCATCACCCTCTCCTCCCTGGCTCCTCCTTATTTCACTATAAACTCAGTTCTTCCGTTTCTAGACATGCCCTCCACCTGACCTTGCAATCTTCTCCTTCCTTTGGCCACCAGGCTTCTTACCCGGCTCTCTTCTGTTGCATCCCTGGTGTCCCGCCCCTTATCCCCCTGAGGTTTCATCAACCTCCCTCCCCTGCCAACCACTCCCCCAGAGTCACCAGTAACCCGGGGCCTCATGATTAGGTCCTTTCTTAGTCTTTATATTTCCAGGCCCCCCTACAACAACTGACACTCTCAACGGGTAAACTAGCTCTTGAAAAAAATAAGATTTCTTTCTACTTCTGACTTTAAAAGAAACACACACATACACACAAATGCATATATATGAAAGATAGAGAACGAAAGAGAGAGAAAACCACCAAGAGCCAGAAAACTGGTCATTAAGAAGCCTGATGGGCTGGGCATGGTGGCTCATGCCTGTAATCCCAGCACTTTGGGAGGCTGAGGCAGGAGGATCACTTGAGCCCAGAAGTTCGGGACCAGGCTAGGCAACATGGTGAGACCTCATCTCTACAAATAATTTTTAAAGATTAGCCAGGCCTGGTGGTGCACGCCACCAGTAGTAAACCTGTAGTCCCAGATACTTGGGAGGCTGAGGTGGGAGAATTGCTTGAGTCCAGAAGGTCGAGGCTACAGTGAGCTGTGATCGTGCCACTGCACTCCAGCCTGGGCAACAGAGCAAGAAGACCCCATGTCAAAAAAAAAAAAAAAAAAAAAAAAAAGGCCAGCATGGTGGCTCACACCTCTAATCCCAGCACTTTGGGAGGCTGAGGCTAGTGGATCACCTGAGGTCAGGAGTTTGAGACCAGCCTGGCCAACATGGTGAAACCCTGCCTCTACTAAAAATACAAAAATTAGCCCTCATGTGGTGGTGGGCACCTGTAATCCCAGCTACTCAGGAGGCTGAGGCAGGAGAATCGCTTGAACCCAGAAGGCGGAGGTTGCAGTGAGCAGAGATCGCACCACTGCACTCCAGCCTGGGTGACAGAGCAAGACTACATCTACAAAAAAAAAAAAAAAAAAAAGAAGAAGAAGAAGAAGAAGCCTGACAGTACCAGGTGTCAGAGAGGATGTGGGTTCACTGGGTTTCTCAAAGGCTGCAGATGGGAGTGTAAATTGGCACAAGCACTCAGGAAGACAGTTTGGCGTGAGTCTGTAAAGTGGGACATTCACTTATCCTCTCTGGCAGCTGCCTCTGGTGCCAGTATTGCCTCTCCTCCACTCACCTCTAATTTGCGCCCCGGCTGCAGTTCCCTTGACCTCATGACTCACCCCACGCTAACAAGTCCCACCTCAGCACAAGTTATACGTCTTTTTGTTTTCAGCCCAAGCCCAAGCACAGCCTAGAGGTGCAGGGAAGATAACATGCCAGGAGCAGCCCTTGACAGATGGGGCTCAGGAGCTTGCAGATAAAAATGTCCCTGTCATCCATTCTCTGGGCCCACAGTTCCAAAAATCAAGTTCTCCAGCAGTGACCTTGATCTCTTCCCCATCTCACTCTGCCACCTTACTCCTGCTTCCTGGGCTTACCCCACAAATAAACAACCAACAACAGACGCAGGTAGCAGCTTAGTCTCTGTCTCACGCTCTGCTCTAGGGAAACCCAAACTAAGACAACTATGACCTAGCAATTTCCCTCCTTACTTCATATACAAGAGAAACTCTTACCACATACACTAGGAAACACATGCTAGAATGTTCCTGTCAGCACAAAACCTGGAAATAATCCAGAGAACCACTGAGAGGAGAAGAGACACATACATTTTGGAATAACATACAATGAAATATTACACAGGAGCTGGGCAAATGCAACAATATAGATGAAACTTAGCGATATAATTTTGAGTGGTAAAAGGAAATCCTGGCCGGGTGGTGGCTCATGCCTGTAATCCCAGTACTTTGGGAGGCCAAGGCGGGCCGATCACCTGAGGTCAGGAGTTGGAGACCAGCCTGGCTAACATGGTGAAACCCTGTCTCTATTAAAAGTACAAAAAAAAAAAAATTAGCCTGGTATGGTGGCACATGCCTATAATCCCAGCTACTCAGGAGGCCGAGGCAGGAGAATCGCTTGAACCTGGGAGGCAGAGGCTGCAGTGAGCCGAGATCACGCCTCTGCACTCCAGCCTGGGCGACAGAGTGAGACTCTGTCTCAAAAAAAAAGAAAAGGAAAAAAAGTAAATCCCAACATATCACATTAAAAAATACATATAATTTGGGGAAACAGATGTGGGTGTGATAAAACTACATAAAAGAGAAAGCAAAAGAACACAACACAGGATTCATATTAGGGGTTGCGGTGGGTAGATAAAAGTGAGGAGAATCATATCAGTCTGTGTAAGTTCTTATCAGTATTTTAGTTTTCGTCTTGGGCAGTGGTTCCATGGATATTTTTATATTATTAAAATAGGCACCCTAATAGATAAATTCATAAATGATTCAAAGAAGGCCTTTTATGGACCGATGATGAGAATGTGTACTATATACCCAATTAGTATGACAAACCTCATTCTATGCAATTGAAGTCCAATTAAAAAGTATAATAAACAGGGCTGGGTGCAGTGGCATGCCTGTAGTCTTAACTATTCAGGAGGCTGAGATAGGAGGATCACTTGAGCCCAGGAATTGGAGGCTGCAGTGAGCTATGATTGCACTACTGTACTCCAGTCTGAGTGACAGAGCAAGACCCTGTCTCTTAAAAAAGTAAAATAAGATTATTATTTAAAAACGGAAAAATACATAAAATCACAATGAAGAAATAAAAGTTACCATCCAGAGATAATCCCTAGCTATCAACATTTAATGGATATTTTATACATTGTTCCTGTGAATAAATGTCTGTATGTGTTATCTGTATAATGGAGGTGATACTATATACAATTTTTTGAAAACGTTACAGAAATTTCAAGTCCTATATATTTATTGTAGAGTAATGAAAAAACACAAGAGGCCGGGTATGGTGGCTCACGCCTGTAATCCCGGCACTTTGGGAGGCCAAGGTGGGCAGATCATGAGGTCAGGAGATTGAGACCATCCTGGCCAACATGGTGAAACCCTGTCTCTACTAAAAATACAAAAAAATTAGCCAGGCGTGGTGGCGGATGCCTGTAGTCCCAGATACTTGGGAGGCTGAAGCAGGAGAATGGCGTGAACCCGGGAGGCGGGACTTGCAGTGAGCCGAGATCACGCCACTGCACTCCAGCCTGGGCGACAGAGCAAGACTCCGTCTCAAAAAAAAAAAAAAAGAAAAGAAAAGAAAAAAAAAAAAAGAAAATGCAAGAGGAGAAAAGAAGCAATTGAGAAAGAGCCACTGTCAAC
Source organism: Homo sapiens (assembly GCF_000001405.40). Taxonomy (NCBI): domain Eukaryota; kingdom Metazoa; phylum Chordata; class Mammalia; order Primates; family Hominidae; genus Homo; species Homo sapiens. The sequence continues at coordinate 31,825,287 of NC_000001.11, read as the reverse complement.
ATTCTGGTGGATTTCCTTCCATTCTCTTCCTTTGCTTAACAGCACATTATGACACTTCCTCCACATCATTCAATATTCTTTGAAAACACTACCTCTCTCTACCTTAAAATTCTTTTTTTTTTTTTTTTTTTGAGATGGAGTCTCGTTCTGTTGCCCAGGCTGGAGTGCAGTGGCACAATCTCAGCTCACTGCAACCTCCACCTCCTGGGTTCAAGCGATTCTCTTGCCTCAACCTCCCGACAAGCTGGGATTACAGATGCCCGGCAACACGCCCAGCTAATTTTTGTATTTTTAGTAGAGACGGGGTTTTGCCATGTTGGCCAGGCTGGTCTCGAACTCCTGACTTCAAATGATCTGCCCGCCTCAGCCTCCCAAAGTGTTGGGATTATAGGCGTGAGCCACTGTCTCCAGCCTTTAAAATTCTTAAAGTAGTAATTTGGCAGTGGAGAAGTCTGGAAAGCACTTTCTACCAAGCGGTGGAGGTTAATATCACCTGTGGCTACCACGCACCCCCTCCTCTGATGTGAGAAGGCATTTTCCCTGTGCGGCATTCTTTCCAAAACCCCTGAGACCAGTTTAATCTGGAGAAAAGCATCAGGGAAATCCAAATTAAGAAACACTCTACAAAATACCTGACGATTACTCCTCAAAACTGTCAAGGTCATGAAAAACAAGGAATGACTGAGAAACTGTCACAGATCAGAGGAGACTAAGGGCATGGTAGCTAATGCAACGTGGTAGCCCGCACGGGAGCCTGGAACAGACAGAGGACCTGAAGGGGAAAACTGGTGGAATCCACATAAAGTTGGAGTTTAGTTAATAGTAATGTACCAATGTTGGTTTCTTAGTTTACGCAGAGACCACAGTAATAGAAGATGTTAACAATGACAGAAAATAGGTGAGGGGTAGATGGAACTTCTTATATTTTTGTAACTTTTTTGTAAGTCTAAAATTATTCCAAAATAAATAATTTATCAGGGAAAAAAAATCCACAAACCCCCAAACAGTCTTTCCTTGGCTTCCTCGAAGTCGTGCCATTGTGTTCTTCCTCCCTCTCTGACTGCCTCTGGGTGTGTTTTCATATTAAACGACAGGCACCACCTTAGGCCCTGTGAATGAGCTGGCCAACAAGGCAGACCCAGTCTGGTTCTCGCCCTTGTGGGAATACAGTCTGGCGGAGGGACTTTGGATGGAGCTGGACTTGAGGTTGGACATAGTTCCGCTTATCTCCAGCGGAGCAATCCCTAGCAAGTCATGGATTTGAAGCCCACCTTTCCTCCTCTGTAAAAAATGAATAATGAGCAGGGTGCAGTGGCTCATACCTGAATTCCCAGCACTTTGAGAGACTGAGGCAGGAGGATCACTTGAGCCCAGGAGGTCACTTGAGCCCAAGAGTTAGAGGCTGCAGTGAGCTGTAATCATGCCACTGCACTTAAGCTAGGTGACACAGCATGACCCTGTCTCTGAAAAACAAAAAAAAAACAAAAAACCCCACAAAACTATATTAGCTAAATACTACCACAAGGAAGCAGTTACCAATATTAATATCAGAAAAACTGAATTAAAGCAGAAGAACATTAATAGGAAGAAAAGGCACATTTGGCACTGATGAAAGTTATAATCTCCAAAAAAGATGTAAAAATTTATGAATTTGCATGCTCCTAAAAAAGTGTTTTTAAATATATATAAAGCAGGAACTTACAGAGGTAAAGGGAAAAAATTGACACGTTCGTAATAATTGTGTGAGATTTAAAACATTTTTTTTTTTGAGATGGAGTCTCGCTCTGTTGCCCAGGCTGGAGTGCAGTGGCACAACCTTGGTTCACTGTAACCTCTGCCTCCCGGGTTTAAGCGATTCTCCTGCCTCAGCCTCCCGAGTAGCTGGGATTACAGGTGCCTGCCACCATGCCCAGCTAATTTTTGTATTTTTAGTAGAGACAGGTTTTCGCCACATTAGCCAGGATGGTCTCGAACTCCTGACCTCAAGTGATCTGCCTGTCTTGGCCTACCAAAGTGCTGGGATTCCAGGCGTGAGCCACTGTGCCCAGCCGATTTTTTAAAATTTTATTTAAAAGTTTTTTTTAGAGACAGGGCCTCACTCTGTTACCCAGGTTGGAGTGCAGTGGTGCTATCATAGCTCACAGAAGCCTTGAACTCCTGGGCTCAAGCAATCCTCCACATCCTAGTATGCCTTCCTGTAGAGGATAGAAAGCCAAAACTCTTTCACAGATTCCCTTACAATGAGTGTTTCAGATGTGAATTATTTTCCAACACTTACTGCTATTGTGCAAGATCTGAAAAGCAGATGAGAGGCCAAGACCATTGTCCTTTTCCGTGGGCTGTTACTGCTTCCAAGCACAACTGTGGAGCTATCGAGTTTGCCCGCATCAATGTCTGGCCCCTAGTGTTGTGTATGTGGGCAGTAGAAGCAGCAGTGGCAGTGCCTGTATTAGACCTTTGTATTGTTACCCTAGCAGTGTATTTATAAATACAGTTCTAATGTGTGTTCTAGGCCCAGCCTCGGGTCCACTCCTATAGCCTGCCAGTGACTTTTTTTTTTTTTTTTTCATTTTTTAGATAGGGTCTGGCTCTGTCACCCAGGCTGGAGTTCAGTGGTGCGATCTCGGCTCTCTACAACCTCTGCCTCCTGGGCTCAAGCCATCCTCCTACCTCAGCCTTCTAAGTAGCTGGGACTACAGGGATGCGCCACCACATCCGGCTAATTTTTGTACTTTTTGTAGAGATGGGGTTTTGCCATGTTGCCTGGGCTGGTTTTGAACTCCTCTAAGCTCAAGCAGTCCACCCGCCTCGGCCTCCCAAAGTGCTGGGATTACAGGCGTGAGCCACTGTGCCTGGCCTCCCAGTGACTTTTGAAACACCCAGTGCCCTGTATTAAACCTCATTGTGCTTAAAATATCTAGAGTAGTTTTTGTTTTCTGCATTGAACACTGATTTCTGTAGATTCAAGTTACTATAGATTACTATGGATTTGAAAAACATGAGTAAAAAGCTTGAGGTAAGAAAAGCTTAAACTGTTGGCCAGGTGCCGTGGCTCACACCTGTAATCCTAGCACTTTGGGAGGCCGAGGTGAGTGGATCATGAGGTCAGGAGTTCGAGACCAGCCTGGCCAACACAGTGAAACCCCCGTCTCTACTAAAAATACAACAATTAGCCGGGCACGGTGGCGGGTGCCTGTAATGCCAGCTACTCGGGAGGCTGAGGCAGGAGAATTGCTTGAACTGGGAGGTGGAGGTTGCAGTGAGCCGAGATTGCACCACTGTACTCCAGCCTGGGTGACAGAGCAAGACTCTATCTCAAAAAAAAGAAAAAAAGAAAAGAAAAAGAAAAAAAAAGGAAAAGCTTAAACTATTAAACTGAGAATTTCAATCATTTTTCAAGCATACAATGAATATTAACAATGACAGTATATCAGATCACAAAGGAAATCTTAAAAACTTAAAAAAAAAAGCAACATTATGTAGACAATTTTAACTGATCACAATGCAGTAAAAGTATATTTTCATTTTCTTTTCAATAGAGAGACGGTCTCGCTATGTTGCCTAGGCTGGTCTCAAACTCCTGAGCTCAAGGGATCCTCCAGCCTCAGCCACCAGAGTAGCTGGGATTATACACGTTCATCATCATGCCTGGCTGAAACATTTATTTATGTATGATTTATTTATTTTCAGTTAGAGATGGGGGTCTCACTATGTTGACCAGGCTGGTCTTGAACTCCTGGCCTCAAGTGATCCTCCTATCTTGGCTTCCCAAAGTGCTGGGATTACAAGCATGAGCCACCATGTCTGGCCTGAAACTACATTTATTTTTAATAATAACAGGTAGCCACCGGGTGTGATGGCTTATGCTTGTAATCCCAGTGCTTTGGGAGGCTGAGGCAGGAGGATTGCTTGAGCCCTGGAATTCAAGACCAGCCTGGGCAACATAGAGAGACTTCATCTTCACAAAAAATAGAAATGTTAGGCACTAATACTTTGTTTCCCTAGACACCCTGTCTCTAGGCTGGGAATACACGCATGCACCACCATGTCTGGCTAATTTTTGTATTTTTTATAGAGACAAGGTCTCACTGTGTTGTCTGGCTTGTCTCAAACTCCTGGGTGCAAGTGATCCTCCCACCTTGGCCTCCCAAAGTGTTGGGAGTGGGTCACTTTAGGCCACAAGTTTGAGACCAGCCTGGGCAACATAGTGAGACTCTATCTCTCCAAAATAATTTAAACTAATTTTAAAAATTAGCTTGAGGCCAATTAGTAGGCATTTAAGGCTGCAGTGAGCTATGATCACACCACTGCACTTCGGCCTGGGCAACAGAGCAAGACCCTGTTTCTTAAAAAAAAAATGAAAGAACAAGAGTAAACCAAAGGAAATAGAAGAAAGTAAATAAGAAAGGTAAAACCAGAAGATGGTGAAATAGAAAATATAATAACAACATCATAAAAAACAGAGATAAAAAAGCAAAAATCTGATTTACCAAAAAACCCTAGGATGACTGAGAGAGAGCAAGCACAAATAAATAGTATTAGGAATTAAAAGGGGACTGTAATCAATACAATAGAGATTTTTGAATCATGAGAATACTATTAATATCTTTGCAACAGGGTCTCACTCTGTCACTTAGGCTGGAGTGCAGTGGCACAATCTTGGCTCACTGCAGCCTCCATCTCCTGGGCTCAAACCATCCTCCCACCTTAGCCTCCCAATAACTGGGACTACAGGGAGTATGGGACATGCCACCACTCCTGGATAATTTTGTATTTTTTGTAGAGACAGGGCTTCACCATGTTGTCCAGACTGGCTCGAATTCCTGGGCTCAGGTGATCTGCCGCCCAGGCCTCTCGAAGTGTTGGGATTACAGGCGTGAGTCACCGCCTCCAGCATGGTGGCTCATGTCTGCAATCCCAGCACTTTGGGAAGCCGAGGTGGGAGGATTGCTTGAGTCCAGGAGTTTGAGACCAGCCTGAGCAACATAGCAAGATGCCGTTTCTACAAAAAACCAAAAATTTAGTCAGACATGGTGGTAGGCACCTGTAGTCCCAGCTACTCAGGAGGCTGAGGTGGGAGAATCATCTGAGCCCAGGTGATCATATCACTGCACTTCGGCCTGTACACAAAGCGAGACCTTATCTCAACAAAAAAAAAAGAAAGAAAAAAAAGAAAGAAAAAAGAAAACGCAATAAAAATATTAAAGAATAGAATAATTTAATTAAAATGTGCAATATTTTGATGAAGAAAAATCACAAAAATGAATTGAAGGCCTGGCAGAATGGAAATAAGGTACATTTATGGATGAGAAGACTCAGTATTATTCAATTTTATCCCTAATCTGTAAATTCGATGAAATTCTAATTTAAATCCCAGCACAATTTTTCAAGGATCTTGACAAAATGATTCTACGGTATACAGTTAGCTAAGACGATTATAAAAAATAGAAACCAAGTTGAGGGGGTGGAGCTTGCTCCCTAGATAGCAATATTTATCACAAAACCATAGAACTAAAACAATATTGATCAAGAATAGACAAATCGATCAATGGAAGAGAAAAGAAAGCCAATAAATAGGCCAGGTGTGGTGGTTCACGCACTTTGGGAGGCCGAGGCAGGTGGATCACCTGAGGTCAGGAGTTTGAGACCAGCCTGGCCAACATGGTGAAACCTCATCTCTACTAATAATACAAAAAATCAGCCGGGCATGGTGGTGGATACCTGTAATCCCAGCTACTTGGGAGGTTGAGGCAGGGGAATCGTTTGAACCCAGGAGGCGAAGGTTGCAGTGAACCAAGATCCTGCTACTGCACTCCAGCCTGGGCAATGAGAGAGAAACTCCATCTCAAAAAAAAAAAAAAAAAAAAAGGAAAGCCAAGAAATAAATTGCATTCTTTAATGGGAACCAGGTATATCGCAGAGGTGCTGTCATGAGTCAATGGAGCAAACAGCTAATGATGAGGCAAATAGCATTAGGCCAAAACCTGGGCAAAACCTTACTTTATTTTTTTTTTATGACAGAGACATTTTAGAATACCAGGAGAAAGGCTGGGCCCAGTGGCTCACACCTGTAATCTCAGCACCTTGAGAGGCCGATACGGGCAGATCACTTGAGGTCAGGATTTTGAGACCAGGCTGGCCAACATAGTGAAACCTCATCTCTACTTAAAACACAAAAATTAGCTGGGTGTGGTGGCGTGCGCCTGTAATCCCAGCTACTCCGGAGGCTGAGGCAGAAGAATCGCTTGAACCCGGGAGGTGGAGGTTGCAGTGAGTCGAGATCATGCCACTGCACTCCAGTCTGGGTGATAGAGTGAGACTGTCTCAAAAAAACAAAAAAATAAAAATAAAATAAATAAATAGAATACCAGGAGACAGAGAAACTGGCCAGAGACTGGCTGGCTTCTAAAACCAGTCCTTGCTAATCTTGAGCAAATTACTTAATCTGTCTTGGCCTATTTCCTCATCTGTCAAATAAGGATAATAACAGTTCTTACCTCACAGACTTGATGTAAGGATTAATATAGGTAAATTAATACAGGCAAATACAGGATTAATATAGGTAAAGCATTTAGACCAGTCCCTGGCTCAAAACAGCACTACGTAAGTGTTAGCCATTCTTTATCTCTATACCATGTGGAACTGACAACATCTCCACTCCCGTTTTCTCTGCCCAATGTGGGAGACTTCCATTATCCAAATGGACCAGAATGGCTTGGTTCACTGGTCTTAGGGAACCTGGTCAACTTTCTGCCATCATGACCAAGACATTCCTTAGAGGGAGGGCTTCTCATTTACAAAAACTATTTCCTTAGAGCAGTAATTTTGGTCATTGGTGACATCCAGTCTCTACTCTTACCTCATCTATGACTCTGACTGCCAGATCATGACAGTTTTCAATATGGATTACCCAATAGCTTGGTTTGTTTTTTGTAATAAACCTTGTTTTTTAGAATAGTTTTAGATCTACAGAAAAATCTGAAGATTAGTACAGGGAGTTCCTGTGTACTCCAGACTCGGTTTCCCTTGTTATTCATATTATGCTGTTTTTAAAATTCCACATTATATCATTGAGATACATTCATGTTGATATATAGATCTAATTTATTGAGTCTAACTGTGATTTAGTATTCCATTGGCCTGGAAGGTTCTCACAGTCTCACCTGGCACAGGTTTAGTGCCAGGGAATTCCATCTCCCTCGCAATCAGACTTATCAAATCTCTGGTTCTGGCCGGGTGCAGTGGCTCACGCCTGAAATCCCAGGCCAAGATGGGAGGATCGCTTGAGCTCAGGAGTTCGAGACCAGTCTGGGCCACATAGTGAGACCTCGTCTCCACCAAAAATAAAAAAAAAATTAGCTGGGCATGGCGGTGCATGCCTGTAGTACCAGCGACTCAGGAGGCTGAGAGGGGAATATCACTTGAGCCTGGGAGGTCAAAGCTGCAGTGAGCTATGATTACACTACCACAACTCAGCCTGAGCGACAGAGCCAGACCCTATCTCAAAAAAAAAAAAAAAAAAAAAAAAAGCCAAACACCACTGTTTCTGCAGTAAAAGTATTTACATAATCATAACATTATAAATGTCATTTGGCTTTCAGTGTTAAGAATCAATCTACAGGTAAACAACGGTAAACTGAATTATCTTTACCGAATAGAATGTAAATGCTATAAACCTCAGCGATACAAAAATAAAAGCTTAGTTCATGGATAACGGCAGAAGCAGGGAGGGGACATCAAGGGAAATTATCCATTTCACACAGAGAAGAGTCAAGAGATACAATATACAGAAGAAACAGACATTTAAGAATAGTATTCAAAGTGATAATAGAAACCAATAGTAAAATTTAAAATATAAATATAAAAAAGAGGGCCAGGCACGGTGGCTAACGCCTGTAATCCCAGCAATTTGGGAGGCTGAGGTGGGTGGAACACGAGGTCAGGAGTTTGAGACCAGCTTGGCCAGCATGGTGAAACCCTGTCTCCACGAAAAATACAAAAATTAGCAGGGCATGGTGGCACGTGCCTGTAGTCCCAGCTACTCGGGAGGGTGAGGTAGGAGAATCACTTGACCCTGGGAGGCAGAGGTTGTAGTGAGCTGAGACTGTGCCACTGCACTCCAGCGTGGGCGACAGAGCGAGACGCTGTTTCAAAAAAAAAAAAAAAATATATATATATATATATATATGAAAAGCGGAAGAGAAAGGGGGAAAGGGTGGTTAATAAAATCACCACAGCAGGAAGTCAACAGATACAACAGACACAGTTAAAATTAATAAATCAAGTAATAGAGGCATGAGTATATTATTTACAGTTATGAAATTTAAAAAATTAACATGATGACAAACATGGTAAAAAACAAAAAACAAAACACAGTTGTTTCCAGGAGTTGGGGTATTGGGAAATGAGAGATAGCTTTAAACTTTTTATTTCTAACCTTCTATTGGAATTGATTCTGCATTTCCATCTACATTAATTATATTTGAGATTTTCTTTTTAAATTAGGCAAGCACTATTCACAATAGCAAAGACATGGAATCAACCTAAATGCCCATCAATGGCAGATTGGCTAAAGAAAATGTGGTACATATACACAATGGAATACTATGCAGCCATAAAAAAGAATGAGATCACGTCCTTTGCAGGAACGTGGATGGAGCTGGAGGCCATTATCCTTAGCAAACTAATGCAGGAACGGAAAAACCAAATATTGCATGTTCTCACTTATAAGTGGGAGCTAAATGGTGAGAACACATGGACAGAAAGAGGTTAACAACAGACACTGGGGCCTGCTTGAGGGTGGAGGGTAGGAGGCAGTAGAAGATAAGAAAAAATAAATATTGGGTACTAGGCTTGATAACTGGGTGACGAAATAATCTGTACAACAACCCCCGTGACACAAGTTTACCTATATTAAAAACCTGCATATGGACCTCTGACCCTAAAATAAAAGTTTAAAAATAAAATAAAATAAAATTAGGCAAAAAATCTAGGTAATTCTGACATTGTCCTACTGGCTCAGGGACTATTGCGGTAGGATCAAGTTAAACTCTCAGGCAGGCAGCCAAGGCCCCTCGCTGCCCCATGCACCCACCTACCTCTGCTTGGGAGCCAGGATTGGCACCTCCTCCAGGAAGCCCTCAGGAGGAAGAGGGCGCCCTCTGCCGGGGCAGGAACGCCAGCACGCCTGGGGAGCAGCCTTTTGCTCATCATCAGGGACTCCGCCCCTATCCCTCAGCAAGGGCCTCCCTCCCCCGCATCACGTGATCTCAGCTCCTTTTCAGCTAGTGGGTGGAACCCCAGGAGGGAAAACTCAGGGAAGCCCAGGTGAGAGCGACGCGACCGATGGGGCCCGGATTTCTTGGATGCTGGGGGACTGTCCCAGTAAGGCTTGGGAACCTGGGTGGGGCGCCTTTCAGAACGGGACCGATGGGAGAGAGACGAGAAGGGTTATGGGCACGAACCCCGTTCAGTATCTGCTCCTTGCGCAGTGTGAGAACTGGGAGAGAGACTCCTGGCCCTTCCACTTCCTGTGCTTCCTTGGGTGAGTGTCTTAACATCTCAGAATCTCAGTGTCCTCACCTGTGGCTGCCAGTATGAAATGAAATAAGCACATAAGTCATAAATAAATGGTATCTTATTAGGTCCCATTTAAGCGAATGTGTGAACTCTCAGAGACAAGAAGACCCTGGAGGCCACTGTAGCTCGGCCCTGTTTGGAGGCAGGCCTCTCCACCCTCACCCAGGACACCAGCTCCTGCTGGGTGCTCCCCTCCCTGGAGTGCTCACCCCTAGGCCTCAGGAGTGGAAGGGTCTGGGAGAGCTGGCTGGAAGAGGGGCTCCTCCCAGTTCCCACTGAACGGGCTGACAGGTCGGACTCTCCAAGACAAAGTCTCCTCTTTCTGTCTCCACACAGGGCCCGTGTTGTGCTTTTGGCCCAGGTAGGTGGACAGACATGTCCCAGGCGGGGGACGTAGAAGGCCCCAGCACAGGAGACCCTGTGCTCAGTCCCCAACACAACTGTGAGCTTTTACAGAACATGGAAGGAGCCAGCTCCATGCCAGGCCTGTCACCAGATGGGCCGGGAGCAAGCTCTGGGCCCGGAGTCAGGGCTGGCAGCAGAAGGAAGATCCCCAGGAAGGAGGCCCTTCGAGGTGGCAGCTCCCGGGCTGCAGGTGCTGCTGAGGTCCGGCCAGGGGTCTTGGAGCTGCTAGCTGTGGTACAGAGCCGGGGCTCGATGCTGGCTCCTGGGCTCCACATGCAGCTGCCCTCGGTGCCTACTCAGGGGAGAGCTCTGACCTCCAAGAGGCTCCAGGTTTCTCTGTGTGACATCTTAGATGACAGTTGCCCCAGGAAACTTTGTAGCAGGTCTGCTGGCCTCCCAGAGAGAGCTCTGGCCTGCAGGGAGAGGCTTGCAGGAGTGGAGGAGGTGAGCTGCCTCAGGCCCAGGGAGGCCAGAGACGGTGGAATGAGTTCTCCAGGGTGTGACAGAAGAAGCCCCACACTCAGCAAAGAGGAGCCCCCTGGAAGGCCCCTGACATCCTCACCAGACCCAGTCCCTGTGAGGGTAAGAAAGAAATGGAGGAGGCAAGGGGCTCATTCAGAGTGTGAGGAAGGGGCTGGTGACTTCCTGTGGCTTGATCAGAGCCCTCGTGGGGACAACCTCCTGTCTGTGGGAGACCCTCCCCAAGTTGCTGACCTGGAGTCCTTGGGAGGCCCTTGCAGACCTCCCTCTCCAAAAGACACTGGGTCTGGGCCTGGAGAGCCAGGTGGAAGTGGGGCAGGATGTGCCTCAGGGACTGAGAAATTTGGATATTTGCCCGCTACAGGGGATGGGCCCCAGCCAGGCAGCCCCTGTGGCCCTGTCGGGTTCCCAGTGCCCAGTGGAGGGGAGTCCCTCAGTTCAGCTGCACAGGCTCCTCCACAGAGCGCAGCACTGTGCCTGGGGGCGTCAGCACAGGCCTCTGCAGAGCAGCAAGAAGCTGTGTGTGTCGTGCGGACTGGCAGCGATGAAGGCCAGGCTCCAGCACAGGACCAGGAGGAGCTGGAGGCCAAGGCTCAGCCAGCTTCCAGGGGAAGGCTGGAGCAAGGACTCGCTGCCCCCGCTGACACCTGTGCCAGCTCCCGGGAGCCCTTGGGCGGCCTCAGCTCCTCCCTGGATACTGAAGCCAGCAGGGCCTGCTCAGGCCCATTCATGGAGCAGAGAAGATCCAAGGGCACTAAGAACCTGAAGAAAGGTCCAGTGCCCTGTGCCCAAGACCGGGGCACAGACAGAAGCTCAGACAACTCCCACCAGGACAGGCCAGAGGAACCCAGCCCAGGAGGCTGCCCCAGACTGGTGAGCTGAGTCTGAGAGTTTGGGATAGGAAGGGCCTGGCCATGTTTCTCAATACCATACTTGGCAGTGGAATTTAATAAAGCTAAGCTAGATGGGCGCTTCATGAACATTCTCACATCCCTATTAACTAAACTGGGTAAAATGAGGCCCACAAACTGGGAAAGAGAAAATAAACTACATTCGCTGAATCCTTGTGAGGGGTCATTATCTTTTGGAGTCAGTGAGTCCTGGGTTCGAATTTTGCCTCTGCCCACTTCCTAGCTGAATGACTGTGGGATGTTTTCTTAACCTCTCTAGGTTTCCTCATTGTAAAAAAAGGATACTAATTGCAGCTTCATGGGGTTGTTTCAAGGATTAAATGAGATTATGGTATAAAATAATGTGCCTAGGCCTGGTGCAGTGGCTCACGCCTGTAATCCCAGCACTTTGGGAGGCAGAGGCAGGCGGATCACGAGGTCAAGAGATCAAGACCATCCTGGCCAACATGGTGAAACCCTGTCTCTACTAAAAATACAAAAATTAGCTGGGCATGGTGGCACATGCCTGTTCCAGCTACTCTGGAGGCTGAGGCAGGAGAATCACTTGAACCTGGGAAGCAGAGGTTGCAGTGAGCTGAGATCGCACCACTGTACTCCAGCCTGGTGACAGAGCAAGACTGTCTAAAACAAACAAACAAACAAAAAAAAGGTGCCTAGCACAGCACAAGGCACAAGGTAAATTGCTTAATTCGTGTTAAATTTGCTTTTCCTTTAGTGTTCACAGTTACCCTGTAAGATAGGCGTTAGCCCCATATAACCAGATGGGGAAACTGAGGCTCGGAGGGTTAATAATATTCTCCAGGCTCACATAGCTGGGGAGTCAGTGACCAGCCATGTTCCCTATATCACCACTTCCCTTTCCTTTGTTCTTTTACTTATAATCATCATCATTTTATTAATAATCATAGCTAACATTTATACACCAAAGGCAGAAGAAGACTCTACTTGTTTTTGGTGTATATTTCTCACATAGTTGGATTTTCATCACATTTATTGAATATGCATGATGTGCTAGATGTTTTTGATTTAATCTTCACACGACGTCCACGGAGGTGAGGTTACAGACCCAGCTGGTGAATGGGAGCAAGGCTACAAGCCTAGGCGGTCTGTCTTGAGAGCTCACTGCACTGCCTTCTCTGTGTATTTTCTGTGTTATCGGCACAGTCGTAACAGCATCTGGCTTGCTTAACATGTGCTGGATATTGGGCTAAGCACTTTATCTGCAATCTTTGTAACAAGCCTATGAGGTAGACTCTATTGACATATACCCATTTCACTGATCTGAACACTGAGGCTCTGAGAGGTGACATGAGTACTCAAGGCCAAACAGCCAATTAGTAAAATAGAACCAGTGAGCTGTTTTCCACTATGCATCAAGCCTTTTTACCTATAAATAGGCTCCTATTATGCCTTATTGTTCCAGGACTTTGCTTGGTTTTGTAAGTTCCGTAGTATTTGAAGGTCTTTCCCAGTGGGTTCACCTTGTTCTGCCGAATTTGATCTTTTCCTGAGCCCTGCATCATAGCTGTCTATGGATGTATTTGTCGCAGGCACAGGCGCTGTCGGGATGAGGGCTGGGACTTCCTCTTCTCATTTCCAACCACTGTAGTGTAGTGAGGAGCATGAGCCCTGGAGGCCAATAGGCTAACATTCAATCTTGACTTTGCCACTATCTGAACAACCGAGGTGAGTGGCTTCACCTTTTCAAGTGTAATTCTCTCATCTGCAAAATGTGGGTATGAAGAGTGCTTACCTCCTAGGGAGGTGGTGAGGATGAAATGAGATGACACATGTTTGGCATTTAACACAGTGCTTGGTGCAAGAAAAATACTCAAATAGGTTACCTGTTAGTGACATAAGCAATTTCGTCCTGCTGTAAGTAGTGCAGGGGTGACCATCCTTGTGCGTCTGGCTCCTCCCTTCTTCACATGATTTATTTGGACCAGATGCCCAGAATTGGGATTCCTGGGTCTGCAGCCTTTAAGGGGGCTGGTTTGAGTGCGGTGGTGGAGCCAGCTTCCTGCCTGGCTTGACTGGAAGCAGCCCATGACTGCTGGCTCCTCCAGGCTCCATCCTTGACTGCGGCACAGCCCATCATCCCACAGCTTTCCAAACAACTCGTTGCCATGACAACCAGTACCAGCTGCGGGAGAAGAATTGAGTCTGGGCTGTGACAGGGACAGGCGGGTGGTTGCAGACAGGGCTGAGTGGGGCCTGGGCAATGGGGGGCACAGTGCCCGGCTGGTCTGGAGCCCCGTTTAGGGCCTTAGCACCTTCCCCTGGAGACAGCCTGGCTTGTGGCAGGGGCAGACAGGTTCAAGGTCAAGCTCTGCCTCTTAGTACAGGGTGACTTTAGACATGTCTTCAGACATTTAGATGAGTTTAACTTTTTTTTCTTCCTTTCTTAAGCTCAGTGGCAAGAAGACTTTTTTTTTTTTAATTTACTTTTTTTTTAAGATGGGAGTCTCGCCCTGTCACCCAGGCTGGAGTGCAGTAGCACAATCTTGACTCACCACAACCTTTGCCTCCTGGTTTCAAGGGATTCTCCTGAGTAGCTGGGACTACAGGTGTGGGCCACCATGCCCGGCTAATTTTTGTGTTTTTAGTAGAGGCAGGATTTCACTATGTTGGCCAAGCTGGTCTCAAACTCCTGACCTCAGGTGATCCGCTGCGTCGGCCTTCCAAAGTGCTGGGATTACAGGCATGAGCCACTGCGCCTGGCTGCAGAAAGACTTTAGACATTTAGAAATGTCTCTTCTCTGAATCTGAGTTGCCTCCTCTATGAAGTGGGGAGAATGAAGTGGGCCCCAGAACTGCCAGGAGTCTGATATCAGAGGCTGGCCGTGTTGTATTCTTCTGGCATGAACCAGAGACTCTTGGAGGAGAGATGGGAGGGGGACTGGATGCCATTCTCTTGTCCGTCCTGGGCCCCACAGTGGCCAGTGAGGTTTGGAGCTGCTCTATGGGTGGGATAGCAGTGGGTGTGTGTGTGTGGGGCAACTCTGCCAGTGACCCTGGGCTGCTCACATTCCACCAGTCATAACCAGGGAGGCACACAGCTCCTCTGGCCTGACCCAGAATCCCTGGTTCAAGGTATGCTGTCTGTAGCTGCAAAGTGTCAAGAGGTGAGTGAAGGAGGAGAGTGTCTTCCTAACAGAAGAGCAGCCTAAGAGGAGCTCGTTTCATTAGTGTGCCTACTATAGACTGAGAGCTTCAAGTATGTCATCTCATTTAATCCTTACATTAACCATTAAAGGTCAATGTCGGCCAGGCGTGGTGGCTCACACCTGTAATCCCAGCACTTTGGGAGGCCAAGGCGGGTGGATTGCTTGAGCTCAGGAGACCAGCCTGGGCAATGTGGCAAAACCCTGTCTGTAGAAAAAATACAAAGATTAGCTGGGCATGGTGGCTTGTGCCTGTAGTTCCAGCTACCCAGGAGGCTGAGGTGAGAGGATCACCTGATTCCAGGAGGTCAAGGCTATAGTAAGCTGTGCTGGTGCCCCTGCCTTCCAGCCTGGGCAACAGAGTGAGACCCTGTCTCAAAAAAAAAAAAAAAAATTCAACACTAATATCCCCATTTTACTAAGTAAGAAAACTGGGCTTCCGAGAAGTTAAGTGACTCACTCAGGCCACATCGCGAGTAAGTGGCCGAGCCAGGGTTTGACTCCAGTCCTGCATAACTTGACTGTTCACGGGGCTTTATTATAATTTGTTGAACAAGGAGGGGGCTCGTCCAGGGATCTTACAGTCTAGTGGGAGGAGAAAACCACTAACCAGAGAATTGAAATACAGACTGAAGCCCAGTGGACTGTGGATGTCCAGAGGGGAGGGGAGGGCAGAGGAGGGGGCTGTCTAAACTGGGTCTAGGCAAGGGAAGTAGGTGTTCAGCAGGTGAGAAAGTAGGAGAGGCTTGCTAGGAAGAGGGCAGTGCTCTGCAGAGCTGCATTGCAAGAGGCAGCTTGGAGTGTTGCAGGAGTAGAGGGTGGGGGTTACAGGTGGAACGGGAGCCAGGTGGGAGAGGCCAGCTTGAATGGAAATGGAGAGCCTGCAGGGTGGTCGAGTGTCAGGATGGCCTTTCTCCAGGGCAGGGACCAAGGAACTTTATCAACACAGGCATTTACAGAGAGAGCTTCTTCTGTTCCAGGCACTGTTCTAAGAGTCTCGAATAGTGATAATGATCGTTGCCCCAACACCATGAGGTAGATACTGGTATTATCTTCATGCTACTGATGAGAAAACTGAGGCACAGAGAGATTAAGTAACTTTCCCAAGATCACACAGTTCCTAAGTGTTGGCACCAAGTATCCCCATTGCATGAATATGCCCCAATTTATTTATTTGTTGACTCCATGTGGACATTTGGGTTTTTTGGTGTTTTTTTTTTTGGCTACTACATATAGTGCTGCTGTGATAGTTTTGTATGGTTTTTGGTACATATGGGGTATCTCCAGGGAATATTTTCTGGGGTGGAATTGCCAGGTTATAGAGTGGACACATCTTCAACTTAAATGGTGCCAGATGTTTTCTAAAGTGGTTGAAATAGTATACACCCCCATCAGCAGTGTATGAATATTCTGGTGACTTCACATCTTCACCAGCCCTTGATGGTAGCAGACTTAGGTTTTTTGCTGAAATGGAGATATGCTGTGGTGTCTCAATGTTGTTTTAATTTCCACTGCCCTCTTACTAAGGAGCATCTTTTCATGCATTTTGGTTATTCTTATTAAGTCTTTTCTTTAAAAAGTTTTTTGGCTGGAGTACAGTGGCATGATCTCAGCTCACTGCAACCTCCCCCTCCCAGGTTCAAGCGATTCTCCTGCCTCAGCCTCCCAAGTAACTGGGATTACAGGTACCCGCCACCATGCCCGGGTAATTTGTGTATTTTTAGTAGAGACGGAGTTTCACCATATTGGTCAGGCTGGTCTTGAACTCCTGACCTCAGGTGATCCTCGGCCTCCCAAAATGCTGGGATTGCAGGCATGAGCCACCAGGCCTGGCCTGTTTTGTGCTTTGCATATGTTTTGCATTTCTACACTTTCTCCCATGTAAAAACACAATTGAGTTTTGTTTATTGATTTTGCATCCAGAAATCTTGCTTTTATTAATCTATATAATTTATCTATTTGGATTTTGTTTGTTTTCTATGTAGACAAATGACAGTTTTTGTTATTTCCTTTCCAGTTCTTTACATCTCTCTTCCCTTCCCTTTCCTTACTGTACTAGCTAAGACTGTTAGTATAGTGTTGCATAGAAATGGTGATAGCAAGGAACCCGTGACTTATTCTGGATTTTAAAGGAAATGTGGTCATCGTTTCACCTTAAGTATGACACTTGCTATGTTATTTATATAGATGCCCTTTATCAGGTAAAGGAAACTCCCTTCTCTTCCTGGTTTGCTAATTATTTATAATTATTATTATAATTATTACAATTACAATATTTACAATTATTATAATTATTATTATTGCACAGTGCATTTAATCACATGTGTTTTTTCCATTTCTGAGATAATAGTATGATTTTTATCTTCGAATTTATTAACGTTAATTTAAGGAGTTAGTGTTTTTTTTTTTAAATATTAAGTTTTTTAAAATGTTAAGTTCTTGCCTTGCTGGAACAAACCCAATTTGGTAATGCTATATCTTTTTCGTATTTTGTGAATTCAATTTCATGTTTTGTTTCGGGTTTTCAATGGATGAATTAACTGGCCTGAAATGATTTGTTCTATAATACCCTTGTGAGATTTTGGTATCAGGGTTTTGCTAGCTTCATAGAATGAATTGTGGATTATCTTTTTGTTTTCTATTTTCTGGGATAATGTATTTAAGATTGGAATTATTTGTTCTTTGGACATTTTGATAGAATGGCTGGTTAAAAAAAGTATGGACTGATGTTCTCTTTAGGGAAGGTGTTTCCTTCCCTACTGATTCAATTTATCTTGTGGCTATAGGTTTATTCAGTGTTGTTTTTCTCTTGAATCAATTTTGGTAAGTTATACTTTTCTAGATATCTATTTGTTTCATCTGAGTTTTCAAATTTATTGGCATGTTGGCATACAGTATTTCACAATAGCCTCTTATCTTTAAGGACTGCGCACTTGTAATTATACATTCCAAATTTTAGCTAGTTATACCTCCTCTCTTTTCCTTAATCAATCTTGTCAGACAATTGTCAGTTTTTTCAAAGAACCGATTTTTGGTTTGTTCATCCTCTCCACTATATGTTTGTTGTCAATGTCACCTTCCGTTCAGTTTATGCTACTATTTATAAAGTCTTAAAAATTATGCTTAGTTCATTAGTTTTCTGCCTTTTTTCCTTTCTAATAAAGTCATTTAAAGCTATAAAAGAACCTTTTAATTATCGCTTTTGCTGCATTCATAGACTTAACATACAGTCTTATCATTCAATCTCAATATTTTATCATTTTTAATTACAATTTTTCTTTGACCTATCTGTTATTTAAAAGTCCCTTCCCTCCCCTTCTCTTCCCTCCCCCTCCCTCCCCTCCCCTCCCCTCCCCTTTTGAGACAGAGTCTGGCTCTATCCCCCAGGCTGGAGTGCAGTGGTGCTATCTTGGCTTACTGCAGCCTCCACCTCCCAGCTTCAAGCAATTCCCATGCCTCAGCCTCCCAAGTAGCTGAGATCACAGGCGTGTGCCACCACGTCTGGCTAATTTTTGTATTTTTAGCACGGAGATGGAGTTTTGCCATGTTGGCCAGGCTGGTCTCAAATTCTTGACCTGAGGTGATCAACCCGCCTGACCTCCCAAAGTGCTGGGATTACAGGCGTGAGCCACCACGCCTGGCTAAGAGTGTATTTCTTAATTTCCAAACATATTTTGTTGCTTTTGTCTTTATTGCCTTCTAACTTAATGATATTGTGGTCTGAGAAGTTGGTCTTTATCTGAGTTATCCAGTCTGATAGCCACTGGCCGCTTGTGTCTATTGAACACTTGAAATTTGGTTAGTCCAAATTGAGATGTACTGTAAGTGTAAAATATACACTGAATTTCAAAGACTCAGTACAAAAAAAAGTAAACATTTCATTAATAGTTGTTCATGGCTGGGCGCGGTTCCTCACGCCTGTAATCCCAGCACTTTAGGAGGCCTAGGCGGGCGGATAATGAGGTCAGGAGTTTGAGACCAGCCTGGCCAACATAGTGAAACCCTGTATCTACTGAAAACAAACAAACAAACAAAATTAGCCAGGCGTGGTGGTGGGCACCTGTAATCCAAGCCACTCAGGAGGCTGAGGCAGGAGAATCGCTTGAACCTCGGGGGCGGAGACTGCAGTGAGCCGAGATCGCACCACTGCACTCCAACCCTGGGCAACAGTGTGAGACTCCGTCTCAAAAAAAAAAAAAAAGTTTTCATATCGATTGCATGTTGAAATGATAATATATTGGATATGATGAATTAAAGAAACTACAAAATTAATTTCACTTTTTAAAATGTGGCTACCATATTTAAAAGTACACATGTGGCTTATGTTTCTGTTGGGCAGTGCTGATCTAAAAAAGTCTTTTGAAATTTGTTGATATTTGCTTTTTGGCCCAGGCTTTGCTCAATTTTTATATATGTTGCATGTATACTGGAAAATAATATGTATTCTCTAGTTATTAGGATTAATATTCCGTATATATTTATATATATGTACAGATGAAGCTTGTTGATTTCATTAATTATTTTTTATTCCTACTGATTATTTTGTCAGCTTTATTTATCAATAGTTAGAGAGATATATGAAATTTTCTTGCTCTCATGGTGGATTTGTCTTTTTGCTTGTAGTTTTTTTTTTGCTTTATAGTTTTTGAGCTTATGCTATTAGATGCTTATAAGTTTAGAGTTGTTATAGCTTCCTGGTAAAACTACATATCATTATGTAGTCAGTCTTTGCCCTCTAATGATTTTTTGCCTTAAAATCTGTTTTATCTGATTATTAATATAGCTACAAAGCTTTATTTTGGTTGGTTATTTGCCTGTTCGTATATTATTCCATTTTGTTATTTTAACCTTTTTGCATAATTATGTTTTAGAAATGGGTCTCATAAAGACTTTATAACTGTATTTTCTTTCCTTAAAGGTCTGATAATTTTTGTATTTTTCTGAAGTATTAGTACATTTACATTTGTTATAGTTACTGATTTATTTACATCTACTCCTACCATTTTATTCTGTGCTTTTTTTTGAGACACAGTCTCACTCTGTTGCCCAGGCTAGACTGCAGTGGCGTGATCATAGCTCACTGCAGCTTTGATCTCCCGGGCTCACAATTCTCCCACCTCAGCCTCCCAAGTAGCTGGGACTACGGGTGCATGCCACTGTGCCTGGCTCTTTAAAAAAAAATTTTGGTAGGGCCAGGGTCTGGCTGTGTTGGCCAGGCTGGTCTCGAATTCCTGAGCTCAAGCAATCCTCACACCTCAGCTTCCCAAGGTGCTGGGATTACAGGTGTGAGCCACTGCACCCGGCCTGTTTTGTGCTTTGCGTATGTTTTGCATTTCAGCACTTTCTCCCTTTCATTGCCTCCTTTTGGATTATTTTTTCTTACTCCTTTTTATCCCTCTAGTAGTTTAGATGTTTCCTATCCTCAGTTTATATTTTTTTGGTGGTTCTCTTAGAAATTTGAGCACAGGCCGGGCTCGGGGCTCACACCTGTGATCCCAGCACTTTGGGAGGCCGGGGCCAGTGGATCACAGGGTCAGGAGATGGAGACCATCCTGGCTAACACGGTGAAACCCTGTCTCTACTAAAAATACAAGAAAAAAATAGCCGGGTGTGGTGGCGGGCGCCTGTAGTCCCAGCTACTCAGAAAGCCTAGGCAGGAGAATCGCTTGAACCCGGGAAGTGGAGGTTGCAGTGAGCCAAGATCATGCCACTGCATTCCAGCCTCGGTGACAGAGCGAGACTCCATCTCAAAAAAAAAAAAAAGAAAGAAAGAAAGAAAAAAGAAATTTGAGCACAAATAACTAACTTATCAAAGTATAAAGGTAGTTACAATCTTTGTCTTACTCCAAAATGATATAGGGATCTTGGAATGCTCTAATTCCAAGCGCGTACCTTTCCAATTTGTGTGTTGTTGTTATCCAGTAAATTAGTCCTATCTTTTTTTTTAAAAAATCCCCAAATTACACACTGTTATTATAGTTTCATACAATCAATGTTTATTTAGATTTAACAACATCTTCATCATTTTCTTTGCTCAAAATTCTTCCTTTCATCTTATCTATCTGGGATTGTTTTTCCTTCCTTCTGCCTCAGGTTTATCTTTTAGCATTTTGTTTATTGAGCAAAGCAAAATTATCAAGAAAAATAACAGCTCTCTTGATTTTTCTCTACAGTATCTTTATTTCTTCCTTATTCTTGAAAAGTATTTTGTCTGGGTCCACAATTGATAGTTATTTTCTTTAAGCACATTGAAAATATTATTTTTTTATGTTTTGCTTTTCATTATTACTATTGAGAAAGTAGCTGTTAGTCTAATTGCCATTCCTTTATAGATGAAAGGTATTTTGGTGAATGGGATCATAGAATAGTAGTTGAAGTTATGGCCTCTGGAATCAGACTGTCTGGATTTAAATCCCAGCTCTTTGGTTTTCTAGCTGTGTGACATTGGGCAAGCTGATTAACCTCCCTGTGCCTCTATGTGCCTTAGTTTCCTCTTTTGTAAAATGGGGGAGATAACAGTACCAGTACCTCATAAGATTATGGTGAGGATTAAATTAACTAATATGTAAAGCACTTGCCACAGATGTAGCACATTTTAAGTGCTAGTCAAGTGTTAGCTATTATTTTTTCTCTTTATGCGTGTAAGGATCTCCTTATCATGAGTGTTGATGTGTCTAGGTATGAATTTCCTTTTATTTATTCTGTTTGAGATTCACTGAGCTTTTTGAATCTGTAAATTTTTGTCTTTTATCAATTTTGAAAAATTCTTAGCCCTATTTCTTTAAACACTGCTTCTACCCATTCTCTTTCCTCTCTCCTTCTGGAACTTTAGATTAATCATTTTCACCCTTCCTTCCTTCCTTTCTTCCTTCCTTCCTTCTTTCTTCCTACCTTTCTTTCTTCTTTCTTTCCCTCCTCCTCCTCCTTCTTCTCCTTTCCTTTCCTTTCCCTTTCCTTTCCTTTCTTCTCCTTTCTTTTCTTCTCCTCTCCTTTCCTTTCCTTTATTTTGAGACAGTGTCTTGCTGTGTCACCCAGGCTAGAGTACAGTGGTGTGATCATAGCTCACTGCAGCCTTGACTTCTCCGGCTCAAACAATTCTGCCGCCTCAGCCTCCTGAGTAGTTGGGACTACAGGTACACACCACCATGCCTGGCTATTTTTTTTTTTTTTCTTGTTTTTGTAGAGACAGGGTCTCGCTATGTTTCCCAGGCTGCTCTCAAACTTCTGGCCTCAAGCGATCCTCCTGTCTCGGCCTCCCAAAGTGCTGAGATTACAGGCGTGATGTGTCTCTTAGTGCTTCACAGTGTTCACAAAGTGCAACACATTTAATTTATTTAAATGTGTTGTCCAGTTAGCTAATTTGTTTCAGCTGCATCTAATATGCTATTAAATCTATATATTGAGTTTTTAAATTTTAATTAAGATCGTTATATTTTTCATTCCCAGAAGTCGTGTTTGGTTCCCGATCAAATCTGCCCGGTTGTTTTTTGTAGTTTTTTTGTCCTTCACTCATGTGTTCGTCTCCTTCTTTTATTTCTTTAAACATATTATACATACATAGTTTGTATTCTGGTCTGATAGTCCAGTGTTGAAAGGCTTCGCTCATCTCATTCTCCTGCCTGTTGTTTTGGAGCCTCATAACATGGACGTTAGGACCCCTGAGACGGGCCAGCCAAAAGGCTTTGAACTGTGAAGGGCTGGTCTTGATATTCTTCCCACACCCCTGTTTTCTTTGTTTTTTTTTTTTCTGCCTCTTTCTCAGTTTACTTTTTTGAAAGGCTGATTCATTTCCATGGTTCAAAAAAACAAAAAAAGTGAAACTCATCTTTCCCGGCACCCAGTTGCTTCCCTACTGGCAGCCTGGGTTAGATAGGTTCTTGCAGATACTTCCTGTGATATTTTATGTGTATTCCAGCAAATACAAATTTTAAAATTCGTTCTGTCTGTAACGCGAATGGTAGCACACCACACGTATTGTTCTGAACTTGTTTTTAATAAAAAAACATGTTTCCGGTTGTAAAAGAAATACACGCTCGTTTTGAATAACATGAATACCCAAGTTCCTACAAGTAGAAAGTGAAAGTCTCCCTGGAATTTCATTCCCCAGAGATAACCTCTATTATGTATCTGTAAATATATATTTACATAAATGGGCTTATGCAACAGATATTGTTCTGTAACCTATTTTTTCTTTTTCTCCCAATAATACTTCTTGACATCTTTCCATGAATCTTTCCATGTCTCCACATAGCCCCGCAGCTAAGTGCTTGGGCTTTGGAGTCAGACAGAGCTAGGTTCTAATACTAGCTCTGCAGCTTAGCAGCTATAGGACTTTTCAGATCCTCTTGGAGCCTCAGTTTCCTCATCTGTAAAATGGGGATAGAAATAGTATATACCTCATGGTGTCATTCTGAGACCTTAATAGCATGAATGATGTGCTTCTGTGGGGCCAGCTACTTCATAAACCCTCAACAAGTGGTAATTTTTATGATGACTTCCTTACCCTTTATAAGCCACATAGAATTCGTAGTATGAAGTGTCACCATTTATTAACCATTTCCCTTTGATGGGCCTTTTTTTTGAGATGGAGTCTCACTCTGTCACCCAGGTTGGAGTGCAGTGGCACGATCCTGGCTCACTGCAACCTCCGCCTCCTGGGTTCAAGTTATTCTCCTGCCTCAGCCTCCCGAGTAGCTGGGATTACAGGCACCCGCCACCATGCTCAGCTAATTTTTGTATTTTTAGTAGAGACGGGGTTTCACCAGGTTGGCCAGGCTGGTCTCGAACTCCTGATCTCAGGTGATCCACCCGCCTCAGCCTCCCAAAGTGCTGGGATTACATGCGTGAGCCACTGCACCTGGCCTGATGGACATATTTTTTATTAACCATTTCCCCTTTGATGGACAACTTTTTGCTGTAAGTACAACTCAGTGAACACTGAACACACACCCTTTCAACAAGATTGTCTTCTTTTTGTGAATTCCCTGCCATGGGGTGGCTGGGTCCTCTGGATTCTAATCTCTGCATCCTCTTTCTCTCCAAGGAGGAAGTGAAAATACCCCATGGAGTGAAGCTTGTGTGCTACGTAGGTTTTTACATTTTATTATTGCTTTTCTTTCTCCCTTGCCTCAGGTGGGGTGGAGTGGGAGGGCTCCTCCACAGTAGATGTGGAGATCCTACCCCCACCCAGCCTGCCCTCCCCCAGTGGATCCTAGTGCTCCCCTCCCTCTATAATGTTGGATCTTAGACTTTTAGTTTCCTGCAGACCTTGGAACCTGACCATTTCATGATCATTCATTCAAGGATTAGTTTTCAGACTCACCTACTTTTAAAACAATTCCCTGTGGTTTGCAATAAATGAAAAGAATTGAAACACACTTAAAATGGGCTAAAAGCCTAAAGAAAGCAAGAAAAGAGGAAGGAGGTGGGGGATCTTGTTACAACAACACCTTGCTCTCTACCAATCCTGGAAAGGTACACCTGCCAGGCTCAAAGTTAACACTGAGCTTCCTGGCAGCCATAGCAAAAAGCCGAGCGGGACAGATTCCGTAGTTCATTAGAAGAACAAAATCTACTTTGCACCTTGAAATGGTCATGAAGGGATTTCTTTTATGGGCAATAGGGGAGTGATCAGCAGCCTTACAGAGTGTAAGCCTTACAGATGCCTGCATTTGGCTGCTTCAAGGGAGAGGCAGACAACAAGTCAGTGACCCCTGAAAGGGGCATGACAGAGCTTTGAGCAGGAGGAGGGGGAGTCAGAACAAGGTATGTCCCTCCTGATGAGATGCATCTGTGGTCAGAAGAAGAGTGAGAGGGTCCTGGCACAGAGTTCAGTTAACTATGAATGTGACTGGGGGTTAAGGGGGAAGTTGAGAAAGGATGCGGATGGAGACAGGCCCCTCTCCTGGGACAGAGGCTAGCCAGGTAGCAAACTTTCACTGAACACTATGTGCCAGGCCTTTTCCAAGCATTGCAAATACAGCGGGGACCAGGACAGGCATGTTCTCTATCCTCACGGAGCTTACACTCCAGTGGGAGAGAGATGTTCAACAATTACAGATGAGGCGAGCACTCTGAAGGCGGGGACAGCGGCTGGCCCCGCTTGCTTCTGAAGTGCGATCTCCCCCGCAGCTGGGTTCCGGGCCAGTGATCCAGCTCCTGGGGGCCATCAGCCACGGCCAGGCAGGGGGGCAGCTGCCACCAAAGCTGGAGGTTCTAGAGGACTTGATGGAGGTCAGCTCACCCTCACCTGCCCAGAGGCTCAGAAGGAAGAAAAGGCCCATGGTGCAGGGCCCTGCTGGGTGCCAGGTACAGAACAAGTGATGTCATTTAATCCTGCTGAGAGAGGCACCTTCACACCTGATTCACAGAGATGTCACTGAGGCTCAGAGAGAGGGTGCCACTTGCTCGCGGTCATTCAGAATAGCCAGAGGCAGGGTTCGGCCCCAGCCTGCATGGCTGGCCTGGGCTCCATGTGTACTACTTTCTGCAGCTCTGAATTCAGGGTGGACTGGAGGAGGGAGGGGCTGGGCCTCCAGTACATCTGGGGAGGGAACAGTCCCTGGCCTCCATTTCCGGCCAATAGCTTGTCTGCTCCCTGCCCCAAGGTTTTCCAGCCTTCTCCTTCAGGAGGCACAGCAGGGGACCCTGGTGGCCTCTCTGACCCCTTCTACCCTCCAAGAAGCGGTTCCCTGGCCCTTGGCGACCCCAGCTCGGACCCTGCATGTTCCCAGGCAAGTTGTTCTGCCCCGGCCATGTGCCTCCTTCACTGGAGCATGGGTCAGGGAGGACGTGGGAGTGGGGAGGTGACTAGAGGAAGCAGTGTCCCCTGGGCTGGAAGCCAGGCCCACCAGCACAGCCTCAATTCCTCACGCCTCCCCTACAGAGTGGCCCAATGGAGGCTGAAGAGGATTCTCTTCCGGAGCAGCCAGAGGACTCAGGTGAAGGGCCCTGGAGGGAGCCTCTTCTGCTTCCAGAGACTGCTGGGGTCTGGGGAGGACTCAGGCCCAGCTCCTGGGCCCAGCCCCTGCTATGATTCTTCTCTCCCCACATCCCATCAGCCTATAGCTCCTCCCCAAAGGGGTGGGGGAAGGGGTGGGGGCCACTGGCTGCCTGGGCTTGGCTCCCAGATGGATAGAGGGAGGGGTCTAGGTCTTTGAGGGTGGGACCCCTCTCCTGTCTGCCTAAACCCATCAGCCTTGAGTCAGCCCCCTCCCCTTTCCCCTGGGCACCCCTGGGAGCCTGTGACGCTCTCTCCCTACAGCTCAGCTCCAACAGGAGAAGCCATCCCTGTATATTGGGGTGCGGGGCACTGTTGTCCGTTCCATGCAGGAGGTACTATGGACTCGGTGAGGCCTTGCTCCCCACTCCCCTGACATCCCAAGGGCCGCCCTCACATGCCCCCGCCTCCGGGGCCCTGCCATGTTCTAAGGGCTTCTGGGTGTCTGGCTAACCCCATTTGGTAGCTGTGCCAGGTCCCTTGCCCATACCAAGAGCCAGTGGAGAGCTGAAATTTGAAGCTGGGTCTCTCTGGCTTTAAGGCTGTGCTTCCCCACTTAGCTGCTGCAGCTCTCAGCCTCGGCTCAGGTCCATCCACATCAATGTCACCCGCAGCAAATGCTTTCACGTAGAGTGTGTGCTGGGAGCGGCTCAGAGATCTGAGCCCAGAGCTGTCATTTGCTGATGGGGAGACCAAGGCTCAGAGAGGGTTGGACTTTGCAAAGGCCACACAGCAAGTCAATGACAGATGACACCGAGGGCCAGGGCTCCATTCTCTCCCCCTGACTCCTGCCTTACTCTGACCTGACCCCGGCTTCCTCCCCTCCACACATCCCGTGAGCCAGAGACGGGGCACAGGCTGGTGAGTCAGACAGTCGAGTTTCAAATCTTGCTTTTGCCACTAATTACACAGTTGTGAGTAAGCCTCTTATTTTCCCTGAGCCCCAGTAACCCCATCCATAAAAGGAGAATGATCCTATTTCCTCCTCACGGAGTTGGGGTGAGAATAAGTAGGTTCCTGCAGGGAAACACCCACGACAGGAACAAGTTGGCCCAGACCCTGCCGCCCACCCAGCTGCCTCCCTCTGGGACTAAGTGCCTGGAGAGCCTCCTGGGCTCAGTGCCCCCGCCCTGCCCTGGCCTCCACAGCCTTCGGGAGCTCCCAGACCCAGTGCTGAGTGAGGAGGTGGTGGAGGGCATTGCTGCTGGCATTGAGGCAGCCCTCTGGGACCTGACACAAGGCACCAATGGCCGGTACAAGACCAAGTATCGCAGCCTGCTGTTCAACCTGCGGGACCCCAGGAACCTGGTGAGCAGGGCTTTGGGCTGGGCTGCGTCCCCTCTCTGAATCTCAGAGCCCCTGCAGGATGCTAGGGTGGGGGAGCTCTTTCAGCGTGTGGTGCAGCCCTGCCCCCTGCCCCCACCAGGACTTGTTTCTCAAAGTGGTTCATGGAGATGTCACCCCCTACGACCTGGTGCGGATGAGCTCGATGCAGCTGGCCCCCCAGGAGCTGGCCCGCTGGCGGGACCAGGAGGAGAAAAGGGTGAGTGCTGAGCCCAGTCGGGATGGGTGAGGGGATGTAGGGGCAGAGTGGGTGGCCTGAGAGTGGAAGAGGGAGAGACAGAGACAGGGAGGGAGGGAGGAGGAATTCAGAAAGACAGAAACAAGGAAACAGAGAAGGCAGATAGGGAGTCAGAGAGACCCTCCCCACAAGAGAAACAGGAGAAGGGGTGGAAATGAAAGGGACTGGGAATGGAGAGCTTGGTAGAGATGTGACACACTTGGTTTTCAGTTGAGCTGGACTGTGGGGTGGGGGGCTTGGGAGAGGACTGTGGTGAGACCTAGAGTCCGGAGTCCTGAGGTACCTCTTTTCCGATCCCAGCTTCAGATGCCCTGGAAAAGCCTGGAGGTCTTCCTGGTACCCCAGGTTGGGGGAGGGGCCCCATAGCCCCTGGGTTCACAGCTGTGTCCCCATATACCCTGTATCCATGGGTCTCTCCCTGCCTGGGAACTGCTCTGGGACAGGGAAGCTGTGGCACTGAGCAGGCTTTGGAGAATGCTCACCTCATGTTTGTTGGTGGCCCAGTGAGAGAAGAAGGGACTGATTTAGGGGCTGAGGCCACTGGGATGGGGCGAGGCACTCCAGCCCCTGCTCTGGAAGACACTGAACTGATTAGAATGAATAACCAAGAGTCCATCAGGTGAATCTGTCCACTATAGGCTGAGCTTCTGTCCAGGCTCTGTGGGGGCCAGGGATCAGGACTGGCTTTGTAATTTGTGGGAGCCAGTGCAGAATGAAAATGTGGGGCCCTTTGTTCAACAACTGCTAAGAATTTCAAGGTGACAACAACAGAGCGCTAAACCAAGCGTGGGCCTCCTAAGTGCAGGGCCCTGTGCGATTGCACAGATCTCATGCCCACGAGGCTGATCCCACCAGAGAGGAGCAGACCTCCTGTTCTCCAGGGGTTGTTAGAAAAGGAGAGACAGGTTTTCAGGAAGTATTGCAGATAGAGTGACATTGATCGACAGTAAGACTCACAACTAGCATTTACTATGAGCCATGTTCCAGGCTAAGCACTCTATATATGTTGTTTAATATAGTGCTTTAAATTAAATTCCTACAGAACAGATAAACTGAGGCTTAGAGCAGCTAAGTGCTTGCCCCAGGCCATACCATCTTATGAATCTTTATTAATGGCCCAGTGGGAACTCCAGAGCCTGCACTCTTTCAGCAACACCACACCCTTCCCAGAAAAGGATGAGGTACCGTCAGAGGTTGAATTGACCTGTGAGTGAAAGCGAAATCCGGGAAGGCTTCCCGGAGGAGGCAGGACTTGAAGGGTGAATCAGTGGAATACGGAGAGGTAGCGCTAAGGGTGGAGGGCTTCCCAGAGGAGGGGTATGGCGGAAGTAAAAGTTTTGAGGAGAGGGGAACCACAAGAGAGGGGCCTCAAGGGAGGAAAGTGAGCACTTGGGCTTTTGATGGCCAGAGGCCCCCTAACTGGGCTCAGCTTGGCCTGCTCCACCTCTTCAGGGCCTGAATATCATTGAGCAGCAACAGAAGGAGCCGTGCAGACTTCCAGCCTCCAAAATGACCCACAAGGGCGAAGTGGAGATTCAGCGGGACATGGACCAGACACTGACCCTGGAGGATCTGGTGGTTAAGTTGGAGCCTGACCTGGTGCTGGGCAGAGCCCATGCCTGGGGGTCCCACGCCTCGCCTCACCAGCAGTGTGGTCTTGGGCATGTCACCTGACTGCTCTGAGGCCCACCTTGTTTGTGATAAAACGGGGACAGCGATCCTTAACGCATAGGGGAACATGGGGTGGGACAGTGCTGCTGGCACAGGCCTGCCAGCGCCTTGTCACTGTCGGTCCTCCTCCTTTTGGCCTCACCCCAAGGCCCCCACATGAGTGGTATTAAGTCCCATCATCATAGTCATCCCCAACCTGGCATTCTGCCCAGATCTCTGCTGGGAAGCAGCAGGCTGCGCTGTTCCAGGCAGTGACTTTTTCAGATGGAAGGAACGAAGACCCACTGTATTCAGTGGATTGGTTTAGGGATGCTCCAGGCAGGGAACCACCCGGCACCCTGGCAGTCCATCCAGAGGGCCTCCTGGAACTTGTCCTCAGACCTGGGAAGCCAACGGGAGTGACAATAGTCTAGGGCTCTTGGCGCTGAGGATCTGCTCCATCCTCATGTCCATCCTGCTCCTTCCTCTCCCTTGGCCCTGGCTTGCACATAGCCTGACATGGTGGCTCAGCAGCCCCAGAATCCATGAAGCCATCATCTCAGACTCCTGCAGTTGATTAGAACTTTCCCTTGGCTTCCTTCGGTCACTCTCAGAAGGCCACTCTGGCTGTAGTTGAATGTTCTGTGGGTCAGATGTTCACCTGGGTCTCATCAGCTGCCTGTTCAGGAGAGGGGTGCAGGGCAGGTCCCTTTAACTATATTCAGTCAGTCAGTATATTTATGGGGCACCTACCAGGTGCCAGGCACGGTTCTAGGCACTGGGGAAGTGACAGTGAACGACAGAAATCCCTGCTCCCCACTCCTACCACTAATATTCAGGCCAACGACTGGGAGAACCTCTACCTGTGCCAAGAGGATCCCTAAGGGGTGTGGCTGCTCCTCAGTCTAAATCAGTTTGTATTCCCTGAACAAACTGAATGGCAATGTAGGAGAAAGACCTAGATAGCCCCAGAGAGGAAGAGAGAGAGGAGGTGGGAGGGGAGGGGAGGGGAGGGGAAAATAACACATGATAGCTATCTTTACTGTTTATTGAACACCTACTGTGTGCACCTTTTACAAGCAGTGTCTCATTCACATCTCACAATGGCCTAGGAGGTTGGTGCTATTCCCTGCCCATTTCTGGGATGAGGAACCTGGCACCAAGGTCACATATGTGCAGTGGGGAAGCTGAGATTTGAACCCAGGCTGGCTGACTCCAAAGCCTGTGCTTTGAGACTGTTCTGGAGGTGGCTGATAAGAGTAGAGTTTCAAAATCTCTTTAAACCTTCCTAAAGCAATGATTGTTTTATGTTTAAAGCTATTTCTAGTATGAGGAAAAAAAGTGATTTGGCAATAGACGTCAAGAGTCTTTAAAATGTTCCTTCTCCCTGATTCTGTCATCTGCTTCTGAAATCTTGTCCTAAGGACATAATTTAAAGTTTAGGAAACTACTTTCTGCACAAAAAATGTCCTCAGTGCTATTTAGTAATAGTGAAAACCTGGAAATGACCCAAATGTATAGCAACAGAGGTGAGACGTCCACTCCAGTCTCACCCCATCACAGCAGTGTCTACGGGGACTATATGATGTGACAAATGCCTCTGCTATTATTAGTGAACAAAAAGAGAACACCAAGTTGAATATATGATCCCAGCTGTTTCAGGAAAAGGACCCCCAAACCCTGTGTATAGAAAAAGATTATAAAGGGCTGGGCACGGTGGCCCACACCTTTAATCCCAGCACTTTGGGAGGCCGAGGCGTGTGGATCATGAGGTCAAGAGATGGAGACCATCCTGGCCAACCAACATAGTAAAACCCCGTCTCTACTAAAAATACAAAAATTAGCTGGGCATAGTGGCACACGCCTATAGCTACTCAGGAGGCTGAGGCAGAAGAATCGCTTGAACCGGGGAGGTGGAGGTTGCAGTGAGCCGAGATCGAGCCACTGCACTCCAGCCCAGGCAACAGAGCAAGACTCTGTCTCAAAAAACAAACAAACAAACAAAAAAAAAAAAAAGAAAAGAAAAAAAAAGAAAAAGATTGTAAAGGAATACCCAGGATATCAACAGTGGTCTCTGAGTGGTGTGACAAGAAGTGATTTTCTTTTTAATTTTCAAGTTTTGGTGTTTTCCAAATTTTCTTTATGAGTTCACAGTATTTTGGTAATAAAACAACATTTATTATTGAGAAAAATAAACCACATCCTGGGGCCCCCTACCCATGGAGGCCTCCGGGCACCCCCAGCCACGTTTTCAGCCTGCCCCTCTGTCTTCTGCCTCCCAGGGACCGCAGATGTTCATGGACTGCAGCCCACAGGCCCTGCCCATCGCATCAGAGGACACCACGGGGCAGCATGACCACCACTTCTTAGACCCCAACTGCCACATCTGCAAGGGTGGGAGGGGACACGGGAGGGGTGCAGGGGTGGCAGCCAGGCTGGGGCTGAGCGTGCAGTTCAGCAGCAACAGGGATTTGTGGCCTGGGGAGAGGGTGGCAGAGCAGGGGTGCCCGTGCCCCAGGTCACCTAGAAAAGAACCTGGTTCAACCCTGGCTCTAAAGCCCTGGGCTGGCTTCAGCGCTGCTGCTGCCCCTGTTTCAGCTCCTGCCTCTGCTATTTGCAGACTGGGAGCCCTCGAATGAGCTGCTAGGCTCCTTCGAAGCCGCCAAGAGCTGCGGGGACAATATCTTCCAGAAAGCCCTAAGCCAAACTCCTATGCCTGCTCCAGAGATGCCCAAAACCAGGGAGTTGTCTCCCACGGAACCACAGGACAGGTGTGGGGTTGGGAGCAGGGAGGTGGATAACCCAGCAGGGTTGAGGGGGAGGCCACCACCTGGTGCAACAGACATAGCACTGGCTTTTCCTGTGTGGCCTTGGGCAAGTCTTCCCTCCCTTGGGAACCTCACTTTCCCCATCTGTGCAATGGAACTAATCATCCCAGCCTCCTGGCAGCCCCCTGCACAAGGCCAAGCTTGGGCCAGTGTTCCAGTCCCCACAGTAGGGACACAGGATCTGCTCTGAAAAGAAAGGAGGTGCCGGGGAAGTCCTCATGGCCTGCTCTGTCTGGCCCTGTCTTCTGTCCCTCCCTCTAGGGTCCCTCCATCTGGGCTCCATGTGCCTGCTGCACCCACAAAGGCCCTGCCCTGCCTGCCACCCTGGGAAGGTGTTCTGGACATGTTCTCCATCAAGCGGTTCCGGGCCAGGGCCCAGCTGGTCTCGGGACACAGCTGTCGGCTTGTCCAGGTGCACCTGCCCTCCTCGCCAGGGATTCCCTTACACACTGACCAGCCCAGGCAGCCTCTCTCTCTCTCTCTCTTTCACTCATGCATTCTAAAACAATTCATGGGCACCCCTTTCTGTGCCTGGCCCTGTGCAGGGCATGGGGGCAAATGAGATGTTGGTCCCATTCCTACAGAGACAAACAGGGTGAAGGACTCCCTGTCACCCATAGCAAGAAGGGCCCAAAGGAGGGTTTTAGGAGTGATCGTTGAGTGACTTAATGATCAGCTAAAGTGTCGGATGAGAGCAGAGGATAGAGGAGGGAGGGAGGGGCTTTGGAGAAGTTGTAGATTAGCCAGTACAGGCTGCAGACCTCCATGGGGCAATTAGAGCTTTCTGGGCAGCCACTGAGGGTCCTGGAACACTGCCTGCCCATATTTGCCACAGGCTGCAGCCTTCCAGGTGGCTGGGAATGCGTCCACCCTGAGTGGGTGGGAAGCTGGGGAGCTGACTGGCCATCCTTCCTGCCCCTAGGCTCTGCCCACCGTGATCCGCTCGGCAGGCTGCATCCCCTCCAACATTGTCTGGGACCTTCTGGCCAGCATCTGCCCAGCCAAGGCCAAGGTACCTGCCCACTCTTGGGCACCCCCTCTTTTCCTAGTACCTTACTCCCACCTCCCTCTCCACTTCTAGAGCAGAGGCCTGGCTTGGATATCTGGGTCTAGTTCCCAGAGTGACTGCAGACTCACTGTGTGACCCTGGACAGGTCCCTCTGTTTCCTCCTCTGGAAGATGGAGACATACTTTCTCACGGGGTTCTCAGGGGTTTCAGGGAGCCCAGGGGTGTTGGCAGGAGCAGAGGATGACTGCGCTTACAGCTGCTCTCCTCCTGCCACCGCAGGACGTCTGCGTGGTCAGACTGTGCCCACATGGGGCCCGGGACACCCAGAACTGCCGCCTGCTCTACTCATACCTCAATGATAGGCAGCGCCACGGGCTGGCCTCTGTGGAGCACATGGGGATGGTCCTGCTGCCCCTGCCTGCCTTCCAGCCCCTGCCCACCAGGCTGCGCCCTTTGGGGGGCCCAGGTGAGTGCCTAGTCCCCATACCAGACCCTGCCTCTGCTCACTTGGTGACCAGACCAGGCACGGTTGACACAGTCACCCAGTAGAGGCAGGCACATCTCAGAAGGGAACTCCTCACCCAGCCAGGCAAATGTGAGTACAATGACAGTAATAGCTCACGCTTGGATATCATGAACTGCATGCCAGCCATTGTTCTAAAAGCTTTACCTAGATGAATTCTTGTAGTCTCATCACCCTATGAGAATGGTACTATTAGACTAGACTGTCCATCTCATAGAAGAAGAATCTGAGGGAGGAAGAAGGCAAATGACTTGTCCAAAGTCACACAGTCAGTCAACAGCAGAACTGGGCTTCACTCTGTTCACACGTTGTGTGAAGCACAACATGGCTTCAGAAACCTGGCCCCTAACCACCACACCACACTGCCTCTCAAGGTAGGCACCCCTGAAGAGAAACTCCAGGGACAGCCACATTTGACCCAGGCAGCAGGACAGAGTCAGGACCTACACACACTTGACTGTAAATGTCACCTCAGAGAGGAGGGAGGGATGTTTCGCCACAGCCACGGGGGGCCGAGCTCGGCCTCTGTGCATGGACACCCTCCACGGCGTGGCTCAGGAAAGCAGCGAGGTTGGCAGTGGGCGCTTTGCCCACTCCTGAGCAAAGCGCTTGGCCTTTTGGGGCTCCATGTCCTGAGACAATGAGGTAGACTTTGAGTCTGTAGAGTCTTCAGGTCAAACAATCCATACCCCAGCCTCAGCCAGATAAGCCTTGATCCCGCAGAGCTCAAATCTTCCGAGACAGCCCCACCTTCCTACTTACTTTTCCCAGCATCTCATGGGCCCCATCTCACTGTGAAGAAGCCCTTCCTGGGATGTAGGCTCCAGATCTGCTGCAGCTAAGCTGAACACAGTTCTTCCCCGCAGGCCTTTGGGCTCTTCCTGTCTCCCCTCTCCTTTCCCCAGGTCTGGAGGTCACTCACTCAAGTCTGTTGCTGGCTGTGCTGCTCCCCAAGGAAGGGCTTCCAGACACAGCAGGGTCCAGCCCCTGGTTGGGGAAGGTTCAAAAGATGGTCTCCTTCAACAGTAAGGTGGAGAAGAGATACTATCAGCCAGATGACAGGAGGCCGAATGTGCCCCTGAAGGGCACCCCTCCCCCAGGAGGTGCCTGGCAGCAGAGCCAGGGCAGGGGCAGTATAGCTCCAAGGGGAATCTCTGCTTGGCAGAGGCCCCCCAGAGGCAGGGGGAGGCTCTGGCCAGAGCCTGAAAACTGGCAGCATCCTGGGCGAGGGCAGTGGCCCCCAGAGCCAGGCTTGCGCCAGTCCCAGCATCCCTATTCAGTAGCACCAGCTGGTCATGGCTTTGGCCGTGGCCAGCACTTCCACAGGGACTCCTGTCCCCACCAAGCCCTGCTCCGGCACCTCGAATCCCTGGCGACCATGAGTCACCAGCTCCAAGCCTTACTGTGCCCCCAGACCAAGAGCTCCATCCCCCGCCCTCTGCAGCGTTTGTCTAGCGCCCTTGCAGCTCCAGAGCCCCCTGGCCCAGCCCGTGACTCCTCTTTGGGGCCTACAGATGAAGCTGGCTCTGAGTGTCCCTTCCCTAGAAAGGCCTGACCCTCCTTACCCACCAGAACAGGGGTTTTGATGCCCTCACTAGTGTTGAAGCCTGTTCCAGAGAGAGGTGGGACTGCAAGGAGAGGATGGTCAGCCCTACCCACCTGCCCTGTTTGAACTTCCTGTTTGACAATGTTTGCTGTTGATTTTTTGTTCAATAAAGAATTTGGTAAAATTGGGATTGCATCTGCTAGCTGGTCAGGAGAGCCCCTGGTCCTGGTCAGATGTGGGTTGAGTGGGTGTGTCAGTGAGTGTCTTGTGCACAAATGTGCAGCCTTGCTCATTGCTGGTCTGAGGTCCTGAACCATCACTGCGCCCCAGGGCACAGCTATTGCCACGGTGGTTTCTGGAAGCATTTTGCAAGTATTCTGAACCAGGAGGAAGAGGTGGTGGTGGGAAAGAAAGTAGGACCGAGGTTGGGGGTGGAGAGAGAAATGGACAGAGCCTTTTGGAGGGTCACAGACATCAGACATCAAGAGATTGCTAGAGAGGAAAAGATAAGCAAGTTGCAGTGGACTTTAAATTTTTCAGTTAATACTAAGATTTTTTTTTCCTTTGACTAGATGGGGAAGGATAGTACATACCTTCACCATATTCCCTCCGAGTCTCTGTCTATGTGCTTCTCAGGGATCTCTGTGCACTAGTGTGCCTGCAAGCATGTGAGAGTATCTGTGTGAGTTTCATGGCCTGCCTGTGTGTAGGTCTCTGTTGAGGAAGTCAGGAGATCCAGATTGGGTGACTCCTCTCTGTATCTCTTGCCAGATTCCAGAGACTGGTGTTAGAAAATGTCAAAGGTCTTAGCCTTGGTGGTGGGCATTCAGGGTGGGGTTGGAGACTGGTATTAGGGTTGGACGGTGCTGCCTTGCCTTGGGCCTAGAACAAGCTTCTAACAGCAACTGCAACTGTCAAGCGTTTCATGTGGGGTGTACCTCGAGAGAGCTGCATCTGCGGACTGATGGGGGAACCAGCTGCCAGGGCCAACCAACCCAGCGTGGGGAAAGGGGCCTGGCTTCCAGGAGAGAACCTCTCTAGAACCCCACCCTTCGCCCCGGGGCCAGAAGGGCCCTACCCGCTCTTTGCTCACCCCTTCGCAAAGTCCACCCATGTACAGGCCTCACCCTGGCCCCTGCTGGACTGGAAGGGGTGGGGCGATGGTCGGTTGGGGGAGCCCTTCTTCTCTGCCCCATGAGCTCTGCGGCTGCCCTACCCGCGGACGACAGCAGAGGGGGCCCTCGGCCTTGGGATGGAGGTCGGGGCTGGCAGGACCGGAGTCAAAGCGGGGGGTGGGGCGAGGTGCGGGAACTTAGCGCAAGGAGTTGGAAGCGGGGGCGGGGTAGGATGCGGGTGGGGTGCGGGTGAGGGGTAGGGAGAGGGGGCTGGACAGTTGAACCGGGAGAGGGAGCGGGGCTCCTTCGGGAACTTTTCCGGCTCGAAATGGCCTGGGAGCGCCGCAGCCTCCGCGCTCTATGCAAATGACGCAAATTACTATGCAAACCTACAGCTTGGTTCTGAGCCCACAGTTTGGGTGGTTTTCCTAATGCAGTTGGTATGGAGGGAAACGGGTGTGCACTCCCTCCCCTCCAGGTCCAGGGCTTCCTCCGGAGAGCCGCCAGAGCCGCTCTCCTGGAACACGCAGGCAAGAGCGAGCTCTGTACCCTGGGCAGGGATTTCCTTTGGGAGCTTCAGTTTTCCCTTCTGTAAATGGGGGTGATAACGCGGCTCTGTAACAGCTCGCCCGTGGAAGGGCTGTAGGTGGGCCCCGAAATCCTGCAGCCTGCTAAACATGACACCCTCCCCCACCCCCGCCACCTTTTGGCCCCAGTCCACGAGCCCCTTGCCCCTCTCTCTCTCGGCAGAAGCCTGGAGCGAGGATTAGGCATGACGTTGCTAGGGGGCGTGACTGACGGTTGCTAGGCTCCAGGGACGTTGCTATGCAACGCTGGGCGGGGCTTGTTGTTGCTAGGCCGGAGCCGGAATCGCCCGGGACCCGGAAGGGACACCTCGCGCCCTGGGTTTTAGTGGAAGGCGCCCCAGGCTACCAGGGATCGCGACACTGCTCTCCCGGTGACTTTCTTCGGGCCTGAGCTTCCCCCGGCTGGACGCAGTTTCTGAGGGTCCTTCCGGTTCACACTCTGCCACTCCGTGATCCTCTTGGCTCCGGAGTGAAGAACCCTGCGTCTTTGTGCACGTGTCTGTGCGCCTGCCTGTGAGGGGGGTGGGGGTGCAGAGCGGGTATCGCTTTTGGATTTCCATAGCAACTGCTCCTGTGTCACCCCATTGCTCCCAAAGGTTTGAGCGGTTGCTTGTACAAATTTACATATATCTGCATGTCATTAACATAGAGGCGGGGCCGGAACTTGTTTGGGCAACTATCCCTGGACGGTTCTCTTTGCTTCTTCCTCATCCCGTCTGATAGGCATGTGGGCTGCGCATGCGTGAGTGTTTAGCCTGTCCATGTTCTCAGATGTGGGGTGGATGAGTGAGCTGTGACAGTGACCATCAGTTCCCTTTCCCCACGTCCCCTTATTGAACCCTTAGCATGAATCCATCCAGATATCCCTGACTGAAGACACCCAGCTTCCCAAGCAATGCCAGGCCTTGTTGGCACTCCAA
This sequence comes from Homo sapiens, assembly GCF_000001405.40. Taxonomy (NCBI): domain Eukaryota; kingdom Metazoa; phylum Chordata; class Mammalia; order Primates; family Hominidae; genus Homo; species Homo sapiens. The sequence goes on along the minus strand of NC_000001.11, from coordinate 31,787,989 downwards.
TTCCTTTTCTGGCTGTGTGGCCTTGACAAGTTTAGTTACCCTCTCTGTGGCTCAGTTTTCTTCTCTGTAAACAGGGATACTAATCTCTAACTTACCAGGTGATGGGAGGGTTTAACTGGTTGCCACTTTTACACACACTAATTGCTGCTTTCTGGCCTACAGTAGGCACTCAGTGGTGCTCCCTTCCTCCCTCCCTGGAGCCCAACTCTTCTCAGAACCCAACCAAAGCAAATCAACTTCAGTTGCCGCTTAAGACATGACAACTAGACACCAGAAGAACTTCCAGATGTCAGGGCAGACTGGATTTGATGCACAGGATGAGGACTATTGTTTTCTCTATTTGTCCTTCTTGGAAGCTGGAGGTCAGGTTGGTGAGTGTGGACCCTCCTACCGCCTCCCCCTTATACCCTTGTCTCTCTCAGGGAGCCCACTGGTTTCCAGAAAACTTGCTTTCTTGTCCCAAAGGCCTGGAGCCTGAGACGGCTGTAGCAGTGACAGCTGAGCTTGGGAGGCCCGAAGACCAGGGCAGAGCAGGTGGTGGCTAAGGAAGTACCTTCCAGGACTGAGGTGTTTGGGATGGAGCAGGACTGGGATGGAAGGGAGACTGAGAGCAGAAACTGCTTGGAGAGCCACATGTCTGTTCCTTTACCAGAGAGGACTGGGGAACCCTGGGGCCACCCCCTTGCCCTTTCTGAGCCTCAGTTTCCCTGTTGTAGGCAGTAAGGACTCCTCTGTTTCAACTTGTGTGGGGGGTAATAAGTCAGCTCAGTATGGAGAACCTTCTCGTTGCTGCAGCTATGTAACAGTGCCATGGAGGGAGTTCCCTGTTCTTTGCACTGTGCAAGCAGAAGCCGAGAGGGACCCCTTAAGTGTGCTGGATAGGAGCAGCAGAATTCCTGGAGGCTCTTGTTCATTTAAAAACTGGGGTTGGCTCCTATCCTGTGTGGAGGAAGATTGTTGGTGATGGACAGGGATGTAAGAACTGGGTTCCAAGGGGTTGAGTGGCTTCCTGGAGGAGGTAGGACTGCATGGAGACCATACTCTGCAGTTGTCACTCTGACTGCTGTATGCAAGACTGCTGTCTGCTGGTGGATGGCGGTGGGCCAGCCAACTGTGCTCCACAGGTGAGGGTTCCAGGGACAGGCTGTGAGCCTGGCAGTGTCCGGCTGGCCCGCCTGTGTCCCACTCTGGGGGCCAATTAAGTCTCCATCCCTAGTCGCGCCGATTAACAGTTAATAAGGCAGCAAACACCTGCAGCTATGGAGGCGAATTAAGAGCAACAGTCGGCATAATACACAACCCGATAAGTGAGCAATTAACAACCGGAGAAAGATTAATAGAAGCAATTACGTTCCTACTCGGAGCTCTGTAAATACAACTGTCAATGGCCAGGGTATTCAGTTCAGTCCTGCCTGGCCCCACCCCGGGCCACAGCCTCTGTTGGCAGGGGTGCCCACTGAGCCAGACTGTGGATCCTGGACCGCAGAGGCATGTACACAGGCACAGATATGCAAATGCACACAGAGATATACACATCCAGACATACTTAGAGAGGTGGCCCACAGAATGCAGTCATATAGATATAAAAATTCCCCACTGTCTCACATACTCGCATTCACAGACGGGTACACACAGACACACATAGGGCCTTCCAGAAGCATACACAGAGATACACAGAAAAATACCCACAGTGTCATAAAGATACATTTTCACAGAGCTAGAGCCACACAGACTACCAGTGACACTCACATATACAAACAGACGTGTAGACACACACAGATTTTTACTCATAGGGTCACATATGCATGCAACCCTCCTGTGATGCCCTTCAGAGGGTTGTCCATAGTGGGTGAGGGCGGCAGCAGGGCCCTGGACTGAGAGAGAACTGGAGTGAACTGGAGAGAATTGAACTGAGAGAGAACTGGAGGGTGGGAGGGGACACGGGAGGGACAGAATGTGTGTGAAAACATGCAAGTGTGTCTGCATGCATGTGACTCTAAGCATGTGCATCTTTGCAAGAATGTGTTTCACCCATGTATGGGCACATTACTGTGTGTAAACATGCATGTGCCTATACGTCTGTGTGGCTGCATGAGGTGAGTGTCTCATGATGCCTGGGTATATGTACGTGTACTGTGCCCAGCAGATCTGTGACTACACATGTGGGTGTCTGGATCACGTGTGATCACGCTGTGCCAGTGTCCATGTCTAGGTAATTGTGTGCCTGTACTTCCGAGTGGCTTTACATGTGTCCTGTCTCTGTGCTGGGGCCAGGGAGGGACGCTTCCCTGGGAAGCCTGGGATGGTGCCTGAAAGCAGAGTTGTCCCCCCACTGCCCACCACCGGAATGGGGCTCAAGGACAGGCAGGGATGCTCTCAGCCTGACTTGGCTTCCCTCACAGGGACTTCAGCCCCTTTCAAGAGATTGACATGGAGGTTAATTTCTCCTGCTTGAAAGCTGAGCCAGGAATTCACTGAGCACCTTCCTCTTAAAGCCACAGCTCCAGTCCCCACTGGGCTCAAGCCCTCCCCACCCTTGTCTCCACCCTGAGCTTCCCTGGGAAAACCCCCAGACGTGAGACCCATGCACTTTGCTCGCGTTCTGGGACATACACTGTCATGCACAGAATACAGTCATGCAGACACACAAACATGGCCAGTCACGAATACGAACACATCACATTTTGCTTGTGACACCCCGACCTAGCCAGTGTGTGCACAGGCTGGCCACACACACAAAATCCCACACAGCTGCACCCCCACATGTCCACTTGCCCATCACTCTCTGAGATGAGCCGAGTGCCAAGCCGGAGGGCCCAGAGGGGTATCCTGCGACAGGTCCCCCCACCTTCCCCAGCCTGGCCAGATGGTGGAGGCTGACAGGCCCCAAGGGAGCTCTCCATCACCGCTAACCCGCTGGCTGCCAGGCGGGCACTGAGGCCTGGCTCCGCCAGAAGTAGGCTGGGGTGTAAATAAGGAAGTAATGAAGCTCATCAGCCTCTCCCCTCAGCCCCCACTGCCCCAGGCCAGGATAGAGCCTGTCCCAAGGTCTCTCATTCACACTCAGACATCTACAGGACACAGAAGGACTTGGATGCATGTGGGCATTCTCCCTCTAACGCCACAGGCACAGGGGCCCCTTCTGCAGGGTGAGCCACTCGCCAGGCCACAGCTGACCTTGCAGAGAGCCTGCCTCCCCTATCTGCCTCCCACCATCTAATCAAAACAGGCAGAAAACAATAATGTTCAGGGAAACAGATCTGAGGGCCCCAAAGCCAAAGCATCTGCCTGTCAGTCTGTTCTTCCATCAGTCCGTCCAGCCTTCTGTCTGACTTTTATTCGCTCAGTCCTTGTTTTTCATTTATTCACTTGCTCATTCAGTCATTCAGCCAATAAAGACTTTAAACAAATCATGACATTCAGTCCAGTGACCTGGCTGCCCTCCTGGCATCCTGGCCTGGGGGTGCAGGAGCTGGGAAAGGAGAAAAGGGGGCCTGGGCTATGAGGGAGGAGGAAGAGGAAGTGGAGGGGATCCCCATTCCCTGCTTCTTGCTCAGTCTCTTAAATGAAAGAGAAGGGGCTTCTGCAGCTGGAGAGAGAGAGAAAAAAAAGCCAAATCCTAGAATAATAGATAATAATAGCTAACGCTTACGCACTGGTACTCTGTGCCAGGCACTGTTCAAATTGCTTTACATGAATTAACTCAGTTCATCCTCATAACAACTCTGAGAGGCAAGTACTATTATTAACCCTACTGGGGGGCACAGGAAGGTTAAGTAACTTGCCCAAGGTCAAACAGCTTGTCAGAGCCACCCCAAGTGTTTCAAGAGCCTAGGGCAACAACACAAAAGGAGGTCCCCAGCCCTCCGCCCACCTCCCTTCTCATCCTACCTTGGGCTCCATCCTGCAGTATAAGGGCCCTTGTCTGCATGCCGGTGGGCACCCCAACACTGCAATCCCTGCTAGGTCCACACTCCTGGCAAACAGCCACCCTTTGGGCTTGAGGAGGAAGGACGCACATGGGAAAGTGGCTCTATAGACCCTGGTTGTTGGCTTAGGCCTCCTTGGGCAGGGAATTCCAGGGTCATGGGTTGGAATATGGCCTAGAAGGGGACTGGAGCTCCAGGTGGACCCTGAACCTTTGAATTCCTCACCCCCATGCAGAAGAGGGCCAAAGGATGTCATCTAAAATGGGACCCCAGGGCATGGACCTTGTTTGCCCAGGTCTGAGAGTCCTGGGGACAGTAAGTGGCAGGTCCCAGATATGATCCCAGTCATTCCTGTCAGGCCCTCTCCCGAGACTGGTGGGCGCTGAGGGAGTGGAGAGGAAAGAGGTTGCTGAGTTTTGCTTCCCCATCCCAACTCTGACCTTACCAAGTTCAGGCCATTTCCACCAATGGGTACGCACCCCAGCTCCATGCTGGGTACCAGGGTCTGTTGAGGATGACTCGAATTGTTTTTCTTACTGTAAATTGACCAATTACGGTTGTATTTATGGGGTACAAAGTGGTGTTATGATTTTTTAATACACTGTGGAATGATTAAATTAAGCTAATCAGCATATCTAGCTCCTCAAATATTTAACATTTTTTTTGTGATGAGAACATTGGAAATTTACTCTCTTAGCGATATTGGAATGAGTTCTCATCTTGTCACCCCTCCCTCTCCGTTTCCGCCGGCATCCCCACCCCTCCTGACCAGGGACTGGGGAAGAAGTGGAGGCTCCTGGGATTGGATGGGGACCTTCCGTGTCAGCACAGCCAGCCCCTGCCTCTGCTTCCCCAGGATTCCTGCTGGGCCTCCAGAGGCTTTTCCACACAATTACCCAGGCCAGGAATTTCGATCTCTGGTGCCAGCCAGGCCCTTCTTATGCAAATATAGGGAAATGAGATGCAAACAGAGCCGTCCCAGATTAACAGAGAAATCCCTGGCAGCTGGAGGAGTCACCTTAAAGTCAGTTCACCCCAGATTCCCCAGTACCCCTCTCCCAGGCTCTGTCGGGCTGGGCCTGCCTGGCCTCTCCCCTTCCTGGCCACCACTTTTCTACCCCCTCAGAAGCCTGCTCAGTCACAGGAAGGGGCTGGACAAGGGGGGCCACCAAGGCCCACCCAGCTTGAGATCTCTGCCTCTTCCTCTCACTTTAAAGAAATCCAGGCAGGGGTGGAAGTTAGCGGGGAGTGGTGAGTGGAGCTGAGCCAGAGGGAGACTTCTGTTTTGCCCCATAGAAGAGGGACTTCACACACACACATGCTCACACACACAGTTGAGAGTGAGAGCAGCCCCTGCAATACACACATATACACTCATGCTGACAATGACACAAGCCTGGCAACACCACCCTACAGGCCTGGCCAAGCCCCGCTTCCCCTGATACCATCAATCAAAGCACAGACACTCAGAGGCTGCAGTGCAGAGAGCGAACAGGCTATGTCCCTGGCCTGGGGTCTGGTGGGTGGTGGGTGCTGCTGGTAGGTCCCTGGCTGTATTTGAAGACAGAGGGAATACAAGATCCCACCTGGGGCATGACGCCCCAGGAAGGGGGCTGGGAGTGTGTGGAAGAAGCTGCAGCCTGGATGCTGCCCACCAGAACCCCTTAGGGCGTTCAGGCTGGTGTCTATGTCCCGGGCATGCCCAGGGGAGCCTGGCCCCTGACCAGCCCAACCAGCCCAGGCCCAACTTCTAAAAATAAGAGCCGAGAATCTCAGCCTCTGGTTGGTTCTGCAGGAGCCTGTTGCCTTGGCAACCCCTTCTCAGAGGCCTCCCTCCTGGCTGGGCTGCCCCGTTGAGCTGCGGGTCCCTATGCCAGCCCCCTGTGCTGGCCTCTCTGCCAGCCAGCCCTCTGCCCTGTCCTCCTGGAGGAGGGTGGGGTGTGGGGGGCAGGGCAGGAGGGAGGACCTTGGGGACTCTGGCTGAGCATAATGGCCTGCGTGTGAGACCCAGCCTGGGGCTGGCAGTGTCAGAGGCCGTGTAACTGTCGGGTGGTGACTGTGTGTGTGACAGTCCTGTATCTTACAGCTCCCCTGGGTATACATCAGTGCCTGTGACTTGACTCTCAGAGCCCCGTGGGTGGCTGTGCTCCCTCTCTGAGGATGTGTGTCCCCGCGTGTGACAGCGTGTGCCCGTGTCCTGAGGGAGGGACCTGGCCGGGGACTTCCTCGCCTCCCTGTGGACTTCCCTCATCGTTGCCCGCCCCACCTTCCAGGGCTGGCAGTGCAGAGGTGACGAAGGTGCGGGGTGCTCAGGGTGAGCCAGAGGTCAGGCTGGGTGTGGTGGCGGGACCAAGGTCAACTTCTCCCACCTTCTGCAGCCTAATATCATAGAAGCCCCAAATCTGTCTATCTAGGGGAAATGGAGGAGGAAGCCACTCCTAAAACTGCGATCGAAATCTCTGAGCGTGCTGTAGTCACTGTCAGCAGCAGAGGCCCCCTCCCCCCACTCTGCCTCCACTCTTCAATTAATCACCAAGTCCTGTCCAATCTCCTCCTAATCACTGCTTCCAAGGGCCCCTCCTCTCTTGGCCACCACTGCCTAGCCCAGGCCAAACCCTCCCTCCTCTGGACGTGCAGCAGCCTCCCCACCGCTGCCCCCTTGGCCCAGGTTCCACATCTGGCCTCTCTCTATCTCCCACACCCCATCCCCTCACCATTCTGTGTTCACGAAGATAAAACACAGCTTAGATCCTGTCACCCCCCTGCTTAGGACCCAAACAGAGGGAGGATTGGAGTTCTAGGCTGGGGAACATGTATGTGCAAAGCCACAGAGGCAAGAGAGATCCTGGCCTCTTCTGGAAACTCTTAGTCACTGGTGTGGCTAGGTGAGGGGACAAGAGGGAGAGGATGGGGGTGGACAGAGGCCTGACCAGGGAAGGCCCAGAAGATCAGGCTGAGAGGCTGACACTTTGCAACGCTCCACTTTGTTCCTAGAGCAAAGTGTCAGTTCCTCACCCTGGTCTTCTGGGCCTTCCCTGGTCAGGCCTCTGTCCACCCCCATCCTCTCCCTGTTGTCCCCTCACCTAGCCACACCAGTGACTGAGAGTTTCCAGAAGAGGCCAGGATCTCTTTTGCCTCTGTGCCTTTGCACATACCTGTTCCCCAGCCTAGAACTCCAATCCTGCCTCCGTTGGATAAAGCTTAGTCATTGTGGGACACAGCGCAGGCATTGCCTCCAATGGGAAGCCTTCCCTGACTGCCAGCAGGCTGGGTTAGGAGTCTCTGTTTCTCCTAACATCCTGGGCTACTCCCCCAACCACACACACACACACACACACACACACACACACTGCATATATTTCTAATGTCTTTTATTTCCCCCTGAAAATGTATACAAGATTTGGAAGAAACAGAACAGTATAAATTGAAACAGAAAATCACCCAGAATCCTCTCAGGTTAACTCTCAGTTTATTTCTTTCCAGACTTCTTCAAACAAACTGATGAAACATTTTCTTTATAAAATAAAGCCCATCCTATCTGTATGGTTTTCTTTCCTGCTTTGTTTCATGTATCATTATATTGTGAGCATTTGCCCAGGTTATTAAAACTTCTTCAAGAACATGACTTTTAATGTTTGCATAATATCCTTATATATGGATATATCATAATTTATTTAACCAACCCTCTATTGCTAGACATTTATGTTGGTTGTGATTTTTCATAGTTGTAAATAACAGTAATAAGCATCTTTGTACCTGGTTCTTTTTAACAGCTGTGGTTATTTTTTGGATTGAGTTCCTCCAAGTAGATTAATGGGACCAAAGGGTCTATCTGTTTTTAAAGCTCTTGACACTCCTGCCCAGTGGCCTTCTAGAAAAGTTGTTCTAATTTACCCTTTCATCAACGGAGTCTGAGAGCGCCCAGATTGCAGTTTTCACCAACGCTGGTGCTATCTTTAAAAAACAAAACAAAACAAAACAAAAACCTGTCTTAATTTCAATAGGTAAAACTGCATTATACTGTTGTTTTAATTTGCATTTCTTTGATTACTGGGGAGGATAAACCTTTTGGATCTCCTCTTTTGTGTCATGCATGCATCACACTGAGCTATAATTATATTTTCACATCCTGCCTCTCCCTCACCAACCTCAGCTCTGAGGGCGGGAGCTGGGACGGAGGACGTCGTGTGCCTAGAGTACTGCGTGGATTGGATTGAGGCCTCTGGCTTCAGTCTGAGCTTTGGCCTTGGGCAGACCAGGAGGTCAAGCCTAGCTCTGAGGCTTGAACTTGGGCAAATCGTCTTGCTTCTCTGGGCCTCAGTTTCCTCCTGTGTCAAGTGGGTTTGAAAGAGCACTAGACGGCCCGGCGCCATGGCTCACGCCTGTAATCCCAGCAGTTTGGGAGGCCGAGGCAGGCGGATCACGAGGTCAGGAGATTGAGACCATCCTGGCTAACACGGTGAAACCCCGTCTCTACTAAAAATACAAAAAATTAGCCGGGGGTGGTGGCAGGTGCCTGTAGTCCCAGCTACTCGGGAGGCTGAGGCAGGAGAATGGCGTGAACCCAGGAGGCAGAGATTGAAGTAAGCCGAGATCGTGCCACTGCACTTCAGCCTGGGGGACAGAGTGAGACTACGTCTCAAAAAAAAAAAAAAAAAGAAAAAAAAATGAGCACTAGACATGAAGAGTGTGGAGAGGTGTGTGAAGAGCTGCGAGCAGAGGCGAGTTTTTTCAGGGCTAGGAGGCAGTGTTCCACTCACATCCAGGGAGCTGAGTTTGCTGAGGGAAGAGAAAATGTTCAGGACCAGCCAACTCCTCCTTCCCCGAGGCAAGATGGCGCCCAGATGTCTCTTGGTTCACAGGTGGATAGGAGCTCAGAGAAAAGTGTCCAGGCAAGACTGGGAAGGACCATGGCACAGCAGACAGGTTTCAAATTCAAGTTCAGCCCAGACCAGGGAGTTCCTGTCCTTCTGGTAAGTCAAGAGTGGCTCTGTTCATGTGTGGCAGCGTTTTTGTGTTGTGGGCTATTGCCCACACCATTGCCTGCTATGATTTAATCACCATTGTTAGTGCCAACTGAACAGAGAGGGAGAGTATCTCTGCCCTGGTGGCACAGCATCTCTTCTGGAGACTGGCCCTCAGCCATGGGGAGTGTCTTGGAGACAAACCCCTGCTGGGGGCGCCCTCATCCATTCTGGCTCAGGACATATTCCAAGACAGACACGCACAATTTCTCCGCACATTACTAGCCTAATGATACTGTCATTTGGAGTCTGGAAATGAGGAGAAATTGGCTTTTTCTCGGTAATTAATGTGAGCGATGGGCCTTGAGATAGAGTAGCAGCCCCCCGGGTGAGAACCAAGCTCTCAGGCAAGTCAGCCAGGTCATCCTCCTGCCTGTGGAAAGATCTGTGTTCCATCCCCGGCTTCTTCTTCCCGACACCCCTTGGATAGGTGAAGCCCCCTCCTCTTCCCCATAGGGATCACTTTAGGGATCACCTGAGCTCTGATGGTCAGGAGGTTCTTCCTTGAGCCTGCCCACAGTCCTTCATGCTGCAGTTCAGTCTGCTTTGCCACTGCCCCCATGAGAGCTGCCTTTGCTTTTTGGGAATTCTTGGCTGTAGGGACTTTCTTTATCTCACTTACTGAAAGCAGAGGGGAAAACACCAGGGTGGGGGCTGGTGGAGGTGGGGTGCTTCAGGAGAAAACCTTAAAGGGGATGGGGTCAGGGCTTGGCTCCAATGGGCAGAGGCTGGAAGTTGACCCAGCTTTCCTTTCTGAGAGAAGCATTCACCAGGTTCATAAATATTTTTCTGGGCCTCTGCCTCAGTTTCCCCACTGTGCTCAGGAGAAAGTGTTTCTATGCTGTCCCTTTGTCTTCTCTCTCCATTCACTTTTGGTGCTGGGTGAAGGAGACATCAAGTAAATCAGTGCCAGGCTCTTCTTCTTTTTCTTCTTCTTCTTCTTCTTTCTTCTTTCTTCTTTTTTTTTTTGAGATGGAGTTTCGCTCTTGTTGCCCAGGCTGGAGTGCAATGGCGTCATCTCGGCTCACTGCAGCCTCCGCCTCCCAGGTTCAAGCAGTTCTCCTGCCTCAGCCTCCCGAGTAGCTGGGAGTAAGGCATGCACAACCATGCCCATCTAATTTTTGTATTTTTAGTAGAGACAGGGTTTCGCCATGTTGGCCAGGCTGGTCTCAAACTCCTGACCTCAGGTGATCTGCCCGCCTCAGCCTCCCAAAGTGCTGGGATTACAGGCATGAGCCACTGTGTTGGGCCCAGGCCCTGCTTCTAATCAGCTCCAAGTCGGGTGGAACAGGCAGACCCTGGTACAAAGAGCTCTGATACGGAGTGACCTGTGCCACAGAAGAAGGAGTTTACAAACAGAGCCCAGGGGAGAGAAGAATTGATACTTCCTGGGGAAATCTGGGAGGCAGAAGAGGGGGCCCGGGAGGATGCATTTGGTAACAAAAAAGGGGTGCTGGGAAAGCAATCTGGGCAGAGGGAACAGCACGGCCAAAGGCTTGGAGGTGTGAAAGAGCCTGGCACGATCTGTAAACGGTGTCTAGCTCCCAGGGAACAGGGTGGATGCAGAGGTAAGAAGGGAGGGAAAGCTGGGCAGTCTACGGCGGGTTGGAACTTTATTCTGAGGGCACTGGGGAGACATTGAGAGTTTAAGCAGGGGAGGAATAGGAGGCAGGTTTGTGCCATAGAGTAGTCACGTGGAGAAAACACGGACAGGAATGGTGGGGGGACAGGACTGGCAGCTACTGCTATGGTATCTGTGGTCCTGAACAAGGATGGTGGGTTCTAGAGATGTTAAGAGGGCAAACCAAATGGGACCCCATGGCAGGCTGGAGGTGGGATGGATGGCTGCTGGTGATCCAAGATCCTGAGTTTAAGATGAGTCCCAGCACAGTCTACTCCTTCCACCCTGAAGCCTCGGTAGCTCCCAAGGCCTCCAGGAGAATGTTTAAATTTCCTGGAATGACAGTCCCAGTCTGGCCCTATATACCTCTGTGACCTCAGCTCCCCTACCTTCCTGTGCTCTGGCCCACCTGGTTTCTCCATAGGAGCTGTTCATAAGTTCCTATGGCTCATTCTAGCATCCAAGCCGTTGTTCACATTAATTACTGTTCCCCTTCCCCATGCTGTTGTCCCTCTGCCCTGCCTCCCCAGATCTTCCCCATCTTCTCACTGAAGTGAGCCCTGCAGGCCTTAGTGCCCCTCCATCCCCGCTTTCACCTTCCCTCCCTTTCCTCTACCCTCTTCACTTAGCACAGGCCTGGGCTGACCATGTAATCAGCATAAACAGCTGCCTAAAGATCCTACAAGGAGAACTGCAGGCCTTGGCTCAGATTAGAGCCGAAAGCTGGCTCCCATCCTCCAGTGGCCCTGATAGGACCAGGCCAGGGGAGCAGTCTTGTCTGCAGCTATGTTCCTTGGCCAATGGAGCTGTCATTATTGCTCCAAATTAGGCACCAATTTGCCCGTGTAATTGTTTGCTAATTAGCATGAAATCCTAATGTAATTAGTTGGGCCCCTTATCCGGGAGCCTGGGGAGTCAGAGGCAGTGGGGGGCCGCTGGAGAAGGGAGGGTCTAGGAGGCTGGGGAAATGGTTGTTTGAGAGAGAAGGCCCCGAGCTGCCATCAGGGCTGAGACAGGGAGTGATAGAAATTGCAGAATCTCACAGTTGAAAGGGTCTTTGGAGAGGCTAGCACTTGCCAACACCTTACAGATGGGGAAACTGATAACAGATAGGGCGAGGAACCTCCTGGGAGCTGGTGGCAGAGCTGGGCCAAACATCCAGGCCATCTGTTTACACTGACCAGAGCGGTGCTCTGGCTGTGGGTGAAGATGACATGGCCCGTGGCTCTCCGGCATCTGCTTCTAAAGAAGGGAAGCAGGGAGAGTGGGTGGGGGTGTGGTATCAGCCCACATTTTTTTTTTTCTTTGAGACAGGTTCTCACTCTTGTTGCCCAGGCTGGAGTGCAGTGCAGTGCAGTGATCTTGGCTCACTGCAGCTTTGACTTCCCAGGCTCAATGATCCTCCTGCCTTAGCCTCCCAAGTAGGAGGGACTATTGGCGTGCGTCACCATGCCTGGCTAATTTTTGTATTTTTATTACAGACGGGGTCTCGCCATGTTGCCCAAGCTGGTCTCAAACTCCTGGGCTCTAGTGATCCGCCTGCCTCAGCCTCCCAAAGTGCTGGGATTATAGGCATGCACCACCACGCCCAGCCCAGCCCATAGTTTAAGTAGGAAATGCAATGGAAAGAGGGCCTAGGCAGGATGCCAAATTGTTAGTTAGAACTGGAGGAGCAGTGGGAACAAAGAAGAGGTTTCCAGAGCTTCTTTCTGGGGAATGACTTGGGTGTTGAGAGGGAAGATGGGGAGGCCAGAATGCTTTCCTCCAACTGAAAGGCAAATCCCCCCACCGCCACCCTAGGCTTTCTGCCTCTCCCCATCTCTCTGGAAAGGGTCTGGAGAAGGTGCTAGAGCCAGCCCATACCAGCTTGTGAGAGCTGACTGTTAAATTCTTAGGAATTTTGCCAGCCAGTTAACTTCACATTGGTAATGTAAATTGGCCATCATGGGAGGATTTACACCATGGAAATTGGCAAATGCTGCAAATCAGGGCTGCACTTCCCCGCCCCCAAGCCAGTTGTTAAATTGTACCAGCATACCACTGAACCCGTCTGAAATGTGATGAAATAGCCCCAGCTTTATCCCCGGCAGCTGGGTAGGATTGGGAGGGGGAGCAGCTGTTCTCAGGACCATTCTGGGGACACCACATTAGTCACATGGTCTCCACTCCCCACTCCCCATCCCTAGCATCCAGTCTCCCCACAATTGACTCTCACACCTCAGGTTGCTCCCTCTTCCCCTGCCTGCAGTTATCCTCTGCGTCAGTTCCTAGGGTTCAATTCTCTTCACTCCCTATCATTTATATTTTAGAGTTGGGGTCTTGCTCTGCACCATCTTACTCTATCCAGGCAGTGATCATGGCTCACTGTAGCCTTGAACTCCTAGGTTCAAGCAATCCTCTTGCCTCAGCCTCCTGAGTAGTTGGGACTACAAAGGTGCACCACCATACCTGGCTAATCTTATTTTTTTGCAGAGAAGGGGTCTCACTATGTTGCCCAGGCTGGTCTCAAACTCCTGGGCTCAAGTGATCCTCCCCCCTTGGCCTCCCAAAATGCTGGGATTACAGGTATGAGCCACTGCACCCGGCCTCTTTAATCCCTATCTTTACCCAGATCTCTCCTGTTTCCTGGACACTGTCTCTAGATGTCCTGAAGGCACCTCAATGCAGCATGTCTGAAATAGAAATCATCGACTTCCCACAAGTCTTTCCCCATCTGAGTAAATGGCACACTCCCCCTCAGGGCCTTTGCACTTGCAATTTCCCCTATTTGAACAGCTCTTCCTCTAAATATCCCTCACGTACCTCAGGGGTCTGCTCAGATGTCACCTTCTCAGAGACATCTTCCTTGACCTCCTTTCCTAAAACAGCCCCCATTCTCATCCACCACTTCTGCACCCTTGCTGGACACTATTTTCCCTCTTTGCACTTGTCCACACATGCATTCCATATATTTAGGTGTTTGTGTCTGCCTCCCTTTCCCCACTAGAAGGTGAACTCCAGATAAACACAGCAGTTATGTGGTCAGGTTCTAGAAGTTCCTTGGAGTCTTGGAACTGTTCGACTGATTGTGTCTGTTCGATTCACTCAGTGCTGGACACTTTTAGTAAGCTCCCAATAAATATTACTTGAATGAATGAATGAATGAGCCTCCATCCAGTCCCCTTTTTCAATCTTGACTCCTCAAATCCACCTTCCATTGCCCCAGTTGTTTCTGAAACAAACTTGGCTATGATTCATTCCCGTCCAAAACCCTTCATAGACCTCTTTTGCTTTCAGAATAAAATCTACCTCTGGTTTTGCTTACGAGGCCCTCAGTGATGTATTTCCAGCCTAACCTTCATTTCGCACATCTTCCCTCAAGCATAAGCACCACACACACACACACGCACACAGCCATGCATACAGCCTGGGTATACTATTTCTGCCTCTTCTGTACAGTGCTCACTCCCTTCTTAAGTGGTCCTGCATTCTCTGACTCATTGACTTCTTTCCTTCATTCCGTCAATAAGTGTTTTAAATGGAGCAGACCCTTGGTGCCAGGCCTGTAGCTGAGCATTACTGGGAGGAGTCAGCCCACACCTCTTCTCGAAATGCTCCCAATCTGGCAGGGAAGGAGGCCGCGAAACCATCATTCCATCTGTAGTTCCTCCTTTACTGTCCTTTGGACATCCTGACATCACCTCCCTGTGCCCAGACAGTTTTCTGTGGCGGGGGGTTGGCGGGGGGAGCATCCCCATGAAGAGGCAGCCCCTGACCCTTGCCTGCTTCTGGCTGTGGTGTGGCACCTGATGGAAATGACTGGATTTGGGGTCTGCTTTTTCCTGCTAACCCTTGACTGAGAGCTTCAGGGAGGTAGGATGTAGGGTGAACCACCTCTGGTTCTCCAAAGCCCATCAGAGTAGAGGGGACACTGAGTGACTCAAGGCTGCCCTTATTCTCTGGGACTTCTGAGTCTTGGCCTTCTTCACCCCACAGGGTCCAAGATCCAGGGAGAAATGGGGTTGTTTGAGTGTGGGGTGTGCACAGACTTGCTGAGTCTCTGGGTCAGGGGTGTGTGTGTGTGTGTGTATGTGTGCACTCCTGGGTGTGCACTGGTGGGCTTGTCCCTGAGCCCGATGTTAGGGGCCTGTCCCAGACTTCTGTGCTGGGTCAACTGTGCTGGGGAATGTGGTGTGTCTGAATTATGGCAGCGTGTGCATGCATCTGCTCAGGGATGGCGCTGCCTCGGACGCGGGTGGTCCCTCCTGCACTCTAGCTTGAGTCTCCAGCTCAGCCACAAGACAGCGAAGATCTCACAGCGAGCAGGCCCATTGCGGAAGACTGATGAGCTGCCCCCAAGCCCTCAGCAGAATGAGCGTGAAGCCGGCGCCACTCAGTCCCTCCCGCTAACTGCCCATCCTCTCCGGCCATTGCCTCCCGAGTGCCCATCGAGTGCCCGTGGGTCAGCGAGCGGGGCCGCTGGAGGAAGGGGCGGGTGTGCCCAGGGCTGGCGGCGGGCCCGGGGTCCCTGGGAGGAAAGGGCCGCTCGCTCAGCCCCCTCCCGGAGCCCAGAGACGGCCCCGGCGGCGCGGGCACACAGGGGCACATAGCGCGGGGCGGAGGGAGGGGGTGGCGGCACCGTCCGTGGAGGGCGCGGGCTCGCTTAGCCTTCCGCACCGGCGCTCCCTCGCGCGGTGCCCCTTCCGCACACTCACACGCACTCATTCCCACAGCTACACACTCCAGCACCTGCAGGCACAAACGCTTGCAGGGACACACCACGACACAGACACCCAAGCACACACAGGTATCGGCTCATAGACTCGTCCCTGAGTCACACACAGGTATCGGCTCAAAGGCACAGGCAGGCTCATAGACTGGTCCCTGAGTCACACATAGCCCAGACTCAGATGCACACACACAGATGGGAACGCTCGCCTGCACGTGCACAGACACACGGACACACCCGCACACCACCGCGGGGTTCCGAGCACACACGCGCCCCGGCAGACGCTCACAGACACACGCAGGGCCGGGAGCGCACACACACAGACACAGGCTCATATAGACAGACTCGGTCCTAAAAATACGCACTCGCAGAGGCAAAGGCTAGCGCACAAGCACGCACAGACACACCGACAGGCGGCCCCCGGACACCGCGCTCCCTGCCGCACTCACGGCCCACGCAAGGGCTCACACACGGCCTCACGGAGGACAGTCATAAAACACCCAGACACACGCCACACACGCACGCGCGCATTCGCGGACACACAAAAGCGCCACACACACAATCGGGCAACGCAGAAGCACTTGGGTTCCAGATGCCTTTGAAATTCAAATTCGCGCTCTCTTCCGCCCGCTCCCGGCCGCGCGGCCCCACACCCGCGCCGCCGCCGCCGCCACGGGCTCAGGACTCACGACGCCGCCTGCCCTCAGCGGAAATTAAAATTCATTTCAGGGGAGACCTGCACAAGGTGTGGGAGCGCGGGCGGCTTCCGGCGGTGGGGCCCTTTGTGAGGGTAAGGGGTAAGGGCACCATAGGAGTGGGAGCCTCTGTCCCCCCATATGTGACCTTGATCCGGTGGCTGTGCAGCCTCAGGGTTCCCTCAGGAGCGGGACCTCCAGTGGAAAGTCAGGCTCCAAGCTGGCCAATCTTGTTGTAAGGGAGGGCCCGATGGAGGATTCGGCCTGGGAATAGGAGGGGGTGGGGGGCTTCCAGGGAAGGATTAGTTCCCAAAGTCTCCAAAGACAAGAATCCCAAGGCCACAGGTACAGATCTGCAGACATGCACCACAGTGGATCCAAACCCCTCATCCAGACACAGATATAGGACACCCAGAGACACATACCCAACAGTATCACACACAGACCTCACTGGAAGTCGAGGGCCTGCCAGCATTGCCAGGCACACACAGAGACACGCACCACAGGCTGGCACAGACACATACCACTGACATGCAGACGCAGTCACACTTGGGCCTGCAAATGCCAGGCACCCTGACTAACCAAAGGCACAGACACACACAGGCCTGCAAACACTTTCCACACACACACACACACACACACACACACACACACGGGTTCAGGCACACACTGAACCCCAGGAAACATCACACTCTGGCTGCACACAAACTCCAATGACACGCAAACACTGCCCTGTCAATACACCTCACATTCGCCCAGACACTGAGTGGATGCCAAACCCCAGCATCGTAGGTGTGTATGCATTCTACACCACACACACGCACAGACACAGAAAGAAATGCATGAATACACCACATACCCTGCAAACAAAGGCACACACACGCACACGCAGCAGAGATCCCAGAGCCAGGTCCAGGCTTCTGACGTACAAAGCCTAGGCAGACACACACGAAACCTGCACACAGGCACACCATATACACACACAGACTCTCCCCCTACACATTGACGCACACAACCACCCACACGTGTACCGGAGCTCAGCCCCACTCACTCCCACTCTGACACACAGAACACTCACTTGGCGAGGTGCTCCAGGGCCCTTCCCTCTAACCACAAGGCTCGGGAATCTTACACCCCTACCCCCACCCCATCCACAGGCTTCACCCCCAAGCCTGGGACCCTCTGAGGTCAGAGTTGTGCCAGGGTTGGTGGTAAGCCAGAAGCAACCCCCACAACCCTGCAGTGATTGCTTTATTGCCAGCATGAGTTAGTGTACGTTTCTCTCCAGCAAGAGGGACAGATGTCCTCCTGGGGTGTGTCATCGTGTGGTCCTGTAAGAAGTGTGGTTGTGCCAACCAAGGAGGCATGTAGGTGTCACTGGTCCTGCATTTTGTCCTTCTCAGCACCCTCAGCAACTCTGGTTGCCTCCCCCAAAACCTAGGTGTCCAGCCTCAGCCTCTTCTAGCAGGTGTCGAGCCCTGGGAGTCAGACCCCCACCGACCAAATCTCTCACCCCGAGGGAGCTGGTCTTCTTTGGAAGATCAACTCTAATCCCGAAATAAATTGTTTCAAAAGTTGGTGCTTGGTCTGTCCTCTGGGAGGTGGCAAGGAGGACCAGGCCGAGGCAGGATGAGGCAGAACTGAAGCAGGGCCTCTAGCAAACCCTGAATGGGGCAGAGGCCTGGCTCTTGTCTCAGTCTCTCTGTAAAGCAGCTTCCTTATCTGTGACATGCGGGTGACCAGACCGATTGCAAGGGTTGTTCTGAGGGATCATTTGAACAATAGGTGCAGAGCAGCTGGAAGAGTGTCAGGCCCACAGAGGGGCTTGGCTGGATAAGCCAGTGCCTCCAAACCTCTAGGTCCCTGCACCCCTGCCTGCTAAGCCCATGTGTCCTGCTTGGCACAAGCCCAGTTCAGCAGGATCCAGGTGGCACAGAGCCCAGGAGAGAGGACCTGGGGCATCCCAGGCGGTGGAACACACGGGCCCTCCCCCACTGCCAGCGTGCCCCATGCCTGCTGAGAGCGTCCCAGCCCCTCCCTGAGGGATGCTCCTCACCCCCGCCCATGGCAGGAAGCTGGGAGCAGCTCTTCTCAGGCGCCTCCGCCCCCCTGAATATCCACCAGCCTCGGGTGTGGGTACAGGGTATGGTGCTGTCATCCCCGGCCGTCTGGAATGGCTGCCAGGGCTCACTGACCTTAAGACCTATAGCAGGGGAGTGTGGGATTAGACCTCAGGAAGAATTTACCAAGGGGGAGTGCCTGGGCTCCCTCCTGTGAGGGACTGTGTCTGACCTCAGTCTAGAGCCAGAGGTGATGGGACTAATAAATAAGCCAGAGAGATACCCATCGGACCAGAAAAATGGAGGGGACTTATGTCCTGGGGTTGTGTCAAGTGTATACGTCTATGGGCCAGCAACTGTGTCAGTGTGTAGATATGGCTTTATCTGTACATGAATGGTGTGTGTGTGTGTTTACACAGACATGGAAGGCTGAAAAGGAAGAGGAACTTCCAAATAAGGAGAAGAGGTGCTGCAGAGAAGTGGATCCAGATTCAGTTTCTCTGCAGGGATCCCCCCCACACACTGTCCCCATCACACTGGCAAAACCTTGGCTCCTGCCTCCTTATCTGCAATGATCTCAGCAGAAAAGAGCTCCCACTGGTACACCTCTCTCCCTTTTGGGGATATGGGGGTTGCTGGGAAGGTGTTAAGGTCAGGGCCCCAATTCTGAGTTATCTCTGTGTCCCCAGAACCTGGAACAGCTCATAGTCCTAGTAAGTCTGAAACGGGCCCACATTCATGCAGATGACATCTACATGCAGATGACATCTGGGCATAGCACTGTGTGAGACACTTCCTCTTTTTCATCTGATATGACCCACATCAGCTCTGCTAAGTTGGAATCATTGTTTCCATTTTACAGAAGAGAAAACTGAGGCTTGGATATCATAAGTGATCTGCCCAAGGTCACACAACCGGTGAGGGGACAGAGGCAGGAATCCAGATCTGTGTGGCTTCGGAGCCTGAAGTCTTCTGGTTCATCACATGGGAAACTGTGAACCAGTGTTTTACTGCACAAACATCAGTCAAGAGTCACAGATCAAAAGCTCTGTGAGGGCAAGGTGTCTGCTTGCCATTTCACCATTCATTCACTCAGTGAATATTTGCTGACTACTTACCTTGTACCTGGTGGTGGGTGCCACGGGCCCCAGCTGTGAATGGATGGACAAGGTCCCTGACTTCACAGAACTCACAGTCCAGGGGGGCAACAAGTTACATGTGTGTAAATAAACAACATATTTTCAGAGCAATGAGTATTGCCAAGGAAATATAACAGGGGTATGGGATGAAGCAACTGGGGGTGGGGTAGGGCTATTTTAGAGGTGTGGTCAGGGGAGGCTCCCTGGAGGAAGTGACCTTGGAGCTGAGACCTTCTTGATAAGGAGTCAGCCATGGGAATTGCCGGGGGAAGGGTTTGGAGTTTTCTAAGAGCAGCAAGGAGAACTCTGTGGCTGCAGCATGGTGTGGGGTGGGGGTAGGGGACTGGAGATGGGTCTGAAAGGCTGCTAAGGGCCAGGCTATGCAGGGTCTGGAAGGCCACATTGTCAAGTGCAGTGGGAAGCCACTAGCAGGCTTAAGAGGTGCCCTGATTTACACTTTTAAAGAGATGGCTCAGTTCAGTGGGCTCCAGGAGAATGGACTGAGGTGGGG
Source organism: Homo sapiens (assembly GCF_000001405.40). NCBI lineage: Eukaryota > Metazoa > Chordata > Mammalia > Primates > Hominidae > Homo > Homo sapiens. The sequence continues at coordinate 31,768,302 of NC_000001.11, read as the reverse complement.
GAGGTAGGAGTGGAAGCCCAGAAATTAAGTAAGGGAGAATCTGGGCACTGGATGATGGTGGCGTGGACTCCCCTGTTGGCAGTGGGGATGTAACGAGTGGATAGATGTGGGATATTTTGGGAGGTAGAAGCAACAAGACTTGCTGATGGCCGGGATCCCAGTGCCTAGAACATAGTAGACTCAATAAATATTTGTTGAATAAATGAATAAAGGCGCCAGGCTCTATATACACTTGTGTGCATCCTCTGGTATAAGGCATGTATGTAAAGATCACCCAAGACCCTAAAGGGCTGCTCTATCCTCTGCCCTAGGGGCCAGGGGCCAGAGAATGCAGGTGCTGCTCAAGGAGTTGCACACAAACCAGGCATTTCTGGGAAGATTTGGCTAGTGAGCAACGCATCCTCTCTTCTTTCCCCAATCTGCAGCAGCAAGAAAATGACAAACACCCTACCTGGGTTGCCCCAGGCTCCTAACCCCTTTGGCATCTGCAGCAGGAAGGATGGAAGCTAGACATGAAGGATTTCCCACAGGCAGAGAAGGCCAGTCTACCTTTTCCAGGATGGCCTCCAGGATGCATGCCATTCAGAGCTCTCAGGTGTTGGTCATAGGAACTCTGGGGCAGAAGATTGTCACATGGATTTGGGTGTCTTTAGGGACAGGTTATGAGCGCCTGATAGGTGTATGGGGTAGGAGCGGGACTGGAAGGAGACCTTGGCACCCACAGCTTTGGGTGGCCCTGGATGGTGCCTAGTTGAACGGCAGTGGTGAACAGGGCTGAGTGAGGGGTGCTCCTAGGTCCCACTGGCTGGAAGGAAACCTGCCTAGGCTCTGGGCCAAATAAATCATTGGGAAGGGAAGAAGAACATTTTCTCATCTGTTTAAAGGGCAACGAAGCATAGCAGCGGCCAGCCCAGCAGGAGGCAAGGCTGAGGCCAAGCGGGTGAGGCCAGGGCAGCTCCCTTCCTCGACACACCATCCTCTCCTGAGCAGCCCCACCGGCTTAGGCCTTGAGGGCTGTCTGCCTTCCAACTGGGCCATTGATGGTTGTTATTGTTGACAAAAATATTAATTAATTGGTAATAAAATAATTACTTACAAAGGCCCCTTCAGGGACGTAACCCTTGCTAATCCATCTTTTATCTCACTGGATCACAGACTGAGATCATTTATACCATTTCCCAGATAAGGAAACAGAGGCCCAGAAAGCTGAAGGGACTTTCTCAAGGTCATCTAGCATGGCAGGGTGACAGCAAGGCAGTTGCCCTTGTGGAGTGGATCCCCATAATCCCATCAGAGGTTCCAGAGGGGGCCCCAATGGGGCTAAAGGGCTGAAGTGATTGTCCTTGGTCCAGCTTAGGGGGTTCAGAGGGATGTCCCTTTATTCTGCTCAAGCCCTCTGTGCTCAAGCTCTGGCCGGTGCCCCTTCCCATGCCCAGTCTCTGCCCCAGGCTCCCTGGAGGCCCCTCCTGGGGCTAAGGCTTGCTCTTTTCACCCCCGCCTGAGCATCAGAGAAGTAATTTATCTTCAACCAGCTGGATTTGAATATGGAAACGATTTGTAATTACTCCAAGTCCTCCTGGGCGGCATTATTACCAGAGTGAGTCTGGAAGGGCAGGGGCTCCTGGGAAAGGAGGTGGGGAAACCCTGATGCAGAGAGGTGCCTCCAGGGAGAGCCTTCCAGAGGTCAGCCCTAGTCTCGCCTGCTCACTCCTGTACAACCCTGGGGAGGTCCTGCTCTCCCCACACAGCTCCCACAACCCCCTTTGCCTTGCTGACCTCCCCACCTTGCCCCTACTGAGCCCCCGGCTAAGGGACACCATCTCTGTCAGTCCCTCACTCTGTCTACCTATGCTTCCTTGGGCGTACATTTTTGTGGCTGATAGAAGGGATCAAGAAGTCAGAGGGCTAGCGAGGAACAGAGAGACAGACAAAAACGCTGCTGTCGATCTGGGGCCAGTCCCTCCCATCACCTCTCACCCAGCTGCCTCCTGGGGAAGGAGGAGGGGGGGCCTCAGGCATCCAGCTGCATCACATCTGCAAGAGACCTGCCTAGGTTTCTCTGATCTAATATGCTAATGATCATGAATATTCAAAAAGAGGGAAGCAAGCTCCCTGTAGGAGAGGAGGGGGCTGGAGCTTTGGACAGGGTCCTGGAGATTTCTAAGGGGCTTGCATCCTTGTGGGCAACCCATGTCTCCACCATTTTCCCCACTTTTGCCTACCTCCTTGAAGCCCCAGTCTAGCAACCCCATTCCCCCTCCCAGTGCCCATGTAAGGAGGGGGCCCGGATTTCCCACTGCCCTGGGGTGGCTTTCAACATACTTTGCAGCTGGCAAGGCCTGCCTGGCCTGGCTTTCACATAGTAGCTGAGCCTTGAAATCCAGAGATGTCTGACTGTGTTTGAGGGTGCCTAGCAAACCCTAGGAGCCTTGCTTGCCAGTGCTAGGCCCAAGGCACAGGCCTCCTTGGGCATCCGCAGCGAAAGGGAAGGTGCCGGCCCAGCCCTCCTCCCTGCCTCATAAGGCCTCATAAATTCTCTTAAGGTGACAGGTGAGATTCCTTCATCGTCCCTTATTACCTCCTTCCATTAAAGTTGATAATCTCTCACAATCACTCACAACAAATGTCACCGAGGCTGCTGGAGGTGGGAGGGACAGAAGGAGGGAAAAGAGGGCGGTTCTATGCCTCTTCCTGGTACTGCCCCTGGGAAGAGGTAGGCTTTTCTCTTCTTGCCCCATCTTGAGGGTGCCACAACTTAAGGGGCATCAGTGGAGAGGTGGGGTTGGTATTTGCTGAAATGAGGACTTCTTTGCACTGAAAATTTGGCCCTTCCTGGCTAGTGAACCTTCAAAAAGTATGGTCCTGAAACCATCCCACCCTCATCGCAAAGCTGAAACCATCCCACCCTTATTGCAAAGCTGCCCCCTGCTGGTTTCTCCTCTGACCAAAGCCATGGGATTAACCTACTTGTGTTGGCTGCAATGGTGCGTCCCTGGTCGGCCTACCTTACTGATGGCAACATGCCCAGGCCACAAACTGCCTGACCAGAGCCCTGAACCATGGGCATCTCCCTGTGTACCGCCTGAACCATGAGGGCTCAGGCCCCACCCAACTGTTTCTGGGCTTAGTGCCAAGATGGGGAAGGGGTGGGTCTGTACATCTCTGCTGCTTCTACACAAACAGATGCAACATGGGGGCGCCCCTGGCACAGGGAAAGGCACTTGTGGGAATAGACAGGGACTCAGGAAAACATGTAACACACTGCACACGTGTAGCATCCCCGTGCCTAAGGACGTGCAACATTGCAGTTTACAGTATGCATCAAACATGTCACATTGCAGTATACATATGTGGCTGCTACATGAGTTACCCACAGTCCTCAGCACACATGTGGCACCTGTAAGCTTGCATACATATAACATCCCTGCGCACAGGAACAAGCAACATGCATTCAGGACTTGGGCACATGTTAATACACCGTGCATGTGTGTGGCACTTGCATGCACCTACCCAGGCAACATGGCAGTGCACACTTAGGGCACCTGTATGCATATGCAAAGTTCAGCGCACATGACTGGCACCTGCATGCACAGGGACATGCAATATGCAATGCACATGGGAAGGTGAGCAAATGCTTCAGCCTGCAGGGCCCGGGACACCCTGGCGGCGCGACAAGCCTCCGGCATGGGTATAGCTGGAGGGGCGTCGCGGATCGCCTCATTCTGCGGTCCAAGAAGCAGCGGGCTGGGCGGGGGCTTACCCAGGGCTTCTCCCGCGCCGGCGCCTGGGGCCCAAGGCGGGGAGGTGGGGGGCACGATCGGCTCGGCTGGCGCTGTTCCCCCTTTAACAGGAGGCGGCGCGCGTCGCCCCCGCCCCTTCTCCCGCGGCTCCTCGCGCCCGGCCCGGCGCGCGCCCCCTCCCGGGCCCGGCCCGCGCAGGCGCCGCGTCCCGCCTCGGCCGTCACTCGGCCCGGCGCGCGCTGCGGGCAGCGGCCGGAGCGGCCGGAGGAACCGGGTTCGGCGGCAGCGGCGGCGGCGCTCAGAGACCGAAGAGGATGCGGCACCGGCTCTCAGAGCCCGGGGCTGCGGCCGCCGCCCGCAAATAGGAGGCGGCGCGCGGCGCGGGCGGTGCTCGGGGCGGGGGAGCGGGGGAGCGGGGGGCGGCGCGGCAAGGAGGCGGCGGCGGCGGCGGCGGCAGGAGCCCGCGCCCGGCCCGGCGCCGCCCGCCCGCCCGCCCCGCGCTGCTCCGCGGCGCCTTTTCTGCACCCGCCGCCCGGGAGAGCGGGAGCCTCGGCCCTCCGCGCGGCTGCAGCTACCTACCCTGCGCCCGGCCCGGTCCCCGACTTAGGGATGGCAAACTTGCGCCCCGTGGCCGCCCCCGCCAGCGCCGGCCCCCGCTCCTGCTGCTGACGGCGCCCAGGTGAGTGCTCGGCCCCAGACCCCGACCTGGCCTCGCACCGAGCCCTGCCGGCGCGGTCCCGAGTTTCCGCACCGGCCCGGACTCGGGGCGCTCTCCTAACCCGTCTCTGCTGAATTCTCCCCCAGCCCGAACTGAGTTCGTTCAGCGTTCGCCCACCCCCATCTTCTGGGGAACTCCCAAACCTAGGGCCGAGGCCCCCTTAATCGCTGGTGAATCTCTAATCTCGGCCCCCCCCCTCCCCCAGCCTGGACCGACCCTCTTACCCATCTATGCTAAAGTCTCCCCCTCCAGAATTCTGACACAGACCGTGCTTGCTGTCTCGAGTCTTTCCCTATCTCGGCCTGGATCCGGGCAGTGTGCCCCCCACCTTTATTAGAGCCCCCCCATTAACCTGCAGCTCAACTGTGTCTCCCCCTCTATTTCCCGTCACGGTCTGAATGCCGGACCCTGCTCCTCTCCTCCACTTCATCACTGCCCGGAGTCTTTCCTGTCCCCATCCATGTCTGCCCATAGTTTCTACCCTCCCCCGCGCCTGTACCCCGACCATGCTTCTTCTCTATTTCTGCCCCTAGCGCCCCCTCCCCCATATCTATCTGACCGGAGTCCCGCCTTCCCTCGCCAATCTTGCTGCAAGTCCCCTCCCCTCAGCTTGGAATTGGGGCCGTGTCCCCCGTGTCTGCTCCGCGCCCCCTCCCCTCCAGCTGAGATCCCGACTGGACCCGCATCCCTGACTCCCGTGTCCATCTTTGGCCGGAGTCTATCTGTCCATCCCCCATCCCTATCCTCCCACCCCTGGTCATAGAGCTGGGCACCAGACGCACCCTCCCGCAGCCCCAGGGCCGGCATGATCCGGAGGGGGTTGTAGGCTGTGAAGTTGGCGGCCACTCCCGCAGTCAGCTTGGTCCGAGGGCACAGCCGGGGGAAGTCCTCCGCGCCGCGGCCCGTGCAGAGCAGGCGACGGGTCTGTTGCCCGCCGGGGGGAGGGGCGCCCGGGCCGAGAGATGCCGCCTGCCTGCCCGCCTCGCCAGCTGCCGGCCGGGCTCCTGGGCGTCCTCTGGCGCCCCCTGCCCGAAGCCTGGGACCCGCCACCCCTTCTCCCGCGGGCAACCCCGGGTTTCCGCAGCCAGAGCATCAGCGGTGGCTGCAGGACTGACGCTGGGAAATCCCTGGGGAGAGGAGATTGGTGGGCCAGGCCAGGTGCCTCCTCGTGCTAGCCATGCCCAAACACTCCTGGTTGTCAGGCCATATGTTCTGGGGGTGGGATGGGTTGGGGTGGGGTGGAGGGCTCACCCCAGCAGCAAGTCAAGAGTCCTTTGAGCCTTCACGTACAGACCAGCAGGATTGGCCGCGGGCTCCAGGACGCCTGGTTGGGCTTGTTTGTGCTTGGTCAGGTGTTGCCAGAGAGCCTCTACCCCATGGCATTTCCCATGAGGTGAGGGCTGGGGGCAAAGGTGGGCTCTGCCTGGCTTGCGCATGGAGTCGGTTGTGGGGGAATCCACCTGACCCTGGGACAGAGCAAGCACCTGGGGAGTATCCTCTGCACTGCTACTGGGGTGAGGGGCAGTGTGGACTCTGCGCAGGATATGTCCTGGTGATGGTAGTGGGGAGGTTAGGGAGGGTCTTCTCTGGACCAAGATTGAGAGAAGAGATCTTCCCCTCTTCTTCCCTCTCTCCTCCTTCCGCTCTCTCTTCTGCCCCCTTTCTGTATCACTCTTCAAAAGGACATGTCTAGTCTGGGGTGTGCGTGCGTGGTCTGCATTTCTGTAACACAAAGTGAGGTTCCATCTGGTATCTGCCCCCATCCCTCCCTCCCTTCCCACCCCCAAGTAATGAAGCTGAGTAAGTAGTTAGGAATTCAGCTTTCGGTCAGACGACCTACGTTCAAAAGCTGTGTGACATGGGCAAGCTACTTAATCTTTCTGAGCCTCAGTTGACCCTCTATAAAATGGGTCAGTGATCACTGCCTCATATAGCTGTTGGGAGAATGAAGTTAGGTTGTTTGTATAGAGTGTCTGGCACCTAGCAATGCTCAATATTGATAGGGGTGTGGGGCTGTTTCTGTTCAAGGCCAAGGTCAGGCCCCTCTCCACTCCACTCCTAATCCCAAAGGAGAAAAATGAAAAACAGGTTCCAGTGCCTTCACTCCAACCCCCAGTATAATAAAGACAGAAACACCTTTAGCCCCCAGTCTCCACTTTTCCCCCAAAGTATGGGTGCAGGGGGAGCCAGTGACTGTCAGTTTCCCTCATCTCCTCCTTGGTCCTGCAACTTCCCACTATATTTCTCTGGGATCAGCTCTGGCCAGAGGGATGTTAGTGAAAGCCAGGCCATGGTCTCTGGGGTCTTGGTTCAAGTGTAGAGGCTGCAGAGGTGGGAGAAGTACAGAGAAGAAACCCCAGTCAGAGTCCCCGAAGGCAGGCAGCCTGTTAGGGGGAGCCCAGGTGGGAAATCACTCAGCCACAGAAGAGCCTCTACTGACCCCAGGAGGTCAGACACCATCAGGAATTTCCCAGGGCCCTTTGCCTTGGGTCAGAGTTAGCAGGGCCACCGGGCCTGAGGGCCTGAGGAGTTTGAAGAAACCTGGCTTTGGCCTGAGTAGCTTGGGGGCAGGGAAGGTGGCACGGAGGAAGGGGACTCGAACCTGTGATGGCTGGAAGTCCTCTGGGTAGTGTGGCCGGACCTGGGTCCCACCGGGGAGTGGCAGCCTCCTCATCACCCGCCTGCCCCGGCAGCCCTGACATTGGGGAACAAAAGCATTCGGTTCCTGTAGCAACGGCGGCTCCAGCTGCTGCAAAGTTCCGGGGAGGCGGGCGGAGGGCGGCTGAGTCACCGCCCCCTCCCCCGCCGCCCGCGCGGCACCGCCCCCAGGGGCCGAGGGCTGCCCCTTGTCCCCCTTCCAGTTCTGCCCGCGTTTTCCTCCTTAAGGAGGAACCCCCTCCCCTAAGAGAGCGACCCTCTCTGGCAGTCGGAGCGGGAGGACTGCACAGAGGGGGTCGCTCCCTCCCCTCGGCCCAGTCCCCAGCTCCGGAGGCAGGATGGAGGGTGTGCGTCCCCCAGGGCGACAGAGCTCTAGGAGAGCGGCTCCTGAGGACCCTGTCCTTGGGTCCGAGCGCTGGCAGAGGACCCAAAGCCACCGAGTGGGGGTCACCGCCTGCGTGGCGGCCTGGGCAGGTCGGGCGGCGAGCGCCGGGGAGGCGGAGGGTGAGTGACGGGCGGGCGAATTGGAGCTGCCAGGTGGATAAACGCGACGGATGTGCGCGTCGCCGCGCCCCTTCCCCCGGCCCGCCCCTCCCCCGCCACCCAGCGTGAATGGGAGTCATCCTGGGAATCCCGGACCGGCCCTGGGCCTGAGACACCCCTCTCCCGCTGCTCTGCCCCTTACCCCACAGTCTTGCCTTGGCCCTTTCAGCTGCTGAAAGCTTTGAATTCCTTTATTGGTGCAGAAGGGAAGCTGGGGAGCCCTGAGGGGTGGAAAGAAAGGGGACTTGAGTGTGTTTGGGCAGAGTGAGATTCTTGGGTTTGCTGGGGTCAGGGGCATGTGGTGAAGGCAGCCCCCAGCCCCCTAGAGGAGGGGCCTTGGTAGGGTTAAAAGTGAGAGGGAGACTACTTCAGCCAGCTCCGCACCCATCTCTGAGGCAGGAGGCCTTTTGATCCTCCTCTCTATCAGCCACCTCTGGCCCAGGAAGTTCTTCCTCAGAGCTGACTTTAGTACCTCTCCTATCTAACTCTTGTGCAGGGATGGGTCTGTGGTCTTCCTGGGTTTGGAGGTAGCCAGCCACTTATGGTTCAACCCAAAGAGCCTTCCCAGAGGCAGTGCCCTGTACCTCAGCAGGCAAGAGGGCAGCGTTTATGAGGTCCTGAAAAGACAGAGAGGAGACAGGGCTGTGAGCTAGGCTCTGTGCTGGGAACTTGTTGGGAGGCTGATGAGGTGTCTGCCATCCCCAGGGCAAGGCTCATGGTCTGCATTGCACAGAGAGGGAAACAGGCTCAGGGGGGTTAATCATGACTAAGAGCCACTTGGGCTGCCTGTGAGGCAAGGATCATCCTTCTAGGTCCCCTTCCCGGGTGGCTCAGGGAGAGGCCTCTGGGTCATCAGTGCCCCCAGGAGGACAGGCCTGGCTATACACAGGCAGGAGGGTCTTCAATGAACCAGTGGCTGTCTGTGACCCAGCTTGGAATTGGGTCTTTGCCTTATTTTGAATGGTGGGAAGTAATATAAAAAGGCGCCCCAAAAGGTCTTATGTCATAGCCGGCACAGTGAGGGTTACGCATGTCCAGGACGAAATCCCAGAATGAGCGTGAAGGTGTCTGAAGGAGACTGAGGGGAGGAGGGGGGTTGGATTGGGTTAAAAGTGACTCCATTCTGGAGAAGCCAGCCTGTGGCTCTGAAGGATGTGGACCTTGTGCTTCTTGATGGGGCGGGGCTGTGGAGTAGGGAGCAGCAGCCTAGGAGCAGGGTAGGGGAGGGAGATCCAGCTTCAGACATGCAAAGGAAGACCCCGCAGAGGATCCTGCCTGACACTTAGCTGTCATATGCTGAGCCTCAGAGGGCCAGATACTCATGTGTGTTCTCAGTCGAGAATGCGTGTGCACCTCTGTGCATGTGTACAAGTGTAAGCCTCTACACCCCTGTGTGTGCGTGTTAACTCCTGAGTGTGTGTGACAGCATGAATCTGTGGGTTTCACCTGTGTGCATGTCCGTGTACATATGTATCCATTCATATGCAGAACTCCTGTGAACATCTGTGCCCTCATGCTTTGGTGTGTGTGTCCTCAGGGCACAAGGGTGTTCAAACCCATGTGTGTTGGTGTGTATGTGAGGGGAGGTTCCCTGAGCTGCTGTAAGTGGGGGAGGGGAGGCCGGTTATAATGAGCCCCTACCTCCCCTCCACTGAGCCGCAGCCATGGCCTGAATTTTGCGGCTTAAAAATAATTGGGGGCAGCAGGGGGATTGGATGTCACTCATCATCAGCCGCTGGCTTGGCTAGTGCCGCAGCAGGTGGGGCGAGCTGAGCAGTGTGGGACAGGCATGATGTAGGGTGGGAAAGACCAGGGGTCTGATCCCTTTTTCAGCTCTGAGGAGGAGGGTGGGTGGTTGGGGGGAGAGGCACAGCCTGTCTGGCTTCCGCCGAATAACTCCATGTGGGTCTTGGGAGGAGGGTGGGGTGGCTCCTCTGCAGTGAGTAGGTCTGCCTGGAGCTACTCCACCATCTCCCCCAGCCCCTGTATGGCTGGGAGGGGAAGATGCTTGCTTGGGCCTGGCTTGGAGGTGCAGCATGAAGGGATGTGGGATCTGGAGCAGTGGGGAGCTCCATGGATGCTGCACAGGGACTGGAAAGTTGGGGTTCTAAATTCTGTCCCCCCTCTGCCTGCTGTTTAGACTCCTGAAGACCCAAGGGGAAGTCTGTTCCCTGGGAGCAACTGTGTCTTGGGAGAATCTAGTCATACCTGTGAATTGTCCTGTGTTTCTGATTCAGTCCCCAGAGCTAATAGCTGGTCCATCTGGCCTGAAGCCTGAGCAGCAAGCCTAGGGAAGGAGCAGAGGCTACTGGTGGAGGGAGACAGGCCTGGGCTGGGCCTCAGATCCTGGGCTTGCGTCCTCTGTGGCCACCTTTGTGTGATCTGGAGCGGGTTGTCTCCCTTTTCCTAGCCCCATCTTTTCTCCTCTGATGAGGACCAGCTGGGCTCTAGGGGGCCCATGCAGTGCTGTGAGCTATCCTGTGGCATGCAGGAGGGAGGCCGCTTGGATTACTTGGGGGGTAGGATTGGAAGTGGGGCTGATTCAGACCACGCGCTAGGTTCCATTTTCTGGGCAGTTGGGTAGAGGTTGCGCAGGCTGTGGGCAGTGACACAGCCCTGGCCTGGTGGGTGGGAGGGCACCTGCAGCTCCCCCCATCCTCAGCCCTTACCCACTCTGGCCTGACTGCTCTGTGTGTCTGTATGGGTCGGGCTTGGGTCCTAGGTGCCCACCCACACCTGGAGTACATTCACACCTGTTGGGAGCTCAGCTTAGGGCAGCACTTTAAGGGAAGGTAGAAAGCAACAAGCTTGGGTCCCCACTCTTAGGAACTGGAAGACCCATAAGCTGAATGAACTAGCCTTGGGGAAACAGTATAGGAGAGAGGTCACGACTGGCTGGTGGCTTCACAGGTGGGTAGTGGGGGGTGGGGTAGCAGGCCCTGAACCAGGCCTTGGAAGATAATCCCATGGAGCTGGAGGGGAAGAGGGAAGTAAGAGGGGGAATTTCTGCACCCATTTTACAGATGAGAAAACTGAGACTCATGAGGGTCACCCACCAGCAGGTGGCTGGCTGGGTTGGGGCTCAAGCCCAATGTCCCCTTACTCGGTGCCTCTCCCCCTTATTCCAACCAGGAAATCCACAGCAGTGATACATGTGACGTCCACACTGACAGTGCCCTCCTGTGGGCATGGCTCAGGTTGTGCGCAGTTCCTGGCACACTGGCTGTAACTCCGCCCCTTTCTCTCCCTCTCAGTAAAGCAAGTGAGTGAGAATGACATTGTTCCAGGAATAACCTCAAATTGCTCTAATTTATAAAAAAGCAAATCATAGTCAAACATCACCACTTTGACAATTACCACAGGATTACGCGGTGACATGCCTCACAGCTGATCACGACACACGGGGATGGAGAGCAAGAGTTATGGAGAATACAGGTTGGATGGTGAGGCTGGGGCTGGATCTGAATGCAAGGCGAATATGCTTGTAGTTGATGGGCTGACTCTGAGGAAACAGAACGATGGCAACAACAACTACTGTTTCTTCAGGGCTCACAAGATTCCAGGCACTCTCGCGAGTCCTTTCCCTTACTTATTTCACCCTTGTAGGAAACTTGTGCGATAGGTCCTATCATTGGTCCATTTTACAGGTAAGGAAACTGAGGCTCAGAGAGGTCAAGTCCCTTGTCTAAGTTCACACAGGTGGACCCAGGTGACACTTCAAAGACCAGGGTCTTAACTTATGAGGCCCACTCCCGCAGCTCACCATAGAAGGTTCAGAGCCCATGCTGGCTGTGCTGGGGGCCCGCTGACCACTGTCTCTCTCCACAGGGCAAGGGACATAGGATGACCCCAGCCTGTCCCCTCTTACTGTCTGTGATTCTGTCCCTGCGCCTGGCCACCGCCTTCGACCCCGCCCCCAGTGCCTGCTCTGCCCTGGCCTCGGGTGTGCTCTACGGGGCCTTCTCGCTGCAGGACCTCTTTCCTACCATCGCCTCGGGCTGCTCCTGGACCCTGGAGAACCCTGACCCCACCAAGTACTCCCTCTACCTGCGCTTCAACCGCCAGGAGCAGGTGTGCGCACACTTTGCCCCCCGCCTGCTGCCCCTGGACCACTACCTGGTCAACTTTACCTGCCTGCGGCCTAGCCCCGAGGAGGCGGTGGCCCAGGCGGAGTCAGAGGTGGGGCGGCCAGAAGAGGAGGAGGCAGAGGCGGCAGCGGGGTTGGAGCTGTGCAGCGGCTCAGGCCCCTTTACCTTCCTGCACTTCGACAAGAACTTCGTGCAGCTGTGCCTGTCGGCTGAGCCCTCCGAGGCCCCGCGCCTGCTGGCGCCCGCTGCCCTAGCCTTCCGCTTTGTCGAGGTCTTGCTCATCAACAACAACAACTCTAGCCAATTCACCTGTGGTGTGCTCTGCCGCTGGAGTGAGGAGTGTGGCCGCGCTGCCGGCAGGGCCTGCGGCTTTGCTCAGCCAGGCTGCAGCTGCCCTGGAGAGGCGGGGGCCGGCTCCACCACCACCACATCTCCAGGCCCTCCTGCTGCCCACACCCTGTCCAATGCCCTGGTGCCCGGGGGCCCAGCCCCACCTGCTGAGGCCGATTTGCACTCGGGGAGCAGCAATGATCTGTTCACAACCGAGATGAGATATGGTGAGTCTCAGCAGGGCCTGGGTGGGGCGGGGTCTGCAGGGGCTGACAGTGTCCCTGGTGTCCATCCTGGCAGATCCTCGGCCATGCATGTAGCTGTTCACTGATGTCACCCCTCTGCTGAGCCTTGTCCAAATGTTGCGGTCACCAAAATGCATGGCAGTGAGACCTCACTCTTGAAGAGTTTGCAGACTGGCTAGATGAATGGGGGCACAGATCAGATAATGCAGGGTGATATATAAACCCAGGGAGGGACCTCCTAACTGGGCAGCCAGGGGAGGCTCCCTGAAGGAAGTAATACAGGAACAGAGACCTGAAGGACAAGCAGAAGTGAGATGAGGGCATTCTAGGCAGAGCAAGAAGGGTGCACAAAGGCCCAAGGCTGGGAATGATCGTGGCAGGCCCTGGCGCTGCAAGTTGACAAGTTTGCCTGGAGGCTGGAGTAGGCAGGGAGCAGGGATGCATTCCTGTCCACACAGGTCAGTGAGTTTTGGCAGTTGCCCCGGGGTCAGGGCAGAGAGAGGCAAGGAAGAGTGTCCCTGGGTGAAGAGGCCTGAGCTTCCAGGCTGCCTTGGAGGGCTGGGCTGGCTCAGCTCCCAGTGTCCCGTCTTCCCCCTCAGGACCCATGTCTTCTGGGACCGAGGCCGCCAGCTGCTAGAGCTTCCTGCTGACTGGGCAAAAGCTCTGCGAGCCCTTGAGTCCTGCCTGCTCCCGCTCCCACCCCAGCTCCCTCAGCCACGGCTGCCTTCTACAGACCCTGCTTCCTGCAGCTTCAAGGCCCTGAGGGCCTCAGCTGGATCCTGTGTGCCCGCTGAACAGTGCTGGGCCGGGGACTGACCAGGAGACCTGGAGGGAACAGGGACTGATGACATGGGGATGGGAAGGAGGCAGGTCTGGGGTCTGGTCTGCAGCTCTGGTACCGACAGGGAGGCCTCTCCTCTCTCTGGGCCTCAGTTTCCCCATTTGGGATACAGGTGCTGGCTTATCCTCATGAGGATCAAGGATGCAGGGATAGAGGATGGAAAGGGCATCTGGATTTCACTGGGAGAGTGTTTACAAGGAGACAGGGTATCATGTGAGGGCTGCTAGGAGTGCTGGAGGAGAGCGGCCTGTCCCCAGCCCTGCTCTGCTGGCTAGAGCCCTGGAGTTGGCCTCTACCTTTGACTGTTACCTTGAGTTGATCCCTTTATTTTTGGTGGGCAGTGGTTTCTTTGTAGAATGGGGAGGTATCCCTGAATTAATTAGAGGGGGTAGTTATCTTGAAAGTAGCCTAACCCAGTACTTTCGATGGGGGCCTTCTTGGCTTCTCCAATGAGACATCTGACATCGTGCCCATCCACGGCAAGTGCCCGGTGGCTTTGCTGTGGCCTCTCTCCCAGGCTAGCTTGGCCTCTAACGGCGGTCAATGAAGCCGTCCGAGTGACAGCCGGGCCGCGGGTAGGTTACAGGCCCTGGAGGCTGGCCTGGGATTTAGTGCCTGTAGGAAGAAATTGAATTTTGCTTCTTTGTTGAACATCGGCGGAGAACGCCAGGCGTATATCAGGAGGCTTATGGCTCTTCCTGCATGGCCACCACTGCCTGTCACTCTGTGGGGGTCTCCCCCATCGTGCTCAGCTGCAGGCGGGTTCTTTTGTCTGGCTTTCCCTGCGGTCCATCGGTCCAGTGATCTGCAGTGGACGGAGCAAGGCTCTGCCCTCATGGGCGGGCACCATCTGGGCGGGCTGCCATGTGGAGCACAGAGCCAGGAGCAGCCAGCTGGGCTTGGTTGAAGCCGGAAGCAGGAGTTGGTTGGTAGCTGGGGTGTCTTTGGGGATCAGAGAGGGCCGGTGATGGGAAAGGCACCATCATCAGAGCCTCTGCAGAGGCCTCTGGGGCTAGAGATGGGTGGAGACTGGATGCCTGATTATTCCTGGGCATGAGGCCAGGTGTCTCTCTGAGCAGGGAGCCCTGAGCTGGGGCTCCCAGCTGTTCCCAAGCCTGACCTCTGCTCTTGCCCCTTGTCCTACTTGGCATGTTTCCTTGGGGTTGCTTTTTAGGGAGGGCCCCTGTAGGGAGTTGGCATGGGATGATGTGGCATCAGCTGTCATAAGTGGGCTCACATGGCACACTGGTGCCCAGAGCTGGGCTGGCACAGCCCCTTCCCCTCCCTTGGCAGGCAGGAAGCTCTTCTATTCTGCCATCCCCTCCCTCCTGCCCAACCTTTCTGGTGTGAGACATAGCGGGCACATGACTGTTTGTTCCACATGTCAGGGCATGTCTGAGGGTCCGTGGCACCGTCTGTGCCTTGTGGCAGCACCACCTTTGCCGAGCCTTTGGCCCCCTCCATTCCTCCCCTTGTCTCCTCCCCACTGGGCTGCAGGAGAATGGACTGGCACCTGCAGCTGCCAGACTGAGAGCAAGATTCGTGGGGATGGTAGTGAGCAGGAAGGGTGAGACCCTTGTCCTGGCCCCTCTCCCAGGCACCAGGGCAGGGAAGCTGTGTTCATCTTCTCTGGGACACCCCCGAGGAAGATCCACAGTGAGGCCTAGCAGGGTGGGCTTGGGCTGGTACCGGAAGAGCACTGGGCTGGGGGCTGGTGGGCAGTGACTGGCGGAGTGCCTGGGACGCCTCAGAGCCGAGTGAGTTTGACAAGAGGGTACAGGCGCCTGTTAATTTCACGCAAACTGCCTTTGATAGATCTCTTGTTATTTTTGGTGAGTTGAGCCATAAATTTGTGCCATCTTGCTGCCGCAATCTGTTAAGTGGGGGAAAAGGAAGAAAAGAAAGGCAGGCAGGAAGGAGCTTGGTGGAGGACTGGCACGGAGGCTGGCTGAGGTCAGGGCTGGAAGGCGGGCCGCAGAGTTAGTGCCAGCTGCAGGGCTCAGCTCCTGATGGCCAGTGCCAGCCTGCAGTTCCTGCCCACTGACCCTCTAATCCTGAGGAGGCACTGGGCAGTGGGAATGGCTGTGCCCAGTGATACTTGGGAGAAAGAACCCCGCCTCATGCACGCCTCTCTCCTTGGCCACAATCCCTACCTCCCCTGTGGGCACTGGCCTGCCCCTGGCTGCTTGCTGCAGGCTCACCCTCCCCATCATCAGGCTCCATCCTTGAGGTGTGGCCACCAGGTGAACCTGGGGTCTCCTGGGAGGCAAGAGTGGGCTCAAAACCCCACCTGCCACTGCTGCTCTGTGACTTGGACAAGGTGCTGCCCATCTTGGGGCCTCAGAACCCCCAGTTATCTGTGTGTCACCCCCTGATCGAGCCCCCAGCAAATCCCCAGTGCTACTGAAACTCCTCAGCCTGGTGTCCAAGCCCCACCCGGGACCTAGCTACCACCTGCTTTTGAGCCTTCTTTCGAATTCTCCCCCACCCTTTCAACTGAGGCTCCTCGAATGGTGTTTGCCCTTGGTTATCCAGAACTCCTGCATCCTTCTAAGCACTGCTCAAGCCCTGTCCCCTCTAGGAAGCTGCCTCTGATTTGCCCAGCCCTGTCCTAAGATTGGCGTTTCCCTCCCAGCGCTCAGACCCTGCTGCTCTCTCGGCCATCCTGGTCTGGCAGCAGGAAGTGGGGGCCTTCCCTGCCTGTTGGGGGCCCAGGCAGTGAGGAGGCAGGGTGGGGGCGGGGAGACCCAGCACACACGGTGGTGGTATTTCCTGGAAGGTCCTTCCAGCCCAGATCTGTGCTGGTGGGGCTCTGTGTGCTCTACCATAGGGTGGGGAGCGGGGCCCAGACATCCCCAGACATCTCAGCAGGGACTGAGTTCCAGCCAATCCCTCACACACATCTTCATGTCTTTATCAGAGTAGAGTTTGTGCCAGGCCTAGGGCTGGCTCTGAATGAGTAGGAGGTGAGCTAGGCACACTGTCTGCCCACCGGTGGGGGAGGGAGAGCACTAACTAGGACAGTGGTGGTCAAGGCCACAGACTGAAGTCGCCCAGTCCGGGTTCAGTTTTGGACCTTACCACTGACTAGCTGAGTGACTGTTGATAAGTTCCTTCACTCCCACTTCATCACCTGTAAAGCGGGGGTAGTGAGAGCTATTCCACAGAGCTGTGGGGAGGGTTCAGTGAGAGGATGAGAGTAAGTGCCCAGTGCCTGGCACATGGTAGATGCCTAACAAAGTAGTAGCTGGGTCATCATAATTTAGTGTAATAGGTACGACTGTGACCCTGCCAGATGTCAAAGGAAGAGGAAGAGTAAGGGATTAAACCACAAAGGGGAGGAAGGTGCTCTAAAGAAGGTGATTTGGAGTTGAGTTTTAAGGAGTGAATAGGAATTCACTAGCCTGTGAAATTTCTCTTTCAATTGTATCATTTTTAAAATTTAATATATTAAAAATAAGTTTCATATCCTAAATGGAAAGAGTATCATTTATCTGAAATAGAAGATAACCAAAGAAACAACCACAGTGAAAACAAAGCGCCGTTATTAACTTCTAGCTAGATGCTTTTCCTACCTCTCCATTTGTTAGAGAGAGGAATTAGCACACATTGGGGATGTGTTAAAGTCTGGAACTGCACAGGCTTTATCTCTCATGCAGTTGGAAGGATTAAAGTGACCATGTAATTTATCATCTAAACTGTGACACATCTGAGGTTATGAAAGGGAAGAGGTGGGTACCATCAATTACATCAGGACAACAGGCACAAACCAGACTATCCCATACAAACTGATGAAGAGACCTGGGAGAGCCTGACATCCTCAGTCCAGGATCCAGTGTCATTTAATGGCACATTTGTGAGCCGCCCCAAGTCATCTTCCGCCCCATGCTTTGGGGAAGCTCTCAGGAGGAAGGGCTTTCGAGGTAGAGGAAACAGCCTGTGCAAGGGCGTGGAGGTGTGAACCACGCCGGGGGTAGGAGCTATAAAGAGACTGGAGCTGCTGGATGGTAGCCCTGGTGGAGGGAGACGGGGCCAGGGCTTTGACTGCCATCCCAGGACACTGGGGCCTCATCCTCTTGGCCAAGGGCTTTATGGCAGCAAGAAACTGGGCGTCTTGGGGGAAGCAGGCTGAGTCAGACACGATCCCTGCTCTCGAGGAGCTTCTGGCCACATGGGGGAGGTGGCAGGGACCCAGCTCTCTGTGGTGGGAGGCTGAGTAGATAGGTCAGCAGCCTGGGGAGGAAGAATTATTGGGGGGGGCGGTCTGGCATTCTGGCTAGGTACATGATCTCATAGGGGTACCCAGTTTCATTGGACTGCAGGGGTAGAGCCTGTGCCTTTCAAAAGCCACCTCTTTCCCCCACTGCGCCCTGTGATTCTGATACACTGTGGGGTGCAAGAAGCACTGCTGGGGATGGGGTGCCATGGGGGGACATGACAGAGCATGTGTCAAGGGGATCAGTCGGCTCCTGCTCAGGGCTCTGGGACCAGCCTCAGGAAGGAAGCAGGGAGCCCAGGGAAGGGACGATTGCTTTGTAAATCACAGCGCTCTCTCCCTGTGGAAGTGATGATTATTGTGGTTATTTTTAACACATTCATACCATAGTAGGCTGAGGGCACAGGACTGTGTGGAGTTTGGGGGGAGGGGTCTGTGAAGCACAGCATAGCAGGTATCTGCAGTCCTGTGCAAGTGACAAAGAGCCTGTGCTCACCCCGCCTGCTGGCACCAGGGGTGAAGCAAGAGGGGCCTCTCTGTGGTTGGGGTGGAGGAACTCCCAGCAATATCTGGCCCATGTTTGCTGAATGCCTGTCTTCCCAGAAGCTAGGCCCTCTGAACAAGAGCAGCATGGGAGACTGAGACCCTTCCTCAGGGACCACAGGAGGGATGAGCCCAAGATCCTCACAGGTATAGAAGAAGATGGCCTGGGGACTAGGCCATAGAAAAGAGGACCAGCATATCGAAACCACTGTATTGTCAGTCTAGGAAGGCTTCCTGGAGGAGGTGGCAACTGACATGTAGATGATTTTGGCAGATTGCAATAGAGGGAAGGGTATTTCAAGGGCAGGGAATAGTGTTAGCAGATGTGTGGAGGGAGGAAAGCATTTGTACATTCTAGGGATAATGAAAAGGGGTTACATCTCCCTTTCTTTCTTTCTTTTTTGTTCTTTTTCTCTTTCTTTCTTTCTTTCCTTTCTTTCTTTCTCTCTCTCTCTCTCTTTTTCTGAAACAGGGACTCCTCTGTCTTCCAGACTGGAGTGCAGTGGCACAATCATGACTTACTGCAGCCTCGAACTCGTGGCCTCAAACAATCCTCCCACCTCAGCTTCCCAAGTAGCTGGGACTACAGGCACATGCCACCAAACCCAGCTAAAATTTTTTTGTATTTCTTTGTAGAGACGGGGTTTCACCATGTTTCCCAGGCTGGTCTTGAATTCCTGGGCTCAAACGATCCGCCCTCCTCGGCTTCCCAAAGGGCTTGATTGCAGGCGTGAGCCACCTCATTCAGCTGACATCTCCTTTTCATTGAGAGCGGATTGTGCTCCAGACAGTCCACATCTCTGTTTTCACTGAATTCTCACAATGAACCTATATGGTAGAAAGTGTCCTCCTTACCTTCAGAGAATCTGAAGCTCAGAGAGATGAGGTGTCTTGCCCAAGGGTACACAGCAAGACGGTGGCAGAGCTGGGAATCAAACCCACATGTGTCTGGCTCTAGAATCTGTGCCCTTTCCACAGGTCCATATGGCTTTGCAGTGTGCTTGGCTGCCCAGTGGGGTGTGGGAAACAGTATTGGACAGGTCAGCAGGGGCCGGAGCATGCCAGGCTCAGAGTTTCACACTCTGGCTGTAGCCGTGGAGGAGCCGCTGAAGACTTCCTCAGCTGGGGAGTGGTGTGGTTGGGGCTGGGATCCCCGAGGCTCACTTTGGAGGTTACACAGAGGAGAATCAGGCTCATGTCAGGGGAAAGGGGAGCAGGTGTGCAAAGGAGCAATTAAACAGTAGCACGAAAACAGGATAAGAGGGGCAAGGACCAGGGGCTTAGATGGAGGCGGGGAGTGACTCGGGGTCCCATGCAAATTAGGGAAGGTGTCTCCGAGGAGGTCCAAGTTGAGTGGCATTTTGTCAGAGCCAGTGTAGTACAGTGGAAAGAGCACGGCCTCTGGAGTCAGGCAGGCCTGGGTTTGAATCCCACCTCAGCCTCTCTCTAGTATGAGACCTTGGAGCTTCCTTTCTCATTAGTAAAATGGGGGAAACCAGCCCTGATGAGGATGAAATGAGGTGATGCTGAGTGCACAGTGACTGGCATGTAGGAGTTGTTTAGTAAACGTTGCCTTATTCAGAACAGAATAGTTATGAGGTTATCAGGTGGTCAAGTGGGGAAGTGTGTCCCAGGCAGCACATCTGTTTGTGCCCATGACTGGCAGCCCGACGGGAAAGCTGATAGATTGCAGGACTGCAGGCCTTGGGGCACCTGGCCCACAAGCCGCTGAGCTCACTGGGTGGAACACTCAGGAGTTCTTGGGGGTACTCACGTCCCTTCTGGGGGCCCCTCCTTGTCCTCTTGGACCCTGCCTGGCTCAGCTTCCTCTTGGATTGCCCTGTTTTGGCCTCAGGGCTGGCTGGGGCCTGCACACAGTGTGTGCTGACTAAGTGTTTGTTTCAGTAAATGACACCTCTGCTCTTATCTGTCTTCTTCCCCCTCCAGGGAGAACCAGCCTTCCCCTGTGTGGGAATGAATTGCTGGCCTCTCCTCTCCTCTGAGTGGGATGGGTGGGAATGGAGGGGCAGGCAGGCAGTGTAGGGCCTGGCTGTGTGGCCTTGGGCTTGTACCTTCCCCTCTCTGGCCCAGCTCAGGAGGCCGGAAAAGGGATCCAAAAACTGAACCTCGGACATGTTCTGATTTTCAAATAGGGTGAATTCTGGAAACCACTGACCCCAACCCACTCCCGCTTCGCCCTGCCCCTCCTGTTACATTGTGGGGCTGGCCAGCAGATGGTCTGTGAGTGGTTAGAAGAGGAGCAGGGACCACAGGAAACAGTGTGAGACCCCGACAAGCAGGTCAGGCTGGTCTCTCACGTGTCCGCATTTGGTGGGCACTGGATGCCAGACTGGTAGATGCCCCAGACACGACGATGGGCAGGAAGCCCACACAGGAGCTGGATGGGAGGACTCTCAGCTGGATTTGCACCTCCAAAGTGTTTGTGAATAAATAGGGGCCAGGAGCTCTGTCTTTGAGCCTGTCTTAGTGGTCCCTTTGGTGCAGGCTGGCATATCAAATCTGAATGCTGGTGCTGTGGGACGGAGCTGATACTTTGCATGGGGAGTCAAGATTACAAATGACCATTCCTCGTGAGCCCCATTGTGGGGGAAGCTGGGAACAATGTATTCATTGGTGCTTATTTCTTGGTATTTCGCTGGGCTGAGTTTTGTGCTGGCATTCCCTGGGGGTCAAGGAGAGGACTCACAGCCTTCCCTCAACGGGCTTATGGTAGAGAGTTGGGGGTATTTCTGACAGTCAGAAGATGGACCCATCTGTGATGAAAGGGCACATAGAAGAGGGGGTGGCCAACTCTGCCTGGGGAGTTGACAATATGGAAGTTTCCATAGATGAGAGGTCATTTGAGGTGGGTTTTGAAGGTCAAGTAGGAGTTTTCTAGGCAAAGAGGGTGGGGAAACAAGCAAGTAGAGATTTGAGAGTAGATGGTGGGCTTCTTGGACATGCTGAATTTGATGGTCAGGAGAACTGCTCAGGAGGCAGGAGGATATCCAGGAATGGAGCACAGGAGAGGCAGGGCCTGGGGATGATGATTTGGGAGCATTGGTTCAGAGGGGGTTAATTAAGCCTGGTGGGGAGCACGTGCAGTGAAAACAGGACAAAGCATGGACTCCTGATATGGGAAACAGCAGGAAAATAGACCCCTCAAGGAGATGGGGACAGAGTAGCTAGAGAGGTGGGAAACCAGGAGAGTGCTTCAAGGGAGGACGAGTCAGCAGGACCAAATGCTGCTGAGGGGTCAAGTGAGACCAGGTCTGCAAAGTATCCACAGGATTTAGCAACAAGGAGGACACTGATGACTTTATCAAGAGCACGTTCAGCAGAGAGATGTGGGCAGAAGCCAGACTGCAGTGGATTAACAGGGGAGGTGATATTTGAGCCAGGAAGTGAGTGTCAGGTGAAAAACCAGAGTGCTGGCTGCAGAGCAGTCACTGACGGAGGAGGGAAACAGAGGGTCAGAGGAGGGCCTCTCCGAGAGCGAAGGAGGCCTGGATCTGTTCCTGGGCTGCCGCAAGGGGAGAATGCTGACAGGGTGCCGATGAGAAGGGATAATGGGTGGAGCCCTCCTGAGAAGGCTGGAGGAGGGGGATGCAGGCCCAGGCCACGGGGCTGGCCTTTGTGGGGAGAAGGGCTGCAGGGAAGTTGGTAGTTGGAGAGGCTGGGCAAGAAGCTGGGGGCTCCCGATGTTGAGGTCATCGCTGAGAGAGTGGGCAGAGATGAGCTTGAGGAGAGAGGACAAGGTGCAGTATGGCCACAGCGGGGAATGAGGAAGGAACAGAGCCAAGAAGGGCCACTGAGAAGTCCCGGGCGCCCAGCGGATGTGGAGCCCCTGAAGCTGTCATGGTGCCAGTTGGCACAGCCATAGATTTCTTCAGCAGCCTGGGGGTGGGCGTGGAGAGGGTAGCTTGTCACAAGGCTCCAGGGCTGGGGGAGGGGATCGAGGAGCTGGCACGCCTGGCCCTGCCACCTCCTCTGTGGTCCCAAGAGAGGCAGGGGCCAAGTGGAACTGCAGATGCTATTCAGAGGGAGTAGGCTCGGGTGGCACATGAGGGGCTGGAAGGGGTGGAGGCTGTGAAGAGAAGGGAGATGATAAAAATAAACGAGAATGACTGTCTTCTGAGCACTTGCCGTGTGCCAAGCAGGGTGCTGAGGGTTTCAAGGCCCTCCTGGCAGGGGGTCCTCACGTGAGTCCTGGGGGCGGAGTATAATGAATGTTGTTCTCCAGAGGATAAAGCAGGGTCAGAGAGGTGAAGAGACATGCCCGAGGCCACACAGCTGGTCAATGTCCACACCCCATTTGGGATCCAGGGTTAATTCACTCCAAAGCTCTTCTGGGAGTCCAGGTTTCAGAGATGGAGAAATTTCAGGGATCATGTGGATCAGGCCCTGGGGCTGGTGACTGACGTGGAGGGAAAGGCCCCAGAGTGGATGAGACCAGAGGCTGGGCTGGGTGGCAGTTCTGAGCCCCCAGCAGCAGATTTGCTCAGGGTGGCTGCTCCTCATGCTTGGTGAGAAAGAGCTTCCTCTCAGCTGCAGAGCCCGGGCTGGGCAGCAGGGGGCAGGAAGAGGCAGCCCTGGTGGGTCCCTTCACACTCAGCGTGCCTGTCCAGTACTGCTGGCTTTTAGAGATAGGAAGGAGCCTGGAGGTGGGGGAGAGGAGCACCTAATAGTCTGGGGATAGCATGGGGTGAGCCCATCCTCAAAGGCTCTTCCAGTCCCACCTGCTCATGCAGAGGCTGCTGGGCCTTTCCCTTCTGTGCCCATGTCTGCCCCTCCCTGACACCCCATTGTGGGAGAGGGCCCTGATGAGCTCATGTCTGTGCAGGAGGGCCAGGCTTTGGAGAATGGAAGCCACCAGGGCTGGTAGTGCTTCCAAGGCCTAGCCCAGACACATAAATCAGGGCAGCTGAGAGCCTGGTGGGGCCAGGGTCAAGGTAGCCTGGCCTCCTCGAGCACCTGCTGTTCTCCTGGCCTCAGGGCCAGCAGGAGAAAGGTCTGTTGGATGTGGGCACTTGTCCTAGGCCCCTTGGGTCTCAGAGGAGTGGCATTCTGACCTGTGCCTCCAGGTCACAGTCCAGTGCTGCTTGGGGAGCATGAACTGTATCTCAGAGATAGGCTCGGGGCCAGGGTTGCAGCAGCTCAGCTTGGATGTTTTTTCAGCCCCTAGGAGTCAGTACAATGGAGGAGCAAATGCAGCTGTGTGCTCTTGGACAAGGCACTTCCCCTGTCTAGCCCTCAGTTTCCTCATCTGTAAACAGAGATGATGGTTCTTCTTTCCAGTGAGAGGACTAAAGGAGAGGGTTATGGGCCGCACTTGGCACAGAAGCATTCCCAGAGCTCTTTCATATGGGCAGCCATGCCCCTTAAATCTCCCCCACATCTGGCTGAGGCAAGAGGTGGAAAAGATGACTGTGAGGTCAGGGCCTAGTCCTGTGTAGCCTTCTGAACCTCAGTTTCCTTGTCTGTGAAATAGTGGTGGTGGGGCAGAGGGCAGAATGTGATCCTGAGAGAGCATCATGCAGTTGGTTCCAGGCCCTCAGGCGGAGGGCAAGGAAGGCTGCCTTCACTGTGCCACTGTAACAGAACCTAGCTGGCCTTTGCTGAGCCCCTGCCACCACCTCCGTGTTCCAGGTGAGGAGCCGGAAGAGGAACCGAAAGTGAAAACCCAGTGGCCGAGGTCTGCAGATGAGCCTGGGCTATACATGGCGCAGACAGGTAACTCGGGCCCGCCTCCCTTCCTCTGCGGCGGGGGCCCGACTGTGTGCGTCTGGTGGTGTGTGTGCTTGGTGTGTGCCTGTCTGTCTCTGTCCTGCAGTTCAGTCGCGTCTGTGCCACATGAAGCTTGTGGGAAGGGCTGGGTGGCCTCCTGAAGAGCCTGTTACTTGGGGTCAGGGTAGGAGGAGCCCTCTGATGCCTGCCCCCACCTTACTGCCACTCCCCCTATCCCTATGAGACTGAGTGCTTGGGAGGTGCCCCCTGCCGCCGACGCTGTCCCTCTCTCGTAGGCGACCCGGCGGCTGAGGAGTGGTCCCCGTGGAGCGTGTGTTCCCTGACGTGTGGGCAGGGTCTGCAGGTGCGGACCCGCTCCTGTGTGTCCTCCCCCTATGGGACCCTGTGCAGCGGGCCCCTGCGGGAGACCAGGCCCTGCAACAATTCAGCCACCTGCCCAGGTAGGCCCATCCTCCTCCCCACCCCACCTGCCTGCAGGGTTAGGTCCTGCCTGGGACTTGGGCAGATTAATCTCCAAAATGGTTGGTTGCCTCCTCCTTTCATTCAACAAATGTGGCTGTTCCCCACACCATGCCCAACTCTGCGTACCATGCCAGCCCGGTGCAGGGCACTGGGGGCACAGATGGATCAGACCAGGGCCCATGCTACTGGGCCCGGTTCTGGGCACATCATTCCCCCAGTGCCTGCATCCTGGTAACCAAGGCTCGTGTTTTTACCCACTCCGCTCTGGCCATATCAGTAGCTTGCGCACTTTCCCACCTCCCTGCATTTGCTGATTCTTGTCCTATCCTTTCTCCCTGACCTTGGCTATTCAAATTCAGCCTGTCTTTCAAGATCTAAGACAAACGCCACTTCCCTGACCTTCCCCTCCTTCCTTTGGACACCCCCTCTCAAGGGAGCCTCCCCTAAGCCTCCCTCAGTTGAGTGTGTAGTTGTTAAGGAAATGCATGTGCTTGCTTGAGACGGCAAGGGCAGGGTAGCCTCAGCCAGTCCTGCTCCTTGCTCCCTGAGTGGGTGAAGTGAGGCCTAGGCCATGCCAGTGGTGCTGTGGATTTAGAGCAGGGCCTACCTGGGAAGGGCTCTTGGTACCTGGGGGTATGGCAGGAGTTTGCAAAGGCCTGGGGCAAAGCTGTGTTCCAGCGTGTGAGCTCGGTGTGTCGGTGTCCATGTAGAGGTTCATGTTTATTTGTGTGTCTGTGCGCTTGGGGCTGGGAAGGGCGCTTCTCTTGCCCCCGGACTGCTGTGTTGTATTCAGGCTCTGGGTCTAGGGGTGGGTGGGATGGGGAGGGGTGGAATGGCGTGGGTCCTGGGTCCTTTCCTGAATTTTCCTGTGCCCTCAGGAGAGGAGGACCCCTGGTTCCCCTCCTGTTGGTCCTGGCCCCCTTGTCCAGGCGTCCACAGGGGCTGTCCTATGTGAATTAGGACCGGAAGCCTGTGTCTTGCACATCCCTTCAAAGGGTCGCGCCTTGGTGGGGCCCTGGGAGATCCCCCTGGCAACAGATCCCGGGGCAGAGCCAATGAGGAGCAGCCGCAGAGCTGCGGAGCTCCTGATTGGTGGGCGGATGGGCAGGCGCCGGTGGTGGGCGGGGCCATGGTGCCGCCCAGCCACCGGCCACGTGCTTCCTTGCAGTGCACGGCGTGTGGGAGGAGTGGGGGTCCTGGAGCCTGTGCTCCCGCAGCTGCGGGCGGGGGTCCCGGAGCCGGATGCGGACCTGCGTGCCCCCCCAGCACGGCGGCAAGGCCTGCGAGGGTCCTGAGCTGCAGACTAAGCTCTGCAGTATGGCTGCCTGCCCGGGTCAGTAGCACCCGTGGGCTTCCATGAGGGCGCTGCCCAGCCCGGTGGGGGGTCGGGAGACCTGGGGAGGCAGTCAGGTCCAGTGACCTGCCCCTGGGGGCCCCTTAAACTTTGACCAAGCATGGGGAGACTGGAGAAGTATGCCTGCCTGTGTGCGAGGTGACCCCCTAGCCCTGACTTGACCCCTAGCCCTGACATGAGTTAGTACCCTGTGACGCCATCAAGAGGGGACAGCTCTTTCTCCAAGCCCTGGGCTGCCCTTGCATTTTGGTGCATGGCCAGCTGGACTGTGAGAGGACACAAAGCTGGGCTGAAGTGCTGGCAAAGATCAGAAGACACCCCTGCAGCCCCTTCCCTTAGCCAGAAGTGAGTTGTGCCTTGTGCTAAGAGGAGAGGTGTCCTGTATTTCTGGAGCTGGTGGCAGGCAGGCAGCATGAGGCCCAGGCACCACCTGCTCACTCCAGCCTTCCTCATAACCCCCTCCCCTCCCCACTCCAGTGGGTCTGGCCTGGCTCAAATCTGAATGCCTAGCAGGCTCTGGGTCTTCCTGTGGTTCTCCACACCACCAGCCCTCACACATCCTGCTCAACAGCCACCCCTGCTTGTGTCTCCCCATGCAGTGGAAGGCCAGTGGTTAGAATGGGGTCCCTGGGGCCCATGCTCCACGTCCTGTGCCAATGGGACCCAACAGCGCAGCCGGAAGTGCAGCGTGGCGGGCCCAGCCTGGGCCACATGCACGGGTGCCCTCACTGACACCCGGGAGTGCAGCAACCTCGAGTGCCCGGGTGAGTGCTTGGCACAGTGGTGGCAAGTTGCAGCTCTGACCATGGGGGTACCTGGGCCCACTCATATGCCTCACCTCTCCCACAGCCACTGATAGCAAGTGGGGGCCATGGAATGCGTGGAGCCTGTGCTCTAAGACGTGTGACACAGGCTGGCAGCGCCGCTTCCGCATGTGCCAGGCCACGGGCACGCAGGGCTACCCCTGCGAGGGCACCGGAGAGGAGGTGAAGCCTTGTAGTGAGAAGAGGTGTCCAGGTACTGCCCTAATGACCCTGGGGGCTGGGGGCCCCATGTGTGGACCCAGCTGAACCTTACCCCTGCACCCACAGCCTTCCATGAGATGTGCAGGGATGAGTACGTGATGCTGATGACGTGGAAGAAGGCAGCTGCTGGCGAGATCATCTACAACAAGTGCCCCCCGAATGCCTCAGGTAAGGGGCAGGTGGCTTTCCCCACCACCACCACCCCTGCCATTCTCATTGCCCCCTTCTGCGCCCCCAGCCTCTCTGAGATACGGAGGAGTGTGGGTGAGAGCTCGGCCCCCATGCCCAGACCTCTGTCCTATTGCCCTGCAGGGTCTGCCAGCCGCCGCTGTCTCCTCAGTGCCCAAGGCGTGGCGTACTGGGGGCTGCCCAGCTTTGCTCGCTGCATCTCCCATGAGTACCGCTACCTGTATCTGTCAGTGAGTGCACCCTGCTGGGCTGGGGCACAGCAGAATCTGTCTCAGACTCTGCTAGGGGGTGGAGGGAGCGTGATTCTCGCTCGTTCCCACGTGCCTTGGCATATGCTGTGCCCACTTCTGCCTGGCTGTGCCTCTCCTTGTCTGGCAAGCTCCTACTCATACCTCAAGGCCTGACTCTCAAGTGTCTTCTTTTATCCCTGGTGCCTACCTCTGCGCTCCTGCAGAATGAGCTCCTCAGTCATTAGGTGCTCATCCAAGTGTCTGTGTGTGCTGCTAGACTGGGGCCTCCTTGAATTTATTTTTGTGTCCCCAGCATCCAGCCCAGGGCCAGTCATGGGGTAAGAGTAGCATCAGTGAATGTGTGTACATGTTTGACTGTAATTGGGTATTAATTGTGTGAATGCATTTAGAGCTTGTGTTGAGAGAGAGTGAGAGAGAGAAAGACAGTGTGTGTGTGTGTGTGTGTGTGTGTGTGTGCGCGCGCGCCCACACACATGCTCATTACACTCCAGAATGTACATGACCCCTTTGGGATGGGGAGGTACCCTGTTCCCATACTGTGCTTATATCTTTTATATGTACATCTGAACACCTTTTTTCTCTAGGTGTTTCTATTTCAGTCTTTTTTAAAGTACCCTTTGGGATTCTCTCTCTCTCTATGAGTCTCTTTCTCGGACTCTGTCTCCCCTGTGTGCCCCTTTGAGCCTCTCTGACCTTTTCCCCCTTTCTCTCCCCGTGGATGCAAGCAGTGGGTGGACTGGAGTGGGATGGGCCAGGGTCTGGTTCCAGCTCCTGACACTTCAGTGACTGTGGCCCCCTCATCACCTACAGCTTAGGGAGCACCTGGCCAAGGGGCAGCGCATGCTGGCAGGCGAGGGCATGTCGCAGGTGGTGCGCAGCCTGCAGGAGCTACTGGCCCGGCGCACCTACTATAGTGGGGACCTGCTCTTCTCTGTGGACATTCTGAGGAATGTCACTGACACCTTTAAGAGGGCCACCTACGTGCCCTCGGCTGATGATGTGCAGGTACTGCCTAGGAGGAAGGAGGGCGGAGGGTGGAGAAGGCCCAAACTGAAGCGGGAGGCCAGGCCCCTAGGCAGAGTCTGCTGTAGAGGCGGCAAGTGTGGCTATAGTGGGGGAAGCCCCCTGTTCCCTGGGGCTAGGACCCCCTGCCACTCATTGCTCTCTCCTCAGCGCTTCTTCCAGGTGGTGAGCTTCATGGTGGATGCGGAAAACAAGGAGAAGTGGGACGATGCTCAGCAGGTGCGGGGCACAGCTGCCAGCTTCTCCTCCCGTGACCCACCCTGCCTTGGACCCTTACACACTTTCTGTCCCCAGGTGTCCCCTGGCTCTGTGCACCTGCTCCGTGTCGTGGAGGACTTCATTCACCTGGTGGGCGATGCTCTCAAGGCCTTCCAGAGCTCTCTGATTGTCACAGATAATCTAGGTAGAAGGAGTCAGGCAAGGGTGGGGGTCCTGAATGTGCCAGAACTCAAGACGTTCTGTCTTTCCTCTACCTAACCCCGTATTTGTATCTTTCTGTCCACATTCTACCCTCTCCTTCATCTATGTGTGGTCTGTTTCTCTGTGTATGTCTGTCTCTGTGTTTGTACCAACTTCGGTGTCCACATCTACCTTTCCTGGTACGTGTTTCCCCTACATCTGTCTCTTCCCCTGGTCTGCCACCCTTTGTTTCTGCCCCTCTGTCTGTCTCTGTCCACCCTCCTCCCACTGCAGTGATCAGCATTCAGCGAGAGCCCGTCTCAGCTGTGTCCAGTGACATCACGTTCCCCATGCGGGGCCGCCGGGGCATGAAGGACTGGGTGCGGCACTCAGAGGACCGCCTCTTCCTGCCCAAGGAGGTGCTCAGCCTCTCCTCCCCAGGGAAGCCAGCCACATCTGGGGCAGCAGGCAGCCCTGGCAGGGGGAGGGGCCCAGGAACGGTGCCTCCTGGCCCAGGCCACTCCCACCAGCGCCTCCTCCCAGCAGACCCTGATGAGTCCTCCTACTTTGTGATCGGTGCTGTACTCTACCGCACCCTTGGCCTCATCCTGCCGCCTCCCAGGTGAGTCCTGGGGATGGGTGGCTGGGGCTGCTGAGGGTCCAGGAAGGCCCAGGTAAGGGAAGGAGGACTGAGCCAGTGCTGGCTGCAGAGAGATCCATGGCAGCCTCCTCCACCTTCAGGAACCCCTTGCCTGGCTCTGGACACATGCTTCTCAAATTTATCCATACTGCTCTCAGAGGCTGGGCTGCCACCCAGCGGGTGAGGGACAGAGCTCTAGACCTCACCTGAAGTCCTGGACCCCACTGAGTTAGGCCTTCCCCTGGGCCTTGGCTCCTTGGAAGCCTCTGCACACCCATCCAAAGCGGCTTCAGGGTTTCTGACTGGGGCTGGCACCCGCTGGCAGGAGCTGACTTCGGTACCTGTCCCGCAGGCCCCCGCTGGCCGTCACATCCCGGGTGATGACAGTGACTGTGCGCCCCCCTACCCAGCCTCCAGCTGAGCCCCTCATCACTGTGGAGCTCTCCTACATCATCAATGTGAGTGGAGATCCATGCAGAGACCTTGGGTGCACCTCAACCTGGGTGGCCAGAGGCCTGGCTGGTGGGAAGCACTCTGTCCCTGATGGTGGGCTGAACCCTGGACCTGTGTGGGAGCTGCTGTGGCCCCCATGGCATGGGCAGTGGTGGGGTGTGGTGAGCTTCCCTCCCTAGACTGCACTCATGTCTTTTGCTCCCCAGGGGACCACGGATCCCCATTGCGCCAGCTGGGACTACTCCAGAGCGTGAGTTGGGTGGCTCCTCTGGGTGAGGAAGGGAGCAGCCCTAGGGCCCTTTGCCAGAAAGGGGTCTCCTGCCTAAAAGGCAAGAGGGATTTTTGGTGCCATCCTAGCCTAAGGGGTCAAGAACGTATCCTGGGACTCCCTGCTGTTGCCTCGTGGATGTGGCCTTACTGTGGATTTAGCCTGTCCTTGGGCAGTGGCCAGGACTGGGGGCAGGGCCACGTAGCTGGCCTGGGGCTCACTGAATCTCTCCCCTACCCAAGAGATGCCAGCTCAGGAGACTGGGACACTGAAAATTGCCAGACCCTGGAGACCCAGGCAGCTCACACCCGCTGCCAGTGCCAGCACCTGTCCACCTTTGCTGTACTAGCCCAGCCGCCCAAGGACCTGGTGAGTGGAACAGAGGTGCCTGGGCTGAATAAGGGAGGAGGCCCTGGGCTTCCAGCAGCCATCAGTGATGGTGTTGGCAGGCGCCTGGGTGATCCTGAATGTGCATCTGCAGGTGCGCTTGTGGGATTGTACGTGGATGTCTGTGCCCCTGGGATTGTGCTCACAGCAATGATATTTGCCTGGGGGTATGCGGCAGTGGCCAGTTGTGTGTGTGTGTGTGCACATGTGTGTGTCTGGTTGTGTGTAGAAGAGTGCAGGTGACTGAGCATAAATATGTGTCCACATAGATACCCGGGTCTGTTCTGTGCATACATGAGTACAACAGCAAGAAGGTGTTGCCCTTCTGCCTGTGGGTATGCCAGTCTATGGTAGATGAGGGGACAGGGCACCCCTGCAGCTCCCCCCTCCCAGGAACCCATCTGACTGTCTGCCCATCTTCCCCAGACCCTGGAGCTGGCGGGCTCCCCCTCGGTCCCCCTGGTGATCGGCTGTGCAGTGTCGTGCATGGCGCTGCTCACCCTGCTCGCCATCTATGCCGCCTTTTGGAGGTAGGTCTGACACCTGGCTCTTGTGGCTGGGGGAGGGGGGGCAGGCGCAGAAGGTGGCCAGCCACACCAGGTCGGATGGGGCAGCCAGCGCCTCTGTCCCTGCCTGCTGTGCCCCGGCAGGTTCATAAAATCTGAACGCTCCATCATCTTGCTGAACTTCTGCCTGTCCATCTTGGCATCCAACATCCTGATCCTCGTGGGCCAGTCCCGGGTGCTGAGCAAGGCAGGTGCAGACTTCCAGGGCTGCCAGGGGTGTGAGTGGGGTGGAGGGGTGAGGGTGGAGAGCGCAGTGTGTGTGTTTGCTTGTACGTCCATTAGTGGTGGTGTATGTGTGCCCCATGTTGGGATTAGAGTGTGTATGAAATAGTGTGTGAGACCATATGTGAGGACATTGGAGAGGGGGTGTGTACTCAAGTGAGGAACTTCTGTGAACATCAGTAAATGTGTGTGTGAGCTGAGCGCTGGGTGTGTGTTGGGCAGGTGGCATTGGGCCTCCTTGTGTCTGTGAGCGTGTGGAAGCCTGAGTGAGGCCTCCTTTTGCCACCTACCTGTGGACGACCTGTGCAGACTCTTCCCTATGCCCCCTTGGCCTTCTCTGCACAGTGCCAGCACCATGCATGCCAGGCACAGGGCCTGCCCAGCTGTGACGTGGCAGGTGCTCATGTCTGTCCCCCTCCCTGCCAGCCCCGTCTGTGCGTGGGCAGCCTGCCCACCCGCCTCCCTGGATGCCGAGTGCTGTGTGTGTGTCACCAGGCCCGTGTCGTGCTGTGTGTGGGTGCAGGAAGGCGGGGGTGCCTGGCAGGGCTCTGTGGGGGGCGGGGCTCAGGTGGGCGGCTGTGGCAGCGCCCAGCAGCGGGCGTGGGAAGCCCGGCGCCTCCTGCCCTGGCGGCTGCTCAGGGCCACTCCCTCCCATTCCCTCTCCCTGCAGGGCGTGTGCACCATGACGGCTGCCTTCCTGCACTTCTTCTTTCTCTCCTCCTTTTGCTGGGTGCTTACCGAGGCCTGGCAGTCCTACCTGGCTGTCATTGGGCGGATGCGCACCCGCCTCGTTCGCAAGCGCTTCCTCTGCCTGGGCTGGGGTGAGCAGGGCCAGTGCTGGACTCTGCTGCTGGGCCTTGGTGGGCAGGGGCAGCAAGAGAGGTTCAGCTTTGGCCCTGGCCCAGCTCTCTGGGCACAGGGGTCAGCTGGGATGGGAGTCTGGGAGAACAAGGGGTCCCTGAAGACCAGCAACCATCTCACTCTGGCACCCCTGCTCCCCCAGGTCTGCCTGCCCTGGTGGTGGCCGTGTCTGTTGGCTTTACCCGAACGAAAGGATACGGTACATCCAGCTAGTACGTGGGCCTCCCGTGGTGGGTGGTAGCGGGTAGTGGATCTGTTAGGGAATCGGACTGGGCAGCTGGCTGAAATCCTAGCCCATGCCTGTTTTGGGTCTTTGGGCAAGTTCCTCCCCATTTCTGAGCTTCAGTTTCCCTGACTGAGGGAATGTGCTAGGACTGGGTAATCCCTAAGGGACTGTTTAGCTCAGGAGTCAGCCTTGCTTCATCCCCATGGGAGCACTGGGGGATGAGCCTAATGTTCTGGACCTTTGTTGGAGGGGAAACCGAGGCTCAGCAGGAGCCAGTGGCTCACTCTCACCGTCTGGGGCTCAGACTGCACTGGTGATGCGGGCATGGCAGCCTGGGAGGACTGAGGGATGGTGTTTGAGGGTGGGGAGGGAGGCTGCTGGGTGTCTGACACCCTTCTTCTCCCCCACCCCAGCTGCTGGCTCTCCCTGGAGGGCGGCCTGCTCTACGCCTTTGTGGGCCCTGCAGCCGTCATTGTCCTGGTATGTGCCCGTTCAGCATCTTGGAAGGGGCATGGCCCCAGAGGGTCATCCTGTTTCTCCCTCTACCTCCTCCCTGCGCTCCAGCTCCCACATGGGGATTTCCCTGCCAGGAGGGCACCTGGTGATCCTGTCTCCCCCACTCCACTCTACTGGGCCCCCAGGTGAACATGCTCATCGGAATCATCGTCTTCAACAAGCTCATGGCACGTGATGGCATCTCCGACAAATCCAAGAAGCAGAGGGCCGGGTAAGGGGGGGGCCTCTGAGACTTGGCCTTTCTGGAAATGGTGCAGGGAGGGAGGGACATGGGTGCTCTTGGAGACTCAGGGCTCGATGATGCGACCGGGGCTCCCCAACCTTGGTGCATCAAGGTTGCAGGCAAGGTGGGCACCCGGAGTGCTCAGCCGCAGCCCCTCACCCACCCTAACCCAGCTCTCTCTCTCTCGTCTGCCCTCCCCTCCCACCCCACTCGGGGCTCATTCTGCCCCATCTCCCGGCTTCCCATGTGTTTCCCCTCCTTCTCCCATGTCTGTGCCGCCCCCGAGGTCGGAGCGGTGCCCCTGGGCCAGCCTGCTCCTCCCCTGCTCAGCGTGTGGAGCGGTCCCCAGCCCCCTGCTCAGCTCAGCCTCGGCCAGGAACGCCATGTTAGTCGTGCCCCCTGGGGGGCGGTGGGGGTGGGTGGGGCAAAGGAATTGGGGGGGGCAGTGCCCATGGTGGGGGGAGGAGGAGGGATATCAGCCCAGTGCCCTGGAAAGCTTGCCCTTTCCTGCCAGCCACCACACACTCTCAAGGGCTCGGCAAGAGGTGGCCAAGGCGATGAGGAGTGGATGTCTGTGCCTCCCACAGGTGCCCGGTTCCTTCGCCCACCCTTGGATCCCGCCCCTGCCCTCACTCCCAGCTAATGTTCTATCCTGCACCGCCCCACACCCCCAACCTACAGAGGCTCAGACAATCTTAAGCCTTAGAATTTTTGAGCTATAGAACCTTAGAATTAGAATGATAGAATCTTAGAATAAGACAATCAGAAGCTAAGAATGTTAGAATGAGTGAATCATCCAGTCTTATCATCTGTCATAGAATCTGAGACTTAGCATTTCAGAGGCATTGAATCTCACACTCAATTGGAGACAGAGAATCACAGAGGTAGAGAATTATTTCACTGAGACCCCCGCCCTAGCATCTGAGAATCTTAAAATCCCAGCTATGCAAGGGTAAAACAAATCCACAAAGACCTTAGGCTCAACCTCCCACCCAGGTCTGGAAATCCACCCAAGCCTCCATGCCCAGTGAGGTCCAGCTTTATCTTGCACACCTGCAGGGTCAGGGAGCTCAGGGCCTCTGGAGGCAGCTGGCACCGTCACCACGAAGCTCCCTCTGTCTTGGGCTGCCGTCTGCCTCCCTCACCCCGTCTGCACTAGCTGTTTCAATGCTTGGGCTTTGGAGTCGGTCAAGCTGTGTTTGTATCCCAACTGTGCCTCTCCCTGCCCAGCTGGGCTCACTCCAGTTTCCTCATCTGTAAATTGGGATAATAATCCCATGCCTGTTAATTGGAGTTGTTTTGATCATGATTTGAAGTAATATATGTAAAGTGTTCAGTGTAGGGCCTGGTAGAGAATTGGTGGTTAATCAGCGTAGCTCTTATTACTGTGATTAGACCCTCTCTTAGTCTTGGCTACACCTCCGGGGACTTCAGAGTCCATTGTGCCTGCCCCCTGCCAGGCTGAACAGCCCTGAACTGCACTTCCTAGGGCAGGTCTTGGCCCCCTGCCCATCTCTCTGCTTTGGCCTCCCCCGGCTGTCTCTGCGGAATGGTGCCACCCTCTGCCATGCCTAGAGCTGTGCCTGACTCTCCCACTGGGGGTGTTTGCGAAGGAGAGTGGGCTGAGTGTGGCACCTGGCCCGGGAGGGTATGGTGGCCTGGCTGTCCCTCATGTGCTATAGCAGGTTAGGGAGGGGTGGGAATGGCTTGGATGCCAGGCCCCATCTGCTTTTTTTCTGCCCTCCCCTGGCAGGGAGGCCAGGGAGGTGTAGGCCTGGCCCGACCCCAGCTTTTAGCCCCAGCTCTGAGCCTTCTGCCCAAGGCTCTGAGCAGTCCGTGGGAGCCTGGCGTCTTCTCTGTGTGTGGGGGGAGTTCTGCTTCACTGGTCCTGGCCCCCTGTCTTCTCCCTGAGGATTCGTGCTCTGGATGTCCCCCGCGTGCTCTGCCTGTTTAATCTTTCTGTCTGGGTGTCTCTGTCGCATGCGTTCTCTCACTGTGGTTGTTGTTGCTTTGTCCCTCTTCCAGTCCCCCTCCCCAGCCTACCCAGTTAGGCTCTGGGGATGCCGTCCCGGCCCCGTGCATTTTTAAAAAGCTCCTCAGGTGATTCTGTGCATCTGTCTGCCTCCTCTTCTCTCTCCCCGTCCCTTTCCACTGTCTGTGGCTCGGTCCCACTGTGTCTGCGTGTCCTTCCCCACCTTCCTGGTCCCTGCTCTGACCCCGTAGTTCGCTGCTTTCGGTCTCTGTTCTGTTTCTCTGGCTCTGGCTCCTCAGCCCCTCTCTGCTTGGGGACATTACTGAGGCCCTGGGGTTTGGGGCCCTCCCAGTCTTGGGCAGCTGAAGAGCTCCAGCTGAGTGGAGGCCTAGGCTCAAGCCATCCTGTCCCCCGGAGTGTCACTCTGATGGGCTCTGCCACTGTCCCCTCAGGGCCTCACTCTGGAGCTCCTGCGTGGTGCTGCCCCTGCTGGCGCTCACCTGGATGTCTGCCGTCCTGGCTATGACAGACCGCCGTTCCGTCCTCTTCCAGGCCCTCTTTGCTGTCTTCAACTCCGCGCAGGGCTTTGTCATCACTGCTGTGCACTGCTTCCTGCGCCGAGAGGTGGGGCTGGGCCTCTCCCGCCTGTGTGTGCCCACCACACCTGCCAGGCCCTTGGCTTCTCCTCACTGTGCAGACCGGGAGGATCGAGGCCCCGACCAGGGTGCCCCAGGCCCCATCTGGGCAGCCCTTACTGTGGAAGCTGATAGCCCGGGGTACCCGCAACTGTCCCTTATGCTTATCCTTGGCCTCCTGGGTCTCCTCCTCCCGTTGCACCCTGCCCAGGTGTCATCACCTTCCCCAAGGTTGGATGTGTTGCCTTCCTTCTACACTTGCCTGGGCATCTGGGGTGGGAAGCACAGCCATCTGTGGTCGGGGGCCCTGCAGTGGCCTCAGGCCCAGCAGGCGCCCTCTGTCCCCAGGTCCAGGATGTGGTGAAGTGCCAGATGGGGGTGTGCCGGGCTGATGAGAGCGAAGACTCCCCTGACTCGTGTAAGAACGGGCAGCTGCAGATCCTGGTGAGTTAGGGGCCTGGGCAGGGCCTGGGCAGATTCTGGGCACCCCCCACCCCAATCCTCCTGCCCTAGACCATTTACCTTCCCCATCCATGGCAGGGTTGGGACAGGGATTGGGTTTGATTCAGGCTCAGCCACTAACACCTGGGTGGCATTGGGCAAGTCCTTCCCCCACTCAGTTTTCCTAGCCATCAGGTGGGCTGGGGTAGGCCATGCCTGGGCTCTGCTGGGCCATGGGCTATGGGCCATGGGCAGCCCTAAGGCAGGCAGACTGGGCAAAGCTGGCTGGGGAGGGCCTGAGCCTCCTCCCACCCTGATACATTAATCCTCCCTCTGCCCACCTGCCCCTCCCTTTCTGCCTATAGTCAGACTTTGAAAAGGATGTGGATCTGGCTTGTCAAACAGGTGAGTGTGCCGTGGCAGAACTGAGAATGGTCCTGGGGTTGGAGAAGAAGGGGAGGCCTTGAGCCCCATCATGGGAGGCCCTGATGGAGTTCTGGCTGCTGGAGTCCAGCTTCGAAGTTAGACAGCCCTGAGCTGGACGCAAGGCTGCGAATGTCCCTTACTGTATGACCCTGGGCAAACAACCTGCCTCTCTAAGCCTCAGTTAACACACCTGTAAAGGAGAGAATACTGTCCTCCCAGGGCAGGTGGGGGGCTTAGGGGCATGCATGAATTCGGGGACATCGAGTTCTTAGCAGGACCCATGGCACAGAGTGTTACGTTATTATATCATTTCCAGATTCTTACCAGAATCTTTCCATTTCTGTCTCCTGGGGAGCTGATGCACAGGGAGGTGGGAAGACAAAGCCCTTTGACAGCCGTGGGGCTGTGGGGTCAAAGTCGGGACCTGCACCAGGACACTGGGAGCTGGGCCTTGCCTTTGTTTCTTGCCCTGTCTCAATGTGGGGACTTTGGAGCCGTTGTCTTCTTAACCCCTCTTATATGTGAGAGATTACCAACCACCCAGCCATCTCTCCAGGACCCAGTTTCCTTTCCTGTCCAAGCGCAGAAGCTTGGTACCTCCCCAGCCTGGGCAATGGCATCTGGAGGTTCCTTCTCCTCAGGACTCACCCCCTCCCTCCCACTCCTGCCCCCAGTGCTGTTCAAGGAGGTCAACACTTGCAACCCGTCCACCATCACGGGCACACTATCCCGCCTGTCCCTGGATGAGGATGAGGAGCCCAAGTCCTGCCTCGTGGGCCCTGAGGGCAGCCTCAGCTTCTCACCACTGCCTGGGAATATCCTGGTGCCCATGGCAGCCTCACCAGGGCTGGGGGAGCCTCCGCCCCCACAGGAGGCCAACCCTGTTTACATGTGTGGGGAGGGTGGCCTGCGGCAGCTGGACCTCACATGGCTGCGGCCCACTGAGCCAGGCTCTGAGGGAGACTACATGGTGCTGCCCCGGCGGACTTTGAGCCTGCAGCCTGGCGGTGGGGGTGGAGGTGGTGAGGATGCCCCCAGGGCCCGGCCGGAGGGGACCCCCCGGCGAGCTGCCAAGACAGTGGCCCACACTGAAGGCTACCCCAGCTTCCTGTCCGTGGACCACTCGGGCCTGGGGCTGGGCCCTGCCTATGGATCTCTCCAGAATCCCTATGGAATGACCTTCCAACCGCCACCGCCGACACCCAGCGCCCGCCAAGTGCCCGAGCCAGGGGAGCGCAGCCGGACCATGCCTCGCACCGTGCCCGGCTCTACCATGAAGATGGGCTCCCTGGAGGTGAGGGGCTGTAGGGAATGGGGTGTGTGTCTGAGACTGTGTCAATCACAGGCTGCAGCCAGGAGGGGACAGCCTCATCCTCCCCAGAGCGGCCTCTCGTAAAAGTCACTGGGAGTGGATACACTGAGCATTTCTCTGTTTCTGCTCATGGCAGCTCCGTGGTGTCTGTGAATCCTTCAGACAGGCTGGGACTTCACACAGTAGAATTGTACTTCTCGACTCGTTCACACTTGCTTTAGGGCCTACTTTGGGGTGACTGGTTAGGATGAGTCCTCATTTCAGGAGACTGTGGCTCAGGCAATGTGTGAGCCTGGGCCTCTGCGTCATGCAGGTCTGAGTTCCAGTCTGGACTCTGATTGGCAGTGAGATCAGTGAGCCTTCATTTTCTCGTGTGTAAAGTGGGGATACCGTAGCAGTCTCTTTGTGGAGTCGTTTTGAGGATTGAGTGATGTAAAACATTTATGTGGAGCAAGTAGAAAGTGCTAGATAATTGGGGATTGCTGCTGTTAGCACCCCTGAAATCAGCTGCAGATGCTGCCCACAGGCCTGTGGTAACTGACCCTCTCTTCCGGAGAAAAGCAAACCCCTCCGGGTCCCTGCCTGTGTGTGTTCTGTGAATCCTTCACCTTCACGCTGGCCTCCTCAGGTCTGCTCCCTGCAGAGGATCACTGAGAACAGACAGTAGTGGCCTGCTGTGGAACTCTAGAACATTCTGCAACTTTATTGGAGTCATGAAGGGGATGTGGTTAAGGAAAGGGACAGGAGTCGTGGCTTAGCCACAATTGGCTGTTCCTGCTCGGCCTCAGAAACCCACTCCCCATCCGCCACAAGACGAAAATTAAGTTAGTAGCTACGGGGCTCACAAGTTTAGTTTTTCTCCCAAAGTGTTTCTGGAACATTTGGTGCCTGCTTCTGCCACAGATGGCAAAAACAGGAAGGCGTAACAAAGACAAAATGCAACGCCAGTGTCGGAGAAGGGCGCGCTTGGCGTCATGGCGGGTTTTGTTCTGTGGACACCTGCCTGCCGGCCACTGTTGAGGGCGGACATCAGGCTCCTTGTGTGGGAGGCAGTAGTAAATGCAGCAGCGCTTTGAGGGGTCAAGGATGACATCCAGAATTCGGGCGTGGGCAACCGTGATGGGCGGAGGAACAGGTCTGGGTAGGGAATTACAAGTGTATTCCATTGGTGTGAGCTGCATGTGCAGTGCCTGTGGGGCATCAGACAGGGAGAGGTGCCCTGTTGCCCCCAGAAAGAGAGATGTGGCTGGGTTGGGGAGGATACACGTGTGTGTGGTAAAGGCAGGAGAAGGTGCCGGGGCAGAGTGTGAGTGCCTAGTATTACAGAAGCCAGGGTAGGCAGCGGAGAGAAAGCAGGTAGGGAGAGGAGAGGAAAACCAGGAGAGTGAATGCCATGGGCCCATGGTGGTGAGCATGCCCACAGGCCTGGGAGATCCAGATGGTGGTCCTAGTATCACCTTCGAAGGCCTGGGAGCAATTCCCTTCACCTCCCTGGGTCTCAGTTTCCCTATCTGTAACCTGGGAAAGTTGGCCTTGGCTTCATGGGTCTCCCTGTGCTGACATTTTAAGACTCTCAGGCCTCTTTCTTGAGTAGCACTGGGTACAGTACAGCTTACTGGGGCCTTGAAAGTGGTCTGGGACAAGGAGGGCCAGGAGAGGCATGAGGGAGCAGAGAGGCCAGGGAGGCAGCGCCTGGTTTGGCAGGAAAAGGGGCAGTGTGAGGTCAAAGGAAGGTTTCTGAAAGCCTGAATACCTGTGTTTGCAGGACAAGTGGAAGGTTCCAAGGGGAGGGGTAGCTATGGCTGGCAGAGAGAATGGGGCAAGATGGGGAAGGATGCAGGGTGGGCTCTAGGGCACAGAGAATGAGCACTGGCTCTGATTCCATGTGGGCATCTGGGCCTGTCATGTTGGAAGTCCGCACCATGCCATTTGACGTGTGTGTGTGTGTGTGTGTGTGTGTGTGTGTGTGTGTGTGTGTTCAGTGAGGCCTGAAAAGCTGCCCCATGAAGGTCCGCAACTTCTGGGCCTGGGTTGGGGGGAAGGTGCAGCGGGCAGACCCCTGGGATGCCAGGCTTCCTGTCTCTAAAGCCCCTGCCGGTGGTAAAAAGCTTTCTTCTCCTCCATTGCCTCCTTGTTGCTCCTTCCCAGCGAAAGAAATTACGGTATTC
This sequence comes from Homo sapiens, assembly GCF_000001405.40. Taxonomy (NCBI): domain Eukaryota; kingdom Metazoa; phylum Chordata; class Mammalia; order Primates; family Hominidae; genus Homo; species Homo sapiens. The sequence continues at coordinate 31,728,613 of NC_000001.11, read as the reverse complement.
AGACCTGGACTTTGAGGTAAGGGCCATGTGTGTGCTGGGCGGTGGGACATCTGGCTGTGGTGTCTGTCCCTGGAGGGCTCACTCCTAAAAGTAGTCCAAGCTCTGTTGCAGAGCCTGACCCCAGGAGCCCAAGCCCGGGGGTTCCGTGGGATCTTCCCATGATTCCCTCCCTGCCCAAGCCCATAGCACCAACGTGAAGAGAGAACTAGGTCTTGTCCCAGAGGGGCTGGCAGCAGGGAGGGATGTGGGGGGCTTGGGGTGCTGAGTGCCCTGGGTAGGGGGGATCATGGTGCTGCCCCGGGGAGCGACCCTCTGATGCCCTGTGGCCCCTAGAAGGTGATGCACACCCGGAAACGGCATTCAGAACTCTACCACGAGCTCAACCAGAAGTTCCACACTTTCGACCGCTACCGCAGCCAGTCCACGGCCAAGGTGAGGGCTCCTCCCGTGGCTGCCCCTGCCCTGAAGCTCAGGGCCTGACCTGGTGCAGTGGCCCCTGGGGTTGGAGCCTGACCGGTGGCCCCCGTTGCAGAGGGAGAAGCGGTGGAGTGTGTCCTCGGGTGGGGCAGCCGAGCGGAGCGTGTGCACCGTGAGTCCCCCCGGGCTGGGTGGGGTGAGGTGGGCCTGAGGGACCCGTGCCCTCCCTGCCCTCCTGCCCCTCCCAGGCAACCCCAGCCTGTCTCACCAAGGGCCTCCCCCACGGCATGGGCAACAGTCTGGGGCCGCCTGGGGGTGGGGAAGGTGCTGCAGATGGCGAACAGGGGTGGAGGTCCTCCAGGATTGGGAGGGAGAGTGGTCAGCAGGAGACATGTCCTGGGGGCCACTGAGAACAGGGGTCAGGAGCCCCACCCTGGAACCAGGCAGGTCTGTATTTGAATTCTGCTTGACACCTGATTGCTCCATAACTTTGGGCATTACCAGCCCTCTCTGGGACTCCTCAGTTTGATCGTCTGTACAATGGGTAAGGATATTGGCCCATCTCCACGGCCCCTCCCGCTCCCTCCACAGGATAAGCCCAGCCCTGGGGAGCGCCCCAGCTTGTCCCAACATCGGCGCCATCAGAGCTGGAGCACCTTCAAATCTATGACACTGGGCTCGCTGCCCCCCAAGCCCCGAGAACGGCTGACTCTGCACCGGGCAGCAGCCTGGGAGCCCACAGAACCACCGGATGGTGACTTCCAGACAGAGGTGTGAGTGCCACGCTGGACTGCCCACTGCATATAAATATATATATCTCTCTATTTTCACACTCCACTTTGGAACTACCCAGGAGCCAGCGCCCTCTCCCCTCTCCCGAGGGCTGGGCAGGGAGGCGCCGTGGACTCAGCCAGGCTGGGGGAGCCGGACATGGCTTGGCCTGGGGTCCCAGGGCCCTTCCTTGTTTCTCAGAGGCCCCTCAGCCACTGGAACCCCATCTTCAGCCCAGCCTGTCCGTCCCTGTCCCGGGCTGGGGAGGGGGGAGGGGAACTTTGTTGGGAATAAACTTCACTCTGTGGATTTTGCTGCTGAGCTGTTTGCTTCCCTCAGGTAAAGGCCCAGCTCTGGGACCCCGACTTTGTTTCTGTCTCCTGGGTTGAACTCACTTGATCTCATCAGATGATGTGATGGGGTCAGTCCAGCCCTGCCTGGGAGGGGGCGGCCTAGGCTCTGACCCCATCTTTGTCCCTGACTCTCTGGGTGATTCATCCTTTCCCCGATCTGGGCTGTGGGAAGCAGATTGGGAGTGTGGGAGGGGACCTCTTATGGCTGGCTTTTCCTGGTGGCTGTGATGGTCGTGGCTGCCATTCACTGGGGCACAGAGGCCAGACTTCCTGGGCTAGAGCCAAGACAGAGCTTAGTGACCTTGGTTTCACATCTGTGAAATGGGGATGGTAACAGTGCCCACCTCACAGGGTTGTTACAGGGATGAAACAAATTCCTATTTGTAAAGTGTTCAGCAAATACCTGGGACAGGATAAGCTCTTGAAGGGTTAGCTGTGACCATGTGGCACCAGTCTCATGCAGTGCTCTAAGCTAGGAGCTTCACACACATATCCCCTGGCCCCTCACAACAACCCTGTTGGAAGGTTTTAGGTTGCCCATTTTGTGGATAGGAAAATGAGGCCAGAGATGGGCAGTGCCCGGCTCAAGGCCACAGTCAGAGGCAGAGCTGGGACTTCAAACCCACGCTTGATGGAGGTGGGGCTTCAGCTCAGCTTCCTGGAACTTGACCATGGCTGCAGGGGAGCCGCAGATGCTGGGTTGTGGTGGAGATGCAGGTGTTGGACCGGGCCAGGGCTGGGGTGGGGTGTGGGAGCCAGGCTGGCTTGGTGCCAGGGGCTGGAGGCTTGTACTGAGTTGCATTCATTACATGCCTGAGTGAGCGGATCCTTGCTCAGTTTTCAGGCCCCCAGAAAGAGGGGGCACAGGATTACATCTGGAAACATATTCTGGAGTCAGGCAGCAGCTGGAGCAGAGGCACGGTTAGCAGGGTCACAGGTCCTTCTTGCCTGGTCATTTAGCAACATGGGCACCTCTGGGCCCCTTCCCAGGGACTCGGAGACACAGACAGGTCCCTGGAGAGCTGAGGGAGGGTTAGGTGCTGCAGCAGCCTGGGTGGGAGTGACAGAAGTGACTGGCTGCTGGGGTAGGGGGTATCACAGATAATGGCCTGCCCAGGGGTGCTGGAGGAGGGGCGGAGGCCTCTTCAGAGTTTTGCAGGCCTTGATGGCACAGGCTTGCTCTGGTCTCATTCCAATCCTGCCTGCTGTGAGACCTGGTCAGAGGAGCCGTGCGGGCAGAGTCCACTCAGGACTGTGCTTCTAGACCCTTGGAGCTCCTGCGACTCACTCCTCCGCCTCCCTCCCTTCGGGCAGCCCCAGCACTTAAGTGTACACAGAGTTCACTCAAGCACTACCTCATTTGATTCTTCAAGGTAGGTATTGTGACTGCCCCATTTTGGAGATGAGTAAATCGAGGCTTGGAGAGGGGACATGACTTTCCCAAGCTCCCACAGCTCAGCTTGTGACTGGGACTTGTGGCTGGGAGTGGCAGAATCCGATACCAGCCAGCTTAGGCACCTGGGAGCTTTGTTCACCCAGGAGCGCGCTGCCGCAAGGACAGCAGTGGGCAAGTGCGGCTGGCCTTCGTGATGGGACCCGGGATCAGGAGTGCCACCGCATGTTTCATCCTCTCCTGGCATTCTCTCGAATGTGTGTCGGCTTCATTCTTTAAGGCCTCTTCCCCCTGGGCCTGCCAGGCTTCCTCCTCCCAGCTCGATCACTCAGCATTGCCCCTAGAGGGGAAGAAACTTTCTCTCTTGAATTCCAATTAGAAAACCCCCAAGGAAGGAAGAGCTCTGGCTGGCCCCAGGAAGGAGGCTGGGGCACTGTGATTGGCAGTCCCATCAGGAACCATGGGGGAGAGGGAGAGGGAGGAGAGGGAGCAGGTCTCTGAGAAAGGGGGGCCTGTTCCTAAAAGGGGGTTTGCACAAACAAAGCCCGACCATGTACCAGCAGATCCTACTCCACATTCCTTCCTCTGACCATCACCTAAAGGCCCTCTTAATGCCTTGTCCTGTGCTCGCACCTCCCTCCTTCCTGGTCTTAGGCTCCGCTGGTCACCACCTCTGGGGCCCTCTGGGGCTGAGGTGTGATGTGCACGTCCCTGCCCTCCTGTCCATTCTTGCTTTGCATCTGGTTGAAGAGGAAGTTTAGTATTTACCTTGTTGATTCTGCTCAAACACAAACCACAGCTACCTGCAGAGGCCTCTGCTGGCTTTGAGACCAGCCACTTAGCTTTCCTGGGGTGGGGGCTTTGTCCCTCCCTTGCCCTCAGTCCCTGCTCCCCCAGGCACTGACTTGCTGCGTGACCTTGGACAGGCCACTGGACCCTGTCTGACATGGGTTTCCCTATCTGTAAAATGAGTTGGCTCGATCTCCCTTCCATTTGAGCTAATATCTAACAACCTGTCATTTCTTTCCTGGACTCAAATTTCTCACATCATTGCCCTCATTTTCTCTGCCTCCAGTCTCCAGCCCTTCATCCACATGGCCCAAGTGATCTTTCCAAAATGCAGATCTGGCCAGGCCACTGCTCAGATGCCTTCTGTGGATCCTGGAATTAGCCTAGAGTTCAAGGCCCTTGGTGATGTGGCCCTTGCCTCCCTCCTCTGGCCCATCTCTCTGACCTCCATGCCTGTGCATGCACCACTCCTTCTGCCTGAAACTCCCTCCTCCTCACAGAGGGGAAACTCTCCTTCAGCCTTCCAGACCCAGCCCAAGTAGCCCCCTGTGTGATGCTGTCCCTGAACTCCCTGGCCCAGCAGTCAGCACTCGCTGGGCCCCCACAGGCCTTGGCATGCACTGTCACTACTGCACTGATCACACAGAACTGCTGTCATCTGTGTTGGCCTTGCTGTGGTTTGTGCACTCAGAGGCCCACATGAAGCAGGCATCAGTGAATCTTTAGCGGGTGAAGGGTGGAATACACAAATCTCCCTGAACATTGATTTCCTCATCTGCAAAATTGGGATAATGACAACTCCTACCCAGTCTTCCTCACTGGATATCCGGAGCATGACTTAAGATGATTCATGGGAAGCATTTTATAGGTGTTAATCTACTCCTCCCACAGTTATTCCTTCCTCAACCCCAAGTGGGAAGCCAGCCCTGGCTGCTGTCCAGGGTGCTGAAAGGGACTTGTCTTCACCCAAAGGATGAGGAGACAAGACTGAGAGGCCCGCCCGCACAAGCTCAGCTGCAGCCTTTTCTTGCTTTCCAGACTGGCAGGGTCAAGGATGAGCAGACCATCCCTACCTTCATGAGAACAGACCCTGGGAGATGTCTAATAAAAATACAATGTAAACGACATATGTAATTTAGAATTTTCTAGTAACCATTCTTTAAAAGTTTGAAAAGGTGAAATTCATTTTAATAATATATCTCATTCAATATATTAAAAAACGATCATTTCAACATATAATCAATATAAAAAATGACTGAGATATTTAACATTCTTTTTTTATACGGAGTCTTGGAAATCTCGTGTGTGTTTTATACATACAGTGCTACAGTGCATCTCAAGTCAGTCTCACCACCTTCTGACTGCTCAGTACTCCCGTGAGGCTACCATGTCGGACAGCACAGCTCTAGGCAGAACAAAGGCAGTGACCTTGAGCAAGTGAACTCAGTGCCCTCTGTGAAAAGGAGGTACTTCCGCACAGCCTGCCTCATGGGGCCATGGAGAGGGCTTGAGGAGGTGATGGAGGGAAAGTTGCCAGCACAGTGCCCGCACAAGGGAGGTCCAAAGCCAGGGTTCCTGGGCTCCACATATCCTGGGGATACTGGTGGGTAGGGAGGAGGTGTTGGGGAAGTAGGGGAAGGTCCTGAGGAGACCTGTGGACTGGTATCAGGCCTCCCTCAGCAGCACTAGGGGAAGGGGTCACCCTTACCCTCACCCTTACCCTTACCCCTGCAGCCCTAGACTCTGGGAGAAGGGAAGCAAGTTGAGGCTAGACTGGAACAGACACGTTAAAACTTAATTGGGCTTAAATCACTTCCATTAGGCACCAATTAAAAGGAAATTAGGTGGCCTGAGGGAGGACCTGGGTGCGGGATGCTGCTGACTTCTGCTTCTCAGGACTCATTTCCCTTCAGGCTTCTTCATGCCCACCCTGGCACCTCATGGGGTCCCCCAGTTGGGGCTTTTCTAATCCAGTCCCCAGTACCCATCATATTCCTCCCTCCACTCCTCCAAGGCCACTGACTCTGGGAAGACTTCCACCCTCTCAGGCCCTCAAAACACATGCTAAGTGTCTAAGGCAGAGGAGACTCCACTGAGGGTTTTGGCCTTTAAGGAGAGTGGGAAGCTAAGGAAGAGTGTTGAGCAGAGTACTGGCATGATCAGATTTCTATATCAACACGATTTCTCTTGAGTGGATGGAAAATGGATTGGTGGGGGCAGGGACACTGAAGAGTGAGGGTGGAGAGAGAGACCAGCAAGGAGATGATCTGCATGAAGGAGACTTTAGAGGGTGCTATGGAGGAGGAATGGAGTTTCTATATATGTAGTGGGTAGAATTGTCAGCACTCAGCTCCTGGTGTGGATTGGGTATCAGAGAGGAGCCAAGGATGACACCTGGGCTTCTGTCTTACACACCTGGATGGATGACCGTGTCATTGGCATAGAGGTACAGGAAGAGGACCAGCTTTGGGGGAGACAGTCATTAATTTGGCCTTGGGCATTGTCTTAGTCCATTTTGTGCTGCTATAACAATACCTGAGACTGGGTCATTTATAAAGAACAGAGATTCATTCATTGCAGTTCTGGAGGCTGGGAAGTCCAAGGTTGTGGGGCTGTCATCTGGCAAGGTCTTTTTTGCTGCATCATCTTATGGCAGAAGGCAGAAGGGTGAGAGAGAGAGCAAGAGATTGAATTCAAAGACTCAAGCTCTTTTATAATCAGTGTTAATCCATTCATGAGGGCGGTGCCCTCATGATCTAAACACACACCCCCCATTGACCCCATCTCCCAACACTGTTGCACTGGGGATTAAGTTTCCAACACATGCTTTTTGGGGGACACATTCAAACCATAGCAGGCATGTCAACTTTGAGATGGTCAAGGGGAGATGTCAAGTGGAAAGTAGGTAGTTGAACACACAGGGCTGGAACTCAGAATGAGGGGCTGGGCTGGAGTCATTACTATGGGAGGAACCAGCACTGAGGTGGGTTGTAGAGTAGGGTGGGAGGTGAATAAATCAAGGGACTAGAGACAGTTCTTAAAGTGGAGCTTTGAAAAGAGGGAGACTCCCTTTGTTCAGGACAGGTGAAAAAAAAGAGAAAAGAGGGAGAGAAAGCTCAGGGCTTACTGTAGTCTCTGAAGGTGAGTTAGCTGGAGAGGATGATGGGAGATTTCCATGAACAGAGAGGCTGTCCCTACCTCCTCTCCAAGATCCTACATAATGATCAGAAATAACCAGCCCTACCGCCTTGGGAGGCCGGGTCCTGAGACCCAGTAATGGTTATCATCACAGAGATTGATTCTGCTCATTTGTTGCACTTCAGGTTAGCCACAGTTCCTGGAGGTGGGAATGGGGTTGGGGGGACACTCAACAAGGCCTGGACTCCAAGACCTTCGGGACGGATGGGACTCTGGACTCCATGGGGAAGGTGGAGAAGCAGGCACGGTGCTCCGGGCTCCCTGAAGCCCTCACTTCTACTCCTCCTGAGCAGGTGGAAGCAAAGGTGAGCCCCTCCTCTCCAGGCCTCAGCTTCCCTATGGACCTGCTCCAGGCTGTTATGTGCCTATCCCCTGTGGTGGCATGGCAAAGCCTCAGCCATCAATCCAAGTGTCCCTAGAGTCAACCAAGAAAGTCAATATTTAATTTGGGCACCATGTTAATGCCATCGATCGCCAGCTCCCTCCTCCTTCCTCAGGCTCATTTGTCACTTCCCACTCACTGGGGGTGGGGTGGGGTGCAGCCTAGTAGAGGCAGAGCTCAGCCTGGACTTGGCCTGGGAAAACTGGCCTGCATGTGGAGGTGCTCCCCTCAACCACCCAGCTTCCAATCCCCTGAGAATCACTGAGCTGCTTTGTCTGAGTTTCCTAAGTGCCATCCCTGGGGAGGTCAGTGAAGTGGGGAGGGGAGGTCAACTTTTCTCCCAGGCCCCCACATTGAGTCTAATTCCCTTCTGGGGCCATACATAGAGCAGGTGTGGTTGGGGGTTGACTGAGTGAAGGAGGGCTAGCACCTGTGACATAGGCCACTGGGAGAGAAGTGAGAGCAAATTTGAGACTCGGCTTCTGGATCCTTCCTGGGTGCCCAGTTCTGTGTCTGTGTGATGCTGTGGAAGTCACATGGGGGACCTGAGATGTGGTCCATCTCTAGGACCCAGAGAGGAGGCTGAGGGAGCATTGAGCTTAGAGGTTTAGGGCTCAGCTGGGTAGCGAAAGAGGGGCTGGGGTAAGGGCAGACCCCATTTAAAGGCTTGGCTGGGTCCAACTTCCAGTTTGTTCTCATCAGTTCTGTGGATCCAGATAGGGGCCCCTCAGCATTCTTCCCCAGCCCGGCTCACCCAGGGAGGGAATGCCTCCAGTCTGCTTCAGGGGCCAGGCTTGGGTCCCAACTGCAACTCCATCTCCAACTTGCTGAGTGACCTTGGACAAGTTAAGTAACCTCTCTGAGCCTTAGATACCTCCTCTGAGAGACCTCTTGGACCTTGGTCACTTGGTACTGTTTTTAGAGGGTCAGGGATGGGCAGGAGCAAGCTTGATGGTCCAAGGAGGGTTATTTCCCAGAGTTCTCACAATGAGCAGCTCCCAAAACCTGCTGACAGTGCTACTGCCTTCTTCCTACCTGTAGGGCTGCTTGCTGTCAATTAGGCCTGGGCCACAACGGCACCCTTGGTCCTCCTCGTTATCCAGAGTGCAGAAGCCAAGACCATGTCATTGAGGGGATGGTTGGGCAAGCCCTGCCATCTAGCACTGGGTGATCAATGGGCGGACTGAGTTCAGTTTAGGATGCCAGCAAGACAGTAACAACACGTGCACACACAGATAAGCAGAAAGAAATTCTGAGGCCAGGTGCGGTGGCTCATGCCTGTAATCCCAGCATGTTGGGAGGCCGAGGCGGTCGGATCACCTGAGGTCAGGAGTTTGAGACCAGCCTGGCCAATATGGTGAAACCCCGTCTCTACTAAAAATACAAAAATTAGCTGGGTGTGGTGGCGGGTGCCTGTAATCCCAGCTACTTGGGAGGCTGAGGCAGAAGAATCGCTTGAACCCAGGAGGCGGAGATCACGTCATTGCACTCTAGCCTGGGCAATAAGAGCAAAACTCCATCTCAAAAAAACAAACCAAAAAAAAAAAAAAAAAAGAAGAAGAAGAAGTTCTGCTTCCATGAACTAATCCAGAATTTTGCAATTGAAAATCCAAAAGGAAGTGGTTTTCATTCCAGCATGTGCATAAAGAAGTATGCTTCATGGATTAGTATTATTTCTATTGTGAATGATGTATGGGAGTGCCAGACTCTTCCCAATGGATGGCATGTAAATGTCTTAATCTGGCCCTGTTGACCTACTCTGAGCCATTGAATCAAGCCTTGAGCCAGGAGAACTTGATTGGTCATTTATTTATCAGTAAATGGTGTCTGATGTCAACCCCATGCTGGGCCTTGGGATGGGCACTGACAACGTAAAGATGAGGAAGGCATAGTCTCTAAGAAGGCTCCCAAGATGGAGGAGCTGGGGGAAGGGATGGATACTGTTTCCAGGGGCTTCCCATTGCTCTTTGACTAAAACAAAGGCTCTCACTGTGGCACAGGAGGCTCGGCATGCTCTGGTCCCTGCCCATTGCTCTGTCCAAATGTCCTGCCACTTGCTGTCACTGTCTGAGCAGCTCCATGGCCTCCTCTCTGCTCCTCAAACACATTTCATGGATTCTCCCTTCCCAGGGCCTTTGTGTTTGCTGTGCCCTCAATTTGAAAGTCTCTTCCCTGGCTGTCTGCTGTGCTGGCTCTTGTCTTTTGATGAGATGCCACCTCCTCAGAAATGCCTTCCTTGACTACCCCTTTCTCCCACCAAGTCATTTTTTAAAAATCACATCACCTAATCCTTTCCACAGTATCATTTCTCCTGATCTGAGTTTATATCACTTGTTTCCTATTTATTGTCTGTCTCCCCCACTGGACTATGAGCCCCTGAGGGCAGAACAGGGTCATACATTCATACTGTTGCTGGGACAGGATAGGAACTGCATAGATATTGCTGAATGAATGAATGAGGAGACATTGGGAGGGGGCTGTCCAGGAAGCAATTAGAGCTGAAGGTCTAGTTCTCAGTGCCCTGCCGCAGGCAGACTGTCTGTGTCTGTGCCTGTGGTGGGGTGGGGAGGGCTTTGCCTGTGCAGGCCTGGGAAGGGGAGAGCCCCATAGGACACCAGCCTCAGGGCATGCATATTGCAGAAGGCTCCTTCCTTGAATATTAACTCACTGCCAGACTGGCATCCCTGACTGCTGCTGAATTTTTCACTGTCAGGGCCAGTGGTTGATGGGGGATGGGGGTTGGGAGGACAGCACATCCACGTCCAGAGGGCCACATGCACTTTTGTGTGACATTGTCACGTGCAGCTGTCTGGGCAAGGGCTTGCTCCCAGGTGGCCATGCATGGATGCTATGGGCAGCTCTGTGTCTGAGCATGTTCTGCCCTTAGCTGGCCTGCCGTGCACACAGGTGAGTTGTGTTTTACATGCTCTCATTTCCAGGCTCAACTGAGGGAAGAAAGGGCCCTTAGAGAACATTCAGTTCCACTCCTCCCGTTGTGCAGAAAGGAAATCTGAGGCTCAGAAGGGAGAGGTTGCTCGAGGTCACACCATGAGTCCTTGGAGGATCAAGGCTAAAGCCCAGTGAACAGTGAGCATTTATTGAGAGCCTGTGGTGTACCTGGCACCATGTTGGGCATGGGGAACTCACTCTACTAGAGAAGCCCACAGTCCAGGAAACCAGGCTTGGGGAAGAAGGAGACAGACATGGGCCTGAGCATTAGGCTGCAGAGCAGGAGAAGTTTCCTCTGCCTTCAGAAGAGGGTGTCAGGGAAGACAAGGAAACACTTGCACTGAGCTCTGAAGACTAATTGAAAGCTCAGCAGGCAGAGAAAGGGGAAAGGGCACTCCAGGCAGAGGGTGCCTCATAAGCAAAGGCACGAGGCATGAAACAACTTGGCAAGTTTGGGGAATTGCAAATAGTGCAGTTCAGCTGGAGAGGATGGGCTGCGGATACGGGGCGGTGAGATCACAGTGGCTTTGTGGGATATCATCGGGGTTTGGATTTTATTCTGAGGGCCAGAGGGGAACCACGGAAGCAGACTTGGGTTTTAGAAGGATTTCTGTAGCTACGGAGGAAAAGCGAATTCAACCGATACATTTTGAGCAGTCAATATATGCCAGGTACCACGCTGGGTGCTGAGGATACAATTCTGAATGAGGCACATACAGTCTCAGCTCTGCAGCGTATTAAGAGACACACAGACAGGTGTAGTAGGGAGGAAGCTTGGCACACAAACAAGAAATACCCTGTTTCTGTATTCACTTTAAACCAACTCCAGTCTGACTCACTCTAAACGCTTTCCTATGAGTTGGCAAAAAATTTAATCTCAACCATCACTGAAGGCTCCCTCCCACCTTTCCCACTGGCGAGTGCAAGGAGCTGCTGGCCCTCCCTGCACATGGGCACAGAAGAGGTGCCTCCTGTCTTCAGTCTACATTGGTCACACAGAGATGTCCATTGTCCTAGTAGTCCATATGGTCCCTTGAGGCTCAGTGACTAAGCTGTTCCCCTGCTACTTTGGAGCACTGAAGCTGGTTCCCAAGTGTTTGCACTCCAGCCACCCCAGGTGCGTTACCACACATCCCCACAGCTCCTGTCACCTGTCAAGGGAGCTATCAGCTGTCAAGGGAGCTAGACACAGGTCCCTACCACCCAAAGGACCCCCAGCTTCTGCACCCTCTGCAGCTAGCTTCTGCCTCTCAATTCTCTGTCCTCTTCTCCCCATCCCTTGGGAACACATGGCACGCCTGCTTCCAGAAGTTTAGCTCTTTCCAAACTCAGGACAAGCCATCAGACTTCAAGCAGCTTTTTGCGTTTGGCCCTGCACAGTTCCCTGAGGCTAGAAAAATCAAAGGGCTTGGCTACCAGCTTGCAAGTGGGAGGGGAAACTACAGGAGAACAAAGCAATTAATATCTCAATCAATTGTCCTGCCACGGGAGTGAATAAGTCATTAGAGACCCAGGCAGTGACTGCTCTGAGAGAGGCAGGCACATACTGGGGGTGGTGGGAGGTCAGACAAGGGGCACCTAACTAAGACCTGGGGTTCAGGAAAGGCCTCCCAAGAAGTGGAGTCTCTGCCAGACTAAGCCCTGAAGACAGCAAGGATGAGGCCAGGGAGGGCGTTCCTGGAAAAGGGATGAGGAGCTGACAGTTCTCCTGTATGGGTGGAACACAGAAAGCCCCAGAGAGGGACTGGGGCTGAGGGAGGTGGAGCTGGATGGTGAAGAGCTCAAGTCCCAAGTCAAGGTTTGGAGTCTATTTGGACCATAAGATGCTATTGAATGATTCTAATCAAGAAAGTGACACAACCAGATTCCTGTTTAGAAACACCGCATGGCGGCTGGGCGCAGTGGCTCACGCCTGTAATCCCAGCACTTTGGGAGGCCGAGGCGGGTGGATCATGAGGTCAGGAGATTGAGACCATCCTGGCTAACACGGTGAAACCCCGTCTCTACTAAATGTACAAAAAATTAGCCGGGTGTGGTGGCGGGCGCCTGTAGTCCCAGCTACTCGGAAGGCTGAGGCAGGAGAATGGCGTGAGCCCGGGAGGCGGAGCTTGCAGTGAGCCGAGATCGCGCCACAGCACTCCTGCCTGGGCCACAGAGCAAGACTCTGCCTCAAAAAAAAAAGAAAAGAAAAAAAGAAACACCACATGGCTATGAAAAATGGATGGGGGAGAGGGTAAAACTGGTGGCAGGAAGAGCAGTTGTCAGGTGTTCCAGGGACTGGAACCGGCAGAGGCAGCTCCCAGGGATAACTGCAAGGAAGAAGGGAAGGGGATAGGACCTGGAGATGGGGGGAAGAAGGGAAGATAGATGTTAGAATGACTCCCCTTTCTATCTGGGGCGAATCCCCGAGATGGAGCGGACTGGGCAGGATGGTGGTGGGTAGGCGCCAGTGGGACCTCCAAGGAGAAAAAGGAGCCCAGGCGCGGTGGAACCCTTTCCGCACCCCACCTCTGCACTCCGCGATTCCCAAGCTTCCCGCTAGGTGGAGGGCTGGTGCCCTGGAGACCGGGCTCCGCCTCCCATCCTCCGCCCCTCATCCCAGAAGGATGGACCTTGACTTGGGCCTCCCCAAACCCCGCGTCCCTGTACTCGCCACCAGAGCTCATGTGTCTTGAGCCATCAGCTGCCCCCACTCCAGGGCTCCGTGGCAGAGGCATCGTCCTAGACACTTCTGCCCAGGCGCCTCCCTGGGCCTTTCTGTGCCCACGTATACAGGGCTGTTTCTATGCTCGGGGCGGCCTCGGCCACTCCAGCCTCGCAGACTGCCGGGTCCCCGCAGCTACGTCCTGCAGCCTGGAGGCTTCCCGTTCGCGGCGCCAGGAACGTTCCCTCACCCGCCACCCTCGACGCCCTTCTATTCCCTGACCCCACGCGGGAGGAGGGCTCCATGCCTCTCAGAGGCAGGCTACCCCTCATCTAGGCCTCTCTGGACCTTGGGACAGGTTCTAAGGTTGGCCAGGGCTGGGCGGAGCCAGATAGGAGGCAGGGCCTAGGGCGGAGTCAGGGAAGGCACCCGGCCATGAGTGTGGTCCAAAGGCAGACCAGTGGCGTGGCCAGAGTGGGCTGGAGGCGTGGCTGTCGGCGGGGTGGGGTCGGGATCCCCAGAACCTGGCAGCTTCCTCTCCTCTCCCACCCTAGCCAGTTCTGTCGCCCAAAGCCCCGCCCGCCCTGGCCCCTGGTCCAATGGGCAGACACAGCGACCATCGGGAGGCTCCTGGTCCCACTTAACAGAGGTCGTTATTTGGGAGGCCGCGCCCAGTTCTCTGGAACTGCCAGGCCTTGTGGGGAAGGGGGGCGCATTCTCTGGGCCTGCGCCGCACACCCTGACACCCACCCTCCATGTGCTTCCACCCTTTTCCAAGTAGACAGCTGGAGGGCCTGGGGCTTGAGCCCCGAGCTGGAGGAGCTGGTCAGGCGCCTGCGCCCCCCACGAGGCCCCCCTTCCCTTCAGTCTGCGCTCAGGCCCAGAGCCGGCTCTAAAAATAGACCGGGGCGCAGGAACGTGCCCACCCAGGAGCGGGTCAAGGAGGCCTGAGTCACCGTGTCGGGAGAGCCTTCTTCTTCTCCTCCCCGCCCCCCCACCACCTCCCACCTCGGGGGCTGAGGACGCCTCGATGGCCCGGCATCACTCCGGCTCTGCTGGCCCGACTCTGCGCCCTTGGCAGGGCGGTGCCGGCGGGGCAAGCGGTAGCAGCCACAGCCGGGAAGGATTAGGAGTTCCTGGGCCTGATTTATTTGGTTGTTTTCGTGCGTCTGGCGGCGGCGCCCCCGCCTGGCAGGACAGTCACGTCTGCATTGCTCTTCTCTCCCACCCAAGCTCATGGGTCTGTCCTAGACTTCAGGGTGGGGACCTGGGCTCGCAGCAACACAAAGTCCCGACCTGGATATTAGCGGTTCTGGAGCAAACACTGCTATTCCATAGATGAGAAAACCGAGTTCCAAAGAGAGGAAGAGGCCCATGGCACAGTAGAGTGCCCTGTGACAGCTCTGGATTTCACTCCACTTCCTAGGGCCTGTTTCCTACTGTAGGTGCTCCACCCGAGGATGACACCCAGGTTTATGGCCCATTCCCCTGTCAATTGGGAATGAGACATACTTGGGATTGTCCTAATGATTGAAATAATTTTTTTTTTTGAGACAGAGTCTCACTCGGTCTCCCAGGCTGGAGTGCAACAGCGCAATCTCAGCTCACTGCAACCTCCACCTCCTGGGTTCAAGCGATTCTCCTGCCTCAGCCTCCCAAATAGCTGGGATTACAGGTGCCCACCAACAGGCCCAGCTAATTTTTTTTTGTATTTAGTAGAGACGGGGTTTCACCATGTTGGTCAGGCTGGTCTCGAACTCCTGACCCCAGGTGATCCATCTGCCTCCTCAAAGTGTTGGGATTACAGACATGAGCCACCACACCCGGCCAAAATATTTTTTAAAAAGCAGTCGTGGCATATTGGGAGTCACACACACCTGGCTTCAGTCCCGCTCAGCAAGTTACCATCTCCAACACCTATTTTTCTCTCCTTCCAGAGGAGGATTAATGGGTGTGGTGTGGTGGGCTCCTCTTCCTGGAAGGACTTAGCTAAGGTGGTATGGGGAATGGTCACAGGGTACTTGGATGGATCTGGAACACCTGGTAAACTGAGGCGTGTATGAGGCCTGAATTGGGGGTGAGCGGGAGGGTGGTACCCTGGCCCTCACACAGGTCTGGCTCACTTCACCCCACTCCCATTCCCCTTCCCCATCTCAAGGAGGGGACATATTTGGCTCATTACAGGCTTAAGACCCTCAGACTTGGGAGGAATGGAGTGGGCTCAAGAGTCTCCAAGTTCAGCCTTCCCTAGTTTCCCAAAGGCAAGAAGCCTCCTAAAGCCAAACAATGCATCAAGGCAGACCTCGGCCTTGAACCTAGGCCCCCAGTCTGCCAATCCCCCAGTCCCAGGCTCTTTCTCCCACTCTCCCATCACCTGTCCTCTTTCGTTCGAACACACCAGTGTCAGGCCTTTTCTGAATGGTCAAGGCTGACAAACAAATACTCCAGTTGGTTTTCGGTCTTTACATATTATCATTTAGGCCACTTCACGGAAAAAGGTCTTATGTCTGTCAGAAATGTCACTGAGCTCTTAAAGCTACATGAAACCAGCTATGTAAATAATAAAATGGGGGATCAGGAGGAAATGTCAGAGATGAACATGGGTGTAAGATGCAGGACAAGAGTCTGCTCAAATAAAAATAAGGTACATAAGAATGAGCATTGTTGAATGTTTACTATGGGCTTGGCGTAGTCTCATGCATTATCTCATTGAATCCTCACAATTCCATGTGGTTAGTGTTATTACTATCACCCCCCTTCTACAGATATGGAAAGTATGCCTCACAGAGGTGAAGGAATTTGCCTAAGATAATAAAGCCAGGAAGTAGCAGAGCCAGGATCACACCCTTTCTTGATCTCTGATTTATTTTCTGCTTTGGTGAAACAGTTGGGGTTTCTCCCTGAACTTTCCCTTCCCCTGCTCACTCCCTTAGCCTTCTTTCTAGCCAGGTCACCAGGCCTCTCCTGCCCAGCCCCAGCCCAGGCACTGCTGGGAGGAGGAGGAGCTGGGCAGCTGCCAGAGCTTCTCTCCACCCAGAGATTCCAGGATTCGAAGAATTTATGAGACCAACTGTCTGAGTTTCTTGCATGCGAAGAAAGAATCTGGGAGTCCTTCAATACTCCCCTCATCACCAAGCATCCGCCAGGAGACTCCTTGGTTTGTACTTCATGGAGGGGAGTTTGTCCTCAGAAGGCGCTCGACCCCCTCTTTCATTCATGCAGCAACTATTTTTAAAACACCTAGTCTCTGTCACAGGCTCTAGGGAGAAATGGTAACAAAAGCAGCTCCTTTTGTGACTTCTGGTTTAGCAGGACACAAAGACGTTCAAGCAAATCAATGGCTAATAATTGATGATCCTCCTCCCTCCTCCAAGCTTCTGCCAAGATCTACCCGCCCTGGGGCCTGTTTCCAATTTCCTTCCCCACCTCCAAGTGGGAAGGAAAGTGAACATAGCCTCAAAGCTAAACATTGAGGGGAGGGAAGCCCGCCAAGGGACTGCGTGTGTTGTGGTGGTGAAGATTACATACTCTCTTTGTGGTGGCAATGAGGGTTACACACTCTCATTGTACATCTAGAATAGCTGGTGTTCATTGAGTTCCAGGAACCAAGCTCAGCACTTTAAATGTCCTGTCACAGGTAACCCTCACAGCATCCTTGTGAGGTAGGGACAATTCTGTTTCACCAACGAGAAAACTGAGGCTTACTCCAGGAAGATGGGGTAGTTTGTCAAAAGTCACACAGCTAGTAAGTGGTACAGGCAGGATTTGAACCCAGTTACCCTGGAACTAGAGTCCCCTTGCCCCTTCCTTTAGCCACTATGCTGAGGTCTTATTTGCATTTTTTTTTTTTTTTTTGGAAACAGGATCTCGCTTTGTTGCCCAGGCTGGAATGCAGTGGCATAGTCACAGCTCACTGCAGTTTTAACCTCCTGGGCTCAAGAGATCCTCCTGCCTCAGCCTCCTGAGTAGCTGAGACTACAGGCATGGACTGCCACACCCAGCTAATTTTTAAAAATTTTTTGTAGAGACAAGGGTCTCACTATGTTGCCCAAGCTGGTCTCAAACTCCTATGTTCAAGTGATCCTCCTGCTTGGGCCTCCCAAAGTGCTGGGATTATAGGCATGAACAACTATACCTGGCTCTTATTTGATTATTACAGGTGAAGAAAGTAAGGCTCAGAGGAGCTTAGGGTTTAGCTCAAGGTCACACAGCACAGCAGGATTGAGTTGTGTTGGTTGGTGGCCAAAGGGATGTTTGGATAAGGTGTGGTGGTGGCAAGCTATGCCATTCTTACCCCAAAAGGCTAGGGTCATTAGGTGTGGGATTGGGTCTGGAGGAAGTCTGGGGGCCACACCAGTCTGGGGGTTCTCACTGCTGACTATGTGCCACCCTCACCTCTGCTCCAGGAGAACCTGTGCTATGGGGCAGGAGTCCCTGGGAATACCTAGGCAGACGTGAGCAACATCCCACTGTCCCGCCTGGGCTTATGTCATTTGGCATCTTGTGCCTTGCTCTTACTAGGCCTGGAGAGATATCTGATAGGCAGGAGAAGAGGCTGTTTTAGTTCTCTGCTCACTGGGAGCTTCTTCTGTTTGGAAAGGGGGAGCATTGCCTGGGTTGGGAATCCTAACGCTGGTGAGCACTTCTGAGAGTTTACTAGGTGCCAGCATCCCGTGAGGGGCTTTCTCTTTGTCACTATCTCCCTTAATCCTTCCAGCAACCCTACGTGATAGGCACTGCTGTTATCTCTGCTTGCAGAGGAAGAGGTTAAGTGATATCCCCAAGTCATAGACTCAGTAAGGGCTGGATTTGAACCCACATGCAGATAATCAAACATCATACTCTCCCGCAGGGGTTCTCAAATGTGGTCCCTGGGTCCACAACATCAGCATCACCTGGGAACTTGTTAGGAATGCAAACTACTGAATCAGAAACTCTGAGAGTGGGGCCTGCCAACCTGTGTTTAACAAGTCCTCCAAGCTTGAGAACGCCTACCCTCCTGCTTTACAGAACTTGGGGGACTGCAGGTGACCTGAGTAAACTCATGGGCCCTGGTGTTAGGCAGAGTCAAGTTCCAATCTCTGGCCCACCTGACTTTCCAGCTTTAAACCTTTTTTTTTTTTTTTTTTTTTTTTTTGAGATGGAGTCTCGCTCTGTTGCCCAGGCAGGAGTGCAGTGGCGTGATCTCAGCTCACTGCAACCTCCACCTCCCGGGTTCAAGTGATTCTTCTACCTCAGCCTCCCAAGCAGCTGGGATCACAGGTGCGCGCCACCATGCCGGGCTAATTTTTAGTAGAGATAGGGTTTCGCCATGTTAGCCAGGCTGGTCTCCAACTCCTGACCTCAAGTGATCCACCTACCTCCACCTCCCAGAGTGCTGGGATTACAGGCATGAGCCATTGCACCCGGCCCAGAACAGGATTTCTCTCCTTCAGCACTACTGACATTTGGGGCCAGATAATTCGGATTGTGAGGGGCTGTCCTGGGCACTGTAGGATGGTAGGCACATCATTGGCCCCTGTCCTCCAGATGCCAGTGGCAACCCCTCCCCCATTATGACAATCAGAAATGTCTCCAAACATTGCTAAATGTCCCCTGGGAGCAAAGTTGCCCCCTGTGGAGAACCACTGGGGTAGAATAATTAGGCCAGTTTCTTTCATTTTTTTTTTTTTTTTTTTTTTTAGACAGAGTTTCACTCTTGTTGCCCAGGCTGGACTGCAATGGTGCAATCTCAGCTCACTGCAACCTCAACCTCCTGGGTTCAAACGATTCTCCTGCCTCAGCCTCCCGAGTAGCTGGGACTACAGGGGTGCACCACCACACCCAGCTAATTTTTGCATTTTTAGTAGAGACGGGGTTTCACTATGTTGGCCAGGCTGGTCTCGAACTCCTGACCTTGTGATCCACCTGCCTCGGCCTCTCAAAGTGCTGAGATTACAGGCATGAGCCACCGCACCTGGCCTAGGCCTGTTTCTTTTAGATGCCATAACACACCAGGCTAGGTAGCTTAAACTGGGATTGTATGACACATGGGGACCAGGGTCCAGGGCCACACAGTGGCTAGAGGTAAGACTGGAATCCAGGTCTTTTGTGCCTGCCACAACTCTCTGTGAGTCATTCAAAACAGGTGGGCAGAGTCCAGGGGCAGCCAAGCTGGGGCCCAGGATACCTGGAGTGTCTGGTATCCCGTGTCCACCTTCCCTGGCCATTGCCACATCCACAGCAGTGTCCATCAGGATCTGGGCTCACCTCTCTTGCAGCTCTGGGGTAGTCAAACCAAGCAGGTGTCTGGTAACATGAGCTGCTTGAAGTAAGATGCCCTGGCTGGGCCTGGTGGCTGGGGAAGGTTGCCAGGACCCAGGTCTCAGTGAGGAGTTTGCCACGGCCCCGTAGGGGAGATGGGGCATTATCGGAGAGGAGCACTGGCCTTCCCACTATGACCATAAAGCTGCCAGTCAGAAGTGAAAGATGGGTCTCCCTGCCACAGGGACGCAGACAGCCGTGAAGACGTGGTGGCCGAGCTGATTTAGGACAAGAGGGAGGAAGAATGAAAGACAGAGAGGCAGAGATCTAGAGCCAGCAAGATGGAGACCAGACCCAGAAACAGAGACGAGCAGATGGAGAATGAATGAGACACACACGGAGAGACAGAGACAGGGTGAGGAGAGACAGAGACAGGGTGAAGAGAGATACAAATGCGCAGAGAGATAGTGACGGGGAAGACAGAGACAAACAGAGACAGAAGACAGGAACGTAAAGATGCGGAAAGTGTGAGAAAAAGAGACCAGAGACACAGAGACATAGAGACGCCAAGTTAGATACACAGGATCCCAAACACAGAGGAAAACAGAGGGACCTACGAAAGAGAGAGCTGGAGACGGGGACAGACTTGCTGAGAAGGAAGAAAGAGCCACAGAGATTTCACACAGACAGAGGACAGAGACAGTGAGAGACACACTCAGAGAAACCAAAGCAGCCAGAGAGAGCCCTGATCCTCTGGTCTCAGTCTCTCCTCTGTGACCCCGAAGCTGCAACTGTGTCTGCATATGAGAGCGCACGTGCATACTCATGTGTGCTTATGCCATACCTCCTGCGGTGCAAGGCTGTGTCTGTGTGCTTGGACACTGCTTGCATGCATTTAGCCACTCATTCAATAGTGGGTGCCTGCAGGATGCCAGGCTCAGCTGAAGGACGGTATTAACGGTGGACAGGGACGCTCATGGAGCTTTCGTGCTTATTAGTGGAGAAAGACAACAAACAAACAAATACCAGAGCTATGTAGAGATTTAAAACAGGGTCGGGCTGGGCACAGTGACTCACGCCTGTAATATCAGCTCTTTGGGAGACGGAGGCAGAAGGATCACTTGAGGCCAGGAATTCAAGACCAGCCTAGGCAACATAGCAAGACCCTGCCTCTACAAAAACATTTTTAAAATAGCCAGGAGTGGTGGCGCCAGCCTGTAGTCCTGGCTACTCAGGAGGCTGAGGAGGGAGGATCACCTGAACCCAGGAATTCAAGGCTGCAGTGAGCTATGATCACACCACTGCACTCCAGCCTGGGTGACAGAATGAGACCCTGTCTCAAAAAAAAACAAACAAACTAAACCAACCAACCAACCAAACAAACCCCAAAACAGGATCATGTGATGGGGAGCAACTAGGGGCTCCTCATATCTAGTGGTCAGGGAAGGCCACTCTGAGGAGTTGACTTAGGAGGTGAGACCTGGATATCAAAAAGCCAGCCTGGCAAAGACGAGGGGCAAATCCTCGCCAGCAGAGGGAAGAGTTGGTGCACAAGGGCTGAGGGGAAAGTGAACTTAGTGAATTCAGGGCTGAGAAAGGAAGTGAGTGGGTGGCTACAGCTTTTGCGGTGAGGTGGCTGGACAGGAAGACAGAGGCGAGATCATGAAGGACTTGGCAAGGCCAAGGGAAAGATTTGGGGCTTTATTCTAGGAAGACGGATGCAACAGAGTGAAGCCAGCTGATATGGGTTTGAAAAGGTCTTACTGGCCAGGCATAGTGGCTCACGCCTGTAATCCCAGCTCTTTGGGAGGCCAAGGTGAGTGGATTACCTGAGGTCAGGAGTTCAGGACCAGCCTGGCCAACATGGTGAAACCCTGTCTCTACTAAAAAATACAAAAATTAGCCGGGCATAGTGGTGGGGACCTGTAATCCCAGCTACCTGGGAGGCTGACAGGAGAATTGCTTGAACCCAGGAGGCAGAGGTTGCAGTGAGCCAAGATTGCGCCATTGCACTCCAGCCTGGGTGACAAGAGCGAAACTCTGTGAAAAAAGAAAGAAAGAAAAAGAGAGAAAGAAAGAAAGAAAGAAAAGAAAAGAAAAGAAAAGAAAAGAAAAGAAAAGAAAAGAAAAGAAAAGGTATTACTGGCTGCCAGGTGGGAAGAAAGAAAGAAAAGAAAAAAGAAAAGAAAAGAAAAGGTCTTACTGGCCACCAGGTGGGAAGTAAGTGGGTGGTGGGGCCCCAAGGCAGCAGGCAGATCAGCTGGGGGCTCTTGCAACAGCCCAGCAGAAGATGATCATGGTCTGGGTGAGGGTTGCAGCTGTGGAGGTGGGGAGGAGTGGATGGACGTGGGCTGTATTTGGGGGGTAGAACTGACAGGATTGGATGGGGGTGGTAGGGAAAAGAAAGGAGCCAAGGTTTTCAGGTTTTTACCTGAGCATCAGAATGAATTATCGTGGCATTTAAAGGGATGAGGAAGTCAGGAAGGGCATATCTGTGAAGAGTAATCAATCATGTGTGATGTGTCTGCGTGTGAGCCCGTATGCGCATATGCCAGGGCCCAGGTGTGCACGTGTACATGTGGGGGTTCTGGTCCACTGTTCAAGCCTCAGAACTTTACACCATCTCTGCTTGAACGCGTGGGGGCTCCCGGACCTGTCCTGGGACCAGGCCCTGGGTTGGCTCTTCAACCTGCCCCAGCCCCAGGGGCTGCCCCTGCCAGACAGGGATTCCCCAGTGGGGGGCGGAGGGCCCTTGGGCACTGCCAACATCTGGGCATACTACCCCAGGTCCAGAAGGCCTTGGTAGCCCCATGCAGCAGCAGCATGCAGGCTCCAGGGCAGCTGGTGGTGATTAGCAGCATTGATTACCTCGTGGTGATGCCATCTGGGGTGAGGGCGCTGAGCCCAGCCTCACGGGATACCCGGGTTGCTGGCGTGCAGGGCTTTCTGGCACTGACTGCATGTAAAAGTGTCAGCACAGCTGCATGTATGCATGTGTGTACATGTGTCAGTGTGTGCATGTCCCAGTGGCTGTTTCTCTGGGAGCCGAGTCTGTGTGGCCATCTATGTCTGTGTGCACACATGTATGTGCTGCAGGTCTGCAGGCTTCTCTGCTTGCATATCTGAGTAATTATGCCTGTGGTCACATGTATGTTTATGTGCACACATGTCTATGTGTACAGGCATGTGTCTGTGTGTGCACATTCGAGTATATACAGTGCTGTATGCAGGCATTCTGAGAATTATGTACCTGTGTTTGGATATGTCCAGGGATATATTTCTGTGGGGTAATCTGGGCTCTTACATGTGTTTCTGTGTATCTTTGATGTGGAGGCGTATCTTGAGTCTCTACACATCTGTGTGTAACTGTTTCTAGGGCCAGGGTGTGTCTGTGTGAACATGAGTGCCTATACATGCATATGGAGTCTGCGTACTCAAGTGCTGTGCTAGAACTTTACCTGACTGCGTGTTTCTGGATGTGTGCACGTATGTGTGGAAGGGAGGAAGGGGCATGGGCACATTCCTAGACTGTCTATGATAGTGTTTCTAGGCGTAAGGTGTGTCCCAGGCTTGGCTGTTCCTGTGAGCACCCTTGGGGTGCTGTGGGAAGGCATCTGGCTCTCCCTTCTCAGGTTCCTCCATCCCTGGCCCAGCCACCTGCCCTGTCTGGGGCACGGGTGGGAGCTGTCAGGATGGCATGGTGGTTAAGAGCACGTGCTGAGTCTAGGCTGGCTGGACATGAGTTCTGCTCCACCACTGACTAGCTGTGGGATCCCGGGCAAGTTGTGTTTTTCCTGTGCTGCAGGTTTGGGAATAAAAATGGAATTCTGCCTTAAGGCGTTGTTGTAAAGATCGAAGGAGTTAGCATATGTGAAGTTCTCAGCACAGAGCCTGACCTATATGCGCTTCCCACCTCTCCCGAGTGCCCACTGCTGGGGCAGCACCCTCTGGTAGGGCAGGCGGGGCCTGTGCCCACCCACCCCGCAGGCCAGAGTGCTCAGAAGGCCCCACCCCCTCCGCTTCCCGCCTGCTGAGCTCAGCACTTCCCAGGCCCCACCACTGCCACAGCCACATCTGGGGCCAGCTCCTCACTGGGACCACAGTGGGGCGCCTCTGTGGCGTGGTTGGGGTTTCCGCTGACTCAGCGCCTCTGGGTCTGGAGGCGGGAAATCCCAGGCCTGCCCCTACAACCTCCCCCTACCCCGGGTTAGCCGAGGCCACAGGGCTAGGCGCGTTGCTTCCACAGAGCCCCCAGAGCCCCCCTCAACTGGGGACGCTCAGTTTCTCCCTCTTCAGCCCAGCATCTCATGGCCTCTTGAACCTACTTTGTGGATCCTCAGCCTTGGTGCCAATAAATTTGCTTTCGGTCTACAGCGGGAGGAGACCCTTGGTGGGGATTCCACCTTGGTCAACGGCCCTGCCTCTGGGCAGAACTCGGAACATTACCGGCTCCTTCCTCCTCAGAGCTCCAATCTTTCAGCCCAGCTCAATTCCTCTTGCGTCCTTGGACCGTGAATATAAAGCAGGTCCCTCCCCAGTGCTGGTGTAAAGGCTTGAAATCCAGTCCCGTCCCCTGCCAGGGATCACAGTAATAACGATAATAGCAGCAAATATTTACTGAGCTCCTCTCATGTGCCAGACCGTGTGCTAAGCGCTTACAGCCTTTGGCCCATTTCCTGCTTACAGCAAAGGTCTATGAGGCATATACTCTCACGATCCCATCTTCCAGATGAGAAAACGGAGTATGGTTACACAGCACATTTGGAACCGCAAAGCCAGAGCAGGGGCCAGGGATTTGAGCCCTTCCAACCTCATGGAGTAAGGAGGAATAAGGGGACTCCCTCAGTCTCACTTCTCTGGGAGTCAGGCCAGAGCAGAGGGGGTTAATTTAGCACGGAGGAGGGAGGGGGTTCCCACCCTCCTCCTCCCAGTACAGACAGACCTAGGGACAGACTGACTGGGAATGTTAGGCAGAGGAATTGGAAAAAGCTGACCACCGAGGCTTGGGCGGCAGCCACATCATGGGTGCCACGCACTTGGGAGGAGGGTCTCTACCCTGCTCCCTCCACCCCTGTCCCCTCCCCGCCCCCCCACCCCGCAGCCTTCTGGGGGCCCAGCCAGGGACATGGAAAGGGGGAGCTCTTCAAACTCCAGGCCTGACTCTTAAAGGGCCCGCAGGAGCCCCCTTCCAGGGCAGCTCTGGGCACGTAGGGTCCCGCCTAGCTCGAGGATCGCTCACCTGGCGGTGAGGCAGGAGGGGCGGGCCTGGGAGCTCGGCCAGACCCGGGGCGGGGCTGTGCACCCCGCAGTCTAGCCGCCTCTGGTGCCGCTGGAGCCCCCTCTAGGCCCTCCTCCTCCTCCTCCCTGGCGGGCCGGTCCAGCTGTGTTCCATTAGTGTCCCTGGCAGGCCCCCAGCCCCCTGGAACCGCCTCTCTTCCCCCACCCGGAGTGGCCGGCAGTCCCCGGCAGGCGTGCGCCGGGCAGCAGACAGCCGGGAGAGCTCGAGCGCCAGGAAGCTGGGGACCCGTGACCGTCACGGAGAGATAGAGAACCCCTAGCGGACCTGAGGAACCTGGGCTCTGCTTCCTCCGCCTGCTGCCTGGACTGCTCAGTGAGGTGGGGGGATCCCCGGCCACCGGTAAGTAGGGATACAGTGGGCGGCCTCAGGGCTCTGGGCTGAGAGGCCCTTTCTGCCAGACTTGCTGTGTGACCTGAGGAAAGTGGCATTCCCTCTCTGGGCCTTGGTCGTCTTCTCTAGAGCGAGATGAGCTCTAAACTCCATCCTGGTTCTGACTCCCTGCGCCCAAATCTATGCCTCTGTGTTGGGGTGAGCCGTCTCCTTGGAAGCTTCTCTGGCTCTGTCCTTGCAGCCCTGCACTCTGGCTGGAGCCTGAGGAGTGGCGACCAGAGACTAGGAGCCGGAAGGGGACAGGATCACATCCATCCTCACGCCTCCACATGCACCCACATGGCGCCACAGCTGGCAGCCCTTCTATTGGCTGGCAGGAGGAAGACCAGGATAGGGTTTGAGAGCTGGGATGTGTATATCACTAGGATGGGGGATGAATAGGCAGGCTGGGGGCACAGTTCTGTCCCAGGGAGAAGGGGGCTGGAGTCCTATCTCCAAATATATTGGGGTAAGGGGTCCTTTCTGTTTTCATTTCCTATCCATGATTGAGGGAAGGAAAATTGGATTTCATTAGAGTTGGAAGGAATGCAGTCAGACTTGCATTAGAACTTCCCAACAGGAAGACCTACAGGAGGAGTGGTCATAGGCTGGCTGTGCGCATGTGGGTATATGCAAGCTGGTGTGTCTGGGTATATCAGCGAGCATATGTTTCCGTGAGCATGCCTGTGTGCAGATAGCTTTGTATGCACACTGGTACCACATATGTGTCCTTATGTACATGTACCTGCGCATCTGCATGTGCTGTGCTGACACATGCATGGCTCTGTGTTTGTGCACGTGAGCTGCCTGTCCTGGGGGAGGCCAGACGATGTATGGCTCTGCTGGCCACTTGCTGAGCCTGCATCGATTTATCTGGGCCCATCCATCAGGGTTTAATAAAACTAAAAGACAAGCATCCATCAGCTGGGGGCGGGGGTGGCTGGCAATGAGGTCCTGAGCCCTAGAGACCTGCTCTCCTGCCCACTATACCTATGGGGAAAGCTTCCTTGGCCCCCACACAGCCCTATGGAAGGCTGTGGCCCACAATCTCAGCCCAGTCACCAGCCCCTGACCCTGTGGGTGCCTGGGAGGGCTTCCTGGGCTGAGCTGGGTGCGCTAGTAAGGTATCAGGCTGGTATATATACCAGGACAGTGCACAAGATGCTAGACTTGAAATACTTCCACGTGTCTTGAAGAATAGCCTCTTCTTTAAGCCCTCATCACTATTCCAACTTCTCTGGCCTTCTAAGACCTTCTAGACCTCTCCCAATCCAGCAAGTATCCACTGGCACAGCCAGATGCTGCCTGGACACTATTTCAGTGCAGTAGGCAGCTTTCTGCTTTGCCTGAAAGCTGGTATCCGTGCCATACCGGTGGTTAAATATTTTGAATATCGCCTCTGCTCAAATCCTAGCCCAAGGGCTGTGGTTGGGCCTCTGAGAGAGACTGATGCCTGGCCAGACCTCCTGCCACCCCAATACCAGTGCCTGGGCCCCACAGGCTGTCCACGACTTGCCCACGTGTGGAGTTGTGCTGTGTGAACTCAGAAATCCGCCTTCCCGGTCTCTGTGGTTTTCAGGTGCTGTGGCTGTAGCTGACCTCTTTGGACCGGGATGTGGGTATCCTGGGCTCCTGGCCTGTGGCTGCTCGGTCTTTGGGCTACCTTCGGCCATGGGGCAAATACAGGTGAGATGACACAGGAGAGTCACAGTATCACAGGCCTGCAACTGGTATCCTGGGGTGCTGGGGTCCTTGCACATATGTGACCATGTATGTGTGGTCGTGTGGGCAGTTATAGCAGAGTCTAGGGGCTGGGCTCAGGGTGATCTGAGGTGTTGGCACCCTTGAGCCTGTGTGCAGTGAGCTGGAGAGTGTGTGTGCCTGTGTCTTCGTACGTTTATGTCTCTGAGCATCTCTGTGTTTGTCTCTCAGACTGGCTTTGTGCATTCGTATGTATTCCTGTGTCTCTGTGTGTAAGAGAACAACCTCCCACCCCAATACGTAAGCCAATCCTGTGGACACATTGCTGGTAGGACCAGTGGGGTGGGGAGGAACAGGCAGTGAGCTCTCCCTGCAGAAGGACGCCGCCTCCCCAGAGAACCCCAAGTCCTGCTGATCCTTTTCATGGTGGAGACTCCATCCCTCTAGCTCACGTGCTTCTCCTCCTCCACGGCTGGCCCTGAATCTCTAATAAAAGGCCCACCCCGAGGCCCAGACTCTGGATGAGACAGAGGGTGCAGCTTTCCAGGGCCCAAAGCCAGGGGAAGTTGACCGGGCAACTTGCCTGGCCTTGCTGGGTGCCCTCTGGGCTCAGTAGCTCAGCTGCTTCGCCAAGCAGGAACAGAACTCCTAGGACCCAAACCCAGCTAGGAAAAGCAGAAAAACCAAGAAGCTGAGGTGAAAGGGATTGTGGACCCAGGGTGAGTGTGGCCGCCTGCCCCTTGTATGTGCACATATGTGTTTCTGCTTGTGTGTGCGTGAGCTTTGCTCTCCTCTCCCTCACTGGGTCCCCTGGGGGGGATGGGGCAGATAATTTCAACATCTGTAAGGAATCTGGGCCCATTGCCAAGGGGTGAGTCACCCATTGCTGCTGTGATGCTGAAGACAGTGATGGTCTTTCTGACCAGACCTGGGGGAGGGAGAGTGCAGTGGGGTCATTGGCACCGGGCCCCAGGGCCCCAGGATTCCTTCTTCCAGCCAGTCTAGCCAGAGAGTGCAAGGCCAGCTTCTAGGAGCTGTCTTCACCGTCTTCTCCCACCTATCCCTCTGCATTGATGAGAAGGCCTTTTTGATTCTGGCCTCTGTCTTTCCTGTTGTAGCACCTCCCCCAACACTTCTGCTCAGTCAGCCCCAGGGCGAGGGAGGCCCATGGCTGCCCACCTGTTCTTTCAGGGCTTTGGAAACCTGAGTTAAGCTATCTCCTTCTCTGGGAGCCCTAACCCATTAATATGCCCTTCCTGGAGCTCCAAGGCCCTGGTGGTACCCTTGAGCTTGTGGTCCCCTCAGACCCTCAGTCTCTTCTCGCTGTTTCACAAGGTGGTTATTCAGGTAAATATTCATTCTGTTGGCTCCTACTTGTGTCTGGCCTGCTTGTCTGATTTGGATGTAGGACGTTCCTATTGCTGAGAACACGTGTGCCAGCTGCACATGTCATCCCTCGTGGCATGGGCACCTACAACTCCCACATGTACAGACACGTACATATAATTGTACATAACACACAATGTGCATGATTCTGACATTTCCTTACCCCTGAAGAGCTCCTCTGCCCCCCACCTGGGTGTATGTCATGGAGGGGGCACATGTGTAAATACACAGCTCCCCACTCCATCTGTGCTCGAGAGCCACCTAGAGCTTCGTGTATTCTCTCCCTTGCTGGCCTAGCTCCTGACTTGGAGTGCTGGGAGATTTGGGTTCCTGGAGTTCTGGGCCTGCTCTGCTGTTGGCTCACTTAGTGACCTTGGCCTGGGCCTCAGTCTCTGGACCTCAGTCTTCCAAACTGTATGCTGGGTTGGGGGCCTCCAGGCTTCCTGGGGAGCCAGGGTCAGAAGGCAGGTGGTGAAGGCAGGATCTAGCTGATGGTCCAGAGTGAGGACTATAAACTTGCTCCCTCCCAGGTTCCCCAGGCGTCCAGCCGTGCAGCAACCTTGGCCTGAGCGCACCTAATGCCCCCCTGCCCCTTCTCTTCTAGGTGCACAATGCCCACCTTCACAGCAGGAAGGACTCAAATTGGAACACAGTAGTAGCCTGCCAGCCAACGTGACTGGTGAGCACCCAACCATCTCATCGCGCCGTCCCTGCAACCTTCCTCTGGGAGTGATCTGTACCCCTCTCCACCTGCTCAGCTGAGCTCTTCACCTGATGTCTCCCCCAAAGGCTTCAACCTCATCCACCGACTCAGCCTCATGAAGACGTCTGCCATCAAGAAGATCCGCAACCCCAAGGGGCCTCTCATCCTGCGCCTGGGGGCGGCCCCCGTGACCCAGCCCACGCGGTAAATGCATCCATGTGACCACTGAGAATCAACACTGACCTCAGCCACACTCCTCAGCAACTCCAGATGTGGGGCTTAAGCCCAGGGGCCTGTCTGTGGGTCATTGCATCCCAGCCCCTGCCAGGAGTCAACCTGGTCTCCACCCCTGGGCTTGCAGGGTGGGCTGAGAGGTGGTACCTGGCAGACCTACCTTCTGTCTTTCCCCTGTCTCTGGCCAGCAGTGGGTGGGAACAGGTCTGCATCCTGTGGGCACTGTGAGAACACAGGATGTGGGCGGGAACCTGGCAAGAGTCATGTGCGTGTGTGCATGTGTGTGTGTGCGCACATGCGTGTGTGTGCACCCATGTGTGTGAAGTCCAAATTCCCACAAGCCCTGGCCTGGCCCCTGCTTGCCTCTTCAACCTCAGCTCTCAAAATGCTCTTTTTTATCTCTTGCTGCTCTGGTCATGCTGAACCCTTTCCATCTTTTTTTCAGTATCTCTCCTTCCACCCTTGCTCCAGTTATTCACCTAGGGTATTCTGGGTTCATTGGAAGCACTTATTCAAATTGCAATGCGATAGCGAAATAGTCATTCTGGGGATTCTTTGCTCATGGCCTCCCTGCCCCCATCAGACGTGAAGGCTCCATGAAGGCAGGCAGTGCCTCTGTATTTTCACCACTGTGTATGTGGGTTTTTTGTTTGTTTGTTTGTTTGGTTGGTTGGTTGGTTTTCTTTTTGAGACCAAGTCTTGCTCTGTTGCCCAGGCTGGAGTGCAGTGGCGTGATCTTGGCTCACTGCAACCTCCACCTCCTGGGTTCAAGCAATTCTCCTGCCTCAGCCTCCCGGGTAGCTGGGATTACAGGCGCCTGCCACTACACCTGGCGAATTTTTTGTATTTTTAGTAGAGACGGTGTTTCACCATGCTGCCCAGGCTGGTCTCCAACTCCTGGCCTCAGGTGATCCGCCCACCTCGGCCTCCCAAAGTGCTGGGATTACAGGCATGAGCCACCGCACCCAGCCTTCACCACTGTTATTCCCAGCAGCCAGACCCGCACCTAGCTCGCGGAAGGCACTCAGTAAAGGTATGGAGAGTGAATGAATGTATATGATGGAAGATGTGTGCCTGTGGATGTCTTGGGTAGGCTCAGCAGTCCTGAGGGCTCAGGGTGGGCAGCATTTGGGTCCTCATTGGAGCCTCAGGGCACCCTCCCTGCTCCATCTCCAGAAGAGTATTCCCTCGGGGTCTCCCGGAGGAGTTTGCCCTGGTGCTGACACTACTGCTGAAGAAACACACCCACCAGAAGACGTGGTATCTGTTTCAAGTGACCGATGCAAATGGGTATCCACAGGTGAACCTCCCCTGTGCCCTGATTGCCTCTTAGGGCATTGGGTAGCACCAGTCCAGCCCACCTTTCATCCCGGCTTGTGACTTCTGGGGTCTCCCTGCTCCATCCTGTGCCTACCCTCAAGCCTGTCCCCAGCCCACCAGTACCTACCTCATTCTTTCAGGATGTATAGCTCCTTGACCCCAGCCGGCTTTCTTCTCTTTCTGGGCCTCAGTTCCCCTCCTGTGAAATGAGTTCAAGGTCCCTGAACGTGCCCATGGTGTGACTCTGGAGCTCTGAATCTCTGTCCTTTCCCTTTCCAAATTCTACCCAGATATCCCTGGAAGTCAACAGCCAAGAGCGGAGCCTGGAGCTCAGGGCCCAGGGCCAGGATGGCGACTTTGTGTCCTGCATCTTCCCAGTGCCCCAGCTCTTCGACTTGCGTTGGCACAAGCTGATGCTGAGTGTGGCTGGACGTGTGGCCTCTGTGCACGTGGACTGCAGCTCAGCCTCCTCCCAGCCTCTGGGGCCCCGACGACCCATGAGGCCTGTGGGCCATGTATTTCTAGGCTTGGATGCTGAGCAGGGCAAGCCTGTCTCGGTGAGTGCTAGGTCAGGCCCTGACCTCTGTTCCTGCCTTCTGGGAACCTGAGTGGGCTTCCTGGAATCCGTATCGGAACAAGTCCTTCTCCTGCTTAGAATCTTCCCCTGCTTTCCTGTTGCCCTCCAAATGCAGCCTAAACATATTCACCTGGCATTCAAGGCCCTTCATGATCTGGTCCTTATAAGTGTCTGCAGCACCATCTTCCTTTACATCTCTCCGTGCAGCTCTGCTCTGATCAATTCCATCCTAGCCATCCAGCGCACCCAGTGCTTTCACACTGCCGTGCCTTTGCCTACGCTGTTACCTCCACCTGGAATGCCTTTCCTTGCATACTCATCCGCTGAGTAGCTACCAGCCCTTCAAAGCCCAGCATGAATGGAACCTCCTCCTCTTTTGTTCCTCTGGGCCTCCTCTCCCTCGTTCCTGTGTGCGCAGTTTTGTTCTGCCTTTGGTGACAACTCTATTTTTGATGTCTCCCAGGCCAGACTGGAAACACCCTGAGGTCACATCCTGGGGCAGAGACATCTCTGTGCCTCCTGGGGGGCCAGGACACAGAGCTATTTGATAAAATGAAGTGAAATTGATGTGTGTGTCTCCTGCAGTTTGACCTTCAGCAGGTGCACATCTACTGTGACCCGGAGCTCGTGCTGGAGGAGGGCTGCTGTGAGATTTTACCAGCAGGGGTGAGTGGCCCGGCCCTTGGGCTGCCCAGGGACACACTGTGCTGGAGATGAGGGTCTGGAAGGTGATGCCTGGAGGTCTTAGGAGGAGTCTGCTCCTGTACTGACCCTAGCCCCGCTCTTCCACCAAACAGTGCCCCCCAGAGACCTCCAAGGCCCGCCGGGACACCCAGAGCAATGAGCTCATTGAGATCAATCCACAGTCTGAAGGCAAGGTCTACACCCGCTGCTTCTGCCTGGAGGAGCCTCAAAACAGCGAGGTGGGTGGGCAGGACAGGTGGATGCCAGCACAGGCAGGCACAAGTGAGATACCCCTCCCCTGAGCTGACTGACGTCTGCCACCAGGGTCAGTTGGCCATGGGCCCAGGGCAGGAGGGGCACTGGAAGCCCTCCCTATTTGTACGCCACCCCTAAATGATTCAGGGAGGCAGAGACAGCCCACTGGCCACCACTGGGTGGCCCTGTGCCCACCTACCTATGGGTGTTGAGAGTGGTACCATCTAGCTCTGGCACTGCCTAGACCCTCACGGATGCCATCCAGACTCTTCTGATGAGGGCAGGACCAGGCTTGTCCCTCAAAGCCAGTTTCTCCAGAACAGAGATACCTGGGATCAGAGGTCAGGTCATACTGCTTCCCCCCAGGGATGGCTCACTCTCCTGGGCCCAGCGCCGGCCAGGGCCAGACTGGTTTTACACCCAGCACCATGGCCAGCTGTCTGCCCACTCTCAGGTTCTTTAGAGGTGGCATGGAAGCCTGGTTCCTCCTTTAGCCCCACCCCCTGGCTGGGCACTCTCCCTGCCCGCTCGGGCATCTTGCCCAGCCTTGGGCTGCAGGAACACAGGATCCCATTGATGCATGGTCTTGTTGGCTCTGACATCACATGGGTGGGTGGGGGGGGAAGGAGGGGGACCTGTTGGGGCAGCCACAGGGGCCTGAGCAGGCCCTTGATGCCCCAGGAGGTGCCAGATGCCAGGCTGAAGGATTACCTGGGGCCCATGCCCCCTGCCTGGGTGCCCCTTTCCAGCCTGGACCCCAGAACTTCCCCCTCCTCAAGGGTTTCTCTTTGCTCTGTCTGCCCAGGTGGATGCCCAGCTGACGGGAAGAATCAGCCAGAAGGCAGAAAGGGGAGCAAAGGTAGAGGTGGGGGTGGGGGGAGGAGCCTACCTGCCCTCAGTCTGCCCTCTGTGCCCCTGTAAACCCCAGGGATAAGGTGCTCCACTCCCACTCTCCTCCCGCCTTTCCCACCTCCTGGACAGAGCTTAGGACATGTAGGTGCCAGCTCTGATCAAGAAGGACGGATGGGGGTGAGACAGACGCAGTGCCTGGCACTCTCTAGAGTGCCCACTCCTGTTGGTTTGGGGGTAGGGGTGTTGGAAACAGTGCTCGGCCCCCTGAGCTCCCTGCCCATTCCCACACCCCCCACCCTTTCCTCAGGTCCATCAGGAGACAGCAGCCGATGAGGTAAGCCTCCCAGTGGACTGGCAGCAGGGGAGGTGCCAGCATGAACCCTTTGCACCAGGCTTTGGGCACGGATCCTCAGCATAGGGGTGCTGGCTGACTACACAGCTCCTGGCATTCCTTGAGGGCCTGATGCTGGGCCCTGTCTGTCCACTGCCTCTCGTTGGGTTGGGGGGTAGGTAGCCCTGGAGGACACTCCTGCTGAGTTGGCAGCAAATGGCCACGGGCATCATGGGGAGAGCCCAGCCTTCAGCCACGGTGCCCTTGGATTCTGGGCCGTACTCTGCCCCAGCATGCTGTGTGACCTGGGGCATATTGCTATTCCTCTCTGGGCTTCAGTTTCCCCATCTGAAAAATGGCTGTGGGGCTGGGTGGGTGGGAAATGAGGGGTGAGGCTTGTTTTATAGGATTCCTATCTTCAGGCTCCCCTCAGATTCCACTCAAGATATGTGTGATGTTCTGTGGGCCTGGTGGTGATGGAGGTGGGGAGGGCTCACCCCAGGGGCTCAGAATTGACCTCTTCGCCTGCTCTTCCCTTTCAGTGTCCGCCCTGTGTCCATGGTGCCCGGGACAGCAATGTGAGTGAATGGAGGGTGTGCAGGGTGGAGCGGGCAAGAGCCGGGAGTGGACGTTGCCTAGAGCTGGCTTGGCAGCCTCCTGGGTGAGGACAAGGGGGTCTTTGTACACTTTCACACTCGCTCCCTGCCCATCTCCCAGAGCCGGGCTTAACCCCCACTGCCATCTCCACCAAGCCAGGACTGTGTGGAAGAAAGCCTGTGACCTGCCTTGTCATCTGCAGTGTGTTCGGGTTCAGGGCATGGGCACGGGATGGTGGCCGGCAGGACCAGCGCCTTGGTTGCTGATCGCAGCTTTGCACTCCCTGCAAGTTCTCCCCCTGCCCTGGTGGAGGCTTCCTTCATTCTCCTGGAGGCCTAGAGAAGGGGAAGAGCTGGCTCAGCACGGCAAGGGCTCCCACAGCGTTGGTTCAGGGCCTGCTGTCTCTTTCTAGCTGGCCCTGGTCCAGCCTTCCTATGGGGGTCCAGAAGGGCAAGGAGAGGGGCTCAGTGTGAGCCCAGCTGGCACCCAACTGTGCCTCTTCCATAGGCAGCATGAGTCACCATTTTTCTGGGGCCTAACATTCTGAGTTGACCTGCCACATTGGTCCACCAAGGGCACAACCCCAGCTCCCCTCAGCTCTAAGCCCCCTGACTTTGGGGGACATCAGGAGTACCTCCTAGGCTCCCTGCTCCCTCTTTCAATCCAGTCCCCCACCAAATCTGTTAAGACTGATGGTCCCCAGATGTGCAGAGGTTACCATGGAAACCAAGCAGCCATGTTATCCCAGCAACTGGGAGGCGGAGCTAACCAAAGCCAGGCAGTTTAGAGGAGGTAGGTTAGACCCTCTGCAAATGTTACAGGCTGAGGAAATGGAATCGGCTTGCTAGTTTGCCTGGGAAGCAGAGCAGGGGCTGGGATACAGGCTGCTGGTCCTGCTACCATGCTGTGTGACCCTGTCTAAATTGCTTGACTTCTCTGGGCCCCTGGTTTTCTCTCTCTACCGGAAGTGTGATGCCCTCTCCTCTGTCCCCTCAGGTCACACTTGCTCCCTCTGGCCCCAAGGTGAGTCCTAATGGAGAACGGGACATTCCCGTCCTCTTTAGCATCCCCAGCC
Organism: Homo sapiens; assembly: GCF_000001405.40. Lineage (NCBI taxonomy): Eukaryota > Metazoa > Chordata > Mammalia > Primates > Hominidae > Homo > Homo sapiens. The sequence goes on along the minus strand of NC_000001.11, from coordinate 31,694,091 downwards.
ATTCCCACAGCATGTGACCCTGTGGCTGTGTGTTTCTATCAGGGCCACCTGAGCCTGTATGTGTGTAGGGTGATTAAGTGTATGCGTGGTAAAGAAAGCAGGGGTTTGTGTGTGTGCAAAGATGCTAAGAGCTGCCCTTTTCTGAGGCCCTTCTGTGCACCAGGCCTTAGGCCACACCTATGCACACTTATTACCCTTTTGAACCCTCTCAATAGTCAGCCTGCAGGGTGGGTGCTATCATTTTACTTCAGGGGAAACTGAGGCCCAGCTGTGCCCACATATGTCTGACAGGGTGTGTTAGAATGATTATGTGTGGGTGTGGCTACATGCATCTCTGGGACACATGTTTGCATATGTGTGGCACACGAAGGCTGGAGTTGAACCCATATACCTGTGGGCCTAACGAGGCTGCAGAGCTTGTGAGTGATGGGGAGCGAAGCTATGCAACTGTGAGTTGTGCTTGTGTGTGCTCGTCAATACCGTTTTATTGATGAAGAAACTGAGGCTCAGAAAGGCGACATGACCTGCTCTGAGTGACATGCTAGCAAGTACAGGATTTGAAGTCAGGCAGCCTGACACTCAGCCAGCATGGGTTTCTGCCACCGTGCATGTGTGTGTCCATATGCCTCCGGCTGTGCTGTGTGTGAGCTGATGTGCTTGGGTACGGGTGTGGGGGATGGGATACCCCCCTGCTTGAGACTGTAGATTTGCCAAATATAGCATCTTGGGGTGGGAGGGCATGTGGATGAACAGGTGTGGAATCCATATGCTTGTGTGTGGTGGGGGGAGGCGTGGGGCAGGACACTGCTCACATGTGTGCGTATTTGCGTACCCGTGTGTGGGGGGATGGGTGGAGGGGGCCAGAAGTGGGGAGAGCTTTCTCAAGGCTCCCATGTGCCCCCTCTGGTCCTATCTTCCATTCTGGTTTCACTCTCAGGGAGGGAAAGGTGAGCGGGGCCTGCCTGGTCCACCAGGCTCCAAGGGAGAGAAGGGAGCACGGGTAAGTGTCCCAGCCCTGCCCGTGGCAGGACCTTTGCCAGCTGTGCCCTGGGGTGAGGTGGGATGTGAGCCATCATCCCATCATCCCGGCAGAAAGCCTGCAGCTTGGCCCAGATCACGGGAGGGGGGTGAGGGCCAGGGTCTTTCTAGGGGTTTGGGTGTAGAAGCCCCCCTTTTCTAGGGATACTTAGGACTATGGGGTTCCCGGGCCGATCCTCCTCACAACACATCTAGGGGACTTCCCCAGGAGTTCCCACCCCTGATCCCTTGTTCCCTACTCCCAGGGCAATGACTGTGTTCGAATCTCCCCGGATGCCCCACTTCAGGTAAGACTTGGAGGTGATGCCTGCTTCAGGGCCAATATGGGGCCAGCCCCTGGGGAGGGACTGTGCGCTTGGCAGCCCATCAGGTGACCCTCTGCCCCTCTCAACACTGTGTTCCCCTGTTCAGTGTGCAGAAGGCCCGAAGGGAGAGAAGGGGGAGTCAGGAGCTCTGGTGAGTGTGGGACCAGGGATAGGGCAGGGATGGTGGGTCCAGGGCCCAGCCTTACCCTCCCTTCCTCTGTCTCCCTTCCTCATCTCAGGGACCCTCAGGACTCCCAGGCTCAACAGGCGAGAAGGTAACAAGCCTGGATTTGGAGGGGGGATTTCCAGGGAGGTCTGCAGGCTCTACAGCCATGAGGAAGGAGGAGTCGGGGTTCTCTGAGGAGAGGGTGTCAGTGGGCACAGAGCTGGCAGGACCCTCCCTCCCCCATCTCCCCCACCCCAGTCACCCTGCCTCGTCCAAATACCCAGCCGACCTAGAGGGAAATGCCACAGATTCCCCCAGTAAGTGGCCTGGCTGGTTTGGAAGTTCTACCTGTTGTCTGGTCTGTTGTCTACCCTCCCGTGGTGATTGAAGCCATTCACCCTCAGGGGAGACAGAGACCAGGGGTCTAGAAGGCAGTTGTCCCTCCACCAGATGGAGCTGCCCAGCTGTCCCAGGCCCTTCCCTCATCCTGGTCACTCTGCTTCTTCCTTCCCCAGGGCCAGAAAGGCGAGAAGGGCGACGGAGGCATCAAGGGCGTGCCGGGAAAGCCAGGCCGGGACGTAGGTGCCTGGGACCCTTCCCCACCACAACCCACAGCACGGGGTCTGAGAATGCTGGGATTTAACCTTCGGGAATCCAGCCCCCTCCCCTTGCTCAGACAGGGTGGGGAGGGGCTGTGCCACAGGAGGCACAGCAAGAAGGGGACAGAAAAGGACCTGAGCCCAGGCCCCCTCACTCCCAGCCTCAGAGCCCCGAACCTCTAACACCATAAGGTTGACATGTGCTGACCTTGGGGCACCAGGGTGGGCTCTGGTTTGGGGGAGGGGCAGGGAGGGTGGGACAGGTGGGCATTCACCTCTCCCAGTGGGGCGGTGCCAGGCCTCAGGGCTGTTTGTACACCCTCCCCCTTATCCCCCCACAGGGCCGGCCAGGAGAGATCTGTGTCATTGGGCCCAAAGGGCAGAAGGTGAGTTGTGGATGTTTGTGGGGTGGAGATGGGGTGGCAGGGCTGGGGTGGCAGCTCTCTGATGCCCACCTTATGTCTGTGCCAGGGAGACCCTGGCTTTGTTGGGCCTGAGGGGCTGGCAGGAGAGCCTGGGCCCCCCGGCCTCCCTGGACCCCCTGGGATAGGACTGCCTGGGACCCCGGTGAGTACCCCCTTGCTTCTCCTGCTGTGCTTTTCTCAGAGACCGCTCTCCCACCCTGGCCAGGGAATGAACGGGGGGAAGATAAGGCTCTGTCCCAGGGATCCTGGCTGGAGGAGAGGGTGAGGGTAGAAGATCTCGCTGTAGCGAGTGGTCCCTGGAAACTTCCACGTGACTCTGTTTCTGCCCTCAGGGGGATCCAGGTGGCCCACCAGGCCCCAAGGGAGACAAGGTGAGCATAGGTGGGAGTGTGGTCACGTGGGGAGCTCCATGCTTGACAGGAGGAGAGAGAAGGGGCCGGGGCAGCTTCCCACAGGGGAAGCAAGTCCCAGGGAGGAGGCCGGGCCTTTGGAGGAGGAGGCTGGGCTCGGCTTGGCCAGGCCCCTTGGCGGGGAGCGTCCTGTCCCCATCCCAGTGCTCACTGAGCTGCTCACTGCAACCTCCGCCTGTGTTCCAGGTATAGGGATGGGCAGACCTAAGTGTTGTAAAGATCAAAGTGGACTTTGCTGGAGGGCCCAAGCTCATTTTAGAGCCTTGTGCCTGGATGTGCAGAAAGCTCTGGAAATTTCTGTCTGTGACTGCTGGGGTCACGCGGATCACCTCTTAACCTGTGCACCAGTGAAGGGGCACACAGAAGCTTCATTTTCTCCCTTCCTTTGAAACCTAGAATGGCTTGGGTTAGACACGGAGGGCAGGCAACAGGAACCGACCGAATGGAACAAATGGCAACAAGAGATTTGGCAACGATTGTTCTGCCATCACAGAGGGGCACGGGTGGGGAAGGGGGAACGCACCGAGATTGCATTGGCCAGAAGGCTCCCCGCTTATCCTTTCTTCTGACCACAGGGCAGCTCGGGGATCCCAGGAAAGGAAGGCCCTGGTGGGAAACCTGTGAGTGACACCAATCCAGCGGGGGAGGGTCGGCTCTTCCAAGGCCTCTGGAGGGAGGGGCTAGGTCCTCCGGCCCTCAGTTGGCACACCAGCCCTCTGCCCTGGCACTGATGCCCATTGCCTCTTTTCTAACAGGGGAAGCCAGGTGTGAAGGGAGAGAAGGTGAGTCCTAGGCCTGGCTGCCCAGATCGGGGTGGGAACGGGACCCCCTTTCTGCACATGACAGTGAGCATCAAGGGCCCTAGGCCTAGGGGTGCTGGACCTTCCTCAGGGGACCCCCACCCGTTCTTCCTCTGATGTCCATGTGCAGTGAGTACATAAAGAACCTGGCTTAGGGGTGAGCTGGGTTCAAACTCTGCCTCCACCACACACATGGTTATGAATGTGCCAGATCAATTAGCTTCTCTCTTAGCCCAAGTTTCCATGTCTGTCAGTGGGGCACAGTCATGTTTTAAGGCTTACGGCGAGGATGTAGTTTTGCGCCACCCTGGAATCTTGTGGTGAATGAATGAGTCAGTTGAACAGGAAGCCCCAGCGGCATTCCTGCTGTCCACTTTGATGTTGGGGGTGGGGCTCTGGTGGACCCAATGTCTAGGGCTGGTCTGCGCAAGAGGCCCCTTGCCTTCCCTGGGGTCTCAGCCCCACCCTGTCCACATACTGCCTCTCCCTTCTGCTAGGGTGACCCCTGTGAAGTGTGCCCAACACTGCCTGAAGGGTTCCAGAACTTTGTTGGACTTCCTGGAAAGCCAGGGCCCAAAGGGGAGCCTGGTGATCCTGTACCAGCCAGGGTGAGTGCCCAGGGTGACCATTGAGGGACCTCCCCCAACACACAAAGAAACCTGGGGACATGATCATAGAGAGGAATTGGGCAGAGGGGCTGGGTACTTCTCGTGGCTACAGAGAGATTATGGGCAGAGAGTCTAGGCTCTTACTGTGGTAAGGGGTCTGAACCATAGAACTCAGGGCTGGGCTAGAGTGCCACCTCCGGTCTCCATGGCAACCTCCCAGGGCTTTCCAGGAGACTCTAGGGTGCCTTTTGGGCAAGCTGGGCTGGAGCCCACCCTTACTGTGAGTGAGGCTGTGTCCTAGGATTGGGTATGTTTTGGGGGTGGAGGAAAGGAGTGAGCAGGACTGGGTTAGCCCCCTCTCTCACAGACCCCCTCTTTCAGGAGCACCTGGGAGCTGTCAGACAAAAAGGTGATTGGGTATATGCAGGAACTTCCCACTGGGTTAGCTTAACCTGGCGTCATTCCCCCCGCCACGCTCCTGCTTGTTATGTGGGTTGATGAACCCTGCCTCTGGGGTGCTGGCCTTGGACCCCATGGGACCCCTAGGTGTTTGGACGGTTTGCGTGTGTGACATTGCTGTCCTCGCATATTGCCAGGGAGTTTGGGGGTGCCCCATCGTGCCCTGCCTCAGCCCACAAACCTTTTTACCCTGCAGGGAGACCCTGGCATCCAAGGCATCAAAGGAGAGAAGGTGAGGGAACCCTGCTCTCCTGGCTGCCCTCCTCTGCCTACCTGGAAGCATTTCTGATCCTTCCTCTTCTTTCCCCAGGGGGAGCCCTGCTTGTCCTGCAGCTCGGTTGTAGGGGCCCAGCATCTTGTGTCCTCCACAGGGGCCAGTGGAGATGTGGGTTCCCCTGGCTTTGGTCTGCCTGGCCTTCCGGTGAGTGACGACTTTCTCCCAGCCCAGCCCAGTTCAGCCATCCTTGCCATACTGTTGATCTCCCTGGCTTTTCAGATCCCAAGTCTCAGGGCAGGGATCAGGAGGGAGGGGAAGAGGCAGGTGTCCCAGGCCTGTCTCCTGGTCCCTCCCTCCGTCCCTGTGCTGCCCCAGGCTCCTTGCCCTGGAACTTCCTCTTAGCACCTCTAGCTTCAGTTGTCTAACTGAAGAAACTGTCCAGCTACCTGAAGGACATAATTCCTATCTTACCGTTCTGTTTCTGGTTGGACACTGGGACCCGGGGAGCCTTGGAGAGGTGGGAGTGGGGAGATGCTGAGACTCTGTCTTGGTTGTTTTTCAGGGTAGAGCTGGGGTTCCAGGGCTGAAAGGAGAGAAGGTGAGACCTGGGTTAGATGTCAGGGACACTGGAGTTTCTTGGCAGGCAGGCAGGGGAGGAGTGGTGCGGGCGGGGAATAAGGGTAATATAAACAAGAGATTCAGACGGTAAATTCACAGTGAAATTAATTTACTAGTGTTTTGCAGACTTGAGTCAAAGAATTTATTTCTGAGAGCCCTCATGTTCTGTAAGAGAATTCCTTAGTGTAGCTGTGATGATATTCTAAAACTATTAAGCACATTCAAGATTACCTTATTATATTTATAATATGTAACACTTCTTTATTGCTTATGATGTGCCGGGCACTATTCCAAATCTTGTAAGTATATTCACTTGTTTTGTCCTCCCAGAGTTTATGGGGTATGTGCTCCATTATTCCCATTTCACAGATGAGGAAACGGAGGCACACAAAGGCCAAGTAAATTGCCAGGTGATTGGATGCAGAGCTGGGATTGAGCCCAGGAAGCCTGGCTCCAGAGACTGTAATCTTCACTACGCCTGTGGGTCACTCAATTTCAGTGCCTGTGTTAACGTATCTATTTATGATTGCATTGGAGACAAATGGCAGGCTTGAACTTCTAATGCAGTGTTACCCAAATGTTACCCAAATTCTGTGGGTGTACGAGTGCTCAAGTGTGAGAAACACTGAAGTATGTGTGCAGACTCAACCCTAACAGGGGAAGCCCACATGTCACATCACATGTGGGGCCTTTGCACCCCCACCCCACCTGCCGCCTCTTCCCAGCTTCCCCATCTCAGTCATCAGCTCACAGCCAGCCCCTCAAAGCCCAGCCTTGCGGTCGTCCTCAGATCCTTCACTCCTGACGCTGCCCCCTCCCTCTAGCCCCCCAGCGAGTCCTGACAGTTCTGCCCATGATGGCTCTCTCACCCCCTCCACTTCTCTCCACGCCCACCACTGCCATAGTAATCTGCGTCCCCATGGCCTCTCTCCTGCATGGTGGAACCTCCTCTGGCCTGCCCGTGGCCACTGTAGCCCTGCAGCAGTCCGGTTTTCACCTGGTAGTTTTTCGTGTGTGTGTGTGTGTGTGTGTCTGTGCGTTGTTGGTTTTTTTTTTTTTTTTTTTGAGACTGAGTCTCACTCTGTTGCCCAGGCTGGAGTGCAGTGGTGTGATCTCTGCTCACTGCAACCTCCACCTCCCAGGTTCAAGTGATTCTCCTGCCTCAGCCTCCCAATTAGCTGGGATTACAGGCGTGCACCACCACACTCAGCTAATTTTTGTAGTTTTAGTAGAGACGGGGTTTTGCCATGTTGGCCAGGCTGGTCTCAAATTCCTGACCTCAAGCGATCTACCCTCCTTGGCCTCCCAAAATGCTGGGATTACAGGCGTGAGCCATCGTGCCCAGCCTTCACCCGGTAGTTTAATGTGGCTTTGTAGAAGAATCAGTATTTCCCTCCTTAGAGTCCCTCTGTGACTTACTTTCTAACATAGCTCCACTGTATCTCACAGGACCCCGGATGCCCCAGCCCCCATCCTTCCCAAATTCATCCGCTTCTTCCCCTTCTCTTCGGGTTTACTCTGCTTTAGCCGTGCGGATCTTCTTTCCATTATGGAATATGTCCGGACTACTCCCACCCGTCAGATTTTGTACTTGTGGTTCCCACTAGAAGCATCCAGAATGTTTTTCCTCTCTACCCTCCCCCATTCTTTCATTGGATGACCTTATTCTCATTCTTCTGGTAATAATCAGGGTTAACACCTCTCTGACCACCTCCACTTACTCTGTCTCATCACCTTGTTGATTTCCTTCATAGTACTCACCACTGTTTAAAATGATGATTTAGAAAGTTCTGCGTGTGCAAGCTCAACAGGCATTGCTGTTTGTCCTGCTCACTGCTGTCTACCCAGTGCCTCAGCCCAGTGCTCCGCCTGTAAAGGTGTCCAATGAAAGGCTGTTGGAAAAATGCCTTCGTGATTTTTGTGTGCTGAGACATGGCTGAGGGTGGGCTGGATTCCATGAGGTGAAGCTGGGGGCAGAAATAGGGCTTCTAGCCCCTGGCTGGTTACAGACTCCCTTGGGGACCTTGGAGAAAGCCCTCTTCCTCTCTGGACATGAGAGGGTAGTCTGGACATCTGAAGGGGTTGCTTTTACAGTTTTGGGTTTGGGATTGCTCTAGCACCCAGACTCCATCCCCTCTTTAATCATGGTTTCTGTGCTTTCTCTCAGGGTAACTTCGGGGAGGCAGGGCCAGCTGGCAGTCCAGTAAGTATGTTTTGGATGGCAACAGCTTGGGAGAGGACAAGGTGGGAGGGGCTGATAGGCATGGCCCTGGCAGATGCTGGGCATTACCTGTAGCGTCTTAACATGCAGGGGCCACCAGGACCAGTGGGGCCAGCAGGCATCAAAGGGGCGAAGGTGAGTCTGGGGACATTCTCCGTGCTGCAGCCTGGGTGAGCTTCCTAGATAGACACTCGTCTTGCTCGACTTCGAACCCTCTGGGGCTCCTTGCTGTCTGTCGGGCAGAGTCTGACTCCTTAGCAAGGCATGGAGACCCCTGATGACTCAGCTCCACCTTTGTTTCTTTCCTGTTCTCCCTTCATCTTTCCCAAGATAACCCCTCACCCAGCAGAGGTGCAGTGTCAGACCCAGTGACATTCCCCAGCCCTAGATTCCAAACCTCGCTCAAGTGCACTAGGGCCTGGGGGACCCCCTAACTCAATGTCCTTGCTTGGCAGGGGGAGCCCTGTGAGCCGTGCCCAGCCCTGTCCAACCTTCAGGATGGGGATGTCCGTGTGGTGGCCTTGCCTGGCCCATCCGGAGAGAAGGGGGAACCTGGGCCTCCAGGCTTTGGCTTGCCAGGAAAACAGGTGAGGTGGGATATAGGCAGGGGCCTCTGGACGGGGGATGCAGGCGGGGCTAAGGAGAGGGGAGGGGTCCTGCCTGGGTCTCTTGACTCCCTGGGCAGTTGGGGGTAGTGGGGAGGGTGTGGCGGGGTCAGAGCCTCTGTCTCCAGCAGGAGCGGCCCTCACAGGTCTCTGCCCTTTATCCTGGGACAGAGTATGGCAGAGTGGGCAGAAAGCACGCCATCCTAGGAGCAGAGAGACCTGGGTTCCAATCTTAGCTTTGCTTCTTACTAAGTCTTTGACTTGAGCAAGTCACCTTCTCTCCACCTCTGTTTCCTGCACAGAGTAAAGCCTAGTAATGGCGTGTGTGAAGTGCTTAGTGGTACACCATGGGCACTGGGGAAATGGCAGTTACCACTGTGGTTATTATCACTGTTACTGCTTTCACAGTAACGGCCAGCACTACCACAGTGGACACTATGTGCCAGGCACTGCTGCACACGACATATTAGCTTGTCTAACCTCACAGGATCCCTACAGGGCAGAAGCCTATACTATTTTTATCATCCCCATTTGACAGCTGAAGAAACTGAGGTACGGAGATAGATGAGCTAATTTGCTCATGTCACCCAGGCAAAGAGTCTGGCACAAATCTTTGCTCTGCACCTGGGCAAGATTGCTTCACTAGCACGAAAGCAGAGATTTTGTTTGTTTGTTTACTGTTGTATGCCCCAGCCTGATGTGGTGCCGGGCACTTTGGGGTGGCTGGTATGAGTGAGCGGGTGCTGGAAATGCTTTCTCCTCAGGGCAAGGCTGGAGAGCGTGGACTGAAGGGGCAGAAGGTGAGAGGGCGTCCGTGGGCACGGGGGTGGGCATGGCATCATCTCAGATCCCCTCCTTGCCTCATTTTCCTCCCTCCCTAGCCCCCAACCCTCAGCCCCGGCAAAGGAGTGTGAGTGCCTGCGAGTCCCAGGGGGGCAACCTGCCCCCGGCTGGGCCATCCTTGCTTTCCTTGAACCCCACTCCTTACAGGGTGATGCTGGGAATCCTGGAGACCCTGGAACGCCGGGCACCACAGGGCGGCCAGGACTGTCAGGAGAGCCTGGAGTTCAGGGCCCCGCGGGGCCAAAAGGAGAAAAGGTTAGTCAGGCGGGGTGGTTGGGGTCGGGGAGTTTGTTGCATAAAAAAAATCAGGTGTCGCACCAGTGAGGGAAGGACTGCAGGGCCAGCTGGGGCCTTAACGGCTGTCAGAGTCACTGAGCGGAGGCTCCTCGGGGCTTCTCCTCTGCTAGGAGTGTCAGGGGCCTGTTTTGATTTCCCAGGCTGACGTGGGAGCATTCAAGGGGCAGAGTGTTCAGAGGGGTGCAGGGCGTCCTGGCCTGGGTGCCAGCCCCGGCTCATGGGCTCCTGGCTGTACCCATCTCTGACCAGGGTGATGGCTGCACTGCCTGCCCCAGCCTGCAGGGGACAGTGACAGACATGGCAGGACGGCCTGGGCAGCCCGGCCCCAAAGGAGAGCAGGGCCCCGAAGGCGTGGGCCGACCTGGTAAACCCGTGAGTTGCCTGCCCTCCGGCCCTTCCCTGCCTGGGCTTTGCCTCCTCTCCCTCCTGTCCCCCTTTCTCCTGTGGGGACTCCATGGGCCACCTTATGCCTTTTAGGGCCAACCCGGTCTACCAGGAGTTCAAGGGCCCCCAGGACTGAAGGGCGTGCAGGTATGTGTGAGTCTTGGGGCCCTGGGCCGTAGCTACGTGAGGGCAGGGGTGGGATAGGGAGATCCATGGGGGCAGTGGGCCTGGAGTGGGAAATGGAGGCAGGGTGCAGGGCAGGAAGAAGCTGGAGGAGAAGGGGCTGGGGAGAAGGGGAAAGGGTGACTGGGGAACCTCGAGCCAGGGACTGTCCTTCTGCCTCTTCAGGGAGAGCCAGGGCCTCCAGGAAGGGGAGTCCAGGGACCCCAGGTGAGTCTCTAGCCCTGCCTTTGCCTGTCCTCTCAGCACTTCCATTAGCCAGCTACCTACTTCCATCCACTCCCAAACTTCAGGGCTCTGCCTGCCCCCAGAGGCACAGGACTTAGTTCTGGGACCAGGGATCAGGCCGCAGCCCTGGCCTGCTGTTGCTTCTGTCAGGGACTTGCCTTTGACCCCAGCCTCTCTGACCCTCAGGGTCTCCTTGGGGAGCTCTTCTGAATTTGGGCTGGCAGATACCCCACCCAGACCAGGTCTGCCGGTGCGGCAGGGCCAGTGGGGCAGGTTGGCTGTGGCTGCTGTGCCCTAGTCTGCCCTTTCTGACTTGCAGGGGGAGCCTGGAGCCCCGGGTTTGCCTGGCATTCAGGTACGTCTGCCTGAGTCCTGAAGGAGGATAGCAGGGGAGGGGGCCATTCTAGGATATGGGTTAACTAACTGTGCTTCCATCTGCAGGGACTTCCGGGACCTCGGGGACCACCTGGCCCCACTGGAGAGAAGGGTGCCCAGGTGAGCCTCTGCCTCCATGGGTATTGGGCCTGCAGTATTCCAGAGTGTCCCAGAAGCAGGCACAGGGGACATGGGGGCCAAGTGATGCCTATCAGAGGGCTGCCTAAGATCTGTTGAGATGTGTCTTACCTGCTGGGTTGTAGCTGGCTTCCAATTCTGCCCCTGAGACCTTTGTACCTTCTCTTACACAGGGATCTCCAGGGGTGAAAGGAGCCACCGGACCTGTGGGACCTCCTGGGGCCAGTGTCTCTGGGCCTCCGGTAAGTCTTCTCTGTGCTCCATGCTGGTGGTGTTGCTGGAACCAAGGATGTTTCTGCTGGGAAGAGGGCACAGGGCTGACCCTGCCCATCCCAGCAGCACAGGGGATGGGAGGAGAGAGGCCTCAGCCCAGCCTCAGACAAGGAAAACCTCACTCTTTTAGGGGAATGCTTGAATAATACAATAATGATCACCACCATTTTTTGAGCAGTGATCATGCTGAGGCCCTGTGCTAAGCTCTAAACACAGAAATTCATGTCATCCTCACATCAGCCCTGTAAGGGAACTCACTTCATAGATCAGGAAGTTGAAGGCCAGAGGGTGAGGAGGCAGAGCCAGGGACTTCAACCTAGGCCTGTCTGACTCAAACCAAAGCCCATCCCCAGTCATTAGGGACATGTGAACCGGTGCTGCCCAGTACAACTGTCTATGAGGATGGAAACGCTGTGTTCTGCACAACCACAGGTGGCTGTTGAGTGCACCTGAAATGTGGCTAGTGTGACTGAGGAACTCAATTTTAAGTGACATTTAATTTTAATTAATTTAAATTTAAATAGCCCCATGTGGCTATGGACTACTGTATCAGACGGCACAGATCCAGACCAGCAACTACTTCCAGTATAATTGGAAAGACCTTCCCTTTGTACTATTCACCCAGTGGCTCCCACGTTTTAAGAGACATGTCTATTGAACAAATTGCACGGATTAAGTAATCATAAGTGCATTTTCTCATTTTTAATCATCAAAGACCTGTATAGTCGTCAGCTTCTACTCCACATGAACCCGCTAGAATTTTACCAGATAATCTAATTGCAGCCAAAATCAAAGGCATGCTACCTTTCAGCCAGTCTGTTCCATGCCAGGCGGTGGGCAAATGCGTAATTTGTCTTGGGCTTTTGGTAATGTTAAAAATAGCCCAGGTGAACTGTATCCTCTTCTGTCTTTGCGGATCCCTGGAGAAATTCTAGTTCCAGTTTGGGATTCACTGATAGGAGAGTGCACCAACGTCCAAAGCAGGCAGGGACTCGCCCAAGCCCACACAGCCGGTCTCTATTGTCCCTCAGAGCTGGACAGCCAGGGTTCCTGCCTGTCCCAGGGAGCCCCAGGCAAAAGGAGAGATGTGGGCCAGGTCCTCAGGGGCTTCAAGTCCCACGTGTGAAGGTGGCGGAGCCCACATGAAGGAGCTATGAGCACAGAGCTACGAGCCTCTGCGTGGCCAGGCTGGCTTCTCCTGGCCTGAGCAGACTCCATGCCGTTGCCCAAACTGCTTTCCTTTTCAGGAGAACGTTCCAGACCTCTACTCATGCTGAATTCCATCCAGCAGGCTTCCCTTCCTCAGCCCCACACTCGCTAGGGGCGTGACCCTAGGCAAGTGACAGCTTCTCAAAGTCTCCAATTTCTTGGAGGGGCTGAAATCCCTTTCTCCCAGTTAGGTCAACAGATGTAACTTTTGTGATAGGGAGAAAGTGTATCAAGCACTAAAGGGAGAGAGGAGAGAGCAGAGACTTCAGGCTACACACGCCTGGCTGCAGCTGGCTGTTGGGTCTGTCATGAAGTTTCTTCAGGGCTCAGTTTCCACACCTGAAAACCAGAACAATACCGTCCTGCCGGGCTGGGAGAGCGGATTCCATTCAGTGTTCCCCGACGGGTACTTGGCCCAGTGGCTGGCACTGAGACGTGCTCAGGAAATGCCAGTCTTCTTCCTTGTCCGGCACCTCAGTCTCCTCCTCTGGAACGTGGGCCCTCGGCCCTGGGCTCCAGGGGAACCTGGCGCTGCTTCTGTTTGTCCTACACCCCTTTTCTGCAGCAGGCCAGATGGCTGGCCGCTGCCCAGTCTCACCCTCTGACTCTGGGCTCTCTCTCTTCAGGGCCGTGATGGGCAGCAAGGACAGACGGGACTCAGAGGAACACCAGTGAGTACAGTGCCTTGGGGCAGCAGGAAGCCATGGCCGGCCCTGCCTCGGCACCCCTATCTGCTCACCTTCCTGTGTTTCTTCCCTGCAGGGTGAAAAAGGACCACGAGGAGAGAAGGTGAGTTCCAAGGGCCTGTGACCCATATTCTAGGGGATTAGCAGCCCCTCCAGCCTTCCCACCTGTGACCCGTACTCTGGGGGATTAGCAGCCCCTCCAGCCTTCCCACCATGAACCAGGGGAGCCTGTGCACATGAAGCTGCCTTGGACTGGAGGATGGGGGTGGAGGAGGCATCCTGGGCTCCTTGCTACCCCCAGCTTTCTGGTTTCAGGGGCTCCACGTATCCCCAGCTTCACCTGGTTGCTGGCCTGGGACTCAACCAGGATTATGGGAGACTGGAAAACTCCAAGGCCCCCTTAGGAGGGCAGCTGCATTTTCAAATGGGGGCTGAGTCAGAGGATGGGGCAGGAAGTGAGCTGGAAAGGACTAGTGGTGAGAGGGCAGAGAGGTGAGGGGCTCCCGAGCGAAGGGCATGGAAGCCAGGCTGGGCCCAGAGGAGTGGGGCTGCAGTTGTACTGAAAGCGAGATTACCTGCGTGGCAGCAGAGAAGGTTATAACTGACGACTGTAACAGCAGGACCATCGTTTGCTGAATAATCACCATGCGACAGGACCCCTGCATACACGAATCCATTTTGTCCTCCTGAGACTCCATGCGCTTGGAATTATTGTTCCCATTTTACAGGCGAGGAGGCTGAGGTGCAGAGAGTTTGAACAGGTTGCCTAAGGGCACATTAGAAGAGGCAGATCCTGGATTGAAACCCTGGCCTCTCCATCTCTAGAGCCCACGTGCCTCTCGGATGTCCATTTCAAGAGAGCCCTTCGTCTTCATCCATGTCTCACAAAGGCTCTTGTATTTTCAGGGTGAGCCAGGGGAGTGCTCCTGCCCCTCTCAAGGAGACCTCATCTTCTCTGGCATGCCGGTAAGTGGCGCTGTGAGAGCCTTCCCCCAACTGGGGGAGAGGACCAGCTTCAGCCTCGTCTGGTGCCCAGTGTGCAAAGGCCCCGCAGGGCCACGCACCCCAGCCAGCCGCCTCCCCACGCAGCCCCGCGCTTGGTGTAGACGTTGCCTATAACCTCTCCCCTTCTTTTGCGACCCCCACTCCCACCCAGGGTGCTCCGGGACTTTGGATGGGCAGCTCCTGGCAGCCGGGCCCGCAGGTGTGTCGCTTGTCTCCTCTTGTCCGCCAGCGCCCCGCGGCTTGTCCACCCTAAACAGCTGCTCTCGGCCATGGGGCAGAGCTCTCTGCTGGCTCTGACTCTTTTCTCTCTCCCTCAGGGTCCACCAGGTATTCCCGGACCACCAGGCCCCCCTGGAGTACCTGGGCTGCAGGTAAAGGGGGAGAAGAGAATGAGGAGCTTGGGTGGCAGAGCTCATGGGTCAGGATGGCTGCTCCCGGCTGGACCCCAAGGATGCTGCTCCCCCACCCCAAAAACACAGACATGCCATTTCTCACTCCTCTGTTTACCTGCCTCCCAGGGTGGCAAGGAGGGCCCACTGAGCCTCTAGGCCAGGCTCTGCACTCCCAGCACTGTTTCAAGCAATGCACTGTTGCGTCAGCTGTCAGGCACCCACAATCTGGGTCAGATAAAAATCCCTTACCCTGGTACAGAGCCCGGCCCACTGTTTTGGAGTAGCATTCAACACTCATTCATGCAACATGTGTTTTTGCACATTTGCTATTTTCTGGCACTGCTTTAACTGCTGTGAATACAGTAGTGGCTAAAAATAAAAGTCCCTGCCCTCTTGGAGCTTATATTCTAGTAAGAGAGACAGACAATAAGCAAGATAAATAAATAAAATATAGTGTGTTAGAAAGTGATACATACTAAGGAGAATGGTAAAGCAGGGAGTGAGTATAGAAAATGGGATGAGGGCAGGAGAAGTATTTGCAAAATGTACTGAAAAGAAGGTGATGTTTGAATCAAAACTTAAAAGAGATGAGAAGCTGTGAGGGATAGCCTTTGTGGCAGAGAAAACAGCCGGTGCAAAGGCCCAGAGGTGGGATGTGTTTGGGGAATTGCAAGGAAGCCAGAGATAGTGAGGGAAGAGCATTAGGAGCCAAGATCTGTGTGACACTGTGAATAAAGGGTACATTCCAGAGGCAGGCAGCCTGAACTTGAATCCCGGCTCTGCCATGTGCTAGCTGTGTGACGGTAGGCAAGTTCCTTAACCTCTCTGTGTCTCACTGCCCTCTTCTGCTAAGTGCGCCTAACTCATAGGGCTTTTGTGAGTATTAAACAAGTTAATGCATGTGAAGGGTATAGAATTGTACCCATGACTATTATATATTATTTATGTGACAAATGCTTAGAAGGCATTAGCTATCATTATTATGATGATGAGTACTATTATTATTTTACGTCCATTCTTTTATTCATTTGAGCCTTACATAAAAGCCCCAAAAGGAAGGCAGTATTATTATTCCTAAGTCACAGCTGGACAAGCTGAGGCTCTGAGCGATGGAGTATCTTGTCTAAGGCCGCCCGACTAGGAATTGACAATGCTAGACTGGGGCTTCCCCATGCAAAGCACTTTTTACCTTCTTCTGATGCCTTTCAGGACAGTTCCCAGTGGTTTGCCTAGCAAGCCACGTTTTCCAGAGGTTCTAGGTGGCATAGACACCACTGTCCGTGTGTCTGGCTCCCAGCTCCTAAGAGAGTGATTCTCACCTGAAGAAGCAGGGCAGCATCACATGGAAGCTTTTTACAAGCTACTCCTCCTTGCCCCAATGATTTGATAGATTTTGTATCTTCCCTCCCCACCCCCGCCACCCTGGCACACCTCCCCTGCCACCGTGGGCTGGGAGTCTGCTCTAGTGAGCCACTGTTGCCGATGGGAGTCTCTGCCAGGATCCCAATTCTCTCTACCCTATTGGAAGTGCTGAACTAGAGCCCACGCCACATATTTGCAGCCACACATTTGCCGAGTGTCTGGGGCTTTTGGGGCTTCCTGCCACACTGCCAGGAAACAGGAATCTGTCTGCAGAGGGCTTGCAGTTTGCTTGGGGAAGTGTAAGAGTCATTTCAAAGTGACCCATTAATAAGCGAGAGCTGATGTAGTGTAAACCCTGCCAAGACATGCTGGGGAATGAGGCAGAAAAGAGTGACTGCTGAGTCTGGTCCCAGGCACCAGAGTCCTTACCTAGTGCCAGTGCTTGAGACCAAGCCGAGGCTGCTGCTCACAGGTACCTGCCCCATGCCAGGTGGGATGCAGGAGGGCCAAGCAGCTCCTTTATTCAGGTATAGAAACAGGCTCAGGGATGTACAGCACTTACTCATCCAAGGCTGTATTGTCCCAGTGCTTAGTTATCTCATTTCATCTCAGTCCATTCCACAGAGGAGGAAGCTGAGGCACTGAGGTTAAGAAAGATGCCTGAGGCAACTAGTAGGTCATTGAGCCCAGCTTTCAATTCTGGCTGCACTTCGCTTCCGCAGTAGGACAACAGGTAGAACATTTAGTTCTGAGAGGTCAGGAAAACAATTACAAAGTATCAGGCTTGAACTATCACACTGGCCCTGGAGAGGGGAGCAAGGGATGAATAATGATTTAAGGCATAATAATTAACATGTTCGGGCCAGGCGTGGTGGCTCACGCCTGTAATCCCAGCACTTTGGGAGGCCAAGGTCGGCAGATCACTTGAGGTCAGGAGTTCGAGACCAGCCTGGCCAGCATGGCGAAACCCCGTCTCTACTAAAAATACAAAAAGAATTAACCGGGTTTTGTGGTGCATGCCTGTAATCCCAGCTACTCAGGAGGCTGAGGCAGGAGAATCGCTTGAACCCAGGAAGCGGAGGTTTCGATGAGCTGAGATTGCACCACTGCACTCCAGCCTGGGCGACAGAGTGATACATCTCAAAAATAATAATAATAATAATAAATAAAAAATAATAATTGACATGTTCAAGGCATTTTCCCTGTGCCAGGCACTGCTCTAAGCCCTGATGGTGCACAGAGGTGCCAGGGGGCCTGGATGGTGGCTGGCTCCGGGTCTGACCCAGGCCTGGTAGAGCCTGCCTGGAAATTGCTCGGGGGCTGGTGATATGTTCCATTGCTGGGAGCTGGGACTTGAAGGAAGGCCAGATCTCAGAGTGCGCCAAGGAAATCCTGTGCAGGGAGGAGCAGGCTGAGCAGCGGTGCATTCACTCAACACGTACTTACTGCACATCTCCTCCATGTTGGGTGCTGGGGATTCAAAATGGAACATACTCCCTGCCTCCATGGAGTATTTAATATGCAAATGTGCCTCACGAATCTGCAAGGGGAACATTGTCCGGGTGGCATGGATTTAATGTAAACATCGTTGCAGCCATTGTCTCCTTGAAGCCTCACCATAAACTATCCCTGTTTTATAGATAAGGCAACTGAGGCATAGAATTTTTTTCCCCCAAATAAATTGCCAAAAGTTATACAGGTAGTCAGAATTTTGTATCTAGATGAATCTGACTGGCAAGTACCCACCCTTGCTGTGTACATGAATGTTCTGGGGATGTCTGTTGAGGAATGATGCTAGAATTGTGGTTAAGAGAGGGGTTAGAAGCCAGTGATCCTTGCTCTGGACCTCAGCTCTGTGCCTTGCTCAACTTGTGACCTTTGGCAAGTTACTTACTCCTCTGGGTTCTTTTTTTTTTTTTTTTTTGAGACGGAGTCTCCCTCTGTTGCCTAGACTAAAGTGTAGTGGCGTAATCTTGGCTCACTGCAACCTCCATCTCCCAGGTTCAAGTGATTCTCCTGTCTCAGCCTCCCGTGTATCTGGGACCACAGGCACACACCACCATGCCCTGCTAACTTTTATATTTTTAGAAGAGACGGGGTTTCGCCATGTTGGCCAGGCTGGTCTCGAATTCCCGGCCTCAGGTGATCCGCCCACCTCGGCCTCCCAAAGTGCTACGATTGCAGGTGTGAGTGACCGTGCCCAGCCTCCTCTGGGTTCTTTGTGCTATTTTTAAGATGGAGATAACAGCACCTAGTTCAACAAGATAGCTGTGATGATTAAACGAGAAAATAGGCTGGGTGTGGTGGTTCACGCCTATAATTTCAACATTTTGAGAGGCTGAGCGGGGAGGATCACTTAAGCCCAGAAGTTTGAGACCAGCCTACCAGCGAGACCTGGTCTCTATAATAAACACAAAAGAATTAGCCAGGCATGGTGGTGAGCGCCTCTAGTCCCAGCTACTCAGGAGGCTGAGGTGGGAGAATCGCTTGAGCTGAGTTTGAGGCTACAGTGAGCTATAATTATGCCATTGCACTCCAGCCTGGGTGACAGAGTGAGACCCCGTCTCTACAAAGAAAAAAAGAAAAAAGAAAAGGAAAGGAAAAAGAAAGAGAGAAAATATAGAAAAACGACTTAGCACAGAAATAAACAGTAGTTCCATGGAAGACCCTCTGCTCAATTTCTGACCTTCCCTCTGATGTGGGGGGAAAACACTTGCTGTTGGACGGTTTGGGGGGTCGCTCTTCTGGGCCTCCCTGGCTTTCCCTATAAGGGTCGAGAGGCTTTTGAGCTAAGAATAGATGTCAGCCTTGTGCCAGCCAGGGCTCTCAGCTCTGCAGGACAAGGGGAAGAGGAGGCGGGGATGATGAGAAGGAAACAGGCTGACCAGCAGGCTAGAGAGATGGAGCCCACTCACTCGTGTCTCTTCTTGGCTACAGGGAGTGCCTGGAAACAACGGTTTGCCAGGACAGCCTGGGCTCACTGCAGAACTGGTGGGTACTGGCCAGGACTCCCTGTGCATGCCCCTTCCCTGCCCTTCCCAGGGCTGCTCAGGCTATGAAGCTGGCCCGGTAGCTGCAGTGGGGGTCCCTCTTCTCTCCCACTTCTGAGGCTGGAAGGTGCATGACGTGTCCCAAGGCTCTCCCTGATCCCATAAGTCTCCATGTTCCTTCCCCTCACCTGCTTGAGCCCACACATCTGTCTCTTGCAGGGATCCTTACCAATTGAACAGCACCTCCTTAAGGTAAGAGGGTACCCAGGAGGGAAGTGTGAGCTGGCGGGGGTGTCTCCTAAGGGGATTCTCTTAGTAAGTGCTCAGCTGTGTGGCACCTCGCAGAGAGAGCAGCAGTTTGCAGGGAATACGCATTCCAAGCATCTGTCTAAGAGGGCCTAGCTGATGCCTGGCTTGTAACAGGCCCCCAGGCAACATTTGCTGAATGAGTGCTTAAAGGAATCCTGTGAAGGTGCCCACATGGCAGATGCTGTCGGCAGAACCCAGCCCTGAAGCCTGCCCGCAGCAGCTGGCAATGAGACCCCGTAGCACCCGGGTCACCCTGCGGCAGAGCCCAGCAGCTTCCAAAGCAAAGCAGAGGGGGTGAAAGTGCAGTGGTGGGGGGCTGTGAGATTGGGTGTGGCCTGGAAGAAAGCTTCAGCTGTTCTCTAGTCAATCCAGAAAGAATCCAGGGAGGAGATGGATTTGAGAAGCACTTCTGGTAGTCTAAGAAAGGGGACTTCGGACCTGGTCAGAGGGTCGGCCTGTGCCAGGGCCTGTACACAGCCTTAATGCTCTACCAGAGGGCTGTGGCCTGGGCCGGCTTCCCAAACTGAGCAGAAGTTCCTATTGGAATCAAGAGTCACATAGCCCATCTTTGCTTAGTCACCTCTAGAAACGAGAGCACAGTAATTCCCCAGGTTGCCTTCAGGTTTTTGAAGGAGGCCCTTATGTTCCTGGACTTTCTCTCCTCTAGCCCAGCATCCTCAGGGGTCTTTCCCATGTGTTGGCCTCCAGAGCCCCCCCTCATCCTGGCCACCCTCTTCTGACACTGGCTAATTAGTGCCCTGGACATCCCATGACCCCGATGGGCCTTGGTCAGGGCAGAGCATGGGGGCTGTCTACCCCTTCCCTGCTCTGAACGGCAGATTTCTCCAGAAGCAGCCAGAGGAGGTCGGGGTAACCTCTTGGCATCAGTTACATGTTGGATCACAGTGAGGTTGTGGCAACGAAACCCCCAGCTCTTCTCCCCTCTGCTTCTGTCAATGACTGGGCAGTGATCGTGTGACTCCAAATCCAGGATTTGACATTTCTCCTGTAACATTTCATCTGTTGGCTTCTTCATCAAGTGCTCTTCAGAGGATTCCAAATAGAAAGTGCGCATAGTGTGGAGAAGGGGTCAGATGGCACCCCGGGGCATGCTGACCCAGAGCCCCAGCCACCACCTGCACCCATAGTCCAGGAAGCCTGGGGAGAGAGCACTGGCTGTGGCCTAGGACAGGCCCACGCCAATCCAGGCTCCCACTTTCCTTAGACAAGTCACGCCGCCTCTCTTGAGTGGGCTTTCCCATCTCCACAATGCTTATAAGATTCCCTGTCTCACTGCGCCGTCAAGATGGCATGTGATAATGTGCAGGGCTTATTATGTACAATGCCCAGCGTCATGGGTGCTGAGTAAATGCCAGTCGTTATTACTGGGCTTGGTGGTGAGCAGTGAAAGTGAGCAGGGGCTCCTGCCTGGGCATCTGTGGACACGACACTGGCCACAAACAGGCTCCGGGCTCCTGAGTCCTCAGAAATTGCAGGCTGGTTTTCACTAGTGGGTTTGATTTTTCTGAGAAAAGGACCCATAGCTTCCATCAAACTCTCAGAGGGGTCTGTGACCCAAAGAAGGTTAAAGCCCTTCCTGTGGGGAAGACAATTCTGGTGGCGCGATCCGAGCCAGGAGCCTGTGAGCAATCTGAGATCTGTCCCAGGGGCTCCTGGGAAGGGCCTGGCTCCTCCCGCAGCTGTTCCTTTGCTCCCTTGGGCAGAGAAGCTGGCGTTCGGAGCCAGCCTTTCCAGCCTCACTCCTCGTGGCTTGTCCTCGCAGTGGGTGCAGGTTGCAGGAACAGCCGGGACAGATGGTCCCTCTGCGGGCCCCTCGCCTCCACCCACATGCCTGTCTGGAAAGTGGCTTTGGCTTAGCTGTACCAGAGCTTCTTCCTGGAGGAAACTCAAAGCCAATTGTTGGGAGTGGGTCCCCCGAGGATGGAGCAAAGCTGCCGCAGGGATGCGGCTGGGGAGGGAGGGAGTGTGGGAGGAGGGAAGACGGCAGGGCAGGGAGCCCTGGCTCTGGGTTCTCACTGGGGCTCCCCAGTTGGCCCATCCTGCCCATCTCTAACCCAGGCCCCACTCCTCTCCCCACTCCCTGATCAGAGTATCTGCGGGGACTGTGTCCAGGGGCAGAGGGCCCACCCAGGGTACCTCGTGGAGAAGGGAGAGAAGGGAGACCAGGGCATCCCTGGTGTGCCAGGCCTCGACAACTGCGCCCAGGTAAGGGACTGGGCTTGGGGCTGCCCTATGCAGGAGGGTTCCCTGGCTGCCTCATCAGACAATGTGCCTCTCATTGTCCCTTGCAGTGCTTTTTGTCACTGGAGCGCCCAAGAGCCGAGGAGGCCCGGGTGAGTGCCTCGCCTTATCTCCCCCGATCATGCCCCATGCCCCACAGGGACAGGCCCTGACTGCTCACTATCACCGTCTCCATCCTTCTCCAGGGTGACAACAGTGAGGGAGATCCTGGCTGTGTTGGGAGCCCAGGCCTACCTGGTCCTCCGGGATTGCCAGGCCAGAGAGGAGAAGAGGTAAGACCAGGGATGGGGATTCATCCTCAAGGGAGCTGGGGCCCTGTCTGCCTTTGAGACCTCTTGGGGGCCTCCGAGGCCTCACCTGACTGATGCCCTTTACCACTCTGGGCTCATCTGCTCTCCTGGCACGTGGCTTCTCTGGGATACACAGGACCCAGCGTAGGACACACTCTTTCTCCCCAGTGCCCAGCTGCATCCTCTGCCTGCAACGCTCTTCTCCAGGGCTTATTCCTGCACTCCTTCAGCTCGGCTCAAATGTCTCCTTCTCAGAGAGACCTCCCCTGACCACCCTCTTTAAAATTGAACTCCACACCAACCCCAGAGCCTCCAGTCCCCTTGGCCTGCATCATACTCATCACCATCCAACATCCTGCCTATTTACTTCATTCAGGAACATTCTACAGGTGTCAGCTCAACACCAACTATGTGCCAGCTCCTGTTCTATTTGTTAGTGTCCGTCTCTCCCCTAGAATGTAACTGCTTTGAGGCAGGGGTTTTTATTTATTTTGTTTATGCTGTGATCCTAGCCCCTGGACTAATGCCTGGTACGTAATAGTTGCTTGTTAAATGTTTGTAGGATGACCGAATGGGCCAAATGAAAGATTGTTCGAACATCAGCTAAGTGGTCCTGCTTGGACAGCAGCCACCCTCTGTTGACCTTGGCCCTGGCAAGCTGGGAGGAAGGCTGCTGGAATCCCAGGGGCTCTATGGGGCCTGGGCCTCTTCATCCATTTCCCTTGGCTTCCTTTGCAGGGTCCGCCTGGCATGAGGGGCTCCCCGGGTCCTCCAGGCCCTATCGTAAGTATCAGTGGTGCCCTGGTCTGCTTGAGAAGCTCTCAAAGGGGTCATTACACTCAGACACCATCCCGCGGCCTTGTCCCCAAAAGGCTGGGCAAGGCAGGAGGAGGGAACTTCCACTGCCCTCCCCATCCCTCCGCAGAGCATCTGCAGGGACTGTGCTCTCCCACCACCGGATGCCCTGGAACCGCCCTGCTCTGCCTACTGCCTGCGGTCCTGCTTAGGGGAGGTCCTCAGAGGCACCTCTTTGCTTCCCTGTCCCCACCCTCTGCTGCGCTTTCCACAGTGGCCCCAGGCCGCCCTCGGCAGGGGGCCTAGGCTTCAGGCTCACAGCCTCCCAACCAGGGAAGCATGCGGCATGCTGGCCAGACCTCTCCATGCCCCTGTGACTCCAGTCCCCACAAGGGCTCGGGGCTAAGATGGAGCTGTCCTCCATTGCTCTGTAGGGCCATCTCTAGGGTAAATCTACAAAAACCAGACCAGGGTATCTACTCTGGAGTCCTCTGTGATGTTGACATGGCAGGAAAATAGAAGTGACTAGGAAAGATTGAAAGAACTGAAAATGCTTTCTCTGGAGAAGAAAATGGCTGGTGGGAGCTGTCTTAGAGCCAGGGAGCCCCCCACTCGGGGGACAGGTGGAGGTCGGGTGGCAGGCATGGTGGGCAAGGCTGAAAGAAATGGGCTTCTGCTGCAACCGGATCTTCAGTTAGACTCCGGAAGACTCAGGAAGCCCTCTGACTCTGGAGCCATTCCGCATCTCCGTCAACGGAGGAGCCATTCTTCCTGGAGCCAAGGGGAGGAACAGTTGTCTTTTGAGCCAAGACTTTCAAGGAGTCTCTTTTCCAGCTGCCTTGAAAATACTCCCATGACCTCCTCTCCCCATGACCCCCAAGCCCCAGACTGTGCCCTCCAGGCTGTCCCAGGGTTACTGTGCCTGTGAGATGTGACCTGCCTGTTTCTCCCACCAGGGCCCCCCAGGTTTTCCTGGTGCTGTTGGCTCCCCCGGATTGCCTGTAAGAACCTAGCGCTGCTCGACCTCCCCTCCCCCCCGTCAGCCAGGTCTCTGTGGCTTTTGCTTGTCTCCCTCCTGTCGTGCCTTCACCTCCGTCCTCCGTGTTTGTTGTCCCCCTTCAGGCACGGTAGCTAACGACACGGGTTCTCTGAGGTCCCGGCAGCTTGGACATCCTCCCAGTCTCTGACTCCTTTCCGTTTTCTCCTCTCCCTCCTCTCCTGCGTTCTTTCTCTCCTCTTCTCTCTCTTACCCCGTTCTGTCTTCCTTCTCCATTTCTCGCACCATCTTGCAGCACTCCCCCAAGTCCTCCTGAGCTCGTGAACCTTCCTCTTAAGCTGGTGCCTCTAGGGGGCCCCTCCATTCCTGCCTTCTCGCTCTGCCTCCTGCTTCTCACCACCTTCGGCGTTGCCTGAAGATTTGCTGAAAGTAGTTCTTGGGGCCCTGCCAGGCACCTGGCTCAGAGCCCAGCAGAGATGCCAAAGCTTTAGGGCTTCACATTGCAGGCTGGCACAGGTTTGCTGCCCTGCTGCTTGGCAGGGCTGTCCAGAGGCACCCAGGGATTTAAAGGCAGCCCTTCCTGCGCCTTTTCCGTCGTCCTAGAGGAAACTCTCAGCTGCCTCCTCTTCGCTTCCTCTTCCTTGGCTCCAGTCCCAGTCTGCTCCAAGGCGGGGCATGTGATATCAGCCAGTTGGGTTTCTGGGTGTCGTGCGGCCCTGCCCCTCTGTGCCCGGCACCTTGGCCGGCTCCTTCTGCCAGGTGTCGTTAATTGCTCTGCCTTCGTCATCGTCACAGGTGTGTTTACATCACCCCCAGCCTCATTGTTGCTCCCTCCTGGGTCACGGAAACTAACCTCCTGTTTGTCAGGTTTTGTGTTCCTGGGGCCTGGCTCCTCTCCTCCCAGGCCTGGTGATGGAGGCTCAGGGAGCAGGGCCCCTCCTCGTCACAGTTCCATCTGTCCCCACGTCCTCATCTGTGGCCGGGCCTTGTCTGTTTCTGCTTGCTTGGGTGAAGGGGCCATCTGTCCGTCTAGCCATCTGTCTTATGTCATGGAAAGGTTTGGGCGTCATCTCTTGAGGGGATGAGGGAGAAGGGGGCAGGAAAGGTGCCCTTAATGGCATGGCACCTGCAAAGGCTGGGGTAAGGAATTAGGGGTGGGGGCTGTAGCTCTCGTGGAAAGTGACATGCCCTCTCACCCTACAAAGTGACAGGGACTGCTCTGGAGGCAGCCTTCCTGTGTCTCTCCCCTGCCTCCCTCCAAGAAAGTGATTTTTGCTTGGGGTGGGGGACTTGGACAGGTAAGTGTTGGGTATCTGATGATATGATACACTTTGGTGGCAGCATCCATCTGGGGTACCTCTCCTGACAGTTGCCCCTCAGAATAAGCACACATCTGATCCATCACCTTCCTAAAGGTGTACGCCAGTCAGTTACCATGGCAGGGCATACCAGCGACGGGCACCTGAGAGATACCCTCCCAGAGTCACCTCTGCTGGAGGGCATATCTCTATAGTTATCTATCTTGAAGGGTATCCTCCTGAGAGGCACCCATATGTGGGGTTCACACCTCCACCAGTCATCCTGCTGGAGCACACCCATTACGGGTCACCTTCTAGGGACACTACGAGAGCCACTATGGCCTCCATATTTGCCTGGAGTGGGAACAGAAGGCAGTGGGGCAGGGGGAAGGAGTCAGGGGCTGGGTGGGGACCGCCGGCTCCTGCAGTTTCTCATGATTTTTCTCTCCAAGGGCCTTCAAGGAGAGCGAGGTCTCACGGGCCTGACTGGAGACAAGGGGGAGCCGGTAAGAAGAAGCTGGCAGGGGCTGGAAAGGGCTGGAAAGGGAGGAAGAGCTGGGGAGGCAGAGCTTGAGCTCTGAAGGGTGGCTGCTGAGTGGAAGCTGGGAGGTGGACTCCTTGAGACTCTCTGCCCTTCTGCCGGGATTCCCTCAGTGTGAGGTTTCCACACTCCCCCAGGAGCAAAGGAGGCCGATCTCCATGTGCCCTGACTCCCTGCCAGAAGCATGCACAGCCCCTGTCCTCCAGCAGCGTCCCTGGGGGCTCCCCTCCCTCCCTCGGCTGTTGTCACTCAGCATCCCAGCCCACCCCCTCTTCCCTGGTCCTCATGCCTGCTCTGGGCTCCCTGCTCCGGCTCAGCTCTCAGGGTCTGGGCCAGGCTGGGGTTCGCCTCCCCAGCCCAGGTCTGTGGTGGTGGTCACGACCGAGGGGACCTGGGGCTTGGGGAGATGGCCCAGTGTGCAATGCTGGGGCAGGCTGGCACCTGCTAGATGGCAGCCCCAGAGGTTTTAGCTTTGGCCATCCTCTTACCCAGCGAGGGGAGAACAGAAATGTTGGGGGGCTATCCATCATGTCTGCCTTTCTTTGCAGGGTCCTCCAGGGCAACCAGGTTACCCAGGTGCCACGGGCCCCCCAGGACTGCCTGTGAGTAAGGGGACCCTTGCTGGGGAGTGGGTGCCAGGTACCAGAGGTTTGGGCTGGTGGTCAGGACACAGCCAGGCTGGGCAACCCTCGGCGGGCTCCCCATTACCGGGCATTTCAGCCTCCTCCTTTGCCTAAAGTCCATGCAGCCCCCTCTCCCCACTGTAGGCCCCCTTGGCAGTGTGGATTGGTCCCACCACTCTGCTCAGGCCTGACTCTCAGAGCACTCTGCCAGGCCCAGACACAGCAAGAACTGAGATCTGCCTCCTGGGGGTGAGGGGTTTGGGAGATTGGAGAGACAGCTTAGAGGTGCCACCCCCACAGAAGCTGCTGGGTGGGTGTGTCCTCCTTTCCACTGGGGGCTTGGGGGGCACGGTGGCAGATGGGAGGCACGGCAGCTTTGGAGCACCCAGCGGTCCTCCCAGTGCCATTCCCCCAGAGCCAGTCTGGGTGCCAGCTGCAGTCTCCGCTCCTCGCATTAGTGCCGTGACGGACTAATTCTGTGGGGCTAATTCCACTGTCTCTTTGCCACTTGTCAGGGCATCAAGGGGGAGCGTGGCTACACCGGGTCAGCGGGAGAGAAAGGAGAGCCGGTGAGTCCCAGCGGCGTGGGGCTGGATGCAGGGCTGCACGTGGAGCCACACAGTCTCGGGCTGGAGACTTGGCAGCAGCCTGTGAAGGGGAGGATCGTGACCCCTGCTGCCCCCCTGCCCCCAAGCCTGCAGCACAGGCTGGGTGCTGTGGAGGTGGAGGCTGTGAGGAGAATCCCCGCAGGGCTGCCAAGGGGAGGGTGCCAGGAGGCAGCCGCAGAAGCACTCCTCCGCCTCCTACAAAGGAGGACCTGGGATTATAGACCCCCAGTGGACCCCAGCTCCCCAGAGCCACCCTCCAGAGCCAAGGCCTGCCAGGCCCCACGTTGAGCACAGGAGTTGGGCTGTGACCAGATGAGGACACTGGGGCCCCCAGAGTGACAAAGCTGAGACTCACCCAGGCTCCTGAAGCTAGTGAGTGAGGTAGTGGTGGAACCTGGGCTTGAACACACATCTATCTGGTGACAAACCTCACAAACCTCAGATCTAGGATCAGCCAAACTGGGACTGCAGCCTTACAGATTCACCAGTTTCAGTGAGGCCCCAGTGGGATTCAGCAAACTCCATCAGGCATTTACTCAGTAATAGATATTTCTCAGGGGCCTGTGGGGTGCCAGGCTCCCCTCTGAGGATGTCTCCATGAACAGAGCGCAGTTGCCCTCTTGCCCTGCCGTGGGGGAGGGAGCTGCCAGATGAATAAACAAGTGCCTAGGAACGATGAGGACTGGGACTCATGGAGGAAATGGGACAGGGGAAGGGGCTGGAGAGGTGTTTGGGCACCATCGAAGCGGAGGGGCAGGAAGGCCTCTCTGAGCAGGTGGCATATGAGCTGAGAGCTGACTAGCAGGAGGGAGGGATCCCTGTGGCTGTCTGTACTGGGGAATTCCAGAGGGAGAGGCTGGGTGGGGCACTGCAGGAACAGCTTCCAGCCATCAGATGATTTGGCAAGGGTTCAGGGGACCTAGGAAGGGGGGAAGGGGGCATTCTAGGTAGAAGAGAAAGCTGTGCTAAGGGTGCAAAGGCCTGGGGGTGTGAGGGTATAGAGTGTGTCAGAGAACAGCAGTCTGACTGAGCAAGGCGGAAGATGAGAAGGAGAGAGGGAGGAGAAGTGGGAAGGGGTGGCTGGTGCCAGATCACAGGCTGCCTCAAAGACCAGCGTTGGTGGAAAGTGTGCGCCCCACTCAGAGGCAGAGGGAGCCGCATAAGGTGTTTGAGCAAGAGAGTGACATAATCAGAGCTATGCTGGAGGAGAAGAGGGCAGCCATTTGCTGGCTGGCTTGCAGTGAGCCAGGAGGTGGCAGGACGAGTTAGGAGGCTGGTTCAGTAGCTCGGGCAAGAGCAGGGAAGCCTGAGCAGATCAGGCAGAGGGGGCCTGCCAGCCCAGGGGCCTCCCAGCACATGCCACCTCTGTTCTGGGCAGTCCCCTGTCACATCCCCCTACCTCATCCTTCACCTCCCCAGGAGGAGTGACTGATTCTGTTCCTTTGTATCCTTAGGGCCCCCCAGGATCTGAAGGCCTCCCAGGCCCCCCAGGCCCAGCGGTGAGTGAAGGAGGGCATGGGGAGATGTGGTCCTGGTCTTGTCCTGGGGTCTGAGGGCAGGAAGATTAGGTTTCGGCTGCATTGTTCTCTGTGGGTGACAGGGTCCCAGAGGAGAGCGAGGACCCCAAGGTAACTCCGGTGAGAAGGGCGACCAGGTGAGTGACGACTGGGACCTGGCTGCAGGGAGGCAGGGAAGGAGCTGGGTCCCTGGTGATCACCAGCTCTAGTCTCCCCACCCTACCTGTCCTTGGGTTGTGACCTACCTCATGCCCAGAGCCTCACCTGCCAGCCATGGTGGGCAGAGGGGAGGGCAAAGCCCATGGGTTTGAGGGTGCCCCCCCCGTCACTCTTTCCACCTGGGCAGCCAGGCAGGAGAGAGGGGGTGGCACAGCACACTGCCCCTTGCTTCTCACCCTAGGGATTTCAAGGCCAGCCAGGCTTTCCGGGCCCACCGGTGAGTGAAGAAGACACAAAGCCAGCTCTGTCTGATGTGGTCTCATCGGGAGGGGCAGGCCTGACCAGGCCAGGCTGGGGTAGGATGGTCCTGGGGAGAAGAGGGGAGAGGCAGGGGAGAACGGCCTGGGTGGCCAGGCCTGATTCCAGGAACCAGGACCTGGAGAGCCCAGCCTCTTGTGTGGGCCCCAGCCCAGCAGGCCAGGCAGACGTAATGCTCCCAAGTGGTGCTTCTAGGAAGTCAAAATGAATTGCATTAACAACAGTGCATCATGCACAGGAAGAATAAAGAAGGGGAGCTCCCCCTCCAGCCCCACTTTCATTCCTGCCTGCCCCTTTGTTGATACAGGGTCCCCCTGGATTCCCAGGCAAAGTTGGATCACCTGGCCCACCTGGCCCTCAAGCAGAGAAGGTGAGCAGGACCCTGGGTTGGCAAAGTCACAGATCTGAGCCATGCAGCTCCCATGCCCCTGTCCCACCCCTAGCATCAGGCTTTCAGGAAATTCCAAGACTGACCCAGTTGCACTGAGGCTGGGAAAAGAGGCCTCCAGGATGGGCCCAGTGACTACTGGAGGCCGACAGGGCTTGCAGTGGACCAGTGGGCTCCTCGGGATGTCTGCTTGGCCCAGGATGCCTGCGGCCTCTGTGCAGCCCAGGCCCTTGTCTGCTGTGATGGGGGGAAAGGCAGGGAGGTAGGTGGGGAGGAGGCAGGGGGTCTGATGGAGGAGTAGAATGTGATAGGCAGCCCAGGCCACCTTCGTCTCCTGGGCGGGAGGATGAGCGAGGAGCTGAGAGAAGGGGGAAGCACGTCCTGAAGGAGGACACCAACGTGGAAGGGGAATGGGCTCCTCCTGGGTAGCCGTGCTCCAGTTGTCCCCAAGGGCCCAGAGAGGGCAGGGGTGGCCCGTGTCCTGCCTGGTGACAAGGGTTGGGGGAGCAGCAGTTGGCGGAGCTCCTATGCTGGCTGCTCTTGACTTTGGCTTGATAAATGCTGGAGACATGGCTCTGCCTTGGCTTGGGGCTGACATCCCTGTCTCGGCCCAACCTCTGGGCTCCCTAGATGTGCTGAGTGGGTGGTGTAAGAAGCCCGAAGATTGACTTCTGAGCTTGGGGTCGGGGGACCTGGGTTCAGAGGGACAGGTGGGAGCCTCTTTCCCCTGAGCCTTGTGGAGAGCCTCTTTCCCCTGAGAGCACACGCATGAACGTCTCACTGTGCAGGTGAGGAAACTGACACCCACAAGGCTTGGGGCAGCCCAGAGGCACACAGTGGTGTTAGCAGCAGAGCTGAGACTTCCTTCCCAGCTCCAGGAGGACCCGGGCACCTCACTACCTCCCCAGAGCCCATGCTGATCAGCCATGCTTGGGACAGTGGTGGTTGCTAGCCCCCTTCCCCTTCCCCTTCCCCTTCCCCTTCCCCTTCCCCTTCCTTCCCCTCCCCAGGACCTGAGTGGCAGCCCCTGCTCTCCTTAGGCTGGTCATTGCAGAGAATCCCAAACCTCTGGCCAGTGGTTCTTCATCCCAACTGCCAGTGGGGGCCAACATTGGTTGGGGCTCTGCTGACCCCTCCTGGTGGCTGGTGGCATTACAGAGCCCCCGAGTTCATTTTCCCCTTTGCTGGGTCTCTCTAGCGGGATTCCTTCCCTTGACCACCCTACAGCCACTGATCCAGGGCAGCCACCCTCTCCACACTGGGAGAATGCAGCCACCTTCCCCGCTATGCTGCTTGCCTCCCCCCGCCTTTTCTGGTAAACATTCCAATCCATGCATCAGTTCTCATCACTCTTCTGCTTTGAACATTCAATGGCTCCCCAGTGCCTGTAGCAGGGGTTTTCAGACTTTATTTTGTAGTCCCAGAGTCTTTTTATCACATAAAAGCAAATGTAAAAACCTCAATCTATAAAACAAATACAAGCGGAGATTCCCTGGCTAAGACAACGGTGGGGGTCCTAGAGTCCCTCTCTTCAGTCCCCACTTCATGCCCCCAGCTTCTAGGCTCCCCCAGAAGCCCCAGTGCTCTGAGAAGTACAGCTTAAAAACCACTGACTGTTCGATAAAGTTTAGCACAGCGTTCAGGGCCCCCACTCATCATGGTGACTCTTCCAGCCTCTTCTGCCTGCCAGCCCATCCCACAGGCTCCCCCAGATGCCCTGGCCAGGCCAGGCATGTGCCCACTTGCAAGTCTTTATCCTTCTCTTAGGTTCCCTCTGGCATGCACTTTTCTCCTCCACCTGCCCAATCCCAGACATCCTCAGAGTCTAGCATCTGGTGACACTTCTGTGACACTTTCCCTGATCCCCAGCCAGAGGGAACTGCTCCCCGCTCCTGAGCTCCCTGAGCCCCTTTCCACACAGAACACTTAGACTGTTGTATTGCCCCTGGTTGTGTTGGGCCCATGACCCTCACTGGACTGTGAGCTCCTTGAGGACAGGGGCACCCACTTTTTCATCTTGGGGAATCAGAGCCCACATGGTGCTGCGTGCGCTGTTGAGGCCTCTGTGCAGCCCGGGCCCATGTCTGCTGGGATGGGGGGAAAGGTAGGGAGGTAGGTGGGGAGGAGGCAGGGGGTCTGATGGAGTAGAATACAACAGGCAGCTTTCACAGTGGATTGAAGCTGTGCTTTCAGTTCAGCACATGCTACTGAGCCCCTGCCATGCCAGCCCCTGGGTCAGCACTGGAGAAGATGCCCTGTCCCTTCCTCATGGGGCAGCAAGGAAAGGGGATGCTTTGCAGATGAAGACAGATCCTCCTGGGGAGGCGACGTGTGGCACATATGCAGTTAGACAGGGACAGATTGGGCCCAGAAGCCAGCTGTCCTGTTTCCAGCAGTCACCAGGACCCTTGACCCAGGGCCTGGTCTCCATGGGTGGGGCAAAGCCCTGCTGACTTTATTGTGGGGCGGGGGGGGGGGGCGGCGCTGGTTTCCAGGGCAGCGAAGGGATTCGAGGCCCATCAGGCCTGCCTGGCTCCCCTGGGCCACCGGGACCTCCTGGGATTCAGGTGAGTGTGTGCCCTTTCAGCGTGGCAGACGTGTGCGATGCATGCGCATGTGTGTGGTGCATGTGTGTGTGTGCACCTGTGTGTGTGTGCTGAGGTGGGAGTCAGGGGAGGGGTGGAGAGAATTGAGGGGTTGGGCCAGGCCTCCCACCTCCTAGGGCTCCCGCACCAGCATGTAGAAATGCCTCTTTCCTGTTTCCAGGGCCCCGCCGGTCTGGATGGTTTGGATGGGAAGGACGGCAAGCCTGGCTTGAGGGTGAGATGATGGGCTGGGAGGGCGGGCACCCCTTCCTCTCCTTTTTGCCAGAGGAGCCAAAGTCAAGGGAACCCTGATGGAAAGAACCGAAGTATCCCCGTCTTTGTCAGGGGGCACCCATGCCCTCCCTCGGTCTGTCTCCCTCTACCCCAGCTCCCCGATGGCACCACAGCCCCTTGGCTTCCCAGTTCTCCTAGTGGCCTTAAGCAGGTTAGGCGAGCTAGGTCTCACCAAAGGCAGGATGGTGAAGGCATGATGTATGCAGAAACTCAAGACAGCTGAGGAAACCAGGCTGGGCTTCAGGAAGAATGAGGGTGTGGACATGGAAGGACTTGAGCAAGCCCTGGCTCCTGGGGTTTTGCTGGGGAATCTGAAAGGGCTGGGGCCACAGGACAGGGTAGAACATCAAAGTCAACCCCCTTATATATCCCAAAGAAGGAAAGCTAAGGCCCGGAGAGGGGCTGGAAGTCACTGAGGATCCACAGCCAGTCAGAGGCTGAGCCAGGCTTGGATTCTTCCCTCCATCTTAGGATAGCTGGGGAGGGCTGGAGAGAGGGGAGGACAGAGGTATGAGTTGGATACAAGCTGGGCAAAACTCTTGTCTCAATCCTCCTCGTCTCTTTCCCTAGGGGGACCCTGGTCCTGCTGGCCCCCCTGGACTCATGGGACCACCGGTAAGTTGAGCTGCAGGAAGGAGTTGGAAGCTGCGAAGTTGCAGCTTCTGCCTGGGTGGCTGCAACAGCTCAAATCCAGATCCTCCGTGGACCGTGTTATGACTTTGGATTGGTTTGAATTGTTTGAACTGAGGAAGGAGGAGTGGGAAGAGGCCCCCAGCTGACATGAGGGACATGAGAACTCCCTGCTTTTTCTTTCAGGGCTTTAAGGGGAAAACAGGACATCCTGGCCTCCCAGGACCTAAGGTAAGGGCTGGTGACCTCTGCCAAGCAGGTTATCTCTGCTCTCCTGAAGGCTTGCCCCCAGGCATACATGGCAGCCTATCCTGGGCAGAGAGGCCATCCCAGCATCAGAGCCTCCTGGGGCCACTGGTGCCTGGCAGACTGGGTCAGGGCTTCTCTGTCTACCAGCTGGAGGGCATCAGAGGGCCTCTGGCCAAAGCTGGGGCAGGTGGCAGGGTCCCTCTGATGTGAGGTTGACTTGGGGTAGGGATGTCAAGTGAAGGTCTGGTAAGCTCCAGCTGCTCCTCTCTCTTCTAGGGTGACTGTGGCAAACCAGGTCCCCCTGGCAGCACTGGCCGGCCTGGCGCAGAGGTGAGGGCCAGGGATCCACATGGCTGCCTTCAGTTTGCCTTCAGACTCTGCAGAGTCTGGGATGCAGCCGCTTCTTCCTGCTCACTGGCAAAGTGGCTGCTTTCTGTCCTCAGCCTTCTGGGAGGGGTGTCACCCAACACTGCACGTCTTGAACTTTCTCCCTCCTATTAAGGGTTGTAACTGGTTCTGCTCCCTGGAGGTTACTGGGTCACCAACCTAAAAAGGCAGGGCCTGGCCTGCTCAGGCTGAGGATCCGCCTTCTCTACCTAACTCTCCGGGAAACTTGGGTCTGGAGGCTGGGAATTGGCCCAGCTCCTTTGGCCATTGGCATTACCATGTATTCTGCCCAGCCCCCTCCCATCCGACAGCCACATGGTGCAAGCAAGTCAGTTTCAGTGTCATTTTTTCCTTTTTCTGGCTCCTGCAGGGTGAACCTGGTGCCATGGGACCCCAGGGAAGACCCGGTCCCCCGGGACACGTTGTGAGTTGAACCACTTTTGTCTCTGTCTCCATAAGAGTTAGCATTTTGGCGGGGTGGTTGGTGGTGCATAGGCTGTCATGACCTGAGAGAACTTGCCATAGGGGCTGCCCCAGCCGTGGGAGCACGGGGGCCACTCCTTCTGTGGTTTCCAGGCTTTTCGTTATTTTCTTATTTTCTGGGCACATTCAAGTTCACTTATCAGATGGAGGTCATTCAGTCAACAAATAATTGTGGAGCCCCTGTGCCATGCCAGGCTTGGGGGACTTGCTGATGAGCTGGATTGGGGTTGGGGAGACAGAGTGACAGAAAGAGAAGAACCAGGGGTGACTCCTGCATTTGACTTGGGCAACTGGGTAAATAGGTGGTGTGTTTCCCAAGATGGGGTGACTTGGAGAGGACATTTATCAAGCAACAATGAATTTCCTGTCTACTTTACTCATCACTAACATAGATGACTGCCAGGCAGTGCCTTTGATCAGTGTGACGGCACTGAGCTGATGGGACTCCAGAGAAAAGCGAAGATACTGGCATTTTGTTGCAGCCCTGTTGTGGCTGGCTGCATAATAATTTCCAGGAGGCTTTCGGAAATGTTAAAAATAGTTCATGACCAAAAAAAAAAAAAAAAAAAAAGAACTCTCAGGCCCCCATCACTATTTTTATGCATCTCAAGGGGTCCAGAGGCCCTGGATTGGGAATGCCATATCAAGCCTGGTTCCCCCTCACATTACAGATGACACGGGGAGGTGCACTCAGAAGCGTGGCCCCATTGGAGACTCAGTAGGGCTGAGGTTGAGGGGGTGCAGGGTTCCGCCTCTCTCTTCCGTGTGTCCAGCCCCTTCGTCTTGCAGTGTGGCAGTCTCTGTGCTGGACACTTCCACCCCAGGAGACTGGAGATGAATAGAACAGAGGCTATGGCTCTGGAACGTGCCACCTGGGGGTGTTGAGGGAAGCACTATAAGAGAGACCCAAGTGCCCCGGGGGTTCAGAGAAGGTGTCACTCTGATCAGGGAGGTGATCTTTTGCACCACAGAGGCATGGATGTAGGCATCAGAGCTAGGGAAGGGCATTTCAGACGCAGCCCTAGTGCAGCAGCAGGGACTGTCTGGGTGTTGGAGTCCCGTGCGCTCCAGTGTTGGCCAGCAAGTGTTAGCTCCTTGTCACTATGGATGTCGGGGTCAGTGCCAAGCCCCTGCCCCTCACCCCCTGCTACACGGACCCCCAGCTTCTGGTCTTCCCTCCTCCATAGAACAGCAGGAAGTAGACTGCCTTTAGGGAAGCAAGGGTCTCAGTAGCCACCTAGGCCAGGGAGTAACTCCCCCAGGCCTTTGTCCTCTGCACTTGGCCTCTGGCCACGGCTTTCAGATCATCCCCCTCAGCACAGCCCCAGATGCTCCACTCAGCCTGGGTTGGAGGGAGGGTCCTGTGTGCCCAGGACCCCCAGGCCTCAGCTCTGGGCGCAAATCTTGTCCGAAGCTCAAGTGCAAGACCAGAGCGAAGGAAGGTTTCCAGAGGAAATGGAGCTGCTGAAGTTTAGAGCTTGTTTCTGCTGTCAGGCCCTGTGCCTCCCAGGGGTCTTACTATTAGAACCTGTTTCTATCCCACTGACTCATCTCTCTTTAGGGGCCACCAGGGCCTCCAGGCCAGCCAGGACCAGCTGGGATCTCTGCAGTGGTGAGTAACATGCTCCACTCCTTCCTCCCTCCCAGGAGTTTTGCCCTGCTTGACTGTGGGCTCCATTCAGAGGAAGCTGGGGGGATGGAGAACAGTTTGTCTCATCCCCTCCTTCCCTGGTGTCAGCCTCTCCTGCCTCCAAAGATCTCGCCTTCCAGGATGTGGCAGAGGGCTTTGGAGAGGGCTGGAGGTCATCTCAGAGTCCTGCTGCAAGTTCAGGCAGTGCCAC
Source organism: Homo sapiens (assembly GCF_000001405.40). Classification (NCBI taxonomy): domain Eukaryota; kingdom Metazoa; phylum Chordata; class Mammalia; order Primates; family Hominidae; genus Homo; species Homo sapiens. The sequence continues at coordinate 31,658,684 of NC_000001.11, read as the reverse complement.
CTCTCCCTGTAGTCCCTGGCACACGATGGGGTGTCTGTCTCTGGCTATATGGGAGTCCACTTTGCCTGCTTTCCTCCCCTCTCACTGTCCCCCTTCCTATTCTCTAGGGTCTGAAAGGAGACCGAGGAGCCACCGGAGAAAGGGGCCTTGCAGGCCTCCCAGGCCAGCCCGGCCCCCCTGGACACCCTGGCCCCCCAGTAAGATCCCACATTCTACAGCATAGCCCAGGGGGAAAGAGTCAATTGGCTCAAGGCCTGTTGAGCACAGCACAACATATCTGGGGTCTCTAAGGAAGGAGAGGCTGTCAGCATGGCAGGATGGCAGCGTGGCGTTCGGGCCTGAGGATCATGCTGAATTTGGAAGGATAGGCCCTGCAGTGCTGTGCCAGGCTGCACATGAGGTCACTGCCCATGACGGTGCCTCAGCATCAACCTTCTGCAGACCCCTTGGCTACGTGTCCCTGTTCTGCCTCTTCCCCTTCCCCAGGGGAGCTTGTCAGTAACCACAGAAAATCTTGCTAAATGTCAGGAACCAGAAATGCAGTGCTGTTACTGTAACTTCCTGAGGTCCTCGGAAACCAGGACTTGGTCTCAGCTCACGTTTAACACTAAGAGCGCTGATATATCGGTCACCGATGTGTGCCGAATGGTGGACTAAGTGCTTGCTGTGCATTTTATCTTAATCTGTGCCGCAGCCCCATTTAGTGGATCTGATTGTCCCCATTTTACAGATGAGGAAACGGGGGCTCCGCAAGGTTAGGCAGGTTGCTCGGAGTCACATAGCTAGTGAGTGGAAGAGCTCTGACTTGATCCCAGCCTGCCTGATTCCAGAACTCATGTCCTTAGCCACTCTGCAAATCTACCTCTCTCAAAAGTTCCAGACAGGTGAACCCTAACAGGTGCAACTGATTGCCAGGGTCAGGGATGAAAAGTCTCCTGGGAGAGCAGAGGCAGGGACCCAGGTCTCCTGGGACCCATCAGGATGCTTTCCATCAACGCAGACTTTTTCTGGGGGGCAGCAGCAGTGACCGTGGGGCTGGTGGCCTGGGCTGGGGTGTTTGACTCCAGTCAGCCCATCTGCCAGGCGGGCCCAGTCTCACCACGCCTATTCGCTCTGATTCCTGCCAAGGACCCTGCCTCCCTCCTTGCAGGCTCAGGAGCCTCCATGGCCCCTGGATGAATCTCCCACTTGCCTAGCAATCAGAGTCCTCTTCCCCAGCAGCCACCAGAAGAGAGGCTGCCTTGCTGGTCTCAGGGAGGGGGCCGGCTCAGGCTGTTCATGTGTTCATTCAGCAAACGTTTAACATAGATTCAGAGCCAGGGAGTGTGCAAGGTGCCAGGATCCAAGCACACAGCAAGGCAGGCACGGTCTGTTCTTCCCTTGTAAAGCTCTTGTAGACGGGGGCTGGGAGCTGTTGGGGCTCTGGGATCACGCTGGAGTATGGGGTGGGGGTCTAAGTTTCCACGGCCTGTGCCCAGATTGTCAGAGGGTGAGGGCTGGAGGATCGTGGCCTCTGGGTGGAACAGGGGGCTGGGCTTGCCCCATGTACAAAGTGAGGCATCTGACACCAAACTGGGTTGGAGCTCCTCATGTCTCCATTGCTCTCTACTCCCCAGGGCGAACCTGGTACGGATGGTGCAGCTGGCAAAGAGGTACAGTTGTACTGGTCTTCTCTGTTTCCTTGGGGGTGCTTCTTGCTCCTCGCCTTGCCCTGACCCCTCTTCATTTTTTTCAGTAAACATTCCTTCTATGTACGGGCTGTCTCTGGAAATTGTTAACCCTGTTGTCCTGGGGAGAGGAATTAGAGACTTGAGGCCAAGGATGGGAGTGAGATTTGTTTTACCTTTTTTTTTTTTTTTTTAAACCCTGTACCTGGTCAAAAAGAAACAACAACAACAACAATAATAATGATAATAATAAATTCCAAACAAACATCTCCTGGGTACCAGGTCTTTCCAGGCCCCCCAGTATGCCACAGACTGGCCCTCTCATTCTGACTTCTCGCCTCTCTTCATCTGTGATGGGGGCCCAGCCAACATGCTTAAACAAGGCCATGCCCCAGAGGACATTATTTTCCCTTCCAGCTGGGCAGGGAGGCTGCGCTCCTTTCTCACACAGAGCTGGGCTGGACACACCTGGGGGCCTCAGGCTGTGGAAGGGGCCTCTTCACTGCACCTGCCTCCCCAGGGAGCCTCAGAGATGCTGCCCGGACTTCACCTCTGACTTTTGCTTTCCTCTAGGGACCCCCTGGAAAGCAGGGATTCTATGGACCTCCTGGTCCCAAGGTGAGTGGGCACTGGCTGGGCTTGAGAGGAGAAGCTCACGAGTGGATGAAGCCCAGCTGCAAGTTACGGCTTTAGCCACAGAGAGGAGACACAGGAAGGCCAGTGGGCAGGGGGCAAAAATGCAGAACTTGGAGCAGGATAGTGTCTGAAAATTTCTCACATGGGGTCATTAGCTGTGGTTGGGGGGAAGGAAATCTCCAGTTCATTTACTCACTGATTGACTGATTGATTCATTCATTGTTTCCATTTCCCGAGCACTCCCTTGCTCCTGCTCACATTCCAGGCCCTTGTCCTGGCCTCAGGTAAACAGAGGTCCCTGAACAATAGGTGCTCACAATAGACCAGTCACACTTACACTAGGGATTGGCAAGTTTTCCAGAAGACATGAGACATAGCGCTGTGGGATGAGAGGGAGGAGCACCCAACCCAGCCTGGGGAGTCGGAGAGGCTGCAGAGAGAACAGGAACACTTCAGCTCAGGAGGGGTGCACTGGATAGAGAGAGATGAGGGGAAGGGCATTCAGGACCATAACAACATGGCAGAATCAGAGAATCATCACCAGTGAGGTCTGGTGGGAGGCAGAGGGTGGGGAGAGGAGGCTGAGGAAGGAACGATCAGGACCACATAATGAATGGCCTTGCATGCCCGGCCAACGAATGAGTGCTTTATCCTGAGGACATTTGGGAGCCATCAGAATTTCTAAGCAGGGAGTAACACCAGGAGAACTGTCTTCTAGAAGGACCACTCTGGGGCAGTGAGGTGGAGTGACCTGTCAGGATGCTGTGGCCACAGTCTAGAGGGAGACGCTGGGGGCCTGGTGGGAGGGTGGAGAGAAAAGAGCAGATTGGTGAGACATCATGATGTAAATTTGACAGCACTAAGTATCTATCTTTGTAGGGTGATCCAGGAGCTGCAGGACAGAAGGGCCAGGCAGGAGAGAAGGGGAGAGCCGGCATGCCTGGTGGACCTGGCAAGAGTGGTTCCATGGGGCCTGTTGGGCCACCGGGCCCTGCAGGAGAGAGAGGCCACCCTGGAGCTCCGGGGCCTTCGGGGAGCCCTGGCTTGCCTGGTGTGCCTGGCTCCATGGTAAGGGGGAAGGCTGGCAGCTGTGGGCACTGTCCCATAGAGCAGGCATGTGGGGTGGAGCTCGGATCATCTTCCAAGCTCCTGCTGACATTCTGTGGGAAAGAGCCTGGCTCCCATAGAGGGCAGCTCTTAACTGTGTGCGGAAGGGTGGGGATGATAGGACCCTCTCCCCAGAAAAATGCACTTAAGAACAAAATGTTTTGTATCATATCTGGGTGGTTAGGACTTTGGATTGAGAATCTACGGAGGTTGCTGTGAGCCAAGATCGCGCCACTGCACTCCAGTCTGGGTGACAAAGTGAGACTCTGTCTCAGAAAAAAAAAAAAAAAAAAAAAAAAAAAAGAATCTGTGGGAGGCTCCTGGGACCTTTGCCTTCCTCCCCATCCTTTATTTCCATAGGGGAAAATGCCAGGCTTGGAAGTATAATTGAGGCAGGTTTTCTTCTCTTTCTTCAGGGAGACATGGTGAATTATGATGAAATCAAGAGGTTCATCAGACAAGAGATCATTAAAATGTTTGATGGTAACTGGCAGCCAGCTGGGTGGCAGTGGGTGCTGTCTGCCCTTCCTTGTGACTTCTCTGCCCTGCCTTGGCCTCTTTCTCCTTAACGCTCAATGTCCTCCTGCTCTCACCCTCCACACACTCACAGGCCTGGGGTTGACAGGCAGATGTTCAATTATCCTTCAGACCTTCCTTGTCACCTGTTCTGTTCAGAGATAAAATGATTCCCTCCTGCATTCCCCGAGCCCCCACTTGAGCAAAGGAGACAGACAAGAAAATTGGTATTAAACGAGTCTGCCTGAAGTGAGCTCTAAATACAGGGGCGAGCGGCACTGTAAGATGGCTGGGGTGGTTTATTTGAAGTGTTTTTTTCTGTTCATTTGTTCATCCAACATTGATGTGCCAGGGACTGGGGAAAACACAGGCCCTGTCCTGAAAGGGCTGGACGTCTTGCTTGGGAAGCAGACCTTGAATGCCAAGCAAGGAATGCGGACTTTATTCTGAAGCCAGCGGTGAACTAATGAGGGGTGTTGGAGCAGAGATGCCATAGTCAGATCTGTGCTTTGGAAGGATCTCCATGGGGAGCGACGTGGAGGCCAGGACGTGGGAACCCCCTTGCGAGACCCACCCCCATACTCCTTGCCCTGACATCCCTGTGAAGGAAGGCTGCTGTGGACTTCATGCTGGTGGCCTATATGCAGCATCTGCAGTCATTCTGAGTCCCTGGGGGACCCTCTGACCTGTCCCTGTCCTTGTCCTTTTTTTACAGAGAGAATGGCTTACTACACCTCCAGGATGCAGTTCCCCATGGAGATGGCGGCAGCTCCGGGACGACCAGGGCCTCCAGGGAAGGATGGTGCTCCGGGCAGGCCAGGTGCTCCAGGGTCACCTGGGCTCCCTGGTCAGATTGGCAGAGAAGGACGGCAGGGCTTGCCAGGAGTAAGAGGTAGCTCTGCCCTACAGTTCCCAAGGGACACATGTAATTCTTTGGGGCAGGCCTAAGTATTCCATGAGGTCTGTTGTGAATATGGGATGTATGTGTGTGTGTGTGTGTGTGTGTGTGTGTTTCAAGTAATCTGACTGGCTGTGTCATTTTTCTGCTCAGGGATAGGACTTATTTATTTCTTTTGTTCCAGGATTGCCTGGTACCAAAGGTGAAAAAGGGGACATTGGTATTGGCATTGCAGGAGAAAATGGTCTTCCCGGCCCCCCAGGTAGGAAATACCACCATTTGAGACCATGAATCCAGAGCAGCAGAGACCCCTTTTCTTTCTGTTTCTTCTATGACACAGCTGTGTCAAACTCCAAATAACGACAGGCCAGTCAACCACATTTATAGGAATGCCACTGTGTGCAAGACACTCTGCCAGGGCCTGTGGGGATGTGGGGGCGGAAGACTCAGTACCTGTCCTTAAGTCCTAAACTGGGCTAGCATGATGCAGTAGGAGAGAGCTGCATGGAGGTGGGGATGAGGAACTCGAGTTCAAGTTCTACTCAGCACCTCACTGGCTGTACACCTTGAAGAGGCCACTTAAGCCCTTTGGAAGTGCTCTCTACGATGAATGTTTGGCTATATAGCCTGAAAGAGGATGGCCAAAGCCTGATGACCTGGCTCTGAGACCCAGCATCACAACTTACCAGAGGTGCAACCTCTCTGAGCCTGTGTCCTCATCTACAAAATTAGACAATAGCTTCTTTCTCAGGAAATTGTGCAGATTCAATGAATAATGCATCAAAAGCACTCAGCCCTGTGCCTGGCACATGGAAGTTCTAAATAAAACTTGCCAGCAGTATTGTTATTGTTAAATCAACGTGAGGATCAGACTAGGTCTTCATGAAAACATGTGGTAACTTGAGAAACAGTCATCAAATGTAAGGTATTATTTGATGCCATTATGGCTTCTTTTCCCTTATGATCTGGGTCTTCTGATTTTCCCTCTGTGGCCCTTCCCTCCCTAGGTCCTCAAGGTCCTCCAGGCTATGGCAAGATGGGTGCAACAGGACCAATGGGCCAGCAAGGCATCCCTGGCATCCCTGGGCCCCCGGGTCCCATGGGCCAGCCAGGCAAGGCTGGCCACTGTAATCCCTCTGACTGCTTTGGGGCCATGCCGATGGAGCAGCAGTACCCACCCATGAAAACCATGAAGGGGCCTTTTGGCTGAAATTCCCCACCTGCCTTTGGATGAAAGACTCCGTTGGGAATAAATGGCCAAAGCTTATAGGACTCTGTGACAGGTTGTGAATGTTTTTTTTGTTGTTGTTGTTGTTTTTAATTGCTGTTAATATTTTTTAAATAATAAAGAAACAAAACTATCTGCCCTTTCCCTTCCAGTGGGTTCCTCTGGTGCTGCAGCCAGAGCTCCCTGTTGCCCTCCTTTTCCCGTTTAGTCCCAGGAACAAAAAAGGGCATTTTGGGTACAGGGGCATATACCTGTAATCCTAGCTATTCAAGGGGCTGAGGTGGGAGGATCGCCTGAGCCCAGGAGTTTGAGACCAGTCTAAGCAACATAATGAGACTCAGTCTCCGAAAAATAAAAATTAAAAAATAAAGGGTATTTCCCTCCTTGCCTGTGGTCAGCCAGTGGTGCTGTGAGATTCTGCTGGATGGGGGCAGCTGATGACCCTTTGCTCCTCGGGATCTTGTGCCCTGTTCTTCATGCCTACGTCTCTTGAGTTAGAGAAGGAGCATCACTCAGCCTCTTCTCTCAAGTGAACCAAAGCACGTTGGAAGGTCCCACTTCCTGCTTTAAAGGTCCCTCCCTATTTGATTCCCTAAAGAAACCCGTGTTCAGTACCCCACCCACTCTTTGCCCATCCACTTCACCTTGTCAGTGTGACCCAGAGCCGGTCCGGGTTGCACCCTGGGAAAATGCCACCCGGTGCTGAGGTGTGTTCATCTGCCTGGAAGCCCTTCCAAGCATGCAGGCACTTCTTGATGCTCCAGTAATTCTGTGATTAGAATACCTGTGCAAACAGGAGAGAAGACAGGCTCCAGCTCTGTCCTAGGCATCCAGGGAATGCTTCTCTGGGAAATGAGATGGAACCTTCTGCCTGTACCAATGCATGGTCACTAGCTCTCTATAAGTGCTTCCAGCAATGACTTTCTGGAGGGCAAATAACATCTCCTGTTTTTCTTTATTATTCTAATATACGTGGTACTTTTCCTGTACATCTTAGCCTAGGCCTTTAGAAACAGCCAGGTTGTATCAGTACAAAGAGTTCATGGGCAAGCCACGAGCAGATCTAAGCTCACGGTCCTCAAAGTCCACTGGGAGTTTGGTGATCTATCTGTTGTGTCCTTCTCCCTATGTAAAAAAGGCTAGGAAGGGGAAAAAAGACAGTGAATTGAATATTATAGAAACATTCTCTCTTGAGCTTCTTCCTTCTCTACTTTTTAGATCTCTTGTCCTGATGGGCTGGCTGCCCTGTGAGAAAGCAACAAGGCACTTCCAGGGGGATTTCCAAAGAAAGCTTTTTCACTGGCCCCAGCTATCTGGAAGGTTTATTCAAGTTGGATACACTTCAAAGGACTCACAGAGCAGGCTCAGAAATGTACCCAAAGTCTAGATGCTTATCCAAACTGCCTGAAGCCTTCAAACCGGCTGTCAAATCTCTGCAGAGCTGGTATTTCTAGCACATTTCTGAAAACTCCCTTCTCTAGTTGGGTCCCAAATACCAGGAGACCAGCCTATTGATGGCTTTTCAGAACCTTTGCCCTATTTTTTTTTTTCCTGCCAGGAGCAAAGGTGTGCTGGTGGCCAGAAGAATGAAATCAGACTCCTGAGCATGCCCGAGTGTCTCATGTGATGTTTTTAGATAAAGGAGGCGCTGATTCTTTTTTCATCCCTCCCCAGCTATTCTCAGTTAACCCTGGTTCTAACATAAAACATTAAAAAGCAAAGGCATCATTTTTGTACTGAAGTAGCAGCCAGGTTTTGGACAGTGGAAGAGGACAGATGTTAAAGCACTCCCATTGGAAGGCCAGCTTCCTCTTTCAGCCTAGTCTGCCGAGTACTAGCTGATGATAGGCCTTCTCATGAGGAGCATGTTGGCGCTGGCAGAAAGAAAGAGACGCAAGGACCAGCTGTGGAATTGAGCAGGTTGGCTTTGAAGGCCAGAGGGGAAAAACTGCTATGAGGAAACATCCAACTCATCCCCTTTAAGGGTCACCAGGGAATTGATCCTTATAGAGTAAATGATGCCTTCTTCACTTTTCTTCCTGAGTCAAATTCATGCTACTCTTAAGGGATTCTACGACAGGCTAGGTTTAAGCTTTCATGATTTGAATGCATGTCTCCCCGGAGTTTGAAATTGCTGTATTTTCTTGGACCATGAAGAACCAGATGGAAAGCTGAATTTTATAGTCTCTTCTGTTACTGTGGTCAGCAAGAAATCCATGGATCTTGCTCATCAGTTCAGGAGCTGGGTAAGCTGAAGAGAAAGCAAGGAGGGGCATGTGTCGTCCATTCCTCTTAGGCAGCTTTTGCACGTTCCAACCCCATTATCCTTCTGTCTTCATTTCTTAACCTACTCCAGGCTTTCCAGGCAGCACACAGATCATTCAGATTGGAAAAGTCTAACTTGATGAGTCCATTCCTCTTCCTACTTTGTCCCAGGGACTGTACTAGGCTCTGGGGATCCCAAGGCAAACTAGACAGATATGGTCCCTGCTCCCACAGCATCCACAGGGAGAGCAGACAGTTAAACAAGCACCTACAATAAAGTGGGATGATAGGGCAGTGCCAGGTACAGGGGAGTGCACAGCTGGGGAACCTAACCATGTCTAGACGAAGAGATGGATTCAGGCAGAGGGAACAGCACGTGCCAAGGCCCAGAAATGACTGGTTGCAGCAGGCTGAGTGACGGGAGACAGGACAGTGTGATTGGATTTTGGAGCATGAGCAGGGAAGACAGTTGGAAGCCACTGGTGGGTTTCTCACAAAGGTGTGTCAAGTCAGGTTTGCCGAGTGGGGAGTTCGCTGATGGCAGTGTGAAGGATGGGACTGGAGGGTCCTTAATTTGAGAAACCCTCTGCTCAATAAGATGGAGAAAAGGCTGCTGTGTATTTATTCTGCAGAGAAAAATCTAAACTTTGATGCTTCTGGAATTTAAATCTTCATTTTTTGTCATAATATTTTCCTCTGTCACTCAAATTCAACAGAATCTAATTAGACTCTTTCTTCATCTGGGGTCTGTTAACCCCTTTACAAGACTAGTTTTTTTTTTTTTTGGAGGTGGGGGGACAGAGTCTCACTCTGTCACTCAGGCTGGAGTGCAGTGGTGCGATCTTGGCTCACTCAACCTCCACCTCCAGGGTTCGAGTGATTCTCCTGCCTCAGCCTCCGGAGTAGCTGGGACTACAGGCACAAGCCACCATGCCCAGCTAATTTTTGTATTTTTAGTAGAGACAGAGTTTCACCATGTTGGTTAGGCTGGTCTTGAACTCCTGACCTCAGGTGATCTGCCTGCCTCGGCCTCCCAAAGTGCTGGGATTATAGATGTGAGCCACCGTGCCCGGCCATGGATATTTTTTTTTTTTTTTTTTTGGTGCTGGAGATCCCAAAGGACTAGATCTTTTTTGTGGCTGTCCTGAACAGTTTATGGGAATAGACGATGTCAACGTACTCTACTTATGATCCCATAATGGAAGGGGAGTGTGGCCAAATTGCCACGTCTGCTGTTCTCATTCCTCTGTTGCTTCTGTGGAAAGTTGCAAATCATCCTCTGATCCACAGCATCCAACTGGAATTTAAATTTCAGAACTGGATCTAGTTGGAATCAAAGAGAATTAATTCCATAATAATTAGGTGGGTGTTGGTATTCCTTCTCAGTAAGCCTTACAGAAGCTTGGTGCGAGCCAAGTGGCTCCTGGGAGGCTGTGTCTCTAGGGGAGGCAATATTTTCCAGTGGATGGGCTTTTCATTACCAAGCTCTGCCTCACCCCTAATGGGTCAACCGCAGGGCTTCCACGAACTCAGGAAAGTGCTCTGTGTTCTAAAAAAAGTCTGGAATCCATGCTTTCCCCTTGGGCTACAAGTGAAACAATAACAGGAACTTCTCCACCCACCTCTGTCTGCCTCAGGTAGATGAGGTTTTGGAAGTGAGTTGATTGTTTTTCAGTCTTAGGAAGATCCTGATCTCTCTTTTATCCAGCCCCCTCCAAAACAAACATACCTGGGCCTGTGTGGGTCCTCAGAGGCACAGCCCTGGCTGTTGGCTTTGGCACGTTCCTGACTCCCTAAGAGAAGATGTGGATGCTCCATCCACGAAATAGCACAGACCTCCCACAGATAGTTCTCCTAAGCCCTTTGCTGGGCATAGGGGAATGGGGGCAAATAATTCTCATAGGAGTTGGATTCTCATCACCTAGAACAGAGCCTGGCAAGAGGTGGGAACCCAATGGGATCATATGTTTGTGGAATAAATGAGTGTGTGTCACATGACTCCAGTTTGCAGGCCAGCTTGTCACTGTTCTCTCTCCAGGCAAATACCCACTTGACCTTCAACCTTCTTCCCTTCTGAAGTTTTGCAGCTCAATTCCACCAATATTTTTTGAACTGGGGGGTTAGGAAGGTAAAGAAGACACAATCTACTAACTATTAAATACTGAGTAGTTAAAAAAAATGCAGACCTGGGATCAAGTCCTACTTCTCCATTTATCTTTTTTTTTTTTTTTTTTTTTCCCCAGACAGAGTCTCTCTGTTGCCCAGGCTGGAGTGCAGTGGTGCAAACACAGCTCATTGCAGCCTTGACCTCCTGGGCTCAAGCAATCCTCCCACCTTGGCCTCTGGAGTGGCTGGGACTCCAGACACATGCCACCATGCCTGGCTAATTTTTTAAAACTATTTTTTGTAGCGATAGGGTCTCACTATGTTGTCCAGGCTGGTTTCGAACTCCTAGGCTTAAGCGGTCCTCCTCCCTGCCTCCCAAAGTGTTGGGATTATAGGCGCGAGTCACTGCGCCTGGGCTCCATTTATCTTTTTGATAACAGGAAGGTCACTTAACCTCTCTGAGCCTCAGCTCCTCATTATAAATGGGTAATAGTCTCTATCTCAAAAGACTGTGGTGAAAATTAAACAACACATAGTACTTAGCACAACGTCTGGCACCTAGTAAGCACTCAATACATGATAATAATAACTACTAACATTGAATTCATGCTAGGCACTATTCTAGGTGCTGAGGTTAGAGGACTACATAAGAAAATGACAATTCTACAATATACATGTAAACAAAGTGGACAATTCAACTAGTGACATGTATTATGAAAAAATAAGATAGATGATGGGAATGCTTGGGGGGCAGTGTCAAGAAACTCCCCCCACCCCAGGTGATATCTGAACTGAGACCTGGATGATAAGGAGAAGCCAACCAGTGAAAAGTCAAGGGAAGACTATCCCAGACAGAGGGAAAAGCTAGTCCAAAGACCTGGAGGCAGGAATGAGCAGGCAGTCAGAGACCAGCCAAAGCCAACATCCAGGAATGAGCTCTGTACATTCCAGGAATGGCACAACCAGGCCGGCATGGCTGGAATGAGGCAAGGGGGACAGCAACAGCAAGAAATGAGGCTGGAGATGCTGGTATGTGTGGCCATGAATGTCATTAGGATGAGTTTAGCTTTTATTATAAGAGTGATGGGAAGTCCCCAGGGAGTTGAAGCCAAGGAATAAGATAACCACTCTGGCTGCCTGTGGAGAAAATGAAGCGTGGGGAGAAGAGTGAGAGCAGGAACATTGGTCAGTCGGCTATTGTAGTGATCCAGGCACGGATGATAGTGTCTTGGACTACAGTGATAGTGCGAACAGGGAGAAAAGAGCAGATGTGTACATGTTTGAATTAGAGCAAATGGAGATGAGGGAGGTGAGGGAGTGTGTGGAGAAAAAAAGGACACACAGGAATGATCTTAGGTTTTTGGCCTGAGAGACTGGGTGGATTTTCTGAGATGGAGAGGAATGGGTTTTGGGGAAAACACCAAAAGAAAACTCTTATACAAGGCAGGCTGGAATACCACACAGTGACAGTACCAAGTGCAAAGGGGGAGTGGCAAGAGAGAGTGGCTAACTCTGGAGCTAAGGGGAATGTGGGAGGGTTAGGTGGAGAATGGAATTGGAACTGAGCCTTGCAGGACTGGAGTTGGGAGGGCTGCTGGTCCAGGTGAAAGGAGTGGTTTGAACCTAAGTTTGGGGCATGAGCAGGTATAATAAGCTCATTTTCAAATTTACACATTTGTTCCTGTCAGCTAAGAAAAGTGAAATTTAGAGAGGTTAAATAACTTGCCTAAATAAAATGTGGTAGATATACACTGTGGAATACTATGCAGCCATAAAAAAGGAACAAGATCATGTCCTTTGCAGGGACGTGGATGGAATTGGAAGCCATTATCCTCAGCAAACTAACAGAGAAACAGAAAACCAAACACCGCATGTTACCACTTATAAGTGGGAGCTGAATGAGGAGAGCACATACACCACTGGGGTCTGTCGGAGCGTAGAGGGAGGTGGGAAGAGGGAGAGCATCAGGAAGAATAGCTAATGGATGCTGGGCTTAACACTTGGGTGATGGGATGATGTGTGCGACAAACCACCATGGCACACATTTACCTATGTAACAAACCACATCCTGCTCATATACCCCTGATCTTAAAAGTTGGAAATTAAAAACAAACAAACAAAAAACCTGCCTAAGGTGATACAGTTAGAAAGTGATAAAACAAAGATCCTCCCTCCAAAGCAGAAGTGCTGAATGGTGGAACTGAGCACAGAAATACAGAGTAGCAGAAGGGGCCGTAAGATTGGAAAGTTGAGGCTGGGCCAGATTCTGAAGGGCCTGGAGTACCAGAATGAAGAGATTGGGCCTTATTTTGTAGGCGTGGATGAAGAGCATCCATTGTAGGCTGTGTAGTGGGCAAGTGGCATGATCAGCACTGTGATTTTGGAAAGTGCACTTGGTTAGATAGATGGACTAGACTGGATAACAGTTCGTAACATTCATTTATTCATTTATTTTAATAATCGTGTCAGTCGCTATACTAGGTACTGGAGTTATAATGACAAGCAAAAACAGACAAAACCCTAGCCCACATGAAAGAACTTGACAAAGAAATCAAATAAGCACACAAATAAGTGTAGAAACGGAACCACTGAGTGGCAAGTACATGGTGCTGAGATCACTCGGTCACCAGGATTTGACCTACGATGGGGACCGACCTAGACCTCCCTGCTGAGAACTGGACATCCATTGACCCCGGTTCTAGGCGACCCACTGTGAGCTAGGGCAAGGCAACTGCCTCTCTGCACCTCAGTTTCCCCATTTATGAAGAAAGAGGCACTAGATAATTCAATTTTCCTCCAACTCTAATGATCTGGGGTTTTTTTCTCCAAAGACCACAGATCTGTATCCCACTACAAGGGTACTAACTGGTACCCAGTACCTTGACATTAGAGGAGTAATTCCGCCATCGCCTCTCCCTACCGGGAAGAGTCGGTCGGTTCCCCGTTGTCAGGGCAACCGCCTGGCCACCGCCCCTCGTCTCCTTTCCCGCGGCTCATCTGCGGAAACTCAGGAGCTACTCCAGCAATTACGTCACTATCATGCGTCCCATTTGCCAGGTTATAACATGGCTACCGCAGCAACACCCCACCCAGGCTTCTCACTAAATTTCCCAACCTGACCACCTCTTCGGCCCACTCCACCTCAGGAAAAGGAGGAACATTAGCGCTGGTACAGCCGCCAAGACTTCCGGAAGCTCCATCAATCACTTAGCTCCCCTGGTCTCTCGGGTAGGCATCCGCCCACCGCCCCCATCGTCACTTCCGTCGGCCGACAGCACCCAAGATTGACAGGCGCGGACGTCCAATCAGATGCGGGCCCAGCCCCAAAGCCGAGACGAGGGGCGGGTTTGAGAGCGGAAAGCCCCACCCCTTGCCTGAGTGTGACGTCAGAATCACCATGGCCAGCTATCCTTACCGGCAGGTGAGTGTGTGAGGGGCCCGCGAATCCAGGTAGCGGCGGTGCCAGGCGCAGGCCCGACGTCCCCCTGCTCTTTCTCCCCGCTTTCTCCGCGCCCTTCCCACGATGGGTTCGCTTCAGCGAGGCCTTGCGCTGTAGAGAACCGAAAAGGGACCGTCGGTCGCGCCCTGCTCACGTCATGAAGGACCGCACATTCGCGAGGTCGTGTCGCGCCCCCTTGACGTCGCTCACTCGAGGATTTGGGGACCTTGGACCCCACAGGTCCAGGCTGGCGCTGGCCTGGGCTCCACAGCCTCCCAAGGCCCTCATGGGGGCCTTGGGCGGGGGCATCAGCCATGACCGGAGGTTTAGAGTTCTGGTTCCGCCGATCTCATTTGGGGCGTCGGATAAAAATCCAGGCTTCCGGACCCACCCCACACTGCATCAGAGTCATCAGGAAACTCTGGTTGTAGCAGGCGCCACAAGTGAGCTGGTTTGACCACTGACTTAGTTCAACACCGCCATTTCGCGTGTAGAAAAGTGAACCCCGAGAAGACACAGAACTTACCTGAAGTCACCAGGCAGTTAGGCAGCAGGGCCGAGGTCAGAACCCGGGCTATCTTCAGATGCCTCTTCCCCAGCGTATCTTGATTCAGTCAGGAATACCGCAGCAAGGTGATTCTGTGGCCAGAATTCTTTGTTGGGTGATAGTAGGGTGTTGAAGTGCACTTTGGTGTCAGAGGTAGGTTCATATCTTAGCTCTACCACCTAAATAGTTGTGAGCCCTTGAGCAAGCTGTTTTGCCTTTCTGAGTCCAAGTTTCCGCCTGTAAAATAGGGCCGAATAATAGGATCTGCCTCATAAAGCTGTTGTGGAGAGTCAGGAGGTGATGCTTACGAAGCGTTTGGTACATAGTGAGGTGTAACATGTGTTGCCCTTTAGCATTTTGATTTTTAGTAGACTTCTAAAAGGCCAGTGCCCGGAGGGTCCTCAAAATAGAGCCCTCATTTTACAGAGGAGGAAATGAAGCCCACAGAGGGCTGCGATCACACAGTTATTTAGGAGATGAAATCCATAAACGAAATGTGGGAAAACAAGATCAATTGGTATATTACACAGTGCTCAACTGAGTTTAGTCACAGGCCAAAAGATGTAACAGTCCTTCCAGGGAGTGCAGTCTTGTGCGGGTTACACAGTGTTTGGACCTCCATTATCCTAATCATGAAGTCCCTATCGGCATGCAGGTATTATTACCCCTAATTAACTGCTGAGGAGCAAACCCAAAGAGGTTAAGTGGCTTCCCAAAAGTCACACGTAGTAAGTGAGGGTGAGGCCATGACCAGAGCTTAGGACTTCTCTTATTGCATCCTTAGAGAGAGGTAGGAAAGAGAGAGGCCAGTGCGGGCTGGAGTTAGGAAGTGTAGCATAGCAGTTGCTTCCTAAAGTCCATTCCATTTGCTGAGTCTTGGGAGGTTTTAATAGATATTGTTAATATAGGAGGATTCTGTAGTTAACTAAAGTTTTGGAAATACTCTTAAGTATAGCTGAATAAGTTTATTGACCACAAGCTATTTCAGAATCCTTAATTTGCTAATGTACATTGTAAATCATCCAGAAAGGAATATAATATGCAGTATTTCTTAAACATATCTAACCATAGAAACTCCGCCTCCCGGCTTTCTTTTCAGATGTCTGGTCACTTTTTTGACTCTAGTATTTCTGAGGAACACAGGCTGAAAAAACATTCATAGCGCCTTGTTTCCCAGTGGCTGGTCTTCTGCCTCAGAATCAGCTGAGAGCTTGTTTAAGAAAGCACACTTTTGGGTCCCACTTCAGACCTGTTCTGTACCCAGGAATCTACATGCTAATAAGCATTAGGGACAATTGGTGTGCATCCTAAAAGCAGTGACAGGTTAGAGAGAACTGTGCTAGAATTCTAGCTGTATTACTTAATAGTTATATACCCCTGGACAAACTAAGGGCTCTGAGCCTCAGCTTCCTCACCTGTATAAAGGGAGAAATAATACCTGTGAAAAGGGCTAAAATGAGGTTAAAATGCAGGGAGCCTGGCGTGTTGCTAGTGCCTAGTACATGCCAGTGTCTGGTGGCAGCTCTTGCTGCCGTGACTGCTCTCATGATGCCATGCTGCCTGGGCTATTCCTGGAGTGAAATACTGAAAAGGAGCACAGAGAGAAGAGTCTGGAATAGAAAAAGAAATGTTGTTTTTTTTTCCTACCATACCCTTGTCCGCCTCCTGGTCTCAGGTGTTCTAAGAAAGGAAACGAGTTGTTTTAAAGCATCTCAGTCAGTGCTGCCTCCCCTCCACCCACTACATAGCTTTGGAGGATTCCAGCCTATTGTTAGGAGTCAGAATTCCTGTAATTTTCCACTGCTTCCAGTCCAGGGTACCCAAGCAGGGACTGGGTATTGGAGTAGTAAAATTCAAGCACCCTTTGGTCCTATGGGGGAACGAGCTTGGTGGATTTCAGTGCTTAAGAGCTTAGTTTTTGAGGCCAGAGAGAGTTGATTTCAAATCCCTGCTTTGTCACTCCCTTGCAGAAGTTTGTTGCAAAAGTCTGAGACTCAGTTTTCCCTTTTTTGAAAAAAATTTTTTATTTATTTGTTTATTTTTAAGACAGAGTCTTGCTCTGTCGCCCAGGCTGGAGTGCAATGGCACAATCTTGGCTCACTGCAACCTCCGTCTCCCGGGTTCAAGCAGTTCTCCTGCCTCAGCCTCCCAAGTAGCTGGAATTACAGGCGCACGCCACCACACCTGGCTAATTTTTTGTATTTTTAGTAGAGACGGGGTTTCGCCATGTTGGCCAGGCTGGTCTCAAACTCCTAACCTCAGGTGATCCACCTGCCTCAGCCTCCCACAGTGTTGGGATTACAGGCGTGAGCCACCACGCCTGGACTAGTTTTCCCTTCTTTAGAATGGGGTCATAATAGTATCTACCTCAGAATTACTCTAAAGATTAAATGAGAAAATCCACGTAAAGTGCTAGGTATGGTGTTGGGCATGTAGAATACTCCAAGTGGAGGAGTAATGCAGTTATGCAGATTGAAGAGGCAATGTGATAAGTATTCAATGGGAGTAAGTGTAAGGTACAGCACGGGAGAGTGAGATACCTAACTCAGTCTAGGGGTGCATTTTTAAAAGAGGTGATATTTAAGCCAACAACTGAATCACTGGTAGAAATTAGCTGAGTGAAGAAAGGAATGCTATTCCAGCAGAGGAAATAGCTGCACAAAGCCCATGAAGCAGGTAAGACAGCCTAGTATTTTGGAGGAACTTTAAGAAGTTCAGTGTAGTTGTAGTGATGTGGGGGAAAGGGGTAGGAAATAAGACTAGAAAGGTAAGCAAGGGCCAGATCCCAAAGGGCCTTGTATGCCTTTTTGGGGAGTGTGACTTCATCCTAAGAGTAGTGAGGGAGCCAGTGAAGTGTTTTGTCCCATTTGTGCTTTGGAGTGCTTACTGTGGGGTGCTGTGAGAATGGATTGAAGCAGGAGAGACAGGAGGCAGGGATACCGGTTTTGACGCTATTGAGGTAATCTAGGCTAAAGAGAACTGTGACCTGGTAGAGGAGATTTGAGAAGCACTTGGGAGGTAGATTTGAGAAAACTTGGCCTTAGGTTTGGATGATTAAGCAGAACGGAGCTCCATTCACTGAGATGAGAACACAGGGAGGCATGGGTTTGGAGGGAAGGTCCAGTAGGCTGCTGGATATGTGGGTCTGTAGCTCAGGAGTGATGAAGCTGGAAAGATTTGAAAGTGTGAGCACAGAGGTAATTGAAGTCTGGGGATGGTTCTTGGCTCATTGTTTATTGGTTGCGTGCTTCTCTCCTATTTCAAGTGGCTCTGCTGGTGAATGCTTGAACTGTTCCTCTTGTCTTCCTGTGATTGTTTAACCCCTTAGTTTGGGCTTCCCACCTCCTCCTGTGCACTTGAAGGGTAGCTCTGGGGTACAAACTTGTCTTTGCAATGCTCCCTCCTCCATTCGTCATCAGGGCTCAGCTTGGAACAGCCGTTGATACCTTTAAGCTTCACAGGGGTCTTGAGGTTAGAAGACTTGAGTCCTCAGAACTGGAAAGAAAAAAAAAATACCGGACTTTCTGAGGTGGTTATTTGGGAGGAGGTAAGCTCCCTACTGCTTGCGCAAGTGCAGGTAGAGATTCCAGGTGGTTCTGCAGAGATTCCATTATTAACTGAGAGGTTGAACTGAAGAGTCTTTGGGGTGTCTTCCAAAATGTGGCTTGGCTCTCAAAGTGACTCTAGGTGCTGGGACGAAAAAGAATGAGATTTTTCTAAGAGTCCCTGATTTCTGGGCTTGAAGGCTCTGAGAGATCACCCAATCCAGCCTTCCCCTCTACCTCTGTCCACAGTAGAAATTCATTATATTTGACAAAGACATTTAGCACAGTCCCTCACACAGACACATGCTAGGCACTCACTCATTTATTGAGTGAACAAACAGAAGGGGGTAGTGTAGAGTCATGCAGACCCTGACTTGAATCCCAACTTGCCCATTCTAGCTGCATGATCTCAGGCATGTTATTAAACTCTCTGCCCCTTAATTTTCTCATCTGCAAAATGGAGATGACACTGTTTACCTCACAGGACTGAGGATTAGTGAGAGCTGGTTGAACTGGAAGCACCTAGCAGAGCCTCAGTAAATGTTTGTTGCCCCCAGTCCCCCCAGGGCATCAGATGTAGCTTATTTGCAATCAGCCAGAGCCCTAGAGATAGTTTTTCTGTGTTGCTTCAGAAGCTGCAGTTACTGAACTCTTCCTGTCCTTCCCCTCCACCTGCCTTCACAATCCTGTTTATCAGTATGAAATAACTCTTGGAAAAACTCTAAAAAGGGCTGGGAGCATGGAGTAGTGTAAAAGAACGTGGAGTCAGGGATGCTGTTTTTCATTTCTGGTTCAGACCTTTGCTAACAACTCAGTGACACTGGGTGACCCTCTGTGAGGTGGGGACCACCTCATCTTCTTCCCCAAACTTCCTGTGCAGCCTGCATTCTGTCTCAGTTGGCTCCACCTCCTTCATCTTGTGCAAAAGCTAGAAACCCGAGTCATTCTGAACACTTTCCTCACTCCTCCTCCATCTCTTTCCTAATCTAATTAGTCACCAAGTCATGTCTGGTCTATCTCTGAAATAGCTTCAGAATCCATTCCGTTCTCTTCATCCCCAAGTGTGCTGTCTGGTTCATGCCCTGCCTGCCCAGCACCTGGGCTACTGCCTCCCTCACTGGCTCATCCTCCACACCGCCGCTGGTTACTTCTCTAAACAAGGTTCTCATCACGTTCCTCTCCTATTGGAAACCCTTCTATAGTGCTCTGTTTTCTCCGGCATAAAGCCCCAACAAAACTCTTTAGAGTGGTGTTCATTTGTCCAAATATTTGTGGAGGCTTGCAGGTGCCAGGCACTGTGCTGGGCCCTGGGGTGCCATGATGAGTGAGGCGCAGTGTCTGCCCCTGGGGAGCTTACTGTTGGGTGGGGGAGATGCTAGACAGAAACTACTCTTAGACACTGATACCTCACGGCTAACTGAAATGCAGGGGGAGAGGTGCTTGGTCAACGAGTGTATAGAGGGCCTGCCTTTCTGGGTTCACACTGCATTCTTGGCTCTGCGGTTTAACTCATTCCCTGAATGCACTATGCTCACTCTTAAGTCTGTGCGTTTGTCTTTCTTCTCTCTTCTGTCTGGAGTGTCCTTCCCTGCCTGCCTTTTGGAAAATGTCTATGCATCCTTCAAGGACCATTTCCAATATCACTGCCACTTCCTCCAGGAAGCTTTCCTTGACCCACTTCATACATTGTTCATTTATTCATTCTGCAAACAGCACAAATTCCTCCATCTAAGCTTCCTTGATAGCACATAAGTAGATTTTTCTGATGGCACTGATCAGATTGTATCACAATTATCTGTGGGCCCCTTAAGGGCAGGACTTCATTTACTTGTGTCCTCAGATCTACTACAGAGCCTAGTACAATATTGTCACTCTGAAAATGCGTGCTGAATGAAGTCCTTTAACAGCTCCGTGGCTTAGTTTCTTCATCTGTAAAAGAGGGCAACTAACATCTTCCTTTTTTCTGTTAGGAGGCCATTGGCAAGATTCTGCCTGTAGTGTTTGTGTTTGTGAAAGTACTTTGTAAACTACAGAGGAGGTCTTCAAATGCAGGACAGAAAGGAAAGGGTTTAATTGCTGCCAGACTACAATAGCCAGAAGGGCAGGAGACCTGCCTGGCAGCACCTGCTTTGTTGGCCTGGGGATGTTTCCTAGGTGGTTTATAGGTGGTTTCCTAGGTGGGTTTTCCTAGGTGCCAGGTGCGGTTTATAGCTTTGCTCACAGGGCTTATAGTGGGGCAGCTACTTCTGGCTTCGTGTCTGGCCTGTTCTTTGGGTGTGCCCAGATTCTGCAGAGTTCCCACTCCCTTTCCATCCTATGCTGGAATCCTGAGCCCTATTGCTTAATGAAGGAGTGTTGTAGCAGGAGGCAGGGGGAGTCATTGGGTGCAAGGGAGTGGTCCAGCCTTGTCTCTTCCTCCAGCTCACAGCATTACTTGGGCAAGTCCCTCCCTCCCTCCCCCATCTGTAAAATGGGGGTTAGGTTAAGTGACTTGTCTTCTGGGTATTTCTCTTGTCACACCTCTCCAACCCCTTGGGAATCCTGTTCGTTCTCTAAGTCCTAGCTCAAATGCCACTCTCATGGAAACACTCCCTGATTTTACCCTCCTTCCTTTGCAGTCCTATGGCACATGACTTATGTCTCCATTTCAAACACCTGTTTTCCTTATGCTGTTTTGTTAGACGTTACACAGTGTCTACATGTTAAGTCTTGTTAACTGTGAGTGCCTTCAGATTGCTTCACTCTCCTTTATACCCCACCCCGCACAGTTCACCTGGCCCAGGACTTTGCTGATAACAGTAATTAATATAGCAATAGCAGCTATGACTTACTGATCATTTGCTTTATGCCAGGCACTGTTGTAAAAACTATTTTTCTTATGTGAGTGGTTTTCAGACTGTCTTTTCAGTCACTGTGAGGGGTTTTCAGAGCCCCCTCAGAATGTAGCAAGGGAGGGGGTTCCATATTGTAGGGGCTCTGGAGCTCCCACCTTACTTCAGCCAGAGCAACTTTCTTGTATTTGTTTTATTTATTTTATCAAAGGATTCTTTCTTTCTCTCTCTCTTTTTTTTTTTTTTTTTTTTTTTTGGAGACAGGGTCTCCCTCTGTTACTCAGGCTGGAGTGTTGTGGCACAATCACAGCTCACTGCAGCCTCCAACTTAGGCTCAAGTGATCCTTCCGCTTTAGCCTCCCGAGTAGCAGGGACTACATGTGTACCACCATGCCCGGCTGATTTTTAAAAATTTTTTGTAGAGGTGGGATCTTACTATGTTGCCCAGGTTGGTTATCAAAGGATTCTTTAGCTAAAAATTAAACTGACAGAATTTTGCTGCATTTATTTTTTATAATCTGCAGAACAGTCCAGTGAGGAAGGAATTGTTCTATTTGTGAGGAAGCAGGCTCAGAGAGATGAAGCCACGGGCCCACAGTCATGAACTTAGCTGATGGGAGCAGAGTTTTAAATTGAGATCTGTGTGAGCCATTCTTGTCTGTGAAGGAGTCTTGCTAGTAGCTATGACAGCTTCTAGGGTAGAAAAGCTCCCAAGGATTGCTGAGTGGGTGACAGGGCCTGCTTCCTGCCCTCCCCACAAAAAAACCTCATGAATTTGGCCTTAGCCTTAAGAGTAATTATTTCAAGCTATCAAACACAATAAAAAGAGAAAGCCCAGGCTCTCAGTGGCTTGGCCACTGGTGCACTTACAGGTTGATCTAGAACGTATCTAGATGGTGCCGTTCTCGGAGCTGGGCCTAGCTGCTGTCTGTGCCCTTGAGCTCAGCTTGTCTGCAGATGTGTTGGGGCTGTGCTCTGCTGGGTCCTGTGCTAGCCATTTAGGGAGATGGAGCGGAACACTCCGAGGGCTACTGGTGTGGGAAGATGGATGAGAGAGGGAATGCCCCCATGTATGCTCTAATGCACAAATGCCCTGGACATAGAGCCAAGAGACCCAGGTTCTGGTCCCAGCCCCTCCACACAGCCTGTGTGTGACTTTCCTGGACTTGAGTCTTGTCCTCTGTAGGAGGCTATTATTAATAGTGTTTATTGAGTGCTTAATTTGTGTCAGGCCCAATGTCAAAGGGCTTCACATAGCTGGCCTCATTTCATTCACAAACTAACCTGAGAGGTAGCTATTATTATTCCCATTTTATAGCAGAAGATGTTGAGGCTTAGAGAGGATAAGTCAGTCCAGTTAGTAAATGGCAGAACCTGAACTTGAACTCTTGAACTGGTTGTTTTTTGTTTGTTTGTTTGTTTTGAGATCGGATCTTACTCTGTCACCCAGGCTGGAGTACAGTTGTGTGATCATGGCTCACTGTAGCCTCGACCTCCCCAGGCTCAGGTGATCCTCCCACCTTAGCCTCCTGAGTCATTGGGACTATAGGTGTGCGCCACCACACCTGGCTAATTTTTGTATTTTTTAAATAGAGATGTAGTTTTTCTATGTTGCCCAGGTTTTTAGTAGAGATGTTGTTTTTCTGTGTTGCCCAGGCTGGTCTCTAACTCCTGGGCTCAAGCAGTCTGCCCGCCTCAGACTTCCAAAGTGCTGTGATTACACAGCTGTGAGCCACCACGCCTAGCTGTTGAACTGGCCTTTGAAAGCATTGTATCGTATTGCCTTAGGAATAGGGTCTCCCCTGCCTGCCTCACAGAGTTGTGAGTGAGGATAGGGAAATGTTTTTACATCAGGGTAAGGAAGACATGCTGTGGATGAATCCATGCTATAGCTATGTCATTTGTGACTGATGAGGGTCAGGGGTGTGTGTTAGAGACTGCGTTTGCCCCATGAGTTCTGCAGATAGAGATGGGAGTACCACAGGATGGGCATTTGGAATTCTGTTTGATTCATTTGCCTATTCATTCATACAGGAAATATTTACCAAGTATCCATTCTACACTGGGAGCTGGGGATAAAGTGACAAACCAGACAGGATCCTAGCCCTTGTGGAGCCCCTTGATGTGCAGGAAAGGAGAGTTAGGAAAGGAGGATTTCAACCCTGACTCTGCAGGTCATTGGCGGGGTGACTTTGGGTAACTCGTTGCTCCTCTGGAAGCCTCAGTTTGCCCATCTGAGCAGTGAGATCATAATTCCAACCCTACCTATAGGATCAGTTGAAAGGATGGTGGTGGAAGTGCTTTATGGTTGTAAAGTGCCATACTCTGCCTAGTTTCTGGCCTCATCATTCTGACTGATATCTTGCTCTTCCTGCAGGGCTGCCCAGGAGCTGCAGGACAAGCACCAGGAGCCCCTCCGGGTAGCTACTACCCTGGACCCCCCAATAGTGGAGGGCAGTATGGTAGTGGGCTACCCCCTGGTGGTGGTTATGGGGGTCCTGCCCCTGGAGGGCCTTATGGACCACCAGCTGGTGGAGGGCCCTATGGACACCCCAATCCTGGGATGTTCCCCTCTGGAACTCCAGGAGGACCATATGGCGGTGCAGCTCCCGGGGGCCCCTATGGTCAGCCACCTCCAAGTTCCTACGGTGCCCAGCAGCCTGGGCTTTATGGACAGGGTAAGTAGTAATCTTGGACTCCGGGTACCTCTGACGTGGTTCTGAGTTATCCATGGCCAGCCTTTGTCCTTCCTGTGGGTGTGCAGGCAGCCTGGTCTCTGGCACCTTAGCATCTTGCTTCCAGCTTCAGTGTGTATCCTCAAAATGATAAGTTTGTCAGCTAGTTTTGTTGCAAGCATTTATTTGTATTGCTTGCTCATGCTTACTTTCTTTTGCTTACATGTCAGCAGCTGTTAGCTGGCTGTTGAGTTTCTGTTCCCTGTGTCTTTTTCATTCAGGGATACATGCTGAAGGAGCAGCTCCTGTTTGGGATATGTTATCTTTGTGGCAGAGAGAAGGAGCAGGAGAGCTAGCAAGAATGCACAATGCCTCTTAAAGCTTCTCTGAAGTACTGTATGTCTTGCCCACTTGCATTCTTTTGGCCAGAGCACCCCCTGATCAAGACTGACATCAGTAGGATGGGAAAGGATGCCCCTCTGCAAGCCACCAGGCAGTGGGAGAGGATGTACAATGCTCTTATAGGGAAGGGGAGATTAGCAAGTAATCTAATAATAGATTATTGAACTGGCCTTTTAAACCATTGTACCATATTAGTACAATGTCTGTGGGTGTGCAGACTGTGTCTCCTGGCTAGAGATTATTAGCCAGGAGACGATAATGTAGCCTACCATGGGGAGAAACTCAGTTTAAATATCCGTTTCTCTGTGAAAATATCTCAGAAGACACACATTCCAGGCTCTTTGCTGAGGATTTTATTTTGCTGTTATCTCATTTAATCATCACAACAATTCTGGGGAAATGGGTTCATTTTAGAAATGTGAAAATCATTACTCAGAAAATTGTACATTTTGCCTAAAGTCACACAAGCTAGTAAGGATCAGATCCAGGGTTTGAATCCAGGTCTGCTTTGATTCCAAAGCCTGAGCCCTTCTATACAAACTACACAGTTCAAACATGTCACAGAATCTCTCCTGCCCTGGGGCTGTGGCCCTTGCTCCCCTATGACACCGATGTTTTAGGAAGATGGCTAGAACCTGCCCGGATTTTTCCAAGGAAGTCAGACTAATCCCTAAGTCAGGCATACCTTTTTCCCTCTGTCCTTACTGGGCTTTGGTACTAGGCAGTGGTTTCTGTCCTCCACAACTGCCCATGGCTGTCTTTGTGTGAAGGGACCCCGATTGTGGCCAGTTAACTCAGTGTCCTAAGGTAGACAGACTTACCAGCTTCTACACTGTTTTTTTTGGGTTTTTTTGTTTTTTTTTTTTTGAGATGGAGTTTCGCTTTTGTTGCCCAGGCTGGAGTGCAATGGCGTGATCTTGGCTCACCACAACCTCCACCTCCCGGGTTCAAGCGATTCTCCTGCTTCAGCCTCCCCAGTAGCTGGGATTACAGGCATGTGCCACCATGCCCGGCTAATTTTCTATTTTTAGTAGAGACGGGGTTTCTCCATGTTGGTCAAGCTGGTCTCAAACTCCCGACCTCAGGTGATCCGCCTGCCTCGGCTTCCCAAAGTGCTGGGATTACAGTCGTGAGCCACTGTGCCTGGCCACTTCTACACTTTTATCTACCACCCATTCCCCCATCTCGCAGTTTACCTTTTCCAGAGAATTCTTGAAATGCTACAGGGGTACAGGTCCCCGTTCCTTAAAAACATAAAATCAATTAAGAGTAGTGTCTGGAACACTATACGAGAACTCCAGAGGACTCATGGAATAGAAATCAACTGCAAATACTCATGAATCTTCACTGAAGGTCCTCTTCCATCAGAGTAAGAATGTCAGCTTGATGGAAGACAGGGAAGGTGAATTTGTGAAGCTTCGTGTGTAGGAGAAACCTGTAGCCAGGAAGTTACTGAGGCTGGCCCTTCCTGGCATTTCTGTTGATGGCCTTCACACCCCTTCCTCCAGGTGGCGCCCCTCCCAATGTGGATCCTGAGGCCTACTCCTGGTTCCAGTCGGTGGACTCAGATCACAGTGGCTATATCTCCATGAAGGAGCTAAAGCAGGCCCTGGTCAACTGCAATTGGTCTTCATTCAATGATGAGACCTGCCTCATGATGATAAGTGAGTCTCCGCCTTGCCCTTGGGCCTGAGCTGGGGCAGAGCCACCTGATAGTGGACAGTAGGTGGGTAGGTGGGTGGGTGGACATTCTGAAGAGAAATTCATTGACCAGGGAGGACTGTGGGGAGGAAGCTAGGTTCAGGGTGAGATCCCCTAGACTGAGAGCTCTTTTCCTGAGATCTTTCTTAAGTTCTAGACCCTGCCTAGTTACAGGTTAACTTAGTTTCCTCTTCTGTAGAATGGTACTCCCTCCCCTGTAGGAAACAGCAGGGAGGGGTCAGGTGCCAAGCCTGCAGAGAAAATGCAGTTCTGGATGGGGTGGGGCTAAAGGTGTCCAGAGTAGGAGGACGGTGCAACGCTTGATGTGGGTGTCTCAGGTGCAGGCATCTGGGCCTCAGGGCTTGGTTCTGTGAAGTCGCCTACTCCAGCCTGGAGAGAAGGGCTGCCTCAATGGGTCCTGAGGGGGACCCTTGGCCTTCAGTCTTGAAGCCTTCCTCCCCTCCTTTCCCTCCTCACCTTCAGACATGTTTGACAAGACCAAGTCAGGCCGCATCGATGTCTACGGCTTCTCAGCCCTGTGGAAATTCATCCAGCAGTGGAAGAACCTCTTCCAGCAGTATGACCGGGACCGCTCGGGCTCCATTAGCTACACAGAGCTGCAGCAAGGTGCGGGTCATGGCCGGGGCACGATGGGCAGGACAGAGCTAGACTCTTCTCTTTACACCCTAAGATACAACAAAGGGGTTTCCTCTTGTTACCGAATGTCCACCTGCACTACAAAATGCTGTTCTCAGTGCAGGCCTGCATCCCTCACCCCTTCTTTGACCCAGCTGGGGCACTGAGCCAAGAGCCAGGGCAAGGAAACACCTGGGTCCAGAATCAGGGCTGGACCCTGGAGTGCTGGGTGAGACGGCCCCAGCCACAGGGAGCCTTAAGGATGGAAACTTGGCACCTTAAGGACTATGAGACCAGTGTGTGTGGCTTGGGTGACTCCTTTCTCTCCAGTTTCTAGCATGTAGAATGGAAAGAGCCCTGAACAGGGCTCAGAAAGATGGGTCTGTTGCCACCTCTGCTAGTGGACAGTTTCTTTCCCAACTTTTGGGACCCTGAGCACTCTAAAAGTTGCAGTTGGGGAAGATGACCTGAGGCCACAGCCCCAGGTCTGGTTCCAAACTGACTGTGTAAGGCAGAAGGCCACAGTTTGGGCTCAGGCAGGTTAGTAAGAGGTTGGGGGAGGACCCAAGAGGGAGCTTTGCCACCCAGGAGGGAGAAAGGGCTCCCCAGAGAGTCTAGTCCTTTGCCCAGGCTGTGGATTTCATTCAGACTAAGGAGGTCTGTGGGCAGGAGTGAGTGCACCACATCTGCCCCCAGTAAAAGGGAGGGGAGATGACCTATAGTAATCACCTACTCTTGCCAGCTTTTGTCGTGGATATTAGTAAGGGTGATATTAACCACAACAAAACGTATTTACTGAATGCTTGCTATTTTTAATAGGCTTATGTAATTCATTCTTCCCATGTGCTAGGTACTATTTATAATTCCACACCCTTCAATGAAGAATCCCTTATAATCTCCCTTTTACCGGTGAGAAAACTGAGGTTTAGTGTAGGTAACCTGCCCAAGGGCCCGCATAACAAATGGAGAGCTGAGGTTTTAGCCTGGCCTGGTAAGTTCTGAACAGAGGAAGGAAGGAAGCATCCCAGTGAAGAGACAGGATGCTCCAAGAGACCTTGGAGTGACAGTGACTTTATTAAAATAGCATTTACCAAGTGCTTTTTCTGTGCCAGTCACTGTGCTAAGTGCTTTACATGATCACCCGTTTTAATCCTTACTAGAACCTACAAGTTAAGTATTATCCCCATTTTAGAGATGATAAGATAGGGATAGTGAGGCTAAGCAACTTGCCCAGTGGCTGACTCCAGAGCAGGTCCTCATACCTCTGCTGTACTGCCTCTGATGTCTGCCCCAGGCAAGGTGGTCCTGGGAGCTCAGGCTTCCTTTTGGAATGCAAACGAATCAGAGATGATTGCGGATAGTCCGTTGTCGTCTCTGCAATCCCCTGAGCCTCAGTTGAAGAGACAATAATGGAGATTTGGAGAAAGAGGGATGAGGGCCTTCCACCTAAGGGGAGCATCCAGACACGGTCCCTGTTGTGTTTCTGACATCTTAGACAGACCCTTGGGATTTCTCTACCCTCTTTGTGCTTCTGTGCCCATCCTCTCGAAGTTCCTTGAACTGTTGTGATCCAGTATTCCTGATTGATGGAGGTGCTCATGGCAGGTTTTTGTGTGTCTGGTCTGTGTGCCCCTCTTCTCCAGCTCTGTCCCAAATGGGCTACAACCTGAGCCCCCAGTTCACCCAGCTTCTGGTCTCCCGCTACTGCCCACGCTCTGCCAATCCTGCCATGCAGCTTGACCGCTTCATCCAGGTGTGCACCCAGCTGCAGGTGCTGACAGAGGCCTTCCGGGAGAAGGACACAGCTGTACAAGGCAACATTCGGCTCAGCTTCGAGGACTTCGTCACCATGACAGCTTCTCGGATGCTATGACCCAACCATCTGTGGAGAGTGGAGTGCACCAGGGACCTTTCCTGGCTTCTTAGAGTGAGAGAAGTATGTGGACATCTCTTCTTTTCCTGTCCCTCTAGAAGAACATTCTCCCTTGCTTGATGCAACACTGTTCCAAAAGAGGGTGGAGAGTCCTGCATCATAGCCACCAAATAGTGAGGACCGGGGCTGAGGCCACACAGATAGGGGCCTGATGGAGGAGAGGATAGAAGTTGAATGTCCTGATGGCCATGAGCAGTTGAGTGGCACAGCCTGGCACCAGGAGCAGGTCCTTGTAATGGAGTTAGTGTCCAGTCAGCTGAGCTCCACCCTGATGCCAGTGGTGAGTGTTCATCGGCCTGTTACCGTTAGTACCTGTGTTCCCTCACCAGGCCATCCTGTCAAACGAGCCCATTTTCTCCAAAGTGGAATCTGACCAAGCATGAGAGAGATCTGTCTATGGGACCAGTGGCTTGGATTCTGCCACACCCATAAATCCTTGTGTGTTAACTTCTAGCTGCCTGGGGCTGGCCCTGCTCAGACAAATCTGCTCCCTGGGCATCTTTGGCCAGGCTTCTGCCCTCTGCAGCTGGGACCCCTCACTTGCCTGCCATGCTCTGCTCGGCTTCAGTCTCCAGGAGACAGTGGTCACCTCTCCCTGCCAATACTTTTTTTAATTTGCATTTTTTTTCATTTGGGGCCAAAAGTCCAGTGAAATTGTAAGCTTCAATAAAAGGATGAAACTCTGGAGTTCCATGTTTTCCACCATGATTTCTCAGCTACAGGTCCATCCACTCATCCTTTCAGTGACTATTTAAGTACATCCTATACACCACGCCATGCAGAAAGCAGCAGCTTGGGGGGACATTGCCTATGTGGGGCTCCTCTCCACTGCCAGAGGGAAGTTGAAGTATAGGGTAGCCAGCTGAGGGGCCTGCCGGGTTCAGTTCAGTATGGCCTGAAGGTCTATTTAGGAAGCTATTTCATAGCAGTTTTAGGGCTGGCATTCTGGGTTGAAAGCAGCTACCTCAAACTTCATAGCCTGGCCTTTTCTATTTTCTCAGGCCCTAGTTTTATCTTCCAGACAAACTCCATTTATTAAGTCATAACGTTCTCCCCACTTTTATTAAGCACAGACATCTGTACTTGCAAGTCAGATCTTTAGATCAGCATAATACCCAGTCTACACCGAGTGTCTCTAATGAGCTGACCACATTTCAATCAAAAGCCAAAGACACCAGACATTCTAGTTTGCCAGGGGGCTTTATTCTGGGTAATGGTGATTATCTTTTGGCTTTTTGAGATAAAGAGCTCTGAGGCCCTGTGCAGGGCTCTCCTCCCTGCAGTGGGTAGTTGGAAGTAACTATGACTGTTTTGCAGGTCAGTGAGGCCCAGCAGTGTGTCGGGCTTAGCCAGGTCAGTTGCATTCTCCTCTGGGCTGCTGTAGTGCTAGAATCCCCGCATTAGATGGAATCCAGTTCCCAGAGGCCAGCCCCCATCCAGAGCTAAAATTCCGTTCATAGTCCCCATGTGAGTCTGGCCTCTGCTTCGCCAAAGGCAAAGAACTCAGTGCCTTTCAAGGCAGCCCATTTCCTCCATGACTGGCAGAAACATCTTCCTTATGTGGATTCTAAATCCTGCCATCTTGAAGACACCACCATTTGCTGTGGTTTTCTCTGTGGGCCACCCAGGACATACATCACCCTTTATGCATGCCAACCCTCTATATAGTGGAGCCTACCCTATATACCACATTTTCCCCAAGTCCTCTCTTCCCTGGGCCAGATAGCCCTGGGCTCTTGAGCAGTCCCTCGCTGAGCATCTCTGCCCTTGGCATCCTGGTCACCTCCCCTGAATTTTCTTCAGTTTATCTGAGTCCCCCAGAGTGGAGGGCTGAGGCCCCCCATGGTGCTGGGTTCAGCCAGCAGAGCGTGCAGCCATTAGGAGCAGCGCCTGTTGTTTCTTTGTTCCCACTGAACCAAGTGTCTGCTGAAACCCGATGGTGCCAATTGTAGTCTCTCACCTTTGTGCTCAGCTGAGGCTGAGGAGCCCAAGACCTGGATTGATCTTGTAAGCACGGTTGGTTCTGAGCTTGGGGGCCAGCCCTCATACCTCATTCTGCACACTCACCTCCAAGCCTACCTATGCACTGTGCCAACCGCTTTGGATCCTAAGGCCAGTGGGAGTGTGGAATGGGCAGGAGAGCCCATCCTCCTGGCAGCAGCTAGAGCTCTGCCCCGTCCACAGAGAGCTGGGCTGGTAAGTCGTGTGGAGAGCAGGTGGCATACTTAGACCACACATTCCACCTGCTCTGGGTAAAGCGGGGTGCTTAGGAGGAGCAGTGCTTCAACACTCCTGGGCTGGGCCCCTGGCAGCACCAGGGCTCTGCCCACGTTCTTGACGGTTGAGGTCAGAGGGAGCCCACAGCTCTATTAATCAAGTTAAGCAGACCTGGTGGTATGCATAGCAGAGCTGGCCCCTGCCAGATGTCCCTGTTCCTCTCAGCAGAGTAGCACTTCAGGCTGCACTCCACGTCCTTCTCTGGCAACAAGGCTCAGGGCCTTTGGCAGCCTTAAAATCTCGGTGGCAGACGGAGCATGTCTGGCCAAGTCTGTGGCTTTCTCTTTTTATCCTGTGAGTTCATAGAAAATAGGCGCAAGCCTTGGTTTCCAAGAAGATGAAGATAACAGTAAATCAGCCTGTTAACCCGCTATCTGCCCACCCGGCCCCCCTTACCTTCCCCAGGCCACTGGGCCTGTGAGCAGACAGTTGTGTCGAGGGGTGAGGTCCCGGCGTCACAGGATTGGCACCGCATGAGGAGGCAGCACCACGTGTGCCGAGGCCTGGCTGAGTCCATCTGGGATCCCGTGTGGTGGGGGTGGGAGGTCAGCAGATAAGAGCATTCTAGTGCCTTCTTGTCTTCCCTCCCCCCAGCTTCCCCACCTTCTTCTGCTCCTAACCTAAGCAGCACAGATTTTGTGCAATGACAAGGAAAGGGAACATTCAGTGCCAGGCTTTTAATTACAGTTGCTTCGGGCTGCTGGCCTCTCTGCCAAGTGGCCATGGAGAGTGTTTTATCACACCACAAAGCCAACAAGGTCGGGTCTGTGGTGTGTGCCCTTGGCACCTGGTTAGGGTGGGGCTGTGCTCGTGGCCCGCTGGAGAAAGGCTGGGCCCAGATTAGTTCACACAGGCATCAGAACAGCTGGCCAAGTGCAGCCCTGGGCTTCAGGGAGCCATGGAACAAGATGGAAATGCCTGTTGGGACCTTTAGAGCAGACTCCAGGGAAGGCCTGTAATTGGGTAGGAAAGGGGTCTTTAGGAGGATGACCAAGCTCTGGAAGGAGGATGGGGACAGATTATACTGTGGGGTATGGCCAAATGAGAGAAGTACAACAATAATCATGTCCACAACACTTCACAGTTTACAAGGAGCTTTCCACTTGCTTCAGCATGCTTAATCCTCACATCAACCCTGCTTAGGGGACACAAGCTCAGACAGAGGAAGTGACTTATCCAGAGTCACACAGGCAGAAACCCAGGACTGAAGCCACAGCCTTTCACCACATCCAGCTGTCTTTCCATGAGGGGTAGGGGCAGATCCCCCGAGCCGGAGCCTCCAGGGCAGCCCTCGCTCAGGGCAGCACTGTGGTGACGCTGGTGAGCACCACATGCTCAGAGATTTTGGAGATGGAGCATCGGCTCTGCAAGGACAAGGACTTGTGGCTGGCAGAGGAGCGGGGACTAGGGGCCTTCAGAGAGCCGCAGGGACCCAGGCCAGGCAGGCAGCAGGAGAAGGCAGCCTTAAACTGCTCCCGGAATTTGCCTTGGTTGGGAGACAAAAGACACAGCCATAAGGAGACAGATGCAGCAGGAAGGGGCCTTGAGCCCAGGGACACCCACGCAGCTCCAGCCAAGCTGCCTATGAGGGGGCGGGGAGGGAGGGAGGGATAGAGCTGGGAGGGAGAGCCCTGAGGCAACCTCGGCACCGCCAGAGAGAGAGGACAGAAGCCCTGGAGCGGGTTCCCAAGGAGAGACGCAATTGCCATCTGATTCCTTGACTGTGCTCTGGCTCGGAGGCTGACTCAAAACGTGGTGTCTGGCTCGGGGGCCTCAGGTCACCTCTGCTCTCCTTGGTGTGTACGTGGGGGTCACTATCTGTTGCGAGGCTTGTGTCCTCTCTGCCCTTTGATGATGAAAATGACGGCAGCAGCAGCCCTTTTGCATTTGGCAGTCACGCTGTGCTGGGCGCCTCAGCCTCTGTCCGCCAGAGCATCCCAGCACCCTGAAAGGCTGGAGTCCTTTATCCTCACTTCACAGATGAGATGCACAGAGGTACAGTGGCTTGCCCAAGTCCACCCAGCCAGAAGCTGAACCCAATTCTAATTCCAAAGCCCTTCTCAAGGGGGAGGAGGGAAGGAGGGACCACCACACCACATTATTCAGCCCAAGTATACCAGGGAAACAGATTTTGTCAGGCTGAAGCCCCTTTGATCATGTGTCATTAGGCTGCCAGCCTCTCTGGTGCCC
The DNA here is from genome assembly GCF_000001405.40 of Homo sapiens. NCBI lineage: Eukaryota > Metazoa > Chordata > Mammalia > Primates > Hominidae > Homo > Homo sapiens. Next base: position 31,626,085 of record NC_000001.11, on the reverse strand, counting down.
AGCACAGGGTCAAGCACATAGTAGGTGCTCAGTAAACATAGGCCAAACAAAGGCATATGTGTCAGTAAGTCTGTCTGCCCTCCCCTCCCCACACAGCTCATCATCTATTCTCTTTTCTGACCTGGAAACCCGCAGCCAGCCTTGTTGAGTAATTCTTGAGTCTCAATGAGGGTTATACTATTGACTCCTGATCCTTTCTTTAACCTTTTAATAGTTCCTCAAAGATTATTTCTGTCCAGGCTTCAACAGTCATCTGGACCTGTTCTTTAGAAGTCTATTCCCAAAGTCAGAGGGCTGGTGAGTCAGACTTCTGCTGAGCTCAGCCTCAGAGCCATTACCACCCTGAGACTGGGAGGTAGAGGGAGGGGGTGGGCACTGTGGGACAGCAGAGAGGAGAGGCCTGGAGTGGGAGTGGGGGTGGCAGGGGAGGAAGACTTCCAGAGGGGACAACCCCTGAGATTCCGGTCACTCTGCCAGTGTGTCTAGCTGAGCCGGCGAAGCCCTTCCCTGGGCCTGGCTTGTCTCTCAGAGTGACCCTACTTTAGCCCTGACACCTGGACTGTGCAATCCTTCCTCGGGCAGGGGCTCCAGGGCCCTCCTCCCACAGGTCTGACTCCCTCCGGGGAGGATGGACTCCTCTGCCTGAGCTGATTGGAGGTCTTGCTGTGCCTGCACCCAGGGTGGGAGTTGGGGGTGAGCTGGCCTAGCCCCTGCCCTTCCACTCACTCACTGGTCTGCAGAATCTGCAAAACTGGATCCTGGGTGCCAGCCACTGTAGGGAGTGTGGCCCGTCTCCCACTCAGGCCAGGGCCGCTTGGGGTGGGTCCTCCCAGAGCAGGATCACTGTGCCCACAGCAGGTACATCCTCACCCACCATCCTTTATTTGGGCCCTGGCTTGGGGATGGGGAGACTTGTCATGTGGACTGTTGGCCACCCTCAGTCATTTTGCATCCCCAGCCTGCTCACCACTGAGGAAGTTGTAGATGATGGGGTTGGCAGCGCTGTTGGCGTACACCAGCCAGTGGGAGAAGGTGAAGCAGGCGTAGACAGCTTCGCGGTCACTGGCTTGGCGGAACATCCCGAACACCCTAGGCCCAGGGTGGAGGAGCGTCAGAAATGGGGTAGCTGCGTATGCATGTACTGGGGGAGTGCTGCTCACAGAACCTGAGCTGTAAAGTGCAAGAGTTCCTACTGCCCACTTCTGTCCACGTTTCCTGGCCTTCTGTACCTGAGGTCTTGGCCAGGGTTTGGGGTTCTCAAGCATGGAGGGTATCAAGCACCGTGATGGGCATCTCTAGCCTCCTGGCCATCGGATCCCCTGGGGCTTCCCATCCACTTTCTCATCCATCCTCACAGCAACATGATGAATCATAGACATCATCCATTTTTCCATTAAGGAAACTGAGGCTCAGAGAAGTAAAGTGACATGCCGAAGATCACACAACCAGGAAGTGGCCAAGCACAATCTCAAAGTGAAACTGTCTTCTGTCCAATAGCCTGCATTCTCTCCCCAGCGCCCTGCGACCCTCTTTGGCTGTCCCTACAGACACGTGCATGGTTAGCTCTCTCACTTCCTTCAAGTCTCTGCTCAAATGTCATTTCCTTGGAAAGGCTTTTTTTTTTTTTTTTTTTTTTTGAGACAGCTGTGTCACCCAGGCTGGAGTGCAGTGGTGCAATCATGGTTCGCTGCAGCCTCAACCTCCTGGGCTCAAGCTATTCTTCCACCTCAGTCTGTGTAGCTAGAACTACAGGCACATGCCACCATGGCTGGCTAATTTTTTGAATTTTAGTAGAGACGAAGTCTCATTATGTTGCCCGGGCTGATCTTGAACTCCTGGCCTCAAGCGATCCTCCCTCCTTGGCCTCCCAACGTGTTGGGATTACAGATGTGAGCCACTGCACCCGGCCCCCTGCTTTTTTTAAACCATTGTATCTAAAGCAAAAGCAAAAACCCACCAACCCTTATCATTGTCACTCTCTGTCCTATTTTATTTTTCTTCCCAGCAGTTATCACTGCCTGACATTATAATATACATTGATTCTTCTATTTACTTCCCTTCTCTCCTGCTAGAATGCAGCCTCCATGAAGGCAGGGACTTTGTCTGTCTTATGCACTTGTTCATTGTATTTCCAGCCCCCTAAAATGTGATGATTAAGTGAATGAATGCGTGAATTTTCACGATAGCCCTAGGAGATGGAGGCTCAGAGAAGAGAAATGGCCTGCCCAAGATCACATAGTGGAGAAGGGGTGGAGCCAGGTCTTTCTCCCAAGCAAGGAGAGCTCCTTCCCCAACCTCAAACTTCTCCCCACCCCAACCATACCCCGTGCTCTCACCTCTTAAGGACATTGAGGACGCTGATGGGCAGGTAGCAGAGGGCGAAGACCAGCAGCACCACCATCAGCATCTTGGCTGTCTTCCTCCGTGCACGCATCTGCTTCACTTCAGCCAGGAAGGCGCGGGCCCGGGGCTGGGGCTCTCCACTCAGGCCCTGCTCCAGGTCCCCCAGCTGGTCTGAGGGGCGCTTCCAGTTCCGCACCAGTGCTGAGGTGGTGCCGGGGATCTGTCCAGCACACATAGAGACAGCAGTGGTGGGTACAGCACCTTGGGAGGGTGGTTGCCTTTTGTGGGGCCTACTCCAGGCTGGACCCCGGGCAGGGTGGAGATGGGCAAAAGGATAAAACCCTTGCAAGAGGAAGGAATCTAATGTTTATGATAGACTAACACTCTGGACTTGAGAGTGAACGATAGACTTTCATTTTCTTTTCTTTTCTTTTTTTTTTTTTTTTGAGATGGCATTTCACTCTTGTCACCTAAGCTGGAGTGCAATGGTGCAATCTTGGCTCTCTTCAATCTCGCCTCCCGAGTAGCTGGGATTACAGGTGTGCGCCACCACACCGGGCTAAGTTTTGTATTTTTAGTAGAGATGGGGTTTCACCACGTTGGCCAGGCTGGTCTTGAACTCCTGACCTTAGGTGATCCGCCTGCCTCAGCCTCCCAAAGTGCTGGGAATACAGGTGTGAGCCACTGCGCCCAGCCTAGACTTTCATTTTCCATTAGCTCTTTGTGAAACCCTCTACAACACGCCTTGTGGAAAGATATTATTGGTCCTTAGGTATAGATGAGGCAACTAAGACTCAAAGAGGTGGGGAACCTTGACAAGACCCCAGGCCACATCCTGTCAACTGCCCATCCATCCTCCCTAAATCTCCAACACTATCTTTGAGGGTAGGGGTGGGGGTGAGTTGTGCCTCCCCTGGATCATACCAGACTATGAGGAGGCCTGGGCAAGGGGTGAGCAGGTGGGCAGCATCGAATGGCCTGGGCCAGTGCCCATAAGCCTGGGGTGGTTCTGGGCTCCTGGAGAAGCCTCTCCTGCCACCGGACACTCAAATCACCCACCACAGAGGGGCATGGGGCTGGAGTTCTGGAAACGCGGGTCTAGAGCCAGCTCAGCCATTCGTGAGCTATGTGACCTTAGCCACCTCATTTTCCTTTCTAAGCCTTGCTTTCATATCTGTCAAATGAGGAGGATCGTGCCTGTGTCCTGCTTGGCTGGGGGGTCTGTGGGGAGCAGATGATGAGTGTTGGTGGACTACAGGGCTGGCCAGTCAGGAAGGGTCCTACTGGACTGGGTGCTCCTCCAAGGCAGGACCTGGGTCACAGCCAGTCCGTGTCCCCATCCGCTGCCCGGCATGGCCTGGGTGCAAGCCAGTACTTCCTGTGGAATGTAGGTGACATCCCCAAGTGTGAGAGTCCCTTCCTGAGCCTGGTCATGTTCTGGCCTGCCTTTTCTCACCGCCCAGACGCCAATCCAGGACTCCCACTCGCTAGGCCAAGGGCCTCTGACCACCCCTGCCCCCCAAAAACCTAAGAAACCCACCGTGGGTCAGTCTGTAATGCAGGAAAGAAGACAGGCCCTGGAACCAGAAGGCTCTGCTGCTGTTGAATCTGGCAAGTTGGTTGCCCTTATTTGGCATTTGTGACGTGGGTAATGTTGCTTCTTTTGTTAGATAGTTGTTAAGACATTGGATGCAAAGTGCCTAATTTGGCAAGCACCACGGAGTTGCTATTATTATTGTTGCAGTGGTACTAAACTGAGCAGTGGGAGCTCACAGATCTGGGCTTTAGTTCCTGATCTACTCACTAGCTGAGTGGTTTGGGGGAAGTTATGTTGATCTTCTGGGTCTCGGTTTTCTCATATATTTAATGTGGGTAATATATGGTGGCTAAGAGGATGCAAGATTATCTGGGAGTGGATACTTCAATAAACGCCAACCACTAATAGAAGGACGTGTTACTATTCCATTCCAGGGTAGCCACTGGTGCTTTTGGCCTTGAGTTTGACGTGTCTCTGGGCTTCCCCTCTCTTTGGTTGCAGCCAAGATGGCATGTGCTGATGGCAGAGGACTGCCTACTCAGTTAGACCAGTAGCCCTCCCACCCCCAGCCCACACAGTGACTGGCCTAGCCCCTGCCCAGAGTGGGCCTCACCTGGCGGCCCCAGAGCTTGCGGAATATCTGGAAATAGGCCATGGCCATGAGGCCCAGTGGGGCCAGGTAGGTGACAATAAAGAAGCAACTGTGGTAGATCTTGGGATAGAGGTCATCTGCAGGGGTCAAGAGATGCAGAGTCAGGCCCAATCCGTGAGCCCCACCCTGCCCTGGTTAGCAATGCCACCCTGTCCTGACTACGGCCAAAGCAAGGCCTAGGAGCAGCTGGACCCCATACAGCCACCATGACAGACAGAGACCCTGGAGTTGTCCAACTTGGGTTGTCCCTCCTGGAAGGACATCTACACTAGAGCAGATGTCTACATGAGGGGAGGCACCCACCCTGGGAGTATCCCTGGTAGGAGCCAGTCTAGGGTGTCCCCTAGGGAAATACCTGCTCTGGGATTTCCCACTTTGGAAGGGACCCTGCTAGATGCCTGTCCTAGGGGTACGTGCTCCCAAAGTGCCCACCTGAGGGGATGCCTGCTTGAGGCTTCCACCATTACCTGCCCAGCGTTCATCACAGACTGAGAAGAGCCGTGTGCGGTTGGCTAGCTCAGGCAGCACACTGCTGCATTCCATGACTGCAGCCTGGGGCACCATGATGGCCAGCGACACAGCCCAGATGCCCAGGATGGAGCCACGGGCCCGCCGGGCTGTGCTCTTGAACAATAGTGGGTGGCAGATGGCATACCAGCGGTCCAGGGCGATGAAGCTGAGAGTTAGCACTGCCACTGACACGGACACAGCCTGCCCCACGGGGACACAACGTCGGTCATTTTGGGGGCCACCCAGCGATGTGAGAGTAGGTGAGTGAGGAGGCTGACGGCAGGTGCAGGGCAGTGCAAATCCTGACTCCACCACTTACTGGCTGTGTAAATGTGGGCAAGTCACTCACCCTCTCTGAGCCTCGTCTACAGAATGGGAATATACCATCTACCTGGCAAGATTCTTGTGCGAATAAGTGAAATCATGTACAAACAATGTCCAGCTTTAGACCTGGCACATGGTAGGTGCACCCCTCCGGTGAATAATAACTTGCACCTACGTAACTTACTATGTGCTGGGCACTGTTCTCATCATCCTCATGACAATCCCACAAAGCGCTCTTGCCCCCCTGTTACAGATGAGGAAACTGAGGCACAGAATTCCCTCATCCATCTGTCTTTATGCTCAGGGTCACCAGAGTTAACCAGTTGAGTGGGGAGCCTCAAAATAGTGGGAAATCCAAGAGGCATTTATCTCTGCCATGGAATGCCATCCCTTCCCCAGGCTGTTAGGAAAAAGCCCTCATTCTGGGAGGCAGAGATGAGTCTGGGTCAGAGGTGTGTGGGCATTGCCTCTAGGGGTGCCCCCTGCCCTCTGGGGTGCAGGAAGTGGATCACAGGATACAAACTGAGAGAAGCCTTCCTTCCACCCCACTAACCCCATCCGGACATCCTGGTTTCCACCACTGGGGTCTTTCCTGGCCAGTGCAGGAGGGAGAGGAGACGGCTGTTTCCATCAGGCCCCTCACGTCTGCCCCTTTGGGATTGGGGAGCAGGCCTAGGGTGTCGTGTATGTGTCACTGTGGGCTGTTGCCTCTCTCCTTGACTGTGTGCCTGTGTACCTGGAGGTGACTATACATGTCCACACGTGTCTATGTATATGTCTGTGGCTGTGACCAGGAGGGGATCTCTGTGAGTGTGTGGGGTTGTGTCTGTGTCCTCGAGTGTCTGATCTGGTGGCTTGCCCTTGCTAGCAGCAGAGGATGACACTTCAGGGGTCATGAGCCACTGACCTGTCTGAAAGGCAAGTCTGGGGGTCACTGAGACCTATGCAAGGCCGTGGGTTTTTTACAGGCGTGACAAGGAGTGGTGAGGGGTGCCTGGGCAGAGCTCACCTGTAGATAGGGGATGACCTTGCAGAGGGCATGGCCGAACAGCCAGGACTCAGTGATGTCCACCAGCAGGCTGGCCGGCAGGCAGATAGCAGTCACCAGAACGTCAGCCAGGGACAGGTTGACAATGAAGTAGTTGGTGACTGTCCTCATGTGGTGGTTCCGCCACACGGCCAGGCAGACTGCAGGGTGCAGCGAGGTGAAGCTGGTGGCAGAGCCACACCCATCCTAGTTCTGCCTAATCAGCGAGCCCTCCTCCCACACAACCCCCTTCAATCCCCAGGGAAAGCCGGCAGCACTGCCGGGCAAGCCCTGGACCTACCCAGCGTGTTGCCCACCAGGGCCACGACGAACACAGCCACATAGGCTGCGATGAGGACCCACTCATACTGTTTTGGGTACAGATAATCGCGCCACAGATAGCGGAGAAACTCATCTTCATAGTCTGGAGGCACAGGGGACGGCTCTCTGCTGCCAGGGGGGACCCCCATCTGGGCCCCTGGGGTGGCTGAGGGCTCCATGAGCTCAGGAGCCGCTGCAGCAGAGGGGCATCCTAGGCTCTACAGAGGGAGAGGAGGGAGCTTGGGCCAGCCCTCAGCCCACTCCCTTCAGGGTGCCTGGAGGCTTGCACCCAGGTCTTTTCGGGTCTCAGCCTCAAACTTCCTGAAGGGAGGAAGGAAAGGAGGGAGTGGGAAAAGAGAGAAGGAAGGAAACATTAGGGATTGTGCCAGGCGCTTTGCGTATAAGTTCCCTCTTAATTCTCACAGTCATGAAATTGGTGGAGGAAGACAGACCTGGGTTGCATCCCAATTCCACACCAGTTGCCTTGGGTAGCTTACCTGGCCTCTTTCAGCCTTGGTTTCCCCATCTGTCTAATGGGGTGACAGCCCTACATACCTTACAGGACCACGATGAGGAGTAATGAGCTCCGATGCGTGCCAAGTGCTTCACCAAGAACCTGGTACGAGAAGGTAGTTTCGGGGACGTTTCCGGTTACCATTATTAGGGTACCCTGCTTTGCAGATGAGACCGAAGCTCAGAGAGATTGAGTCTCTTGCTCAAGGTCACAAAGCTCTTAAGCCAGGTCTGTTCGAACCCACCAAACACCGTAGATTTGGGAGGAGAAGCCATCCCGATTGCAAATATTTCTTGAGCCAGTTCAGAGGCTTTAACTTTGGGTTGGGAAAACGGGCCAAGGGAGGTGTTAGAGACCCAAGCCCCACCCGCCATACCTGCCAGACCCTCCGGTGGGCACTCGCGGACACGCACACATACAACACACACACAGTGGGGGTGGTGCGCGGAGGGACTGACGACCCCTTGCGAGCAAGGGGAGCATCCAGGCCCCCTAAGAGGCCCCTTTGGGTCCCCAGGGCCGCGACGCTCCCCGACGGCCGCCAGGAGCCGCTGTTCCGGCGCGCGGGTCGCTCTCCATTCATAAATCCAGCCAGCCCAGCTCCCCGCCCCTCCCCTCCTCCCGCACTCAGCCCCTCCTTCCCCCGGCTGGGCTAGGACGACCCCGGCCAGGTGCCGGAGGGTTGCGGATCCCTGGAGACCCCTGGGGAAGGGGAGGGGACGCCTTCATACCCCACTGAACGCCGGCAGGCCCGCTCCGTCCGCGGGACCTTCCTGCACCTCGGGGGCTGGCGGGGCTCCGGGAAGGCGCGGGGGAGCGAGGGCACTCGGAGCCTGCCTAGAGGAGAGCAGCGCTGGCCGAGGAGCCAGTCTCCCAGCACCCAGGTTACCCCCCGAGACTCTTGGCTCCTCCCATCCCTCGCCGCGGGTCCTTTGGAACCCCCATCCCAGGCCTGGGGGTCCCCCACACCCCGCACCTGTTGGCTCCGGGACCCGGGCGTTCTCGGCTGCTGGTCCCCGGACCTGGCACCGGGGACTTCGCCTTCCTGCGAGGAAGGCCGAGCCTCTAGGGGCCGGGACTGCAGGAGGGGGCCGGGGCAGCCCCCTCCCTAGGCTGCGCTGCCTCGGCTCGCGGGGCTCAGCACGATCCGCGGCAACTGCGCGGGCTGTGGCTCGGCGCGGGCTCCGCCGGGCTGCGCGCTGCGGGGAGGGAGGGCCGGCGGGAGGGGCAGGGCGGGGTGGGAGCCCCCAGACGGTCTTGGCTCCCTGTCTTCCAGCCCCGAGACCCGCAGGGCGGAGGGAGACGCTCGTTCCTTCTAGCCTCCCACTTCAAGCTTCCATCCCACCTCCATTCATGCGTCCATCCGTTCATTCATTCCATCCTCATTCATTCAACATTTATGCCCCTGGCCACCCCGCATTCTGGGCGCACTTAGTGTGTGCCGGCGGGCCTGGCAGCTTCAGAGGGCCACAGTGCAGAGGTGGAGCCCAGCCCCGCCTCTCCTTGCTGCCTCACCTAACTGAGGAGGAGGATGGCACAGGTGGGTCACAGGGGTGAGACAGAGAGGATGCCTGCACCGCCTCCAGCCTAGCTCCGGATGCTGCTGTAACAGCTAGCTCCCAACGATGCCAGAGAAGCCTGTTCTCCCATCTCCCAGCCCCCCATCCTATCTGCCCCCAGTTTCTCTTTTTGTTATACCTACTGTTCCCCCCAAAAATCAAGGACGCCGGTGGGGACAGAAGTGGGGGTTCGTTAATTCCACAAATAACGATTTATTAAGCTGTGTGCTAGGCAGTGAGTTCTAATAATACAGCTACCGTTTGGATAATGCATATGATGCCTGCTCTCATTTAATCTTCATATCAACCTGGTGAGGTGGTCGTTATTGTCCCCATTTTACAGATAAGGACACTGGATCCACATGGCGCAATGACTTGCCCAAGGTCGCACAGCAGAGGCAGAGCTGGGCTTTGAGCCTCTGCCCCTCTCAGGCCTCTAGCCTCTCTCACCAGACACAGTCTCCCTCCCCTGCAAAATCTCTCTGGCTGGTGGGGGAGGCAGGTGCACACCCAGGCAATTAACCTGTGGTGTGAGGAGGGTGTGAGGGCCCTGGGGGCTGTGGGGCACAGGAGGACAGACCGACTCAGCCAGGGCATGAGAACAGGCTTCCTGGAGCAGGGACATCTCCATGGAGACCTGAAGAATAAGAAGGTAGCCTGCAAGGGGGATTGTGGTATTCGAGGAGAGGCATTCAAGGTCAGGAAACAGCAGGTGCAAAGGTTTGAAGGTTGGGGATTCTGGAAATCACAGGTAGGTGAAGGGTGACTGCCTGAGCATCATGCAGTCACCTTGGCCATCCCCTAGCTCAGCATAGGACATTCCTAACATGTCACCCTCTGAAACTCACACTGTTTCCCTCCTGGGAGGTGACTCCTGGGATGCAACCACCATCTTTCCCATTGCAGCCAAAGCCCTTTTCAAAGGCTCTGAAGATGCGCCGTTAGGCATAGGAGGTGTGGGAGAGGAACTGGAGCAGCATAAGGGAGGGGGCCAGTGACCTTAACCTCTGCAGAACAGGAGGATGGACTGAAGCTAAACCCAAGGCAGAACTTTGTCCTTGGGCAGGTATGGCATCTGCATGGTGTGTGATGTCTTGTCTTCCCTAGGTGCTGGCCGAGGTAGGAGAATGAGTGAAGGGACTCAGAAGAGGGGCTGCTGTGTGTGTGTGTGTGTGTGTGCGTGTGTGCATGTGTGAATGTGTGGGTGTGTGCATGTCTGCATATGTGTGCATGAGTGTGTGTTTGTGTTTGAGTCTTGAATTCAAGTAAGGGCTGTGGTGTGTGTCTAGGGAATCCAGTGTGTTTGAGTCTGACTGTGCATATGAGCAGGGGGTGGGCTCTGGGTTGATGACTGGAGGTCACTCTGGGTGGGATGTGTCTGTCTGGGTCTTGATCTGTCCCTGTGTTTTGGCGTTTGTGTCTATGGGGAATGTGTATGTGTGAGGAGATGACTGTTTCTCAGTGTGGATCTGAATGTTCAACTGTGGCTTTGACTAGCACTGGCCTCCCAGCGTGTTTCCCTGTGAGTGTGGGAATGTGAGTGTGGCCATGCCTTTGTGTGTAAGGTTCTGTGAGTGTGCATATGTGGAACTTGGTACATCTGTTCCCACGGCAATGACTCATCTTATCCCCCCACATTCTCCCCCCTACCTGGAGCTGTGATTGTTTGCTATGTAGGGGCTGCAGAGGGGGCTGCAGCATGTAGGGGGATGGGAGGCAGATCGTGTGGGGACACTCCAATAACAGTTGCGGCAAACAAGGTTCAGCCCGCAGTGTGGAAGGTACAGATCCATGTTTGTCTGTGTGGGCGGTAGGCACTGGCCAAGCCCAGCACAGCCCAGGCTTAGAACCTAGCCCAGAGTGCAGATCTCCATATTACAGGGCCTCCCAGATACCATGGGTTGGAGTGGGCAAGGGGCTCGCCAGGCTCCCCCATGTCATGATACAGGGTGGTGCATGTCTGTGTAGGGAGGAAATCATGGCTGAGAATTCCCCCCAGTATACAATGTCACAGAGTCAGTCCCATCTCCACTTAAGAGGGATCTCAATTGCCAACCTTCCCCCACCCTTTATCCGTTGGTGCCCCAAAGATGGCTGCTCCCCAGGTCAAGGGATATCCTAAGAGATTCCTGCCATCACAAGCAACAGATCTCCCTGTCTCCCCTATCAGACGCTGGCCAGGGATTTTCAAGCCAGCAGCAGGAGCCAGGGCGCTGGCCTGGAGGCACTAGGCCTCGCAGCCCCTCTGGTCCTGAATCTGGCCTATTTAGCCACAGCCTAAGGGTGGGAGAGGCCAGTTATTTGGCCTAGATGGGCATGAGAGAGAGTGGGTGTATGCTCAGAGAAAATCCTGGGGGCGGGGCGGTGGGAACCAGTAGTGTTCTAGAAGACCTACAAGAAGCTGCAGGATTTTGGTCCTCGGGCACAACAGCACTGGCTCTGGGAACCCTGGCCAAATGCCCATGTCCAAGGGAGGGCCCTAGGGACCTCAGGTCCTCCATGTCCAGGCTGGGCTCCCAGCCCTTGTGCCTCCTCTGCCCAGGGAGGGCTGGCCTCAGGGCTTTGCTGTGCTTGAGCTGTCTGTCAACAGGGGCCCCCACGACCTCTTTCCCGAAACCAGCCAGCCCCAGCCTTGTTGATCTAATCCTGAGCCTCTGAGCCACAGGTCCCTGTCATATCCATCTTCAAGTGTCACCCTAGGCACTGGCCCCAGGTGCTACCTCCTCCTCCTTCCCGATCCTGCTGTGACTTACAGTAACCTCTGTCTGGCTAGGACTAGAGTAATTGGAATGTAATTGGGTTTCCTCTTGCTAATGCCGCTACAGACCTGGGCACGTGGATAGGAAAACTCTGGGGAAGGCAGAGGTGCTTTGTAGAAGAGCAGAGATCAGGCAGCAGGCCGAGGTGTGGGGTGGGTGAGGGGAGGCCAGCAGAGATGGGCTGTGCTTTTGGAAAGGGGGATTCTGAGGGCGGAGCCTAGGAGGCCACTGAGCGGCTGTGGTGTTTTTGTCTTTGGGCCAACAGCAGTGGCCTCTGGGAGCTCATGCCCAGGGAGGGACCCAGAGACCTCCTGTTCCCCATATCCAGGTCCTCAGCCTTTGTGCCTCTTCTCCTCTGGATGGGCCCCCTCCTTCAGGGTCTGGGTGGCTTGAAGGAGACAGGCAGCCGCTAGGAGAGGAGGAGCACAGGACCCAGAGTCAGGCATTCTCTGTGACTCCCAAAGCTGAGATCATTTTCCTCTTTGGTTTTGTTTTTTGAGACAGTCTTGCTCTGTTGCCCAAGCTGGAGTGCAATGGCACGATCATGACTCACTGCAACCTCCACTTCCTGGGCTCAAGTGATTCTCCTGCTTTGGCCTCCCAAAGTGCTGGGATTACAGGTGTGAGCCACCACTCCTGGCCTAGAGAGCATCTTCAAGCCAGTGGCAGGAGCCAGGAAGAAGGGGCTGGAGCTGGCAGCCTTCTGTCTGTCCACTTACCCGTATACTCACTCAACAAACAAACTCGGAGGCTGGGTAGGCTGCAGAGACGGAGACTCTCCTGGTTAGGCTAGGGAGACCCTCATGGAGACGAGTGGATAGGGGTGGTGTGAAATGCATCAGGATGGAGCCTGTGGAGGCAGGGTGGGGGCAGAATGGGACAGCACCAACAACAAGGCACAGAAACCACAGAAAACACATCTCCTCCCACCTGCCCCCACCCCGCCCCTGGTGTTGAGGAGAGGTCAGGAGCCAGGCTTTGGGGTCAGGAAGACAGGGATTAGACTGCCACTCTGCTGCTTACTACTGGGTGATCTTGGGCTGGTCACTTCCTTCATCTCTGTGATAGGCTAAAATGGCCCCCAAAGATGTCCACGTCCTAACCCCCAGAACATGTGGCTATGTTCCATGGCAAAAGGGGCTTTGCAGATGTGGCTAAATTAAGGGTCCTGGCACAGACAGACATAATCATACACATGCACATATTTAAAAATAATTTAACATTTTAAGAAGTCCAAGTGGTCATCATTTGTCAGACATCGTGACACTTAAGTGGCATTTGGTATTGTTTTTAGCCATGTATTGGTGCTGGGGGCTGCAAAAGATCTAAACCCTAAAATAATAAATAATATTAGTAATAAACAATGGCCATAGTAAATGTGTGCTGGTATGATTATTTTGACACAGGGACACACAAGTGGGGGAAGGAAAGAGGAGGGGCCTGTTCTTCCTGGGAAGTGTGTGTGTGTGTGTGTGTGTGTGTGTGTGTGTGTGTGTGTGGTGGGAAAGGTGGGGAGCTGGGGTTTCAAACTATAACCTGGATCACCAGACATTTAAGGAAAATATTTAGCAGGGCAGAGAAAGACCAAGATAAACAGAAAAAATTTCCAGAGGCAATTTGGGCTAGGTATTGAGGGGTGAACAGGAGCTCACAGCTAGCCTTTGAATGAGACATGCTAGGCAGGAGTGGGAGAGGAAGAAGGGGCAGTATTCCGGGTAGAGGGGACAGCATGAGCACAGGCATGGGGTGGACATGGTGAAAGGCCTGCTGCAAGCTAGTATGCCACAAATACTAGTTTGGCCTGAGAGTGTACCCATGAAGAGGAGCAATGAGAAACAAAAAGATGGGTGAAACGCTGGCCTCCAGGGCAGGCTGAGGTGCTTGAACTCAATCTATCCCAAAGATGATGGGAGGGTTTAACCCAGGTGCGACACAGACAGGTCGGCAGTTTTGTCCTGCAACTTAAGCAGATTTGAAATTAATAACACATTTTCCTTGTAAAATATTCAAACCATTCAGAATAAATGAAAAGCATTATTTTTATTTCTGTGGATTACTATTGACTCCTTATTTGAATATAGTGACTGTAACAAAGAGCCCCACCAAATGACAGTGGCTTTGAAAGTTGAAAGTGTTTTTCTTGGCTGGGCGAGGTGTCTCACACCTGTAATCCCAGCACTCTGGGAGGCCAAGGCGGGTGGATCACTTGAAGTCAGGAGTTTGAGACCAGCCTGGTGTCAACATGGTGAAACTAAAAGTACAAAAATAAAAAAATTCTACTAAAGTTTTCCACTAAAAAAATTTCTACTAAAAATACAAAAATTAGCTGGGCGTGGTGGTTTGTGCCTGTAAGCCCAGCTACTCGGGAGGCTGAAGCAGGAGAATCGCTTGAACCCAGGGAACGGAGGTGCAGTGAGCCGAGATCATGCCACTGCACTCCAGCTGGGCGACAGAATGAGACTTGGTCTCAAAAAAAAAAAAAAAAAAGGTGTATTTCTCTCTCCAGGGCTGGTCAGGCAACTCCAATGTCATCAGAAAGCCAGAATTCTGCCAGGATAGAAGAGTATCATGGTTACATGAACAGATTCTAGGACCATATTGTATGGGTTTAAACCATGGATCTGCCACTTACCAGCTGTGTGATCCTGGGCATGCTATTTAGCTTCTCTATTTTGAGTTTCATTGTCTGTAAAAGGGGATGATATAGTACCCATCTGTGGTAGGGAGAATAATAGATGTCTGAGTCCTAATCTCTAGAATCTTTGAATGTTACCTTACGTGGCAAAAAGGACTTTGCAGAAGTGATTAAACTAAACATTTTGAGTTGGGGGTATTATCCTGGATTATTTGGGTGGGCTCCATGAAATCCAATGATCCTTATAAGAGGGAGGCAAGAGGTCAGAGTAGTGATAGGAGATGTGAGGATGGAAGCAAGTGGTCGTGGTGATAAGAGGAAAGGCCCACAAGCCAAGGAGTGCAGGTGACCTGTAGAAGCTGAAGAAGGCAAGGAAATGGATTTTCCTGAGTCTCCAGAAGGAAAGAAACACTGATTTTAGATGTCTGACCTCCAGAACTGTAGAAGAATAACTTTGTGTTGCTTGAAGCCACTAAGTTTGTGGTTAATTTGTTACAGCAGCAATAGGAAGTGACTACATATCCCCATTGGGTTAAATGAGTTAATACATGCAAAACACTTTGAAAGGTGCCTGATGGATACTTAGCATGTATATAACTGTTAGCTACTATTATAATATTTATGGCAAAACTCTTGGCCTAGGCTGGGTGGAGTGGCTGACACCTGTAATCCCAGCACTTTGGGAGGCCAAGGTGAGTGGATCACTTGAGGTCAGGAGTTCGAGACCAGCCTGCCCAACGTTGTGAAAGCCTGTCTCTATTAAAAATACAAAGATTAGCCAGGTGTGGTGGTACACACCTGTAAGACCAGCTATTCAGGAGGCTGAGGTATGAGAATCACTTGAACCTGGGAAGCAGAGGTTGCAGTGAGCCGAGATCATGCCACTGCACTCAAGCCTGGGTGACACAGCAAGACTCTGTCACAAAAATTAAAAAACTCTCAACTTACGTCAGAGATGGCTGGTCACGTCCATAATTCAACTAAGTGGAAAGGCACATCACTTCTGCTAACATCAAGTTGACCTAAATTTGGTCACCTGATCACATGTAGCTGCAATGGAGGCTGGGAAATATAATTTTTGTCTGGGTAGCCATGTCAGGTGGTGTCCAGCTGAGATGTAAGAGTTCTGTGACTAAAGATAGAGGAAGGGGTGGTTATTGAAGAACTAACAGCATCGGAAACAATTCCTACTATGAAAGACGAGTTTATGGCCGGGTGTGGTGGCTTACACCTGTAATGCCCATACCTGTAATCCCAGCACTTTGGGAGGCCAAGGCTGGCAGATCACTTGAGCCTAGAAGTTCAAGACCAGGCTGGGCAACATGGGAAAACGTCATCTCTACAAAAAATACAAAAAATTAGCTGGGCTTGGTGGCAGGTGCCTGTAGTCCCAGCTACTTGGGAGGCTGAAGTGGGAGGATCATCTGAGCCCAGGAGATTGAGGCTGCAGTGAGCTGTGATTGCACCACTGCACTCCAGCCTGGGCATCAAAGCAAGACCCTGTCAAAAAAAAAAAAAAAAAAAAAAAAAGGAAAGGAAAAAGAAAAAGAAAGAAAAGAGATGAACTTAGCAAAGGTAACTTCCCTCCAGAGTTTGGTTAGATACAAATATTTCCAGCTGTTTTTTCTTGTGCCATTAATTTCATGCACTATCTGTTAACTCCCCACTGTGTAAGACGAGACATCACTCTTGCTTTCTCTCCTAATTCCTTTTGCTAAACTGCTACATTTGCATCTAGTTCTATATCCATAATTAAAATGTTCTAGTTTTGTGTATTGTCTATCTCTGAATTTCAAATATTGAAAATCAATAAAGTGTTCTTAAACAATATTATGATTATATAAACATTATTCTCTACAGAGCCAAATAGAATCCTGGGACACATAGAGAAGGAACTATAATCTCACAGTTTAAATACTGCTCAAAGAGAAATGATCCAGGCTTCAAGCTCAAGTCTATTCTCCTCCACTCCCTCAGCTATTCAGAGTCATAAGACATTTTAATTCACTTCATATTTGGACCATGACTTTCTTACACAATTTCTTGTTCTCATGAAGTTTCTAATTGCTTTCCTCTTTTCTCCTTGAGAGAAGAAACATATGCCTTTTAAGTCAAGTCATTAAAATCTTCCAGCTTCTTAATTACATTATTTGTTGAATGAAGCCCATTTTCTTCCTAAAGACGTTCTTCTCCAAACCCTCTGACTTCCTGTTCTAATTTTGATGGATGGCTTTATGGACCTCTGGTATTTCTATTCACTGTGCTACTGGGTTAATTCCACTGTTTTGTGAATCTGTTATGTCTCTCTTTCTTGAATTATGTCCCTTTATCTCAAGTATATTTTCAAATAACATTTTTAAAAGGGGTGCATGGAAGGAAAGCTTTCTGAATCTTGGCATGTCTGAAAATGTCTTTAGGTTGTCCTTTCACTGACTGAGTTGGTGAGCATGAACCAGCAGGCTTAGGGTATGTGGCAGAGGGCAGATACACAAACAGACACTCCAGCCTCCACCCTGGGCCACATAAGGAGGGATTTACTCTAGACATCAACACTCCCTGTAGGCACTCTAGTCCTTAGGAAAAATATCACTCACTTTTTTTTTTCTTTTTTTTTTTGAGACGGAGTCTCATTCTGTCGCCCAGACTGGAGTGTAGTGGTACGATCTTAGCTCACTGCAACCTCCGCCTCCCAGGTTCAAGCAATTCTCCTGCCTCAGCCTCCTGAGTAGCTGCGACTACAGGCACGTGCCACCATGCCCGGCTAATTTTTATGTTTTTAGTAGAGATGGGGTTTCGCCATGTTGGCCAGGCTGGTCTTGAGCTCCTGACCTCAGGTGATCTGCCTGCCTCAGCCTCCCAAAGTGCTGGGATTACAGGTGTGAACCACTGTGACTGTCCAAGATGACTTAATTTTTTTAGAAAGCTGTTCCCTCTCTTTAAAAATCTCTCCCCTCCCTGTATGTTCCAGATGTCTGCATTTGTTAGGGGGTGGGGTGTTGATGGCAAATACTGGCTTGTTACTCACTAGGCTTTTACTTGAGTATTTTCTAAACTTTTGTTATTCTTATACCACATCTCAATTTTTGTGGCATCTTCTTGCTACTTTATTGTTATGTACTTATGTATGGTATGATGGTTAATATTAGGTGTCAACTTGATTGGATAAAGGGATGCCTAGATGGCTGGTGTTGTTTCTGGGTGTGTTTGTGAGGGTGTGGGCAGAGGAGATTGACATTTGAATTGGTGGACTGAGAGAGGAAGACCCACCCTCAATGTGGGTGGATGCCATCCTGTCGGCCGCCAGCAGCTGGAACAAGGCAGGTGGAATGAAGATGGGATAACTTTGTTTGCTGATGTTGAGCAACTTTTCATATGCCTGTTTGCCATTTGTATGTCTTCTTTTGAGAAATGTCTGTTCAGGTCTTTTGCCCATTTTAATCAGATTATTAGATTTATAGAGTTGCTTAAGCTCCTTATATATTCCTTTTTTTTTTTTTTTTTTTTTTTGTAGAGATGGAGTATTGCTGTGTCGCCCAGGCTGAGTGCAGTGGCTGATCTCAGCTCTCTGCAACCTCTGCCTCCTGGGTTCCAGCAATTCTCCTGCCTCAGCCACCCGAGTGGCTGGGACTACAGGCGCACGCTGCCATGCTCGGCTAATTTCTTTTGTATTTTAGTAGAGGTGGGGTTTCACCGTGTTGCCCAAGCTGGTCTTGAACTCCTGAGCTCAGGCAATCCTCTCGCCTTGGCCTCCTAAAGTGCTAGGATTACAGGCGTGAGCCACCGCGCCAGGCCGAGCTCCTTATATATTCTTGTCATTAATCCCTTGTTGGATGGATAGTTTGCAGGTATTTTCTCCTGTTCTGTGGGTTGTATCTTCACTTTGTTGATTGTTTCCTTTGCTGTGCAGAATTGTTTTAACTTGATGTATTCCTATTTGCCCATTTTTGCTTTGGTTGCCAGTGCTTGTGGGATATAATTCAAGAAATATTTTCCTATGTCTAATGTCCTGGGGAATTTTCTTGCAGCAGTTTCATGGTTTGAGGTCTTAAAGTTTTTAACTCATTTGATTGGATTTTTGTATATGGTGAGAGATAGGGGTCTAGTTTCATTCTTCGGTATATGGATATCCAGTTTTCAAGGGGGTCTCCTTTAAATAGTCCTTTTTCTCCTCACCCAGATTCTGACATGCTGGGAAAGAAAGCAAAATACGGGTTATGGAAGAACAATAGCCCTTTTATTGTTGATGATATAAAGTGGGGGCCTTAGTGGAGGACAAGAGCTAGAGTCTTCCCAGCTGAACCCCGTCACAGCCTCACTACCTACTAACAAGCATGACTTGATCCCACGCCCCATGTCATGGGCTCACAGCCTCGGTCATGCCTCTCCTGACCACTCTTGGAGTCCTGGTATGTCTGGCCTCATTGACAGAGTGGACTGAGTTTTTGCAGGAGCTGAAGAGACTACTGGAAGAGAGAATTTTTCTTACGGACCAAGGAGCAGGAAGCTGAGAGCTTGGCCCAGAAAACCTTGGTTATCAGAAGGGTGCAGTGGCTCACACCTGTAACCCCAGGACTTTGGGAGGCTGAGATGAGGGGATCACCTGAGGTCAGAAATTTGAGACCAGCCTGACCAACATGGTGAAACCCCATGTCCACTAAAAATACAACATTAGCTGGAGGTGGTGGTGGCGTGCATCTGTAATCCCAGCTACTAGGGAGGCTGAGGCAGGAGAATTGCTTGAACCCAGGAGATGGAGGTTACAGTGAGCTGAGATCATGCCATTGCATTCCAGCCTGGGTGACAGAGCAAGCTTCTGTCTTAAAAAAAAAAAAAGGAATAAATGGTATAAACCACTGGAGAGGAAGAAATAAAATGGTCATCTATATTTATAGATCATGTGATCGTCTACATAGAAAATCTAAGAGATTCTACAGACAAACTATTAAAACTGTTGAGAAGGTTCATGTTGAGAAAGAATTTTCCATGGGTCTGGTTCGTTTCTGGATGCCCTGCACACAGAGGCACTAACTGCCCTTTTGTTCTGGACTGTCTTCAAGGATGTTGGTATATCAACCATCTTTGGAACATATAGTTAGTGTGTCCTTCTTGAACAGGAGACTGATTACTGTCCGGCCTAATAATGTCTCCCTTTGTGATGTCAACCTAAAAAACAGAGAAAGAGGCTCTCTAAAAGAAAATGATATCTATTCGGGAATAGGCATTGCAATGGGAATATGTGTGCCATAGTATACTATATGCATATTCATGGAGATAAAGGCAAAAGATTTTGAGGGAAAAATGAGGAGGATTCCATCATTGTTCAAGATAATTATCCTTGGCTACAAGGATCAACAATAAGGACGGCACTAGTCTGAGGTTGGACAGGCAATTTCTGAGCAGATAGCCTTGCAGTATTTTGTGTGTAAGATTGTGATGGTTGTTGCAGTCTTTTGGGATAGTATTTGTTGTTGTTGTCGTTTTTTAGACAGGGTATCCCTCTGTTGCCCAGGCTGGAGTGCAGTGGCTTCATCACAGCTCACTGCAACCTCTGCCTCCCAAGCTCAAGTGATCCTTTTGCGTCAGCCTCCCAGGTATCTAGAACTACAGGCATGCACCACCACGCCTGGCTAATTGGGATAGTTCTTGTGATTGGGCAACTTGTGCGTGAGAGCTGTCTCTTCATGACCTTCTCCAGCTCTATTTGTCACTTTTAACAGAAGTGACTCCATTTTGATTCTGATAACTTTTACAGTAGCAGAGATCAGGGATTTCAGTTCCCTAAACTCAGGGTTCCTCTGCTATTATGCAAACTCATTGAATGTGCGTCATCTGTCTATACCACCCCCACTGCCCTCAACATCACTGTGGGACTTGGGGGGCAAGTGAAACTATTGACTCAGACATGAAACTGATGCTACTTCCTGGGCTGTGAGTAATAAAGTCCTTTGTCTCTGACCCAAGACTCTCAAGTCTTCTGCCAGCATCCACAATACTGTGACAGCTAAGGATCTGGGCTGGCCTCCTCCCACCTCTGCCTCCCAAAATGTTGGGATTACAGGCATGAGCCAACACGCCTGGCAAAAAGTTTTTAAGAATCAAAAAGTTTTAATAAAGTAAAAAAGTTACTGAAGCGAAGGTTAATTTATTTTTAAAGAAAATTTTAAAAACATATTTAGTGTAGCCTGAGTGTACAGTTTATAAAGTCTACAGTAGTGTATAGTAATGTGCTAGGCCTTCGCGTTCACTCACCACTCACTGACACTCAAGCAACTTCCAGTTCTGCAAGCTTCACTCATAGTAAGTGCCCTATACAGATGTACCATTTAAAAATCTTTCATAATATATTTTTATTGTAACCTCTCTATGTTTAAATATTTTTCGATACACAGCTACTCACCATTGCATTGCCTACAGTAACAGTATAATAACATGCTGTACAGGTTTGTATCCTAGGAGCAACAGGCTGTACCACGTAGTCTAGGTGTACTTGTAGTAGGCTATCTCATCTAAGTGTGGGTAAGTACACTCTGTGATGTTCACACAACAATAAAATCCTCTCTCGGAACACATCCCAGCTGTTAAGCAACAAACATAAAATGCTATTTATAAAAGACACCATTTATAAAAGCATTAAAAAAAACTATGGGATATCTTGGAATAAACCTAAGAGATAAGCAATATTTTTATGGAGAAAATTATACTTTCTTTTTCTTTTTTTTGAGATGGAGTCTTGCTCTGTTGCCCAGGCTGGAGTGCAGTGACACGATCTCGGCTCACTGCAACCTCCGCCTCAAGGGTTCAACAGATTCCCTTGCCTCAGCCTCCTGAGTAGCAGGGACTACAGGAGCCTGCCACCATGCCCAGCTAATTTTTGTATTTTTAGTAGAGACGGGGTTTCACCATGTTGGCCTGGCTGGTCTCGAACTCCTGACTTCAAGCAATCCATCCACCTCAGCCTCCCAAAGTGCTGGGATTACAGGCATGAACCACCATGCCTGGCCTAAAACTTTCTTGATGGTCATTCAAGAGACCCAGATAAATGGAGAAGTATAACTTGCTCATAGAAGAAAACACTTAATTGTAAAGATGTTATTTTTAAATTAACCTATAAATTTATTTTACTTTCAATAAGAGGTTCAAAGAAGAGTTTTTTAAAATTAATATCTTGGGAAACATGTCAAGCTTATCCTAAGGTCATATGAAAGAACAAATAGTTAAGAGTAGCCAAGGTAATTTTGAAGAAAATTAACAAAACGAGGAGAATCACCCTCCACATAACAAGATGTATACAACCAAAGTCATTAAGGCAGGGAGGTATTGGTAGAGGGATGTACAAATAACTGGATGAGATAGAGCTGAAAGCTCAGAAACAGAGCTATGCAGACTGGAAGTTCAACCTATGTCAGAGGTGGCATTTAAATCAATTCCCTCCAATACCTGGTGGTGGGAAAACTGGTTTTCCGTGTGGAAGAAAGAGAAGTATATACCTGTATCACACTGTTAACAAAACTCCCAAGGAATCAAGTCACCATGACTGAGAGCCAGCTAGAAACCATAAATAATAAACTTAGACCCCAAAGACTTCCGATATTGGATTTATCAAACATGGAATATAAAACACCATAATTGTGAATAAAATATTTTAGTAAATATAACATCAAATTACGAAAATGAGCAAGCAAAAAGATACTCTAAAAAATGATCAGGCAGGGCGGGCACAGTGGCTCACACCTGTAATCCCAGTACTTTGGGAGGCCAAGGCAGGAGGATTGCTTGAGCCCAGGAGTTTGAGATCAGCCTG
The DNA here is from genome assembly GCF_000001405.40 of Homo sapiens. Taxonomy (NCBI): domain Eukaryota; kingdom Metazoa; phylum Chordata; class Mammalia; order Primates; family Hominidae; genus Homo; species Homo sapiens. The sequence continues at coordinate 31,604,103 of NC_000001.11, read as the reverse complement.
GGCAACATAGCGAGACCTAGTCTCTACAAATAATAATAAAAAAAAATTAGTCGGTCATGGTGGCACACATCTGTGGTCCCAGCTACTCAGGAGGCTGAGGTGGGAGAATTGCTTGAGCCTAGGCGGTAGAGGCTGCAGTGAGCCATGATCATGCATGCCACTGCACTCCAGCCTGGGCAACAGAGGGAGACACTGTCTCAAAAAAAAAAAAAAAAAAAGTGATGAGGTAGATGTGGAAAAAAACAACTAAATAGAGACAATAGAAAGGAAAATGAGATACTGAAATTAAAGAAAAGAAAGAAAACCTGGTGTCTGGGCTGAGTATCAGGTGAGAAACAACATTATAATAGCCACAAGCTGGAAACAATCAGATATTTATCAACAAAACTATGTATGAGTAAGTTGTGTTATATTCATATAATGGAATAGTATACAGTGGTGAAAATAAACATATGATATTTATTCATAACAAAAAGAATAAATCTTAAAAAATGCAATGTAGAGTAAGAAAGCATGACAAAAATAATACACACTGTAAGATTCCATTTATATAAAATCCAAAAACAGGTTAAAACACATCTTTAGGCATGCACAGAGGACAAAGCCATAAAAAGTAAGCAAGACAATGATTACCATAAGGTCAGGGTAATGGTTTCCTTTAAGAGAGAAAGTAAGGGATTGTGATGGGATATACACAGGGAGCTTTTAGGAGTGCCTATCATCTTCTACTTTATGACCTGGGGGATTATGTAGATGTTTGCTTTATAATTGTTATTTAAGCTGTGCAATTGTATTTGATATGCCTTTCCATATTGTGCTGTATTTCACAATTAAAAAAATTTGAGGCCGGGCACGGTGGCTCGTGCCTGTAATCCCAGCACTTTGGGAGGCCGAGATGGGTGGATCACTTGAGGTCAGGAGTTTGAGATCAGCCTGGCCAACATGGTGAAACCCAGTCTCTACTAAAAGTACAAAAACTAGCTGGGCATGGTAGCAGGCATCTGTAATCCCAGCTACTCGGGAGGCTAAGGCAGATAATCACTTGAACCTGGGAGGCAGAGGTTGTGATGAGCCGAGATCATGCCACTGCACTCCAGCCTGGGTGAAAGAGGGAGTCCACCTAAAAAAAAAAAAAATATATATATATATATATGTATATATATATATACATATTTGAAAAGCACAGTAGGTTAGATATAGCTGAAGAGAAAGCTGAAAGACAGATATGAAGAAATTAACCAGAATTCAATAGAGAGAGACAAGGTGATGGAAAATAGAAAAGAATGTGATACAGGGGAAAAAATAATAGGATCTAACATGTTACTAAGCAAATTTCCAGAAAGAGGGAATAGAAAAGATGGAGGGCTGTTGAAAGACAAGAAGAATAGACATTTTTACCTGGACATATTGAATTGAAACTGGAAAACGCCAAAGCTGAATAAAAGCTATTGACAGCCAGAGAGGAAAAATAGATTATGTGCAAAGGAACTGCAATTAGGCAGACAGCAGATTTTGCAACAATAGCCCTTAAAGATAGAAGTCAGAAGAATGATATCTTCAAAATTCCTAGGGAAAAAAACTGTTCATTCGGAAACATGCACCCAGTAAAGACTATCATTCAAGAATGAGGATTAAAGTCATTTGCAAATTTAAAAAGCAAAGGGTTATGATCCAGTGAGTGCACTCTGGGGTGCTTATTCCAGAGAAATGAAACATTTTGTTCACACAAAACTTGCACATGAATGTTCATAGCAGCTTTCTTTGTAATAGCCCCAAACTGGAAACAACCCAGTGTTTTAGTATATGAATGGTTAAACAAACTATGGTACACCCATACCATGGAATACCACTCAGCAATGAAAAGGAAAGAGCTGTCGATACAACAGTCTAGATGGATCTCAAGGAAATTGTGCAGGGTGAGAAAAAGCCAAAAGACGGTCCCAAAAGGTTATGTGTACTGTGATTCCAGTTGTATAACATTCTTGTTATAACAAAAATTATAGAGATAGAGAACAGATTAGTGGTTGCCAGGGGTTGGGATGTTGGAGGGAGGGAAGTAGTAGTGGCTATAAAAGGGTAACCAGTTCCAATGATGGAATAGTTTGTATCTTGACTGTGATGACAGTCACACAAGTTTACATGTGCTAAAATTGCACGGAACCACACACACACACACACACACACAAACACACACACACACGTGCGTATAAAACTGGTAAAACCTAAATAAGATCAGTAGATTGCATCAATGTCATTTTCTTGGCTGTGCTATTGCACTATATTTATGCAAAATGTTACCATTGAGGGAAAGGGGATGTGAGGTATAAGGAATCTTTGTATTATTTCTTACAACAGCATGTCAATCTGCAATTATCTCAAAATGAAGTTTAAAAAAAATCTACCAACAGACTTACAGTAAAAGAATGTCTAAATATATACTTCAGAAAGGAAAAAAATGATCGAAAAAGATACCTGAGATGCAAGAACAAGTTTTGAGGAAATAAAAATGATAAACATGGAGATAAACCTAAACAAACATTGTATAGCATAATGATAATCATGATGGCAATTTGGGGGGCTGAAAACAAAAGGGACAGGACTAAAATGAAATTTGAATGTAAGGAGGAAGGGGGTGGCCATTGGAGCTGGAGTTTCCCAAGGACCTTGTATTGTTGGAAATAGGGTTGGAATATTAAATTTAGGCCTTGTTAAGTGTGCAGTGCAAAAATTTAAGGGGACCTACTCTAGGAATAGGAATAGAGTCAATAATTTCCAAATCAGTAGACAGAAAGGTGAAATAAGAAAACAAACAAAAGCTCAATCTACTTTTCAAAAAGGCAAGAAGGAAACCACAAAGTGGGACAAATTGAAAACAAAAAGCAACATGGTAGAGACAAGCCAAAAATAACACATTGACAATACACACTTAGAAGTGAGATGCTTCAAAACACCTCTTTTCATTATCGATTGACTAATCAGTAAAAAAATTAGTAAAGGTATGGAAAATTTGAACAACACAATTAACAAGCTTGATTTAGTGACATAAAGAGAATCCAACGCCCAATGCTTATTCTTCTCAAGTACACATGGAGCATTTACAGACATGGACCACATTCCAGGCAGTAAAGCAAGTCTTAATTTCAAGAATCACAGTGATACACACCATACTCTCTGGTCAAAATACCATTAAGAGTTGGTGACAAAGAGAAATAATACCCACATGTTTGGAAATTTAAAAACACATTTCTGGAAACAACCCAAATGTACATCAACAGTTGAATAGAACAATAAACTGTAATATATTTGTACAACGGAATGCTATACACCAAAACACATCACACACAAGCACACACACACAACCATTGTAACGGACAACAGGGATGAACCTCACAGACCTAATTTTGAGTGAAAGAAGCCAGAAAGAGTAGATACTCTCTAATTCCATTTGCATGAAATTCAAAAGGGACCAGAACTAATCTATGGAGATAGAAGTTGGAGTAGTAGTTACCTCTGGGGATACGGGGGAGGTTATGACTGGAATTCTGAAAATATTCTATATCTTGCTCTAACTTAGGAAATAAAAAAGAACAATAGAACAAACCTAGTGAAAGCAGAACAAAGGAAAGGATAAGAACAAAAATTAATAAAACAGAAAACAAAGGGGACTAATGAGCCAAAAGTTGGTTCTTTGAGAAGATAAAAAAAAATAGTCAAACCTCCGAGGCTGATTTGTTTTAAAAGGAAGGGCACAAATTAATAAATACTAAGAATGCAAATGATATGATAACTACAGACCCAGGAGAGATTGAAAAGATAAAAACAGAATGATCTCAATAACAATTTCTTTAATGTTATTATTTATTTCTCATTTCCATTTCTTTTTTTTTGACACGGAGTCTCGCTCTGTCGCCCAAGCTGGAGTGCAGTGGTGTGATCTTGACTCACTGCAACCTCTGCCTCCCGGGTTCAAGCAATTCTCCTGCCTCAGCCTCCTGAGTAGCTGGGATTACAGGTGCGTGCCACCATGCCTGGCTAATTTTTGTATTTTTAGTACAGATGGGGTTTCACCATGATGGTCAGGCTGGTCTTGATCCATGCTCTTCGGCCTCCCAAAGTGCTGGGATTATAGGCGTGAGCCACCGTGCCAGGCCTCCATTTATTTTTTATTTTTATTTTTTGAGACAGAGTCTTGCTCTTTCCCCAGACTGGAGTGCAGTGGCACAATCTTGGCTCGCTGCAACCTCTGCCTCCTGGGTTCAAGCGATTCTCCTGCCTCAGCCTCTGGAGTAGCTGGGACTACAGGAGCATGCCGCCATGCCCGGCTAATTTTTGTATTTTTAGTAGAGACAGAGTTTCATCCTGTCAGCCAGGCTGGTCTCAAACTCCTGACCTCAAGTGATCGGCCCACCTTGGCCTCCCAAAGTGTAGGGATTACAGGTGTGAGCCACCACGCCTGGCCACTTTTCCATTTCTTAATTCAGGTTTGACGTTACATCTTACAGACCCTTACCCATTACATCTGCATTTTCAAATTTATTTGTGTAATATTGTTTCTTATGATTAAAATTATCTGTAGTTAAATTCCTCTTTTCATTTCTTCTTTCTCTCTCTTTCTTTCTCTCTCTCTCTCTCTCTCTTTCTTTCTTTTGAGACAGAGTCTCTCTCTGTTGCCCAGGCTGGAGTGCAATGGCACAATCTCAGCTCACTGCAGCCTCTGCCTCCTGGGTTGAAGAGATTCTCCTGCCTCAGCCTCCCTAGTGGCTGGACTTACAGGCATGCACCACCACGCCTGGCTAATTTTCGTATCTTTAGTAGAGGTGGGTTTTCACCATGTTGGCCAGAATGGTCTCGAACTCCTGGCCTCAAGTTATCAGTCCACCTCAGCCTCCCAAAGTGCCGGGATTACAGGCGTGAGCCACTGCGCATGTCCTCCCCTTTTCATTTCCAATATTATTTGGGCCTTCTTTTTTTTTTTTTTCTCAGACTTGCTAGAAATAGATCTATTTTATTAGTCACTTGTTTTGACCATCTCTATTGTTTCTTTGTTTTCTGTTTTATTGATTTCTCTCTCTATTATTTCCTGCTATTTGGCGGGGGATGGGGTGCTGTTATTATATTGTCTTTTTCTGATTTCCTAAATTGGATGCTGAATCATTAATGTGTCATCTTTATTCTTATCAAATGTATGTATTTAAGAATATACATACATAGTCCCTCAAGGATTGCTTTAGCTATATTCAAACCTTTATCCAGCACTTTGGGAGGCCAAGGCGGGCGGATCACAAGGTCAAGAGATCAAGACGATCCTGGCCAACATGGTGAAACCCCCGTCTCTACTAAAAATACAAAAATTACCTGGGCGGGGTGGCATGTGCCTGTAGTCCCAGCTACTCGGGAGGGTGAGGCAGGAGAATCGCTTGAACCCGGAAGGCGGAAGTTGCAGTGAGCTGAGATCGCGCCACTGCACTCCAGCCTGGCGACAGAGAAAGACGGTCTTAAAACAAAACAAAACAAAACAAAACAAAAAAACAAAACCTTTGTATTCAGTTGTCTGATACTTATAAAGTGACACCAGCTTTCTGTTGCTTAGTATTTGCCTGATGCATTTAGCTGCAAGAAACAAAGGCCAACTACAGCGACTGAAACGAACTGATGTACTGAGATATTTTTGTTGTTGTTTTGTTATTGTTTTTATTTTCTTGAGACAGGGTCTCACTCTGTTATCAAGACTGGAGTGCAGTGGCACAATCATAGCTCATTGCAACCTCAAACTGCTGGGCTCAAGTGATCCTCCTCTCTCAGCCTCTCCAGTAGCTAAGAATACAGGTGTGCACCACATGCCTGGCTACCTTCCTTAGTTTTTGTAGAGACAGAGCCTTGCTATGTTGCCCAGGTGGGTCTCAAGCTCCTGGCCTCAAGCAATCCTCCCAACTCAGCCTTCCAAAGTGCTGGAATTATAGGCATGAGCCACCATGCCCGGTCAGTCATCCTTAAATTTTTAACATGTATACTTCAGGTTTAAAGTCTGAAGTTAATCAATTTCCACCTCTAGCACAACCTTAGAATGCTTTTGAACTCTGATCATAGTGTCCTGTCTGTCATTATATTGTTTTCCCTTTTTTTTTTTTGGCCATGCCTTATTTTTCTTTTTAATCAGCCTTTTAAATTTTTTTCTTATGAAGTCTCTGCTTGTTTGAATTGTCCACACTTAATGATTTTTTAATTCTCCGCTTCTTCTTACAAACCACTTCTTCCTTCTGAGTTTATCTCCTAGATTTTCCATATTAACTTAGTCCGATATCTTGCCAGAACCGGAGGTCCCCATGGCGTTTTCTTGTGATTTTTTAAAATCTTGATTGCATCTCTAGCCATAGCCTTCTTTTTGTTCCTAATATTGTCTATTTTGTGCTAATGATTTATTTATTTTATTAAGGTTTTAAAAAGACTCATCTCAACTTTAGGTTGTTTTCCGTATCATCCCTTTCTGCTTTATCTTTATTATTTCCTTTATTTTATTCTCTTGGGGTTTTCTGATACCTCTTCCTGGAGTCTTGAGTTGGATGCTTAATTCATTTGTTACCAATTCTTCCTGCTTTTAATAAACATATTTTCCCTCCAAATTTCACTTTAGCTTATTGTTATTCAGTTTTAAATATCTTGTAACTTCCACTATATTAATAATTTTCTTCCTAGCCTGTGAAGTACTTAGAAATGAATTATTAAGTTACTGAACATATTGGATTTTCTTGGCCAACTTTTTATTATTGATTTCTAATTTTATTATATTGGGATGAGAGGATGTGACTGATGATATTGATTCCTTGAACAAATTTTAGACTTTCTTTGTTGCCAACTAGGCAGCATTTTTAGAAAAATATTCCACATGAGCTTGAAAACAATGGGTATTCTTGGGTGGGGGTGTAAAATTTGTTTATCTAGTAGCTCAAGATCCTTAATTATATTGTACAAACTTCTGTAACCTTACTAATGTTTTGCTACTTGATCCATTGGTTTTAAGAAAGTTCGATTAAAATTTTCCACTTTATCTATAAATTTGTCTATAAATTCCACTTTGTCTATAAACTTCTTGCAGTTCTGCCAGATTTGCTTTATATGTTTCACCAAAATAAACATGTTCTGCGAGATACGTGTAAGTTCGTGATTATCATATCTTTTTGGCAGATGTTTCCTGTTATGAGTGTATCGGTTAGGTTATGGGTTCAGCTGCTGTTACAAAAGACCCTGGAAAAGAGAGGTCTAAATAAGATAGAAGGTTATTCCTTGTTCATGTAAAAGTCCACAGCCGTGATTCCCTGCCTTCTAGCTTCTCATGGGATTTGGTAAATGTGGAGCCTAGCAGATGACAGGGAGGGGAGAGCCAGGCTGAGGGGTTTATTCCCTAGCTTCCTCACTGACAGGCCACCTCTACTTTAAATGACTCCTTCAGAGTTCTGGTGACCTCTCTTACCCCTTGGCCCTGTAGGCCTAGGGGAAGTGACAACCAGGTCACCGCTAGCCCCAGAGTTCTGCACTCTCTCTGATGACCTCCCTAGACCCTTCTTTGTTATTCATCTTTTTGAAAATAAACTCTACCCCAATTATCCTAATTAGAGTTCACCATCTGTTTCCTATTGAGACCCTGTGTGAGTGAGGATGGCATGATGTTTTTAAAAGTCATTGATTCTGAATGCCTTTAGGCACATGTGCACTCTCCAATACATGCTGGACACAGACCCTGCTACTCCCTATTCTCTAACACTCCTGGCTTCCTCATGTATCTGCCAAGTCCCAATGGTATTTGAGGCTGAAACCCTGAGTTTATGGCCCCAGGCTAAGAAAGCCCACCACACCTAAGTCTCCAAAGCACCAGCCTGCCATGGGGAAAGGACCGTCCTCAGAGTCCATCAGGAATACCCTCCGTCCATCTGAACACAAGCCTCAGCTTGGTCACTGGTCCAACAGCCAAGCTGACTCTCCCTGGACAACACTCAGCATCCTGGGATCATGGAGACTCATCTTTGTCTGTGGATACTTCACTATTTTAGTTGAGTCAATATTTCCACCATGGTGCCTGCCAACTTCTGTAGGACCATTAAAGAAAAAATTATTCAATGATACCTGTGAAAGCATGATAAGGAAGATTTATTTCAGGACCATTTTGAGAAGTATAGGGACCACTGCAACAGGGATCTTGCAGTAGGGGAGAGAGACTGGGTTCGATTCTGAATACAGAATGGGAAAGTGGGAGTTTATAGTCATGGAGCAGGGTGGGGGCCAGTGGATGGAAAAATTACTAAGAAGCAACAGCAGGACTAAGGGGGATTCTGACTAAAATGACTTAACAGGATTCTTGCTGAAGACAGGCCTGGGTAAGCAGACATCACCTGGGGAAGGGTGGAAGATAAGCAACCTGATCAGATATCAAGGATGATCAGATGTAGAGGATGAGGTGTTCTGCCTAAATGGATTAAGTGGGGTTCTTTTGCTAAAACCTAATTTTACAAGGAAATGCTCAGATGGGCTTAGGAGAAGATTCAAGAGCCTGACTAAAGTTAGGCCAAGCAAAGAATCTTTCTCAGGAGCTGGAGTTAGCCTGGCCTTTTAAGGTGACTTTGCACATCCCTGTTGTCATTCATTAGATACTGATTTCTTTCTTTCTTTCTTTCTTTCTTTCTTTCTTTCTTTCTTTCTTTCTTTCTTTCTTTCTTTCCCTTCCTTCCTTCCTTCCTTCCTTCCTTCCTTCCTTCCTTCCTTCCTTCCTTCCTTCTTTCTTTCTTTCTTTCTTTCTTTCTTTCTTTCTTTCCTTTCTTTCTTTCTTTCTTTCTTTCTTTCTTTCTTTCTTTCTTTCTTTCTTTCTTTCTTTCTTTCTTTCTTTCTTTCTTTCTTTTTTTGTGAGACAAAGTCTCGCTCAGTTGCCCAGGCTGGAGTGCAGTGGTGCGATCTCAGCTCACTGCAACTTCCACCTCCCGGGTTCAAGCGATTCTCCTGCCTCAACCACCCGAGTAGCTGGGGCTACAGGTTCCCACCACCACACCCAGCTAATTTTTGTATTTTTAGTAGAGACAGGGTTTCACCCTGGTGGTCAGGCTGGTCTCAAACTCCTGACCTTGTGATCCGTCTGCCTTGGCCTCCCAAAGTGCTGGGATCACAGGCGTGAGCTGCCACGCCCAGCCTAGATACTGATTTCTTCAGTCCAGCTCTCAGTGGGCAAGCTTGTTTCTCCATTTCCTTATTTTTTTAATTTTTATTTTATTTTTATTTTTGAGACAGTCTTGCTCTGTTGCCCAGGCTGGAGTACTGTGGGATGGTCTTGGCTCACTGCAAACTCCGCCGCCTGGGTTCAAGCAATTCTCCTGCCTCAGCCTCCCAAGTGGCTAGGATTACAGGTGCCTGCCACCATGCCCGGCTAACTTTTTGTATTTTCAGTAGAGACAGGGTTTCACCATATTGGTCAGTCTGGTCTTGAACTCCTGACCTGGTGATCTGCCCGCCTCAGCCTCCCAAAGGAGGACTGCTTGAGCCTGGAAGGTCAAGGTTGCAGCAAGCCATGATCGTGCTACTGCACTCCAGCACTCCAGCCTGGGCAACAAAGCGAGGCCCTGTCTTTAAAAAAAAAAAAAAAAAAAAAAAAAGAGCCAAACTCAGACTCTCTTCTGGCCAGGCTGGAGCACAACATCTGGGTGAGAGGTGACAAGTGGGGCCGCAGCAATGAGTTGGCCTCTGGAGTCAGACCGACTGAGATCCATTCCCAGATCTGTCCCATCCTTCTTTGTCCCCCTGTGCCAGTCTCCAGGCCTCACAGAACAGTTTTGGCTCCAAAGAGTAAGACACGAACTCACAGCAGGTGCTCAGGTCTGAGAATCTGCACAGGTGGCTTCTCTCCACTACTCCTCTAGGCTGCAGCAGGGGGAGGTGTGGACTCAGCCACCAGGGGGCAGGGATGCTGCGGAGGTTGACACTGCTGAGATTGGTGCTGCCAAGTGAACATCCACATTCATTCGCTTCCTCCATCCTCCAGCAAACGGGTCTGGTGTCTCTTCCATGCCCAGTATAGTTTTAGGCAACACTGAGAGCAGAGAGAGTGAGGCACAGCCCTGCTCTCAGAACCCCACATCAGGAAGGGTATGGACAGCTCCCATGCTGGACTATGAAGGAGGAAGTGGTGTGAGAGTGGAGTCTCGATGATGGATGAGGGCTGTCCTGGGGAGTCAAAAAGGCTTCTCAATCCCAGCACTTCAGGAGGTGGAGGCAGGAGGATCACTTGAGCCAGGAGCTCTGAACCAGCCTGGGCAACATAGTGAGACCCCATCTCTAAAAAAAAAAAAATTTTTTTTTAAATTAGCCAGGTGTGGTGATATGCCTGTAGTCCCAACTATTTGGAAGGCTGAGGTAGGAGGATTGCTTGAGCCTAGGAAGTTGAGGCTGCAGTGAGCCATGATCCTGCCACTGTACCACTGTACTCCAGCCTGGGTGACAGCGAGACTCTCTCTAAAAAAAGAAAAAAAAAAAAAAAGCTTCTCAGAGGAGGAGGCTTTTGAACTTGACAAGATGAGCAGTGATTCGGCTTGCACTCTGCAGACCCTAGCACCTCCCTGCAGCCCCAGGCCAAGCCCACCTGAGTGTTACATAACCCCCACCACTGCCCCTCCCCTCAGTTGCACCTTCATCAGCAAATTCTGCAAGCCCCAAACTTCAGATCCAGGCTGTTTGTGCACAGAACTGGAGGCCAAAGAGCCTGCTTGGGTACAACCTGAAGAGTGGCTGTGTATACACCCAGACAGCTTAGAAAAAGCTCCGGCTTTGGAGTCTGACAAATGAGGTTGCCCACGACTTCCTAGCAATGTGTCCTCAGGCAAGTCACTTCTCTTCCCCCACCTCAACCCCCACCCCCCAGCCTCAGTCTCCTCCCTGTAAAAAGGAGGTAATAGCAGCCCTTACCTACAGTGCGTATCTTCAGCATGGCTTTCCTGGGACCCATCTCTCTGATGTGTCCACTGGCATATTCGGTTTACCATCTCATCCCATCCCATGGTGGGAGCCAGGCTGCAGCCCCCTGGAGCAGGAAGCAGGATGCTTCCCTAGAAGTCCTCTTCAGACTCAGCCTTGTTTTACTTTGGAAAGATACTGGCTCGGGTGTTGGTGTCAGAGCCCCCGGATTTTCATAAAGTGGGGTCTGCATCTAGCTCCAGCGCTTACCAGCAGTGTGACTTGACAAGTCACATCCCCTCCCTGAGCCTCCATCTCCTTATCTGTCAAATGGAGGTTAAGAGTTGTTCCTAGCTGTTGTGGACCCATTTCTGTCATTTTGATGCAGGGGAGGCAGGCCCCAAAGTAGGGTTTAGCCCACTGAGTTCTTGGCTTTGGCCAGGAAAGAATTCAAGGGCAAGCCAAAGGTAGAAGAAAATGGCTTTATTGAAGAGGAGTGTCACAGCTCCGTGACTGCTCCTGCAGAGTAGCGCTACCCCGTAGGCCAAAAGTAGCAGCTCAGGGCAGCTTTGCAGTCACAATTATACCCACTTTAAATTGCACAAAGATTAAGGGGCAGTTTATGCAGAAATTTCTAGGGAAGGGGTAGTAATCATTGAGGCCCCAATCCCTGGAATTAAGTCTGTCCTCCTACCTTAATCTGTTTGGCATTCCTCCTTTCCCCTGGATCCTCCTTCTTTGAGGATCTCCTCTCCTAAACACTGGTTTGGCAAGGACTGTCATGATTTCCATGACCTTGTCCCTCAGCCACAGGTGACTGTCCCACAGGTGGACACCTGACTGGAGTGTGGCCAATCAAAAGACTTCTCTATTTTGAATCAGTACTGAGAACATGGCTGTGGATTGGGAGGCTCAGGAGTTGTCATTGGCCACAAATCCTTCCTCATGGCAGAGTTAGACAGAAAGGCAGAGAAAAGAGAGGCAGAGTGAGACAGAGACAGAGAGGGTGTGTCCTGGCAGTTTTTGGGTCCCTGGTTCCAGCTGTGCCTGGACCCACTTGCCCTCCTCACAATTTGGAGGTTTACCCCTCTCGTAGAGTCTGAGAGTTGTCTCACTTGTTGACATTGGGTTTCTAGGCATACACTTCCTCCTAGGAACGAGGGTAGGATCGAAGGAGCTAAAGTGAGTGAAGCACATAGTCCAAAGCGTGGCTCACTGCAGGCTCGGTAGGCATGAATTCCTTTCCCTTAATGGGCACCAGGCAGGGATGGGGGTTTGGCAAGATCCCAAGAAGATGTGAGGCATCAGCACTTGTGAAGTCATGTAACTTAGCAGCCCCTGGGAGATTAGAGTTAGGTGCCTCGGGACCCCCGCAGAGCCCCACAGGGGGCCAGAATGAATGCCCAAGTGAAATATTTGGTGGTCAGGAAAGGATGGAGCTGAAAAAGAAAAAGTCGCTGCCCCATCCGCCTGTAGGAGGAGAAGTTGTTGACAGATACTCCCTCTGTGCCAGGTGTGTATGGAGGAGTCCCCGGAGATCCAGAGGATGGGTGCCAGGAAAGGCTTTCCAGAGGGGGGACATTTGAGCTGGGTTTTGAAGGATGAATAAGAGCTTGCCAGACAGGGAAAGGGCTTGGGGAAGGACATTGGAATATCACTATTAATCTTAATACAGAGCTGATGAGTGTGAGGATTTAGGTGACTTGGGTTTGAATCCTGATGCAATTATTAAATGTACGACATTCAGCAACTTACTTGCTTTTCTCTATGCTTCTGGAAATAGTTTTTTGTTTTGTTTTGTTTTTTGGGTTTGGGGGGGCTTAAATGAGACAATGTATGTAAAGCATTCAGAACAACATGCTGGCAGAAACCTATGGTTAAGCACTCAATGAATGTTTAGCTCATTATAAAAAGCCTTTACATTATCAGGTCCAATCTCTTAAAACAATCATCGCTGTTGCTGTTACCATTTATTAAGCCCTTAATGAGTTCCAAGTACTGAGCTAAAGGCTTAGCATGTTTTGTCTCATTGAATCCTCCCACCAACCCCAGGAGGTAGGTGAGTACTACTGTCCCCCATTTAAGTTGGAAAAACCTGTCCAATAATACACACAGCCGGACAGAGTAGGGGTTCAAACCCAGCTCTGTCTAACATCCCACACCCTTGGCCCTGGGAAAGGGAAGGACTGGCCCCATGACACACAGCAAGGGGCTGTGGGACCAGGGTTTCTTTAGGGGCAGATTCAGGGGCAGTAATCGGGTTTGGGGTGCTTGAGGTAAGCCTCGCTCTTTATAACAACACTCCCATGCCCAACATCGGAGGAGCAGGAGTGGCTGGTGGAGGTGGCTGAGGCCCCGGCTAGGGCATCTCCAGCCCTATCTGAACCCTCGTCCACTGCAGAACTGGCCCAGGTGGGCCTGGGCTTGCTGGCCCCAGGAACAAGGCTAAGGAGGGGCCAGGCTGACCCCCTACTGTCAGAGACCTCTGAACCACAGCAACTCCATCTTGAATAGGAGCTGGGTAAAATAAGGCTGAGACCTACTGGGCTGCATTCTCAGACAGTTAGGCATTCTAAGTCACAGGATGAGATAGGAGGTCGGCAAAAGATAGAAGTCATAAAGATCTTGCTGATAAAACAGGCTGTGGAAAGAAGCCGGTCAACAGGTGCGGTGGCTCATGCCTGTAATCCCAGCACTTTGGGAGGCCGAGGCGGGCGGATCACGAGGTCAGGAGATTGAGACTATCCTGGCTAACACAGTGAAACCCCATCTCTACTAAAAATAAAAAAAAATTAGCCTGGTGTGGTGGCGGGCATGGTGGCGGGCGCCTGTAGTCCCAGATACTCGGGAGGCTGAGGCAGGAGAATGGCATGAACCCGGGAGGCAGAGCTTGCAGTGAGCTGAGATCGCACCACTGCACTCCAGCCTGGGCAATATAGCAAGACTCCATCTCAAAAAAGAAAAAAAAAAGAACCCGGCCAAAACCCACCAAAACCAAGATGGCACGAGAGTGACCTCTGGTCGTCCTCACTGCTGCACTCCCACCAGTGCCATGACAGTTTACAAATGTCATGGCAATGTCAGTAAGTGACCCTAAAAGGGGAGGCATGAGTAATCCACCCCTTGTTTAGCAGATAATCAAGAAAGAACCATAAATATGGGACACCAGCTGCCCTTGGGGCTGCTCTACGGAGTAGCCATTCTTTTCTTCTTCTTTTTTTTTTTTTTTTTGAGATGGAGTCTCGCTATGTTGCCCAGGCTCAAGTGCAGTGGCACCATCTCAGCTCACTGCAACCTCCGCCTCCCGGGTTCAAGCGATTCTCCTGCCTCAGCCTCCTGAGTAGCTGGGATTACAGGCCCACACCACCACGCCCGGCTAATTTTTATATTTTCAGTAGAGACGGGGTTTCACCACATTGGTTAGGCTGGTCTGGATCTCCTGACCTCGTGATCTGCCCACCTCAGCCTCCCAAAGTGCTGGGATTACAGGCGTGAGCCACCGCGCCTGTTGGCCGGCTTCTTTCCACATCCTGTTTTATCAGCAAGATCTTTATGACTTGTATCTTTTGCCGACCTCCTATCTCACCCTGTGACTTAGAATGGCTAGCTGTCTGAGAATGCGGCCCAGTAGATCTCAGTCTTATTTTACCCGGCCCCTATTCAAGATGGAGTTGCTGTGGTTCAGAGGTCTCTGACACTGGGGGGTCAGCCTGGCCCCTCCTGACCGCGGGAACCGCCCGCCTTGGCCTCCCAAAGTGCTTGGATTACGGGCGTGAACCACCGCGCCCTGCCGGAGTGGCCATTCTTTTATGCCTTTACTTTCCTAATAAACTTGCTTTCACTTTACTGCAGAGATTCACCTCTAATTTTTTCTTGCACGAGATCCAAGAACCCTCTCTTGGGGTCTGGATCTGGACCCCTTTCTGGCATCAACACGGGTCCGCAGCGCCAGGGCGGGCGGAGCTGGAGCCGGAGCCTTAGCCTCAGCCTTGAGACCCGGCGGGCCGCGCCCGACCGTCCCCGCCCCCCAGAGCTTCCTTGGAAGGTACCCGTAGAAAATTCCAGCCTCGCGGGGCCACCGAGCTGCCTCCGAACCGGGTTTTACCGGCGGGGCGGGTCCCGGGGCCACTGAGCGGGTGCGAAGGGGCCGCCGCCCCTTCGGGGCTCCCCGCCGGCCTTGGCTCCCTGGGGACCGGCGGGCGGGCCGCTGGAGCCGGGCTCTGGACGTCCTGGCAAACAGGAAGCGAGACAAAGGCGGCCACTTATCCGGCGCCCGCATTCCTTTCAGGTGATGCCCGTGAGGCCCGGGGGACGCGGCGATCCTGAGGGGCTGCCAGGGGCCCCCGGGGACCTCCCTGCCGCAGTCCCTCGGCGACTGAGGGTGCCCCTGCCTCCCCACTGGCTGGAGGTGGCGGCGGGGAGGATTCCTTGCGCTCGGGGATCCCCCTCCCAGGCACAGGCCCTTGGGCTCCCAGAAAGGAAGGAGCACCAGCCTGGCGTCTGTGCCCGGGGGGACGCAGTGGAGGCTTGGGAGGGGCCTGGAGGTGAAAGAATGGGCCATATCCACTCAGTCATTCCATACATTGGAGGGCCACCCTATACCAGGGTTTCGGTGTGGGTACCAGGACCCACTAATGAAACAGACCATCCCTGCCCTCTAGGAACTTCCAGCATAATGCGGAAGTTCAATAGATCCCAGATACCTGAAATATTGGGTGAAGGGCAGAGTGCAGATGATTTGAGGGAGGGTCTAACCCACGCCGGATGGGGATGGGGTGGCCTGGGCTCCTTGCACAGCCTCTGGCACTTCAGTGACCTTCACAGGCACTGTCTGGAAGAAGGAACCTTGGAGCGGGACAAGGGGTGGGTGGCATGGAAGGGCATCTGGCCCGGAGAGCAGCGTGAGCGAATGTCTGGCAGTCTGCATGTGTACCGGGCATTTGAGAGGCAGCAAGGAGCTGGTGACGAGGTTGGGCGGGTGGGTTCTGATGGCCTTGGAGCCAGGCTGAGGCCTGGCTTATTGTGCTGGCACTGGGAATCTGAGGAGGTGGGGTGGGAAGCAGGCTCAGCTTGGCCCAAGAGCAGGCCGAGGAGAGGCCCCCCTTGCCTGGATGGCTTGGAGAGACTGATCTACAGAGACAGAGGCTCCAGCTTCTGAGGGCTGTGCCCCCCTTGCCTGCTGGGCACTGGCACCGGTTCAGCTGATAGGAGTGCAGGGCTCCCCCTTCAGGCGGCAGCTGACTCAGCGTCTGAAAGGTGGTTCCCACGGTTCAGGTTTCTCTCTAGGGCCAAAGGCCATGCCATCCATGCCCCTCCCCCAAGTGGGTCAGTGCCCAGGGCATTGACAATTAGGGCTGAATGGAAGTTAGGATTTCCAGTCCCCCCACCCCTGCCAACCAGCAACACCTCAGGCAGTCCTTTCTGCTGTCTAACCACTGCCAGCCCAACTTTGGCTTGGCTTTCCACTCCCAGAGGTTCCAAGACACTGTAGTTATCAATACTTTGGTTTTATTTTAAAACAGTGAAAAGAAAAATAAATATCTGAAGAATAAGAATACAGGGCTGGGTGCAGTGGCTCATGCCTGCAATCCCAGCACTTTGGGAGGCGGAGGCAGGTGGACCGCTTGAGCCCAGGAGTTCGAGACCAGCCTGGGCAACACAGTGAGACCCCCCTCTTTACAAAAAATACAAAAATTAGCCAGGTGTGGTGGTGCACCTGTAGTCCCAGCTACTTGAGAGGCTGAGGTGGGAGGGTCACTTGAACCCAGGAGTCGGAGGTTACAGTGAGCCCTGATGGGCCACTGCACTCCAACCTGGGCAACGGAGCAAGACCCTGTCTAAAAAAAAAAAAAAAAGAATACAGGAGTGGGGTGGGGTAGTGGGGCTGGAGACTTGAGGTGTCCTGGCTTTGGTAGTCTTGAGTGGGGGCGCCAGAGGCCTGGGATCTGCAGCTGTGCTCTTCCCAGGCCAGGCCCTGCCCCGTCCCCACTGGGAGGTCTGGGGGCTCCGCCAGTCTCGCCTGCCCGCGGCTCCCAGGCGGGGCGCTGCGTCAGCGGAACCCGCGCCGGGATTAGCGCCCTGGCGCCCGCCTGCGCCCCGGGCTCTGTCGGGCGAGGCTGGGGTCACCGCCCCATTGGGGCCTCTTCCGCCGGCCCTTAGCCTGGATCCCAGGCCGGACCCCGCGTGGTGCCCGCAGCCTCAGTGATGACCCATGTCCTCCATGCCCACGCGGCCCCAGACGCCCAGCACGAAGCTCTCGATGTCGCACTCATTGACGCCGCGCACGATGCGGAAGTGGCCCCTCTCGCCCCAGGCTGGGCCCCAGGAGTTGGCCGCAGTCTGGGAATAAGGAGGGGTGGTGAGAAGGGGAATGGGAGTGGGGCGAGGGGAAGAGGGGGCGGGGAAAGGGTCAGCGGCCTCACCCAGTATTTGAGCGTCCTTCCATCTGGCAGCGTCTCCTCTCCCCATCTGTGGGCAGAGCAGAGGAGGGGGAAGGGAGCTGGGTCTACCTGCTCTCAGGAGCTCCAATCCCGGAAACCTGCCCCATCCAGCCCCCAGTTGCCTTTGGAGGGTTGGGTACACCCTTAGGGCTCAGGCAGGTCTCTGTACCTCTCTGCATCTCCCTCACTCTCACATCTGTAAGTCGGTGCACCCAGGCCCAGCATGGGAGGGGGTGGGGCACCAAGGGGACAAGTGGAGGCAAGGTGAGCAGAAGAGGAGGGAACCTGGGTCCTCCAGAGACCCACCTCCTAGGGGCCAGTTCTATGGGACCACACATCCACCTGCCCTCCCTCACTTGGGGATCCAGGGAGGGGTAGGTGCCAAGGGCCAGAAGGAAGACACTCTGAGAATATGGGTATCTTAGAGACCGCCAATTCCCACCGTAAAGCACATTTCACCGAGTTCATTGAAGTCAGTGATCCTAACATCTATATTCCCTAAATCGGATAGGGAAACTGAGGCCAGGGGAGCGACCTCCCAGGTCACTCGGTGGGTCAGGCAGAGCTGGGACAGGTGCTGAGGTGGGGAGAGGTTGAGAAACTCTTGAGGCTCTCTTCATATTGGAGTTATTTTATCCCAATGTAAGGAAGGAACAGTTCCTAAAAAAGCCTTCAGAGGCTCCCAACCTTCAATTCGACCCAGGGCAAGTCCTTTCTCTTTCTGAGTCTCAGTTTTCTCCCTATTGAAATGATGAGAGCAGTCCTGGCTTTTTAGAGAGGTTGTAAGAACCCAAGGCAGGCTCCAGAGCCCCTAGCACAAACCCTGCTGTCCCAAACCCCCTCTGCCCACACGCCCCTCACCCTGTGATCTTGACTGAGTGGGTCCCATGCCGGCGGTATCTCTCTGGCCTCCCAAGGCTCACTGGCGTGTGGCTGTAGATGCCTCCCTTGTATAGGAAGAAGTCCTCATGCACCTCCATGAGGGCTGTGGGCAGATGTCAAGGTAGGGTCCACTCAGCCCGTTGGCACAGGCACTGGAGCCTGAGTCTATTGAGATGTGCCCAGGCACCAGGGTCCCTCCATACCAAAGCTCTAAGTGCTCCCTCCAGGTGCTGCCTGTGGGAGGGGGGGACCCCTACTCCTGGCCCTACTGGACATGCTGCTGAATGCTGTGCAGGCCACTTGTGCTACTGTGCCCACTCTCAAGCAGGCACAAGCTTCTGGAACCAGGGTGCTGGATAAGGGGGTTTACCTTGGACAGGGCCATTCTCCATCAGCTCCTTCATGATCTCCTTGTCCTGGAGGGCAGGGGATGGACAGAGAGCATACGTCAGGGGTGAGACTCCAGGCTTTCACAACCCTCCTGCCTCGGCGCCCTCACCCAAGTGCTGACTTACGTTGGAGCCGAGGCGGTAGACAGGAGTGACCTGGTAGATGTCATTGTTATTAACATAGCTGTTGGGGCAGTGGGCAGTGGCCTGGCGCTTGCCCCGACCCATGGCTCGGCTGTGCATCATACAGGGGGGCGCAGGGCCAGCCTCGTCTCGTTCACGGCCCGAGAAGGGGTAGCAGTGGTCAGACACCACCCTGCAAAGGCAGCAAGAGGGAGCAAAGGCAGAAAGACTCAGTGCATCATGGCCCAGGCCATGCCCACGGAGCTCCTTGCCCTCTTCTCTGCCCACATCCCCTGTTGCTGCATACCCTCGGCGACGCAGGAACCACCAGGCACCATCGAGACGCCCACCGCGGCAGCCCTGCTGCTGGTGGGTGTCACAAGACAGCAGGTTCTGGGGCGACAGGACAGGCGTCATGTGTCCCAGAGAATGGATTGAGACACGATCGGATGCCACAGCTGGTGGGGTGAGATAGAGGGGCTGTCGGGAGGCTCAGGACTTGGCCCTCCTCTCCCAGGCGCCAGCCCTTGCCCTTGGCTTACCTGCTGTGGAGAAGGCCCAGGAGCCTGCACAGTTGCCTTGGTCAAGAGGCTCATGAATCAGGTTGGGCCACTTCTCAGAGGCCTCGAAGGCTGTGGGAAGCACCTCCCCTGGGTTCAGCACTGTCTGCAAGATAAAGGTTGCCCTGTCTGCCTCCTGCTCTGCCCTGGCCTGCCCCTCAGGTGCCCATTGGCACTGGAGGGCCACCAAGTCCAGGGCCTTCTGCAGTTTAATCTTGAGCCCTCCTGCTGCTGCAGGATTCCAGCTGCCTCCAATTTTGACTTGTGTTGAAGAACCAAGCACCATTTAGTGCCTCCCAGGTATCAGGTGGTGGGGCGGGGCGGGGTGGCGGTGGTGACTAGTCCTGCTTCCCAGATGAGGCAGCTGAGGCCAGGCACAGAGAAGTGGCCAGGCCAGGTCCCTCAGCTTTCCATTCTCAACCCCTGCCTCTTTCCTCTGCACCTTCTGATCGGCCTTAGCTTTCTTCAGGCCTTAGCTTTCCCTCAGGGGAGGGAAGAGGCAGTAGGGTCCCGTGACCAGGCAGTCTGCCAACACAAACAGCAAGAGGCAGAAAATAGCCAGAGGCCCAGGGGAATAAGGGCAGGGCCAGGGTCTGGTCACCCAAGGCCGAAGTCTCCGCAGGGAGGGCCACTCCTGCCAGCCCCTGCCTCCCCGCTGCCTGCCACTGATGGACAAATGCTCCGGCACATGTCCCGGTCCAGGCCTGCTGAAGCTCCCCTTCCTCACCCTTTCACTTTGGGCCTGGTTTTCATTCCTCTCCCAGAGGGTCCCACTGGTGGGAAGGGAGAAGCCCTCTCCTCCCTTGGGGTTCCGCTGAACCGGCATTTATTTCCGAGAACTGCTGCCCTCTGGCCAGAACTGGAGGAGTGTGTGTCCTTCCCTTCCCAAAATACCAAGGTGACCCCCTGTCCCCTTGGGCCCTAACCCAGCTGTACTGAGACCAACAGCATTTTTCCCAGGCTGGAGAGATCAGGGGGGAGCTGATGCCAAGACCACGAAATTCAATCTGAGCATCAGTTCTTCCAGCACAGCACATCCTGTGGAAGCAGGGAACAGAGGCCCAGAGAAGGGGAGTAACTTGTCCAGGGACACACAGCCTTGTAGTAGGGGATGGTCCAGGCCCTTGGAGGAGCAGGGCACAGGGCCAGCATCCCTGAGGTTCTGAGCCATGGGGAGATGGCAGCATTGTGGGGAAGGATGGACTTACATAAATTTCATGCATGTTCATGACCGAGGAAGATGGGCGGATGGTGCCCAGGCGGTAGCGAATGCCCTCATCCAGGGTCATGCCCCAGAAGGCGCTGTGGTTCCCAGCCTGCCAGCTGAAGGAGAGGGGACGGAAGGAAGTCACAGATCTGCCGAGGCTCAGGGTCCTTGGCGTGGGTGCATGTGGGTGGGAGAGACGCACAGTGGCTGAGCGCACACACAGTCAAATCTGGGTGTAGGAGTGGCCTGCTGGACGTGCCCCACAGCACAGCATGCGTGTATACATGCATGAGTATGCATGTGTGCCCACTGAGGGTGCCTCTAGGGCCTCTCACCCATAGTTGCCCTGGTTGATGGCTTTGATCATGTCTGGATCCACCAGGCATGGTTCTTGGTCACACTGCCACTGCCTGTTCTCCTGGCAGGTGCTGGTGAGAAAAGGAGAGAAGGAAAGGGTAAGTGGGGGACTGGGGATACTTTGAAGGAATGTGGCCTCGGAGGTTAACATGGGCCAGGGAGTCTGTGCAAGTGACTGTGGGAGAATCTCTAGGTGATCCCATCCAGCCTGGTGGCTTTAAATGTCAACGTCTAGTTCATGATTCTCAAGTTTATATCTGTGGCCCAGATCTCTGCCTGAACACCAGAGTCAAGGATCTCACGGCTACTCAACATCACTACCCTGAACCAAAACACTCCCTGAACCGAATTCCTGACCCCCCTCACTTATTCCCCCTACAGTTCTCAGAAAACGGCAACTCTATCCTTCCTGGAGTTTGGGCCCCAAACCTGGCAGTCCCCGCTGACTTCCTTTCCCATGCTGATCCAGTTCATCCGCATATCCTATGGGTCTACCTTAAAAATGCATCCAGAATCCGAACCACTCTCATTCTCTCCTGCAGCCCGCCCAAGTCCGATCACCTCTCACCTGGATTCCTGCTGTGGCCTCCTCACTGTGGGTGCTCCATGCATCTGCCCCTTGCCCTGCTTCCCAGGGTATTTTTAACACAGCTGCCAGAGTGACCCTGCTAAACCTAAGTCATATCATGTCGTTCCTCTGCCCAAAACCCTCCACTGGCTTCACATCACAGAATAAGAGCCAAAGTTTGGTGACAACAAGGCCCTGCACGCTCTGTCCTCCTGTCCCCTGATCCCCTCCTCCTTCAAGTTCTGGTTCTAAGGCTCCAACTAGGCTGGCCCCTGATGGTTCACACCAATCTGCCTGCTCCCCTTCCTCCCCGCTTTTTTTTTTGAGACAGGGTCTTGCTCTGTTGCCCAGGCTGGAATGCAGTGGTGTGATCTCGGCTCACTGCAGTCTCTGCTTCCCAGGCTCAAGTGGCCCTCCCACCTCAGCCTCCTAAATAGCTGAGACTACAAGTGCACCACCACACCCAGCTAAATTTTGCAATTTTTGTAGAGATGGGGTTTTGCTATGTTGCCCAGGCTGGTCTCAAATTCCTGGCCTCAAGTGATCCACCCGCCTTGGCCTTCCAAAGTGCTGAGATTTACAGGTGTGAGCCACAGGCCCGGCCTGTTTATATTGCTTATCCCTGTTTCCTCATAGGCTGTAAATTCCTTGAGGGCAGGTATTGTTTGGTATTTTCAGCGCCTAGGAAAACAAAGCCTAGCACATAGTAAGCACCCAATGAATATTTGTTAACTGAGTCAATGACTGAGGCCATATGCTGAATTGACTAAGAGCATGGGTTCTGGAATTCAGATTCTGGGTTTCAGCCCACTGGCTGTGTGATCTTAGGAGAATCATTCAAGCTCTGTCTCTCTCAATGCCCTTGTCTATAAAATGAGGATAATACAGTGGTACCACTTTCCAGGGATTTAATGATAGGCTTGTAAAGCATTTAGCACTGGGCCTGGTCCATCATTAAGTGCTCAGAATTAATATCTACTATCACCATTCTGTTACAGGAATCCCAGACCCCACTTCTCTAGAGCTTCAGACTCATATCCCACTGACCTTCTGACATCTCTGGATGTGCAAAAGGCATCTCAAACTCAAAATAGCCCGTCTGCCTCCCACAAGCCTGCTCTTTCCTAACATCTTCAACTCTGAAAATGGCACCCAGTTGTTCACATCAGAGCTCCAGGTGGTCTGTGGTGTCCGCCCACATGTCCCCCATCAGCAGGGCTTGGAGATGGCACATGAGGAATCCACCTACCTCTCGCCCCTCCACTGTGGCCACCCTACTCCCGTCCCTCATCACCTCTCACCTGGACCCCGGCACTGCCTTATTCACCAAGTCTGCTACCCCTTAAAATTCCCGGCCATCCCCTCCCTACCCACCCCAAAGCCAGAGAGATCTTTGAAGAACGTAAATCAGACCGTGTGCTCTCTACGTGGCTTCCTGTGACTCCAAACAAAATGCAGAATCCTGGGCACAGCTGATGTGAGCCACGGAACGTGGCCTGCACCTCCTTGGGACGTCTCTCCCCTACCCCAGCTCCAGCTAAAATGAGCTCAGTCACCTCCCGGCCTTCCCACGAGCCACTCCCTCTGCCTAGGCCAGGCCTCTCCTATCCTTCTCCCTGGTCTCAGCATAAATGTCCCTTCCTCAGAGTAGCTTTCCCACCCACTCCCTACTCTAAACTGGGACCCCCGTTATCCTCTCTTTTCCCTATAACACTGGGCAGCTTGTCAGAATATACTCATTTGTTGTCTTCCCATGCCCTTCACCTTACACTAGAAATGGGACAAGGACTGTGTCTGTTGCATTCCCGCTCCATCTCCTGAGCTCAGCATAGTGCCTGTCACGCAGTAGGTCTTTAATAATAGGTGCCGACTGAAGGGCTGCATTCTATGAATTCTATAATGCTTTTACAAGCTCATAACTCTGTTATTACAAGATGCTGAACTGCCTCCTTGCAAGCTGTCCAAGGCTCCCACCTCCAATGTTGCCTTTTAAGGAGCCTCAAGGGGAGCCAAGACCCAGTATGGCTGGGCTTTCCAGCCCCAGGAGAGGCGGGGGCACTGCTGGGGAGGGCCAGAGGAGTCTGCAGGGCCGGGAAGGCTTTCCTCATCCTTCCTTTCCCTCTCTGCACACCAGGCTGTTCCCCCTCTGCACACCTAGGCAGCAGCACCCGACTAGACTCTGGAAGCATCCTTTGAGGGCTCTGACACCCTGGACACTCCCCCACCCTCGCCCCCAGAGCCTTCATGAGGAGAGGGCAGTAGACTGTTCTGTCCTTTCCTGCCATCTCCTCCTTTGCCCCCAGGGCTGCCCACACAGGTCCAGGCAGGGCCGGTGGTAGCAGGTCCCAGCATTCCAGAGGGGGCCTAAGGGGCCAGGGACAGCAGTGAGAGAGAGAGAGACAGAGAGAGAGAGACAGAGAGAGACAGAGAGAGAGAGACAGAGAGAGAGAGAGAGAGAGAGAGAGAGAGAGAGAGAGAGAGAGAGAGAGCGCATTAACCCCTCAACGTCCAGAGCCATCCTATCAGAACCTGCAGACGCGGGCCAGGCATGTTTTATCCTTTTGAACACACACACACACACACACACAGTGCACACACAGTCACGCTGAACACCCAGACACATGCTGAAACGTTCCCTCCCTCACTGTGACCCGGGCACCCCTCACCCTAGTGAGGCAATGGAAATATCTTATGCGCAATGCATTCCAAAAAGTTTCCTTCTCTCTGGGGCCTCTTAGTCCCAGGCAAAGAGGGAGTGGGGGTGGAGTGGGTGCAGGGCCGCCTCCTCCAAGTCGCAGGCTCCCCATTATTTCTATTAAGGCTTTCAGGGTTTCCTACCTGGCCCTTCTCCACTTCCCATCTCAGACTGAATAGGGGGGTACCCATGACCCCTTCCTCCTCCTACTGGGAATGGTGGGGAGGGGTGGGGAAGGAAAAAGGGGCCACATTTCAGGGAAGGCCCTGCTAGAGGCTGGCTGGCCGCCCGCTCAGCCATCCCTGACCCTCATCCGCTCAGGGCAGCGGATGCTGCAGTCAGAGCTTTCCTTCCTGGCGCCCCCTTCTCCCTCTGACTCTGCAGTGACAGCAGGAATAGCTGGGAGGAATAGCCCAGCCCAAGCCAGGAGGGGTGGGGAAGGATCTCAGTTCAAGGGTGACCCCTGGGCCAGGCACCCATGGCTGGCCATGCTTGAGGAATGTTGTTGGAATGATGTTAGATAAGTTGACTTGGTCAGTGTTAAAATTCCTCTATTGCAGATGAGGAAACTGAGGTTCAAAGAAGGGAAAAGACTTCTCCCTTGCAAAAGGGGTCAGGGATAAGATTTGAACCAAGTCTGTCAGCCACAGGCTCACAAAGCAAGACCCCTCTAAGCTCCAAACACTCACCAACGGTTACAGTTGTCCCAGTACGTTCCCAAGACTGGATAGATACGACCTCCATGCATACATCCTGTTGGAAGGGAAGAGAAGAGAAGTGGAACCAGAACCAGAGAGGATGGGCTAATTGGCCAGGTCCTTGGAGGTCAGGTACCTTGAACCTTTCCAAGATTCTCTCTCTTTCTCTCTCTCTGTCTCACACACACACACACATACCAGCTCTCACTGAAATTAAACTATAACTGAAGACATCACACACACACACACACACACACACCAGCTGTCACTAAAATTAAACTATAACTGAAGGCATCACACACACACACACACACATACCAGCTCTCACTGAAATTGAAGCCAAACTATAACTGAAGATATCACACACACACACACACACACCAGCTCTCACTGAGATTAAGCTATAACTGAAGACATCACACACACACACACCAGCTCTCACTGAAATTAAACTATAACTGAAGACATCACACACACACACACCAGCTCTCACTGAAATTAAACTATAACTGAAGACATCACACACACACACACACACCAGCTCTCACTGAGATTAAGCTATAACTGAAGACATCACACACACACACACACACACACACACCAGCTCTCACTGAAATTAAACTATAACTGAAGACATCACACACACACACACCAGCTCTCACTGAAATTAAGCTATACTGAAGACAACACACACACACACACACACCAGCTCTCACTGAAATTAAGCTATAACTGAAGACATCACACACACACACACACATACCAGCTCTCACTGAAATTAAACTATAACTGAAGACATCACACACACACACACACACACACACCAGCTGTCACTAAAATTAAACTATAACTGAAGGCATCACACACACACACACACACATACCAGCTCTCACTGAAATTGAAGCCAAACTATAACTGAAGATATCACACACACACACACACACACCAGCTCTCACTGAAATTAAGCTATAACTGAAGACATCACACACACACACACACACACACACACACACACCAGCTCTCACTGAAATTAAACTATAACTGAAGACAAATCCTGCAGGGTCACACACCAACTGCTGTTTGGGAAGTTCTTCAATGATTCCAACCTGGATTCCTCTTACTTTACTTGGATGCCAGCCACAACATTCCTGGGATCCTTTTCCATTTAAATAAGTTAGGGCTTGGAGATGGGGAGTGGGAGGAGCATGGGGAAGCCAAGGCCCAGAGAAGGTAAGCAACCGTCCTAAGATAACACAGCACTCTTGAGATGACAGCTCAGGTATGCAGTCTGCCGGCCCAAGCCCCATGGAACTGTGGGAAGGAACGCAAGTGATTCTCCTATTGGACAGGGGCAAGTGCATGGAAAAGGATGATGGTGAGGCTGAAAGCAGGAAAAGATTTGACCCATCTCCCAGGTATGAGCAGCCATCTCGGGGCACAGGATCCTAGAATCCTCAGCAAAGGCAGAAAAATGGCTAAGATGACCCTCACCAACCCATATGTGCCTTATCAGCCCAAGAGTGAGTCAGCAGGTGCGGCCAGCACCTTCCGTGTCTGGAAAAGAGACAGGATTGGGAGAAAATGTGGGAGGTTGCCCTTTCCCTGGGCCAAATTAGAATTCTAACCAAGGAGCTTCTTCAGTCTTGCTGGAGAGTAAAGTTCCCAGAGGGGCAGGGAAGAGTCCCAGATTCTACAGAGCTTCCCCTGGAAATGTCAGTGCATCCATCAGCTTTGCTCTTGAGCCTTGCTGAGTCTGAGGTGGACAAAGTGACCCACCCTCCTGGCCATCTTAGTGCCCACCTTGGATCGGGGGAAAAGGGGGTGGCACGCCGAGGCAGAAGTCCCAGAAGTCAGGGCAGCAGTCGGAGACCGTGCGGTTGCAGAAGAGGTCACAGTAACAGATGGCGCCCAGGTAGGGCAGGGCACAGTCGTCGGCACGGCCGCGGCAGCACAGGTCCTGCTCCTGGCAGTACCGGCCTCCCGCGTCCCGGATGCCCCGCAGGTGCAGACCCGGTGCTAGCTCCCGGCGCCCACGACCCTGCTGGGCACCCAGAGCCAAGTGGCCAGCCAGCGGCAGCAACAGCAGTAGCCCCAGTGGACATCGCCACATGGTGGCTCCTGGGCCCTGGGGGGCAGAGATGGTGGGCAGCAGAGACTCCCTGGAACACCAGGGATGAGTCTCCCAGTTTCCTGGAGCTGTGAGTTCAAGAGGGCCCAGCAGGGAGGGAGATCCCGATTCCTGAGTCCCCAGGCAGGACACGGGCAGAGGAGCCCCAGTGTGTGGGCCCTGGCTATAGGGGGATGGGGACTGGGCAGAAACGGAGCCCCTCCCTGACCTAGGCAGGGACCTTCAAGGACAAGGAAATGAGGGTGGTGGCATTCTTGGTGCTCCCACCCAACACTCATCCTGTGGACCCAAGGTCTTCTCTCCTGTCCTAGGTCTCTCTGCCCTCCAGCAGCCTCCATCCCTGACCTGGGTCCTTGACTTTGTGCTTTCCTGTCTCCCCCGGTCTTTTGGGTACACCTCTCTTCTGTTCCTGTGTCCCTCTGTCCCCCTCCACTGTCCCTCTCTCTGCCATCTGTCTTGGTTCCTCTACCTGCCCCCTCCCCCTGTTTCTTCTCTGTCTACACCTTCCGCCCTCTGAGCAGGGGAGCGTCCCTACCTGGTGAAGGTGTGGGCTGGGGCCCAGGCTGGCCCGCGCGCCTCCGCCTCCTGGCTCTGCGACCGCCGGACGCTCAAAGTCAAGAGAGGAGCGCGGGGCGGGGCGCTTTTTGTACCGCCCGCCCTCTGCACCGCCCCAGCAGTGGCGGAAGGGAGGGGCGCCTGGCTTGTACCTGGAGTAACTACCCCACAACTCATGGGCTTGCAGGGTGGAGAAACGACAAGCACACGATTGTCCTGGCTGGGTCTCCTGTGGCGGAAGCCGTTCCCTTAGGGGAACCCCAAGCAGGAAGGATTGCGGTTTCACACTGGGAAGGACTTCACAGTGGGCATCCCTGTGGAGCTGAGGGGCTCTGGTGGAGAAGGGGGGATATGGGCAGCCGAGCTCTGGGTTATGGACACAAGTTTGGGAAATGATGGGGAGGGCATGTGAGGCAAAATTCTGTAAGCCTCTCCTGACCCCTCGGTAATAAAAATAGCCATGCACACCCCTCTCCACTGTGCCCCCTAGGCTTGGGTGCCGCCCCCCTAGCCACCCCAGCTCCTAGGAATGATTGGAATTCCAGGAGTATGATCCTTAGGTGCCCTGGGCGGCTCATCCCTGGGAGGTGGGCAGGGTGTGGGGGTGGCCTCTGCACCCTTTGATCCCTTGTTGAGTCTGCCTTCCCTTGCCTGCTTGGGCCCCTAGACGAGCACTGCCCTCTCTAGCAAACCCAAGGGCATCCTGCTTGGCACCTGTCCCCCTCCAAGGGTCCAAAGGCAAGGGCCCTACCAGCTGGCACCCCCTGCAGAGGCCCTCCTTCCTGCCGCAGGCATAAACCTTTCTTTGCCCAGGCTGGCCTGGGACCCAAACAATGGGGCTTCTGTCCCGCCAGGTCTGCCGTCACCTTTTACCTCCCTATTGTGCAACGCCCTCTCTTCAACAGGTTGGGCCCAGGCCAGAGGTCTCTACCAGCAAAGAGGATAAAAGAGACTACACCTGGACAAACCCTCCCAGGCCCAGGCCTGAGCCTCACATGTGGCCCCGGGGAAGGCATCAGGGACTCCCTTTGCCCTCCCACTGACCTCCCTGCAAACCTCCCCCAAACCAAGGGGCATCCTCAGCTGGCCAGACCCTGGGGGAAGGGAGAGAGCCGAGGATCACCGGCACCTGTGGCTGGGTTACCCCTGCCATGGACCACTGGGTGGTGAGTCACCAAGGGGGTCCTGCCCTGGTGGTGGGGGTGGAGGGATAATATCCGGGGGCCCCAGCACTGGCACTAACACACCCAGGAGCTGCCCATCTGCTCCCTGCAGGGACCTGGGAGGACAAAGCCTAGGTGGGAAACTGAGGCTCAGAAGAATGCACTTGCCTGAGGTCGTGCAGCCAGAACACAGGCTCCCTGCCTGCCACCAGCCCACTCCTTTACCCCTAGTCACCCTTAGTCACCCACTACAGGTCTCAACGTGCTCCTGGTTGGGAAGTCTCTTTTCTTATCTAAACTCCATTCATCTTACTGCAGGACGGGCCCCTCGGTATTGGTAAATGTCATATCCTCAGGGTAAGAGATGAAAGCTGCTTTCTTTCAAAAGAGTTCGTGTCCAGAGTTCCTACTTTTATGGTACCTACTTTTTCATGGTTCTGGGGCTGGGGGCTTGTTTAGAGACATCTGGCCTCTCTTTTGCCCAAAATCACACCGCATAGGCTACCCTCGTGAGTCTGGGTGTGTTATCTCTGTGTGCATGTATGCATGTGTATATCTGAGTTGCGGTGTTTGTGGGGGTGTTTCTGCTTCTGCTTGAGTCTGTCAGTCCACATCTGATCGTCTGGGTTTTTTTTGCTTTTTGTTTTTTGTTTTTTTTTGAGACAAGGTCTCACTTTGTCACCCAGGCTGGAGTACAGTGGCGCGATCTCGACTCACTGAAGCCTTGACCTCCTGGGCTCAAGTAATCCTCCCACCTCAGCTTCCTGAGTAACTGGGACTACAGGTGCACACCGCCATGCCTGCCTGAATTTTTTTTGTATTTGTAGTAGAGATGGGGTTTCACCATGTTGCCCAGGCTGGTCTCCAACTCCTGAGCTCAAGCAATCCGCCTGCCTTGGCCTTCCGAAGTGTGTTTACCTGTCTATCTGCTATGTGCCTGTGTATCTGTGAGTCTGGATATTTTGGCTATCTGCCTGTCCTTGTCTGACTGATTGTCTGCTTGTCTATCCATTTACCTGTCCATCTGCTACATACCTGTGCATCTGTGTGTGTGTATCTGTCTGGATGTTGTCTCTGTGTCCATTATGGATCTGTCTGTCTGCCAGCGTGTGTTGTTTGCCTGCATTTGTGCACTTGTTGGCTTGTATGTCTGTGTGTGTGTCCTGCCTGTGCCTCCCTGTCTAAGAGGTGTCTGTGTATCTGTGTGGGAGTTGTGGCCATCTGCCTGTCCTTGTCTGCCTGCCTGTCTGTGCATAAGAGGCAGGGACTCAGAGCAGGGGATGGGAGCAGAGCCAGAGCCTCCCACCATCACTCAGCTTGGCACAGAGCCCGCCCCAGTGGAATTTTGTGACTCACTGGGTTCCTTGGCCGAGGAGGAAAAGGGCAGGGCCGGGGGTGCTGGACACCCCCACTTTCCTTTTCCATGACCCTTTGACCCTTTGCCTCCTAGTGACTCCTAGTGACTCATTGACTTATTATTATTTTTTTTGATGGAGTCTCGCTCTGTCGCCCAGGCTGGAGTGCAGTGGCGTGATCTCAGCTCACTGCAAGCTCTGCCTCCTGGGTTCAAGCCATTCTCCTGCCTCAGCCTCCTGAGTAGCTGGGACTACAGGCACCCACAACCAGGCCCAGCTAATTTTTTGTATTTTTTTTTTAGTAGAGATGAGGTTTCACCATGTTAGCCAGGATGGTCTCGATCTCCTGACCTTGTGATCCGCCCGCCTCAGCCTCCCAAAGTGCTGGGATTACAGGCATGAGCCACCATGCCTGGCCGACTCAATGACTTATTCTTGAGCAAAGTGGGGCCTTATCCAAGGGCCTGGGACAGAGCAGCAGAGGAGGAGACACCAGCGAGACTTCCCCCTCTGAGCCCTTCCGGCTTTTCAAGAGGCAGGTAGCCTAGGTCCCTGTGGTGGTTTTGTCCTCCCTTACTCCGGACCCCCGGCAGCGCAGCCCCTCTCTGGGCGTTGGTACCAACCTGTACCCAGATGCTCCCTGGAGGCCCTCTGGTATTCTCTTACTTTTACAGAGGGAGGTGAAGCCAGAAAGGGACAGTGACAAGCCTAAGAACACACGGCAGAGCAGAGGGCTCTCCTCTCTATGGAGTCCCAGAGCTCCCCACACCCCACAAACTTCACAACTGCTCTAAATGCTCGGAATCAGCCATTCTCCTCTGTGAGCTGAGCAGGGCTTTCTGGGAAGACAAAGACCTGTTGTCTGCTCACCTCAGGTCCCTAGCCGAGGACCTGATACTTGAGGCCTGGGAGTTCAGATGCTCAGGGCCCAAACAGCACCCCATCCAAGGCTGGGGCTCCTTGTGGTTCCCTGTGGTCAGTGGGACATGTCCAGAGCTCAGGTCAGTGCTCCCTGGGACTGCATCTGAGACCCTGTCCAGGCCTAATACTGTAGCCGGTTGGGCCATGTTGTGATATGTTGGGGCTTCCCAGGGCTCATGGACTGTTTTGTAGAAAGTCCCACATCAAGGGCTGCATGACAGTCAGAGTGTGGTGCTGTCATAGCACGCTGGAGCTTGCAGCAGACAAAATTCCAGGCCATGTGGAAGTGTGTTGCGCCACGCAATGGCATGCTTTACTATTTGATTTTCTCATTCATTCAACAAATACTTGTTAAGCATTTACGATGTGCCAGGTTCTGTGCTAGGTGCTGAGTGTACATTGTTGAACCAAACAGATGGAGTTCCTGCTATTGTGGAGTTTGCAGTCTAATGGGAAGAGAGGCCAGGCATGGCGGCTCATGCCTGTAATCCCAGCAGTTTGGGAGCCTAAGGCAGGTGGATTGCTTCAGCTCAGGGGTTTGAGATCAGCCTGGGCAACATGGTGTAACCCTGTCTCTACCAAAAATTAAAAAAATTGCCTGGGTATGGTGGCATGTACCTATGGCCCCAGCTACTCAGGAGGCTGAGGTGGGAGGATTGCTTGAGCCCAGGAGGCAGAGGTGGCAGTGAGCTGAGATTGTGCCACTGCACTCCAGCCTGGGTGACAAAGTGAGATTCCATCTCAAATAATGATGATGATAATAATAATAATAATAACAACGGGAAGATAGACAAATACATAAGCAAACCATCCCCCCGCCCCCCCACCCACAGATCAAGAAGTCATTCCAAAATGTGAAGCGTTCTGAAGATATGCACATAGCGTAAGAACCTGGTGTAATGTGCTGGTCAAGGCGGTCTCAGAGAGGAGATGACGTTTGAGCTGACACCTGAGGGATGAGAAGAAAGCAGCCATTCCCAGGGCCCAGGGGAGGCATCCCAGGAAGCCGGATCAGCATGAGCAAAAGCCCTGAGGCCTGGCACAAGTTGGTCTGCTTGAGAAGCAGGAGAGAGCCCTGAGCATCCGGAGTGCAGCAAGCGAGGTGCACAGAGGAGCAGGAAGGGGCTGGGAGAAGGCTGGGGCCGGATCATGCAGGACAGGCTGGAGGAAGGGGCTTGAATTGTCTTCTGACCACTGAGGGGATATAAACATGAGGGCAAAATCATCTGATTTCCATGTGCAAAGGCCCACTCTGGCTGCTCTAGAGAGAACAGATGATTGCAGGGTAAAAGTGGATTTAGAGAGGTCAGATGGAGGCTGGGTACGTGCCGTGTATGGTAGATAGCATGCTACCAAATACACTCACAGGTAGCCCTATTATCTCCATTTCACAGATGAGCAAGTCAAGATGCAGAAGGACTCTCTGGCTTGTCCAAGGTCACACGGCTGTTAGGAGCAGAGCAGCGTCCTGGTGCCCAAGCCCTGAGGTCCCCAGCACACTGCCTCTGCAATGGCCACAACTGTCCAAAGACTAAGCTGACTCTCACACCTGGTAGTGTCTGTGGTCATTCACTGTGGATGGAAGTGGAGAAATGCAGAAAACAGAAACACAGCTTCCCCTTTTCTGTCATATTTCTGTATCGTTGGTGTTTGGAGCCAGTTGAGCACAAAGGGCCCCTGAGTGCTGTTTCCTTGTGATATTTGGGGGTTAACAGCTTCCCCTCATCTCTTAATTACCTGCCCTCCTTCACTTCAGCTGCACATTCGTTAAAGAATGCTCTCCCAGGAGAAGAGCTTGGTGTTATCACCCACAAACATCTTAGAAAACTAATGCTATCCTTGAGTGCCTGTTTACAGAAACATTTTTACATCTCACTTGACATTTCCAGCAAATCTTGATCCTTCCAGCCAGGAATATTAATATATAGGTCTTGAAAAGTGCAAGAGGCTCTTCCATGGCTCCAAGCACATTTGACACTCTTCCTTTTCTGATCCCCAAGCAGACAGTGATGAAACCCCAATAGCTGGGCGAATACTCATCCAACAGGAAGAATCAGTTTTAAGAGCTGGGTTCTCAGGGTCAAATACTGTGGTGTGGCCTTTTGGTTGTAATGAGTTGAATGGAGGTCTCAAAAAAGATATATCCATGTTCTAATCCCCAGAACTTGTGAATGTGACCTTATTTGGAAAAAGAGTCCTTTTGGATGTAATTAAGTTAAGGATTTTGAGATAAGGAGATCATCCTGGGTTATCTGGGTGGACCCTAAATCTGTTGACAATGTCCTTATGAGAGACCCCAGAGGGCACAGACAGGAAAGGAAGAGGCAATGTGGCCCCAGAGGCTGAGATCAGAGCTCTGTGGCCACAATTCGAGGAACACCTGGAGCCACCAGAAGCTGGAGGAGGCAAGGAACAGATTCTCCCTGATCCTCTGGATACAGAGGGAGAATAGCCTGGCCGACACCTTGATTTTGGACTTCTGGCCCCCAGAACTGAGAAAATTAACTTCTGTTGTGTTAAGCAGCCACGTTTGTAGCAGTTCATCATAGCAGCCCTGGGAAAGAAATACAGTGGGCTTCCAGTTCAAGGAGGATCCACGAGGCCTGAGCTCCATCTGTCGATTGGAATCACCAAAATCAAGGTTGTGTGCGGGTAACGCCAGCACAAGCAGCTCATGCTGGCAAAAGCAGACCAAACCGGCTCACGCAACGTCAAGTCATCTTGAAGTGGTTCACGCACCACAGTGAGTGGTATTGATTGTGGTTAAGAGCCAGGTTCAAGGAGGTTTATCACTCAGTAGCCAGGTAAAGCAGGTTCCAGGCCTGGCTCCACCACTCAACAACCGGGGAAACAGGGGTAAGCTTCTTAAATGCTCCGTGTCTCAGTTTCTCCATGTGTAAAATGAGGGCACTAATAACAGTCCCTACCTGCAAGGTGGTTGTGAAGATGATATGAATTCATATATGTAAGGCACTTGGAATTGACAATACTGACATACCACAAATACAAAATAAGTGTCTGCCATTATTAAGCTAACCCAAATCAAAACAGACACAGATGAATTCAGAATACTCAAGTAGACTCAGATATGTTCAAATGGAGCCCACCAGTTAAAACTAGCTGAGACCAGTGTAAACTGGCTCAAGCCTTTTGGGCCAAGCTGTACTAAAACCAGATTAAATCAGTCAAAACAGGATTAGAATAGTCAGTCTGGAATCTCTACACGCACGCCTGCACATTTGAGGGGTCTCTCTCCGCCCCCTCTGTACATCAGATTGAATAGTAACAAACAGTCCCACATCTCCCAAGAATGAGCATAATGGACAAGCAGAGGGCCGCCAATGTCCCCACCAGAACGAGCATAATGGACAGGCAGGGGGCCGCCGATGTCCCCACCTAAGACATGCAGACATTTCCCTGTCGGAAACGCGCTCAGATTCTTTACGGCAGGTCAAGGCTCAAATATCAGAAACCAATTTCACTCACACTAACTAAACAAGAGACGGGATCTGTGGTTCAGGATCCTGAGGCACTCGTGAAACTCATGGGTAGGAAGGTCAGCTGGAGCCAGTTAGTGTCTGGAAGGCTATCAGAGCTCAAGGCCCCTCTCTCTGGCCCATGGAGGGGAATTAACTCCCTCAAAGGCAGGAGCTCAGTGAGCAGGAGGCTGGTAGGGAGGTGGGAGCTGCAGGTGACCGGTTAGAAGTCAGAGGCTGTTGTGGGGGGCAGCTTGCACCAGTGGACACAAGAGCCCCAACTTGTGGGCACTTGGAAGTCCCAGGCTGTTCCCTGGCTCCACCCCGTCCTCTGGGGTGCCTGCTTCACAGAGCACCAATAATGCGTTTGTGTCACTCTATGTTTCCTGGCAGGAGCAGACCTGCAGAGGGGCCAGAAGACACCTGGCCGGGTGGGGAGCAGCCCCTCCGTAATAACAATCGGAACCTGGGAAGATAAGTAGAGTCCCAGGGGAGGGACAGAGTTTCCCCTGTGTCACCACATGGCTACTTTGACACAAATGCACGTGGGCAGAGAGAGGCATGCAGGTCAAGGGCCTGGCAGGGAGTCAGGGGCCCTCAGTGCCAGTCCTGGCTCTGCCTCTGCCTCTGACACGCCATGTGACCTTGAGCAAGTCACCACCCTGTCTGGGCTTCGCTAACCCATATACGGAATGAGAAGGTATCGTCCCTGGTCACTGCAGGTTTTAAATCATGTAGTGAGAGAGAGCTCATTTGGTCCAACTCTCTGCAACTGAAGGAATGGAGACACCAAGGGGGAGTAATCGGCCGCAGTGATGAGTGGGTGGCAAAGGGAGCTATCACTACCATTGATTATCCAGCTACTTGTGCTTGATAAACTCCCTCCTGGTGGAATGGGCTTTCCCACATCCAGCAGCACAAATGCTGTGAGCATCTACTACGGGCTGGGCACCTTCTCTGGGCTGGCACTTGACATGGGTTATCTCATTTAACTCCCTAACAACCCTATGTGGTATTATCATCCCCATTTCACAGGCGGCAAAACTGAATCCCAGAGAGAAGACTCACTCAGACACAGCTATCTGAACACTCTTTTCCAGTTCCCCTAGGGCAGCAGAGGAAGCAAGGTGGGGGGAAGCCAGTGGTCAAGGATTCCATGCGGAATGTACCCTAGAATTAACCCATGGAGAGAGGGTAAGGGAACGGGCTCAGGCCTGGGAAGAAGTGGGGAGGACAGTGTCCTGTTGACCTATTCAAAAACATCCAGTTTTAGTTAATTTTTAGTTCATTAGTCACCACTTTTTATTAGTATCTCATGTATTCTTTCACAGTTTCTTTCTGCAGGTACAAAAATAATGATTTTTTTTCTTTCTTTTTCTTCTTTGAGACAGGGTCTCGCTCTGTTGCCCAGGCTGTAGTACAATGGTGCAATCTCGGCTCACTGCAACCTCTGCCTCTGGGTTCAAGCGATCCTTTGCCTCCGCCTCCTGAGTAGCTGGAATTACAGGCATGCACCATGATGCTTGGTTAATTTTTGTATTTTTAGTAGAGTCAGGGTTTTGCTATGTTGGCCAGGCTGGGCTCCAACTTCTGGTCTCAAGTGATCCACCCGCCTCGGGCTCCCAAAGTGCCAGGATTACAGGCGTGAGCCACTATGCCTGGCCAAAAGTGGCGATGTGTTCTTAATGCCCATTTTCACATAAAAGGTAATAATCTACCCACACCATGCTGTACCTTGTTTGTTTTTTGTGTGTTTGTTTGTTTGTTTTTTGACAGAGTCTTGCTCTGTCAGCTAGGCTAGAGTGCAGTGGCACAATCTCAGCGCGCTGCAACCTCCGCCTCCCGGGTTCAAGCGATTATCCTGCCTCAGCCTGCTGGGTAGTTGGAATTACAGGAGCCTGCCACCATGCCCAGCTAATTTTTGTGCTTTTAATAGAGATGGGGTTTCACCATGTTGGCCAGGCTGGTCTCGAACTCCTGACCTCAAGTGATCCATCCACCTTGGCCTCCCGAAGTGCTGGGATTACAGGCGTGACCCACCGCGCCTGGCTCTTGTTTGTTTTTTTAACTAATCACACATCTTAGAGACCTTTATCAGTAATTAGAGAGCTTCCTGGATCTTTTATATCACTGCATAATAAATATTCTATTATATAGATTAGAATAATTCAAATTACCAGTTCCCTATTGGTGGACATTTGTTTCTGGTTTGTTTGTTTTTTCTATTTTTTTTCTTATCACAAACAGTGCTGCAATAAGTAATTGTGCATATGCACTGTTTCACATGTGTGCAGGTATACCTGCAGGATAAATTCCCAAAAATGAATTCCTGATTTAAGAGTATCTTTTTTTTTTTGAGACAGGGTCTTGATCTGTTGCCCAGGCTAAAGTGCAGTGGCATGATCACGATGCACTGCAGCCTCAGCCTCCTGGGCTCAAGCGATCTTCCCACCTCAGCTTCCCAAGTAGCTGGGACTACAGGCATGTGGCACCACGGCTGGTTAATATTCTCAGTGTAACAGAGTTTCATCACATTGCCCAGGCTGGTCTTGAACTCCTGGGCTCAAGCAATCCTCCCACCTCAGCATCCCAAAGTGCTGGGATCACAGGCATGTGCCACCATGCCTGGCAGGTTGAAAGTACTGTATGAGTTATCTATTGCTGCATACCAGATTATCATAAACTCAGCAGTTTAAAAAAACACCCATTGTTTAGCTCACAGTCTCACCTGAACTGGGTGCTGAGTTCAGGGTGAAACCAAGGTGGCGGCCAGGCTTGGTTCTTTTTTGGAAGCTCTGGGGGGAAAATCTACTTCCAAGGCCATTCTTGTTGTTGGCAGAATCTGGATCCTTGTGGTTGTAGAACTGAGTCTCTGGTTTCTTGCAGGCTTCCAGGAGGGGCCTCCCTGGGCTCCCGGAGGACACCCACAGTCCTCACCATGCAGCTCCCTCCAACATCAAGCCAGGAATGGCCGAACAGATCTTTCTCATGCTTCAAATCTCTGATGAATTTCTCTTGCCAGAGAAAGCTTGCCATTTTCCAAGGGCTCACCCAGTCAGATCCGTCCAACAAGGGTGATCTCCCTAACATTAGGTTAACTGACTTGGAACCTCAGTTAATCTGCAAAATCCCTTTTGTCATATAATGGAATACAATCATTTGGTTCACATGCTCATCTTATTCACAGGCCCTACACTCATACAAGGGCAGGGGACCACAGAAGAGTGAAGGCCAGTGAGGGTCACCTCAGAATTCTGCCCAACACCGGTGTTTTGTAATTTGGGTAGATGTTGCCATGTTGTCCTCCGTGGGGATTATGCAGAGGGAACTCTCCTCCTCCAGCAACAGTACATGTACCTGCTTTTCCATGGTGCTGCTTAGAGAATGTTATCAAACCTTTGGATTTCTGCCAGTCTGATAGGAGAAAAATGGAATCTCAATTGTATTTTAAAATTGTAATTATCGCCTTATGAATAAGGCTGAGCATTTCCTCAAAAGCATAAGAGCCATTTATATACTTTTTTCTTTATGGCTTCTGGTTTTGAGGCATAGAAAGGTCTTTCTAGCTCTAAAGTTAATCAGAAATTCTCTGTTTTCTTTTTGCTTTTTTTAAAATTTTACTTTAAGTCCTTGGATACATGTGCTGAACGTGCAGGTTTGTTACATAGGTATACATGGGCCATGGTGGTTTGCTGCACCTATCAACCCGTCATCTAGGTTTTAAGCTCCACATGCATTAGGTATTTGTCCTAATGCTCTTCCTCCTCTTTCCCCATGCCCCCAACAGGCCCCGGTGTGTGATGTTCCCCTCCCTGTGTCCATGTGTTCTCATTGTTTAGCTCCCACTTATGAGTGAGAACATGCAGTGTTTGGTTTTCTGTTCCTGTGTTAGTTTGCTGAGGATGATGGTTTTCAGCTTCATCCAGGTCCCTGCAAAGGACATGAACTCATTCTTTTTTATGGCTGCATAGTATTCCAAGTTGCATATGTGCCACATTTTCTTTATCCAGTGTATCATTGATGGGCTTTTGGGTTGCTTCCAAGTCTTTGCTA
Organism: Homo sapiens; assembly: GCF_000001405.40. Lineage (NCBI taxonomy): Eukaryota > Metazoa > Chordata > Mammalia > Primates > Hominidae > Homo > Homo sapiens. The sequence continues at coordinate 31,565,607 of NC_000001.11, read as the reverse complement.
TCGTAAGTAGTGCTGCAATAAACAAATGTATGCATGTGTCTTTATAGTAGAATGATTTATAATCCTTTGGGTATATACCCAGTAATGGGATTGCTGGGTCAAATGGTATTTCTAGTTCTAGATCCTCGAGGAGTCGCCACACTGTCTTCCACAATGGTTGAGCTAATTTACACTCCCACCAACAGTGTAAACGTGTTCCTATTTCTCCACATCCTCACCAGCATTTGTTATTTCCAGACTTTTTAATGATTGCCATTCTAACTGGCATGAGATGGTATCTCCTTGTGGTTTTGATTTGCATTTCTCAGCTCATTGCAACCTCTGCCTCCCAGGTTCAAGCAATTCTCCTGCCTCAGCCTCCAGAGTAGCTGGGATTACAGGGGCACGCCACCAAGCCCAGCTAATTTTTGTATTTTTAGCAGAAACAGGGCTTCACCATGTTGGCCAGTCTGGTCTCAAACTCCTGATCTCAAGTGATCCATCCACCTCAGCCTCCCAAAGTGCTGGGATTATAGGCGTGAGCCACCACGGCTGGCCATTCTCCTGTGTTTTCTTCTGGGGCTTTTATACTTTCATTTTTTAAAATCCATAGTTTCTTGGAGCTGGAGGTGTCCCTTGTCATTTTCTCATCAGTGAGTGCAAAGCAGGATCCCAAAAGGATTGGAGTCCAGAGTAGAGAAAGGAGCTGCCGCGGTGGAGTCTGTTCAGTGCAGGCTCTGATCTCCTTCAGCCCTGCCAGGAATCCCAGCCAGCAGATCTTCTTCCAGCTTCCCTTTCTCCAGCACTCTTGATCTTCTGGGCTGGCACAGGGTCCAGGGTTGATGGGGATCCTAGCTGCCTGAGGAGCTTCCAGTCTGGAGGGTGATACAAGCACATGGCCAGACCTGAATTCAAGCCATGAGAGAGATTCAGAACCTGGGCTGGGAGCGCAGGGGAGGGAGCGGGGTGCTGATGGGGGTGGATGGGAGGCTCCAGAGAGGAGGTGGCGTCTGAACTGAACCTTAAGAATGAGGGGAAATGTAATGGCAGCGATGAGAAAGGGGAGGCACTTCAGTGCAGAGAACAGCAAGAGCAAAGACAAGGAGGTGGAAAATCAGCCAGAAACCTAGCCTGGAGAGGGTTTAGTGGACCATGGGTCCTTGATGGTAGAGACACAACATGACTTATCTCTGTGTCCCATCCTCTGTGCCAGAGGCGGCATCGACCAGACTTGGACAAATGAAGCAGAAGGGACAGGGGACTTAGAATACTAGGCTGCATCATTTTCTTTTTACTCTGACAGTGAGAAGCAAAGACCTCCACAAAGAAAGAAGCCCTTGGCTGTGTCATCATTTTAGAATCTGGGCACTCTCTGCACACCACTGCCCCCTCATGGCTGATCTAGGAATTCTCTCTAAATCCCAGACTGAAGGTGAGGAGGAGGCTCAGTGAGTCTTAGAGATTTGAAAAGCCGTGAAATCCTGGTTGGAGAACATCTGAGTCCAAAGGGCCCTCAGAGACTCTCTGACTTCCTCATTACATATAAAGAAATCAAGAGGGTGCTGCCAGGGAGTGGGGACAAGAACACTGAATTTGGTGTAAAACGGCCCTCAGCTTGCAGCCTGGCTCTATTTCTTACTGGCTGTAAGGCCCTAGGCAAGTGGCCTCACCTCTCTAAGCCACAGTTTCCATCTCTTTCAAATGGAGTCTGCCATCTGGCCGGCTTCTCTTTTCTGGGAATGCCACGCCAAGTTCCTCAGATCAATTCTCCTATTGAAAACAGCTAAAGGCCGGGCACGGTGGCTCACGCCTGTAATCCCAGCACTTTGGGAGACCAAGGTGGGCAGATCACCTGAGGTCAGGAGTTCAAGACCAGCCCGTCCAACATGAGGAAACCCCGTCTCTACTAAAAATACAAAAATTAGCTGGGCATGGTGGTGCATGCCTGTAATCCCAGCTACTCGGGAGGCCAAGGCACAAGAATCGCTTGAATCTGGGAGGCGGAGGTTGCAGTGAGCAGAGATCAGGCCACTGCACTCCAGCCTGGGCACCAGAGCAAGACTTGTCTCAAAAAAAAGAAAAAAAGAAAACAACTAAAAACACTGACATATTGGTGCAGCCATAGGGTAAGGCATCACTAGAACAAAGCTAAAGGGAAAACAGAAACGTAGACAGATAAACCATACGGGAAACTCACATTTACTCTGAGGGCACTTCCTGATTTGGGCTAGTTTGAACTGTTGTTTTGATAACTCCTCTAGGCAATGTACACAAATAAAAGTCCAGAGCACATGGTGGAAGATCAAATAGAAGACCTTCCCCCAAATTAGTTGGGATCCCAAAGAGCCATACTCTCAGAAGTAAACCAGCCCCAGTATGGACTTGTCAGAGGCGTTTGAATCAGAGGAAGAGCAGCTGCATCTTGAATAGGGGCTGGGTAAGATAAGGCTGAGACCTACTGGGCTGCATTCCTAGGAGGTTAGGCATTCTTGGTCACAGGATGAGACAGGAGGTCAGCACAACACACTGGTCATAAAGCCCTTCCTGGTAAAACAGGTTGCAGTAAAAAAGCCGGCCAAAACCCACCAAAACCAACATGGCAATGAGAATGACCTCTGGTCATCCTCACTGCTCACTATATGATAATTATAATACATTAGCCTGGTTCTATTTCTTACTGGCTGTAAGGTGAGGAGGAGGCTAGAAGACACTCCCACCAGCACCATGACAGCTGACAAATGCCATGGCAACATCTGGAAGTTACCCTATAGGGTCTGAAAAGGGGAGGAACCCTCAGCTCCGGGGATTGCTCACACCTTTCCCTGGAAATTCATAAATAATCTACCCCTTGTTTAGTGTATAATCAAGAAATAACCATAAAAATGGACAACCAGAGGCCCATGGTGCTGCTGGTCTACCTGTGGAGTAGCCATTCTTTCATTCCTTTACTTTCCTGATAAACTTGCTTTCACTTTACTCTATGGACTCGCCCCAAATTCTTTCTTGCACAAGATCTAAAAACCCTCTCTTGGGGTCTGGATTGGGACTCCTTTCCAGTAACAGACTTGCAGCTCTAATTTGTATCTCCTGGGTGGTCGGTAACCTCAAGCCTTGAACTTAGATTGAGGTGACCCTAGACTATTTGTTTCTTCCAAAGGTTTCTGGAAGAAGCAAATGAAAACCTTCTCTGGAGGGAGGTCCTTCAGTCAAGGCTCCAAATGAGTCACACAAAGAAATATTTAAGTACGACGGCCAGCACACAGTAAAAGATAATCAGGGCCGGGCGCGGTGGCTCACACCTGTAATCCCAGCACTTTGGGAGGCCGAGGTGGGTGGATCACCTGAGGTCAGGAGTTTGAGACCAGCCTGGCCAATATGATGAAACTCTGTCTCTACTAAAAATTAGGCGGGCATGGTGGCGGGCACCTGTAGTTCCAGCTACTCAGGAGGCTGAGGCAGAAGAATTGCTTGAACCCAGGAGGCGGAGGTTGCAGTGAGCTGAGATCGCGCCACTGCACTACAGCTTGGTGACAGAGTGAGACTCCATCTCAAAAAAAAAAAAAAAAAAAAAAAGATAATCAGGCACATAAGGAAATGAGACCACACAGCAAGAACCAGAAGAAATGAGAGACAATAGAAACATATCTATAAAGAATTTAAACACTGGAATTATTTTACATAGAATATAGAACAACCATATTTAAATAAACAATAGAGTAGCTTGAAAATATTTGCCTGGAACAGGATGAAAAGTGACAGTAGGTTTGAAGGGACAAACTGAACTTCTAGAAATGAATAATACAATTAACTAAAATTTAAAAATCAATAGCAAATTTAAAGCATTTTGGACATAGCAAAAAAGATAATTGGTGAATTGGAAGAAAGGTCAGAAGAAATAATCCAAAATGAGCATGGAGAGACATAAAGATTAAAAATAATAGCAAGAAATAGTAAAAGACACGAAGAATAAATGAGAAATGGATCTAACACTCTTGTAACTGGAACTTCAGGAGAGAAGAGAGAGACTAATGAAAACGTGATATTGGAAACGTCAGTGGCTGAAAATCTCCCAGAACTGATCAAAGCCATTAATCTACAGATTCAAAAAGCCCAACAAATCCCAAGTGGGATAAAAAAAAATTTTTTTTTGAGACGGAGTCTCGCTCTGTTGCCCAGGCTGGAGTGTAGTGGCGTGATCTCGACTCACTACAACCTCCACCTCCTGGGTTCAAGCGATTCTCCCGCCTCAGCCTCCCAAGTAGCTGGGATTACAGGTATCCGCCATCATGCCCGGCTAATTTTTGTATTTTTGTAGAGAAGGGGTTTCACCATGTTGGCCAGGCTGGTCTTGAACTCCTGACCTCAGGTTATCCACCTGCCTTGGCCTTCCAAAGTGCTGGGATTACAGGCATGAGCCACTTTGCCTGGCCAGATAAAATTTTTTTTTAATTTGCTGAGTGTGGTGGCTCACGCCTGTAATCCCAGCACTTTGGGAGGCCAAGGCGGGCAGATCACGAGGTCAGGAGATCAAAACCAGCCTGGCCAACATGGTGAAACCCGTCTCTAGTAAAAATACAAAAATTAGCCAGGCTTGGTGGTGCATGCCTGTAGACCCAGCTACTTGGGAGGCTGAGGCAGGAGAATCGCTTGAACCCGGGAGGCGGAGGTTGCAGTGAGCTGAGATCGCACCATTGCACCCCAGCCTGGCGACAGAGCGAGATTCCTCTAAAAAAAAAAAATTAATTTACACCTAGAAAAGCTTACATAGTGTATGATTCCAACTATGTAACATTCTGGAAAAGACAAGGCCATGGAGACAGTAAAAAGATCAGTGGCTGCCAGGGGTTTGGGGTGAGAGAGGATGAATAGATTAGAACAGGAAATTTTTAGAACAGTGAAACTATTTTGTATGATGCTGTAATAGTATATACATTTCATTATAAGTTTGTCAAAACCCATAGAATTTACAATACAAAGAGTGAACCCTAATGTAAACTATGGACTTTGGTCGATAACGATAATGTTGGTTTATTGATTGTAACAAATGTACAACACCCATGGAGGATGTTGATGTTAAGGGGGGCTGTGTGTGGAAAACGAGGGAGGGGCATGTGGAAACTCTCTGTACTTTGGTTTTTTTTCTTTTTCTTTTTTCTTTTTTTTAATTTTGAGACAGGGTCTCACTCCATCGCCCAGGATGGAGTGCAATGGTGCAATCACAGCTCACTGCAGCCTCGACCTCCTAGGCTCAAATGATCCTTCTAATAGCCTTCCTAGTAGCTGGGACTACAGACGTGCACCACCAGGTCTGGCTACTAATTTTTGTATTTTTTTGTAGAGATGGGGTTTGCCATGTTGCCTAGGCTGGTCTCGAATTCTGGGATTAAGCGATCCTCCTGCCTTGGCTGGGATTACAGGCATGGACCACTGCATCTGGCCAACTCTACTCTCTACTTGATTTTGCTGTGAACCTAAAACTGCTCTAAAAAAAAATGAAGTCTATTAATTCAAAAAGAATTTGCACCTAGACATATGTGGTGAAATAGCAGAATACCAAAGACAAAGAGAATATCTTAAAAACTGCCAGGAAAAAATGTCAGATTATCTTCAACAGAGCAAGGTAAGCTGAGAGCTAACTTCTCAAGAGCAACATTAAAAGACAGAGGATAGCAGAAAGATCATCTTCAATGTGCAAAAAGAAAATAATTGCAGGCCAAGAATTCTATACCCAGTGAAAACATCCTTTAAGAATGAATATGAAATAAAGACATTTTCAGACAAACAAAAGCTGTAAGTGTATGTCACCAATGGACTTGGAGTAGAAAGAAAAAAAAGCTCAAATTGAAGGTCAAAAATGCTAGAAAGAATGAAGAGAATTCAAATGGCAAATACATGGCAAATCTAAATGAAACTCGATTGTATAAAACGTTAATAATAGTGGTTAAAATGGAATTAAACTGTTGTAAGTTCTTTACATTGTCTTGGAGTAAATGTATCAATTAACTCTAGACTTGAACAAGTTAAATGTTCAGATTATAACTTCTAGGTTACTGGATAATGAGTAAAACAGACAGTGTAATTTCCAAATTAGTCGAAGAAAGCAGAAGTTTTTTTTTGGGTGAGATCTACTAAAAACAACAACAACAACAACAACAAAAATTAATATCAGACAAAATGGACTTTAAGGCGAGAAGTACTATTAGGAATAGAGAAGATCACTGTATAATAATAAATGGGGCTGAGCACAGTGGCTCATGCCTGGAATCCTAGCACTTTGGGAGGCAAAGGTGAGCAGATCCCTTGAGCCCAAGAGTTCGAGACCAGCCTGGGCAACATGGCTAAATCGCATCTCTACAAAAAATACAAAAATTAACTGGGCATGGTGGTGCATGCCTGTAGCCCCAGCTACTCGGGAGGCTGAAGTAGGAGGATCACTGGAGCCCAGGAAGTGGAGGCTGCAGTGAGCCATGGATCGCATTACTACACTCCAGCCAGGACAACAGAGTGAGACCCTGTTTCCAGAAACTGTAATAATAGTAATAATAATAAATGGATCAAGTCATCAGGAAGATATATCGACTTATATACAACTGAAAATCAATGAGAAAAAAGATAACCAAATCAAATGTTGAACAAAATACTTGAACAGGCATTTAACAAAAAGGAAAACCAAATTATGAATAAACATATGAAAAGATGCTTAACATCACTAGTAATCAGAGTACAAATTAAGACCACAAAAAGATATCACTACACACTCACCATATTGGGATAATTTACAGTTTTAACCATATCATGTGTTGGAAATTTCTAGACCTACAGAAAAATGTGACTGTTAAGAGAAAAAATAGATAGTAGTATCGGAACCACAGTGCCCCACATACTGGAGTTAGCAGACAAAAAAATGTAAGATAACCAATTAATATGTTAAATAAAATAGATGAAAAGATTGGCAAAGTAGATAAAAATAGAGATTGTCAGCAGAGGAAGTGGGATATCTTTCAAAAATAAAATGTTCTAGGACTGAAAAATACAACATCTGAAATTAAGAATTTATTGAATGTGTTTAGCAGAAGGACAAAGGACAGGGTTAGCAAACGAAGACAGGTCAACAAAAAATATCCAAGCCAGAAACACAGAAAAAAAAATAGAAGAAGGAACAGAGCGTAAGATTTGTGGGACATAGTTAGTAGATCTAACATTTGTGTAACTGTACTTCCAGAAGGCAAGAAAAAACTGAGGAAGAAGCAATATTTGAAGTAATATGGCTGATAATTTCCCAAAACTGTTGAAATATATCAACCCTTAAATTTAAGAAGCTTAGTAAATCCAGGTAGGATAAAAACAAAGAAAAGCACACAAGCGGCCGGGCGCGGTGGCTCACGCCTGTAATCCCAGCACTTTGGGAGGCCGAGGCGGGTGGATCATGAGGTCAGGAGATCGAGACCATCCTGGCTAACAAGGTGAAACCCCGTCTCTACTAAAAATACAAAAAATTAGCTGGGCGCGGTGGCGGGCGCCTGTAGTCCCAGCTACTCGGGAGGCTGAGGCAGGAGAATGGCGTGAACCCGGGAAGCGGAGCTTGCAGTGAGCCGAGATTGCGCCACTTCAGTCCGCAGTCCGGCCTGGGCGACAGAGCGAGACTCCGTCTCAAAAAAAAAAAAAAAAAAAAAAAAAAAAAAAAAAAAGAAAAGCACACAAGCATATCATTGTTAACAGCTGGAAACGAAGACAAAGAGAAAACCTTAAAAGCAGCTAGATAAGCTACGTGATGCCTACATTTCAACAGACACTATAGAATCCAAAAGGTAATTTTTTAAGTTCAGAAAAAAGAAAAAAACAAAAACCCTGCTAACCTAGAATTCTATACTGAAAAAAAAATGCGTAAGATTTAAGGTAAAACAGGCCGTGTGCGGTGGCTCACGCCTGTAATCCCAGCACTTTGGGAGGCCGAGGCGGGCGGATCACAAGGTCAGGAGACGGAGACCATCCTGGCTAACACAGTGAAACCGCATCTGTACTAAAAATACAAAAAAAAAAAAAAAAAAAAAAAAAAGAAAGAAAAAAATAGCCAGGTGTGGTGGCGGGTGCCTGTAGTCCCAGCTACTCGGGAGGCTGAGGCAGGAGAATGGCGTGAACCCGGGAGGCAGAGCAGCCTGGGCAACAGGGCGAGACTCCATCTCAAAAAAAAAAAAAAAAAAAAAAAAAAGGATTAAGGTAAAACAAAGACATTTATATACAAAGAAAAGGCTGAGAAAGTGCATTGCTAACAAACCTTAATAATGTTACAAGAAATATTAAAGGAAATTTCTTCATGCTGAAGTAAAATGATCTCAGATGAAAGCACAAACTTTACAAAGCCTGGCGTGGTGGCGCACGCCTGTAATCCCAGCTACTTGTAGGGCTGAGGTCGGAGGATCGCTTGAGGCCAGGAACTCAAGACCAGTCTAAACAACATAGCAAGAGCCTGGTCACTTAAAAAAAAAAATTGTCAGAAAAGAGGGGAGTAATTTCTTTTTTTTAAGCACAAATCTTCTGGAAGTAATACAGGGCACCAAAAAGGACAAATATATGGACAAAAATGAAATAATTAACTAATAAAATAATAATAGGAACGCCTTGTAGGGCTTATAACAGGTAGTAAAATACACAATAATAGCACATAGGGTGGAAGGCAGGTAAATGGAGTTGAACAGTTGTAAAGTTCTTGCATTGTTTTCTTTTTCTTTCTTTCTTTTTTTTTTTGAGACACAGTCTTATTGTCAGCCAGGCTGGAGTGCAGTGGCACGATCTCAGCTCACTGCAACTGCCTCCTCCTTGATTCAAATGAGCACATCCTCCGGCTAATTTTCATATTTTTAGTAGAGGCGGGGTTTCACCCTGTGGGCCAGGCTGGTCTCAAACTCCTGACCTCAAGTGATATGCCTGCCTCAGCCTCCCAAAGTCCAAAGTGCTGGGATTACAGGTGTGAGGCACCACACCCGGCCAGTTCTTGCACTGTTAAAACCATGGGAAACATTAATTTAATATGACAATATATCTGTAATAGGTCAAAGATGCATATTTAAATATCTAAAGTTAAAACTTTTTGTAAAAACGTATGAATAGAACCTAATAGAGGAAAAACTGAAATAGTGAAAACAACTTGATTATCCAAAAGAAGAAAATAATGAAGGAATAAATGAACAAAGAGCAAATAAGACAGAAAAACAAATAGAAAGATGGTAGCTCTAAATCCAACTATATCAGTAATTACATTAAATGTACATGATGTAAACAAACAGAAAGACACATATTGTTAGAATGGATTTTTGTTTAAAACCCCAATTACATTTTATTTTTAAGCAACACAATTTTAATGTAAAAACACAGAAAGGTGAAACAAAAAGATGAAAAAGTATATACCATTTAAATACTAATTTTTAATAAGTTGGTATTACTACATTAATATCAAATAAAATAGGCTTAAGACAAACAGTATTACTAGAGGTAAGATGGACATTAAATAATGATAACAGATTTTTCCAGCAGGAAAATATAACAATTCTAAACTTGTGTGCACCAAATAACACAGCTTAAAAATATACAAAGTAAGAATTATTGAGACTGAAAGGAAAAATAGACAAATATGCAGCCACCACTGGAGATTTTAACAAAATTTTTTTTTTGAGACAGAGTCTCGCCCTGTCGCCCAGGCTGGAGTGCAGTGGCAGTGGTGTGATCTTGGCTCACTGCAACCTCCGTTTCCCGGGTTCAAATGATTCTCCTGCCTCAGCCTCCCAAGTAGCTGGGATTACAGGTGCCCACCACCACGCCCAGCTAATTGTTGTATTTTTAATAGAGACGGAGTTTCACCATGTTGGCCAGGCTGGTTTAACACACTTTTTAAAAGAAACTCAAACAAAAAATCCGTGAGGAAATGGATTATTTGAATAAAGTGGTTAGCCAACTTAACTCAATTGACACATATAGAATATATATGGAGAATACACATAATTTTCAAGTTCATATGAATGATTTACAAAAATTGACCCTATGCTGGGCCATAAAGCAAGTTTCAACAAATTCCAAAGGATTGAAATCATACAGACCAGAAAACAATAAAAGAGAGATACTGAAAAATCACTAAATGCTTGGAAATTAAGGAACATACTGCTAAATATTCCACAAGTCAATGAAGTCAGAAGAGAAATTAGAAAATGTATTGAATTGAATAAGACAAAATGTATTAAAATGTATGAATACAGCTAAAACAGAGCTTGTAGGGAATTGTTTAGGTTTACATTATACTAGGAAAGAATAAATATTTTAAAAATTAATGAAAAGGCTAAAACAAAGAACAAATTAAACCCAGAGTAGGTAGTAAAAAGGAAGTAATAAAAATAGAAAACAAACAGTAGAGAATAATAAAAAGTCTAAAGGTGGTTCTTTAAAAAGATTAATAAAATAAATACACCTCTAACAAGAATGAAGAGAGAGAAAACAAATATCACCAATATCGGGATGTGCAAGAGAACATCACTTCAGATCCTGCACATAAAAAGGATAATAAAGAAATATTATGGCTGGGCATGGTAGCTCATGCCTGTAATCCCATCACTTTGGGAGGCTGAGGTGGATGGATCACTTGAGGCCAGGAGTTTGAGACCAGCCTGGCCAACATGGTGAAACCCTGTCGCTACTAAAAATACAAAAATTAGCCGGGTGTGGTAGCGCATGCCTGTAATCCCAGCTACTTGGGAGGCTGAGGCAGGAGACTCGCTTGAACCCAGGAGGTGGAGGTTGCAGTGAGTTGAGATCATGCTACTGCATGATCCAGCTTGGGCAACAGAGCGAGACTCTGTCTACAAAAAAAAAAAAAAAAAGAAAGAAAGAAAAGAGAAGAAACATTATGAACTACTTTATGTCAACAGATTCAACAACCTAGATAAAATGACCAAATTCCTTGAAATAAACAATTTAGTAAAACTAATGCAGAAAGAAATAGGAAATCTAAATAGCCCTGTATCAACAACAACAAAAAATCCTGAATTTGAAGTAAAAAAAAAAAAGTTCTAACAAAGATTAGTCCAGTTCAACTCAAATGGCTTTACTGGTAAATACTAGCTAACATTTAAGGGAAAAATAACAACAGTCTTACACAAACTATTTCAGGAAATGAAAGAAGAAAGACTTCCCAACATATTTTGTAAGGCGAGCATAAATTTAATACCGAAATCAGATAAAGACATTACCAAAAAACCACAGACCAATTAACATAGTCACAGAAAATCTTAACAAAATATTAGCAAATTGATTTAGCAACATATAAAAAAGATAAAACCTAATGACAAAATGAGGTTTATCCCAGAAATATAAGATTGATTTAACATTCACAAATCAATTATTGTGATTCACTATGTTAACAAAGAGAACTATAAAAATCACAAAATAACCTCAAGCAAATCCAGAAAAAAATTTTACAAAAATTAACACCCATTCTTTATTTCAAAAAAAAAAAACCAGACAACACACACACACACACACACACTCAAACACACATACAAAACCTTAGTCATCTAGGAATAGAAGATAACTTCTTGATAAAAGGCATTTATAAAAGAATCTACAGCTCACATCATACTTAATGCAGAAACATTGAATATGTTTTTGTTAAGATTCCCTACGGCAAATATTTTGCTCTTACCGCTTCTATTCAGCATTGTACTAGAAAGTTCCAGCCAGTTCCATAAAGCAAAAAAAAGCAAGAAAAGGCATAAAGAGTGGGGGAGGGGGGTGGAAGGAGTAAAACTGTCATTGTTCCATACCACATGATTGCGTACATGGTGAACCCTATGGGATCTACCCTCTCCACCTCACCGCCCCTCTCCAAAATCCTACCAAAATTAAAAGTGAAGTTATCAAGGTCACAGGCTATAAAATTAATAGGTGAAAATCAATTTTTGTTGTATTAGTCACAATCAATTGGAAAATGAAATAAAAATACTATTTACAATAGTAAACATAGAGTCAATTTTTTTTTTTTAACCAAGATGCGAAGTTAATTCAATGGAGGAAGAAAAGACTTTTAATATATGGTGCTGAAACCGCTGGGTATCCATACGGAAAAAAATGAATCTCCATCCCTGTCCTTTTCTATAAATAAAAATTAATTTGCCATGGATGATAAACCCAAATAAAAAAAATAGAACCATGAAGTCTAGGAGAAAATAGATAGAATATCTTTCTGACAGAACATCTTTATAACCTCGGGGTTGGCAAAAGTTCCTTAGAACACAAAAAGCACTATCCATAGAAGAGGAAAATACACATATTGGACTTCATCAAAATTAAACATTTCTTCTCTCAAGAGACACGTTTAAGAAAACAAATAGGCAAGACATGGGTTTGGAAAAAATATTTCCACAACACTTGTGTCTAACAAAGGACTTGTATTCAGAGTATAAAGAGCTAAGGAAGGCTGGGTGCGGTAGCTCACGCCTGTAATCTCAACACTTTGGGAGGCTGAGGTGGGTGGATCACCTGAGGTCAGGAGTTCAAGACCATCCTGGCCAATGCGGTGAAACCCTGTCTCTACTAAAAAATACAAAAATTAGCCGCCCGTGGAGGCGGGCTTCTGTAATCCCAGCTGCTCGGGAGGCCAAGGCAAGAGAATCGCTTGAACCCCGGAGGCAGAGGTTGCAGTGAGTTGAGATTGAGCCATTGCACTCTAGCCTAGGCAACAAGACAGAAACTTTGTCTCAAAAAAAAAAATAAATAAATAAAAAAGAGCTAAAGCAATTTGGAAAAGACAATGCATTTGAAAATGGACAAAAGATTGTGGTAGGCTTACGTGGGCGGTCCGCAATGACCTATGCCTCCCAGTATCCATGCTTTTGTATGGTCCCTTCCCACCTTGCCCTTGGGCTCGGACATGTGATTTATCTTGGCCTGTGGAGCATGATGCAAGAAGACAAACCCTTGCACATTGGGTATTGTCCTCTTTGAATGCTCTATTTTGGAACCCTGCACCACTGTGTAAAGTGACCAGGCTACCTTGATGGGGGACCATGAGGAGAGAGATACCTGGCCAGCCTCCGGCTGCTTCAGCCATCCCAGCAGAGGCACCAGACGTGTGTGTTAGGCCGTCTTTGATGCTAAGTCACTGGAACCACGGACCCTCCAGATGATCATAGTCAATATCACGTGGAGCAAAAGACCTGCCCAGATATGGCCAAGTCAGATCGTAGAAGAATGGGCAAATAAATGGTTTTGTCTCACATCACTAATTTTTGTGGTGGTGTGTTACACAGTAATAGAGAATTTAAATAAGATATGGAAAACATTTCACAAAAGAAGATACGCAAACAGCCAGTAAGCACATGAAAAGGTGTTCAACATCATTAGTTATTAGGAAACTTCAAATTACATTTAAATTAAAACCACAATGAAATAGCATTTCATGCCACTAGAATGGCTAAAATTTTTCTTAAAAAAAAAGATTAACAATACTAAATATTGGTGAAGACTTGGAGCGATTGGAACTTTTCTGCATTGCTGGTGGAAGTGTAAGTAAGTACACCACTCAGAAAACTGTTGAACAGATTCTTAGTAAGTTAAACATTTATCTGCCTTAGGAACTAGCAATTCTACTCCTAGGTATTTCCCCAAGAAATCTGGTCTGATTTTTTATCTGGTTTCACTAACGAATGAATTACAAGAGTAAAAAAGATGGAAAGGGAACCAAAGATAAAACAATATTTAAAGACACATCAAGACAAATAAAAAACAGGCAAAGCAAAGCCATATGTAAACAAAACCATACCCGCCCCCCCAAAAAATACAGCCAAGTGCGGTGGCTCATGCCTGTAATCCCAGCACTTTGGGAGGCTGAGGCAGGAGGACTGCTTGAGCCCAGGAGTTTCAGACCAGCCTGGTGAAATCCTGTCTCTATAAAACCCACAAAAATTAGCCAGGCGGGGTGGTACGCACCTGTAGCCCCAGCTACTCGGGAGGCTGAGATGGGAGGATCACCTGAACCCCAGGAGGTCGAGGCTGCCATGACCTGTGATTGAGCCACTGCACTCCAGCTTGGACAACACAGTGAAATCCTATCTGAAAAGAAAAAAAAAATGCCTAAAAGACACCAATCTTTGGGATTTGAGTATGAGAAATCAGAATTCCAGGGAATTCCAAGAATTCCTAAAAATGACACACTATTCTGTATTTTTCCTAACAGCTTATGTGTTTTGAAAAGATAAGAACTGACCATAAAAACAAATAGTGAACATTTTTCTGTGACAGGGATACACTAAAAATGTCAGAGGTTTTCTGTTTAGTGCATGGTTTTTATTATGCATTAAAGTGCATGGTTTTAATTTATTTTATTATTTTGTTTTAATATACCATGACTCAGTGATGTATTTCAAGGACATGTAAAAATGATCTCTACCTTATGCAGACATTTAATAATAGAAAACATTAAAAGAAGGAGACATTAACTCAAAGTAAATGCCAAATAAAAGTTATTTTAAAAATGGAACAATAGTATCACAAATGTTTACTTTTTTTTTTTTTTTTTGAGATGGAGTCTCGCTGTTGTCGCCCAGGCTGGAGTGGAATGGCACGATCTTGGCTCACTGCAACCTCTGCCTCCTGGGTTCAAGTGATTCTCCTGCCTCAGCCTCCCAAGTAGCTGGGATTACAGGCACCTGACACCACACCTGGCTAATTACTGTATTTTTAGTAGGGACGGGGTTTCACCATGTTAGCTATGCTGGTCTTGAACTCGTGACCTCAGATGATCCACCCGCCCCAGCCTCCCAAAGTGCTGGGATTACAGGCATGAGCCACTGCACCTGGCCAAATGTTTGCTATTTAAGTTACTCTTTTTTGAACATCTATCAGAAAAAAGTGTTATTCTTACAAGGAAAATTTAAAACACTCAAAGTATTAACTGCCCTATCCAATAGTCTTGATCTTTGTTCTTATGACAAATAATTCAAACATAGGAAATTTTATTTCATTTTGCATTGATGTTAGTTGAATTCATAAGATTGTGTCTAATCACATCTTCAGGTTGGGTATGAGGGTACATGTTGCTTCATATAACTTTCTCTCTCTTTTTTTTTTTTTTTTTTTTTTTTTGAGACAGGGTCATGCTCTGTTACCCAGGCTGGAGTGCAGTGGAGCAATCATGGCTCCCCCCAACCTCTGAACTCTCAGGATCACGATGTTCCTGCCTCAGCCTCCTGCGTAGCTGAGAGCAGGCATGCGTGACTATGCTGGGCTAATTTTTTCTTATTTTTTGTACAAATGGGGTCTCACTATGTTGTCCAGGCTTAACTTTCTCCTTTTTAAGGATGAAAATATTTTGCATTACAAAGAACCATAGCCTATAGCAAATATTCACACACTGGAAAATACCAGCTAATTGGATAGCATTTGAGTAACATATGGGAATTGCCAATGGACTTACTGGATCACAGACTTATTTTACTCCCACACCTTATTTCTTGAACACTACTCGTAGGATTTGAACAAAGCATACTCATATCTATAAACTTATAAATAGTCACTTTATTTGCAAGAATGACTCACCACTAGCAGCAGACAGGGCCATCAACACGCTTATAACATGGTGACAGCTGCAAGCAAGACTGACTCTGTCCTGACCTACCTTCCCTGTGCCAGTCCGAGAAGTGTTGACTTTGACCTTTGACACTGCATGCCACTGTTTTCTGCTCTAGCCTTTGACACAGCGTCAATGGCTTCCTTCAAACCAGTAACAGCTCTATGTTGATGGTTAAGTTTTAATTTTCACAAGAGAATAATAATAGTTTTTCCTGCCACCGGAGGTTGGTGTTGCACAAGCTGAGAGAGGAGAGAATTTCAAGGAGGGAGTGGTCAGCTATCTGGGGACTGGGAGGAGGCTGTGGGCTGACTGACAGGTCAGTGACATGGCCCTCTGAGAGAACCTTCTACAAGGATCTACACGGATCGCTCCACGTTCTTCACGGGTAGTTGTGTGTTGAGGTGTGGGCTCCACCTCCCTGGCCGCCTGTGTTCCTGGAACCCGCCCAAACCTTTCAGCCTCTCAGGGCCTTTGTGACGCTGCTCCCTCTTCCTAGGGTGTCTTTCCCCGTCCCTCTCACCCTTCAGGTCTTCCCTCCACTGGCAACTCCTGACCACCCTCTCCAGTCGCTGTCTCCTTGTTCCTTCCCGGCACCCATCGCCATCTTTCATCCTCTCACTGATTTACTTGTTGATGGTGTGTCCCTCCCTCCCGCTCCCCTACAGGGCATGTCAGCTATACGGAGCAGCGCTCTCTGCTGTCTCATTCCCTGCAGAGCCCCAGCACCTAGCACATAGTAGGTTTCCAAGAAATATTTATTGAACGAATGAACAACTGAATAGATGGGGTAGGCAAGTGCAGATGAAAGCTTAAAGTCACCTCTCTGGACCTCTGTTTCCTGGTTTGTCTGATTTGTCAAAGAGATAAGAGCTCCGGTCCTCCCCTTTGAACCAGGCATGGTTAGACCCAGACCGTGAGCAAATCCTACGTGGGTGCAACACTGAGAATGGCCAGTAGGTGGCAGTAAGTCACTGTGGTCGAACTGGGACAAAGCCTGGCCCAACCAGGGCGCAAAATACCTAAAGTTTAATCCACCAAAGTTTATTTCCACCACGAGGCATGCAAGTCTCTCTTAAACACAGCACGCGTGCCCCTGCTACCCTGAATGGAGAACAATGAACCTCCATTTGGATTCAAATCCCAACTCTGCCACCAACTACTAGGTGGCCAGAGTAAATGGCCTCTGTAAAGTGGGAGCATTATGAGCGCGCAGTGGGTAACGGATGTGGAAAGACAGCATGCCGGAGCAGGGCGAGGACAGCAGGCAGCTGGCCGTAAATGGAGCCTGGGCCTGCAGGGAGCCCACGGCCACCTCATACTCCAAGCCACGCCCCCCGCCCACGTTGGCTCTTCCCCAAAGCCCTCCACCCATTCTGCTGCTGCACCCACGCAGCTGCATGTGGCTGAGGACAAGGTACATCAGATGACTGGCCTCACTCCAAGGTGACCCCACAAACCTGGAATGGGCCCCTGTGCTTCCGGCAACCCAACCAGGCTTCACCGGCCCATTAACTCTCCCACCCCCATCCCTCTTCTCCTCGAGTCCTCACCAAGACCCCCTCCTGCCCCCTGGCTATTGGCTGTGACCTTGGTTCTTATCTCACTGAGAAAAGAGAATCAGACGAAAATGCCGCATTCTCAGGATGCCAAATCTTCCACCAACCAGCACCACCCAGGTACCACAGAGGTACACACTGAGGGCACATCCTCCCTCATGCACAGGGTGCCAAGCCCTTTCACCACCCTGGGTTTTGCCCTGGCAAGTCTCACCTTTCTCTTCTGCATTTTTTTTTTTTTGAGATGGAGTCTCAATTTGTTGCCCAGGCTAGAGTGCAGTGGCACAATCTCAGCTCACTGCAACCCCTGCCTCCAGGGTTCAAGCGATTCTGTTACCTCAGCCTCCCAAGTAGCTGGTACTACAGGTGCCCTCCACCACACCCAGCTAATTTTTTTTTATTTTTATTTTTAGTAGAGGCGAGTTTTCACCATGCTGGCCAGGATGGTCTCGAACTCCTGTCCTCAAATGATCCACCCACCTCAGCCTCCCAAAGTGCTGAGATTACAGGCGTGAGCCACCACCCCCGGCCTCTCTTCTGCATCTTAATTACTTTCCCCTCTATGGATCATGCCCGTCAGCCTAAAAACAAGCTGTGATCTCTCTCATTCAGAATAAACTCTCCCTTGACCCTACGTTCCCTCCCTCTAGCTGCACTCCCATATGTCTGCCCTCGTTTACAGTGCAACTCTCCGGGAGAGGGGCCCATGCTCCACCCATCCCCACCGGGCCCCACTGCAGTCCACCTGCCCTTGCCACTGAAACCCTCAGGATCACCAGTGACCTCGGTTCTTCCCAATTCCATTCTCAGCCCTCAGCCCACGTCTCAGCAGCATTTGAGAGTTGAGTGTTCCGTCCTTGCAACATTACCTCTCTTGGTTTCTGTGACTTTGTCTCTTCTCTATCCGTGGTCACTTCCCAGCTGTCTCACTGACCCAGAGAATATAAAGTCCACCCAATGCCAATCATTCCCACGTGTGTATCTCTCATCCTGACCTCTCCCTGGAAACCAGATTCTTCTATCTGGCCCTCGCTGGAGGTCTAACAGGCTGCTCAAACTTAACTTGAACTCTTGATTTTAATCCCACCTAACCTGCTTCTCCCTCAGTGTCCCTGTCTGTCTAATGGCAGTTCCGGCCCCAAATCCTGAAGTTGCCCTTGACTCCTCTCTGCCTTACACCCCACATCTGATTCTGCAGCAAATTCTCTGGGTCCAACCTTTAAAATCTGTGCTGGACCTGACTGCTCTCACCATCTGCACCACAAACAGCCTACTCCATGCCCCCTTATTTTTGCCAGGAGTGACATAAGTGGCATAGCCTCCTCCTTGGTCCTGCCACATTCTCTCTGTCTCTCTTGCATGCACCGCATTCACCTGCTTAGAATAAAGTTCAAGTCCCGACACAACAAGGCTTGACAGGAGCAGTGGGGACCCTTCTCCTGCCTCATCTCCTTACACTTCCCTCTGACTCACTCTGCTCACCCACTCAGGACTCCTTGACGCCCCCCCTTTTTTTGGTACAGTCTCCATTCCAGCCTTGGAACTTGCTGTTTCAATGCCTGTAGCTGCGACCCAGCCAACCGCACAGCCCCTCCCTCTTCCCTTCAAGTCTCTTCTCCTCAGAGAAGCCTCCCTGACCCCTCTACCTAAAGTAGCCCCGCCCTCTACCATTCACTATCCCTTCATCCTGTTTAATTTCTCTTCACAGCACCAATGCTTCCACTTCATCGTTTCTTTATATGTTTTTTTATGCCGTCTTCTCCCAACTGGAAGGTAAATTGCACACGTGTGGGTTCTCACCCATCTTGTTCACCATGTGTTACCTGTGTCTGGAGCAGTGCCAGGAAGACTAGGACCTCACACTTTTATTGAGTAGATGGATGGATGGATGAATAGATGCATGCATGGATGGACGGATGGATGGATGGATGGATGGATGATGGATGGATTCATGGATGGATGGGTGGATGCATGGAGGGATGGATGGATGAATGCATGGATGGATGGATAGATGCATGGTTGGATAAATGGATACATGGATGGATGGATGGATGGATGGATGGATGCATGGATGGATGAACAAATGGATGGATGGATGGTTGCACAGATGGATAAATGGATACATGGATGGATGGATGGTTGCACAGATGGATAAATGGATACATGGATGGATGGATGCATTCACGGATGGATGGATGAATGCATGCATGTATGGATGGATGGATGGATGCATGCATGCATGCATAGATGGATGGATGGATGGATGCATGCATGCATAGATGAATGGATGGATGCATGGATACGTGGATGGATGGAAGGATGAATGGATGGATGGATGCATGCGTGCATAGATGGATGGATGGATGGATGGATGGATGCATGGATACATGGATGAATGAATGGATGCATGGATGGACGGATAGATGGATGGATGGATGCATGCATGGATGGATTGATGGATGCATGGATGTATGTATGCATGGATGGATGCATGGATGAATGGATGGATGGAGGGATGCATGGATGGATAAATGGAAGCATGGATGCATGGATGAATAAGTGGATGCATGGATGGATAAATGAATGGATAGATGGGTGGATGCATGGATGGATGGATGGATGAACAGATGAATGGATGGATGGATGGATGCATGCATGCATTCATGCAAAGACGAATGGATGATGCATGGATCCACGGATGGATGAATGGATGTATGTATGAATGGATAAATGGATACATGGATGGATGGACGGATGGATGGATGGATGGATGGATGGATGCATGGATGCATGGATGCATGGATGGATGGATGGGTGGATGGATGCATGGGTGGATGGATGGATGCATGGATGGATAAATGGATGTGTGCATGGATGGGTGGATGGATGCATGGGTGGATGGATGGATGCATGGATGGATAAATGGATGCATGCGTGGATGGATGGATGGGTGGATGGATGCATGGGTGGATGGATGGATGCATGAATGGATAAATGGATGCATGGATTGATGTATGGATCAATGGATGGATGGATGCATGGATGGATGGATGGATGGATGCATGCATGCATGCATAGATGAATGGATGGATGGATAAATGGATGCATAGATGGATGGATTAATGGATGCATGGATGGATGGGTGGATGCATGCATGGATGGATGGATGGATGGATGGATATCCACAATCTCATAAGACAGTACCCATAGGGCAAACAAAACACACCAGAATCTCTTGCATCTGAATAAAATGTTATGTTTTCCCTAAAGTTCACTCATATCTGTACTTCCAAACACTTCTGAGGGGTAAGGGTGGATGTTTTTACTTCTAATTTGCAGGCTTTGGGAGGGTACCAGATGAGTAACACATTGAAGCCTGAAGGCCCCTCTGGCTTCTATGGGTAGCATCTGCAGTTCACCCCTGCTCCTAAGATGTCTGAGGGAGAATTCTCTTCAGCCCAAGGGTGCTGAATGATTCCTTCTGGCCTTGGCTGAGCTGAGGAGGTAGCAGCAAAATTGGTGGGGCTGACTCTGGCAGATGGGGAGGATTGTTTGCAGAGGCTGTCATTCAGATAACTCCCTCAGCAGGTGAAGTTTATAAAGGGGACAGGATGGAGGTGGTCTTAGCCTCTAGGGCCCACTGCCCTCCCTGCACTGCAGGGATGTGGCTGGTCATCCTAATGTGCACCTACCCCCATCTCTGACAATGTCCATCCTTGTAGGGCACATTCTCTTTCTGAGCTCAGAACTCCCCAAATAGTAGTTTTGAAGTTTTAAAGTGCCTGGGAGACATGCTGTAGCATCTGCTCTATTTTAGAATTGGCTGGATCCACACCTCATTCATCACACCTTCCAACCTGGGGGCTTCTCAAGGCCAAGGTGAGTTCTGAGGCACACCCTGCACCTGGCCCATTGGCTATGGTCAGATGCTGTGTGTGCTCTCTGAGGACAGCCAGACCATGAGGCAGGGGCGGCCTCTGAGGGTCAGGCCAGGATCAGGGCCTGCCAGAGGCAGGGCCCTGGACACGGACTGATGTTCAGCAAGGATTTGCATTATCTGCATTAACCCTCTCAACAACCCTGCAAGGGGGATACTCATATCATCCTCACTTCATGGGGGGGAAACTGAGGCTCTGACCACACTGCTAGTATGTGGCAGAGCCTGGATTTGTTCCAAAAGCCAGAGCTCTCACCACTAGAGAAGGCACCTATAGTTCATCCAAACCCTTTTCTAGAACAACGCAGGGGCCACTAACTGAATGAAATGAGGACATGTAGGTGCCCATGGAGGGGAAGACCAGACAACCGCCTATGTTCAGCTTGGGCAGCTGTACTTCCTTCAAGAAGAGCCTGTCAAAGGTGTTTCACATGTGGCCATAGAGGGTGCAAGGGAAGAGGGGTGGCACAGAGAAGATCTCCTGCAGAACCCCACTGCCTGGGCACAAGTGGGGAAACAGCAGCGAGATCACAATACTTCAAACATTTTTATTATTGGTCAGGCGCGGTGGCTCATGCCTGTAATTCCAACACTTTGGGAGGCCGAGGCAGGTGGATCACTTGAGGTCAGGAGTTCGAGGCCATTTCTCTATTAAAAATACAAAAATTAGCCGAGTGTGGTGGTGGGTGCCTGTAATCCCAGCTACTCAGGAGGCTGAGGCACAAGAATCTCTTGAACCCAGGAGGCAGAGGTTGCAGTCAGCCGAGATCACACCACTGCACTCCAGCCTGGGCGAGAGAGCTAGAATCCATTTCAGAAAAAAAAAACACCTTTTTTTTTCATTGTTATTATGTCTGTGTTGGTGTTGGTGATCTATAATCAGTGATCTTGGATGTTACTATTGTAAAAGTTTGGGGGTGCCATAAACCACACCCATACAAGATGGCAAACTTAATAAATACTGTGTGTGTTCTGACTGCTCCACTGACCAGCTATTCCCCCATCACTCTCATCCTGAGGCCTCCCTGTTCCCAAAGATACAACAATATTGAAATTAGGTCAATTAATAACCCTACAATGGCCTCTATGTGTTCAAATGAAAGGAGGAATTGCATGCCTCTCATTTTAAATTAAAAGCTAGAATTGATTAAGCTTAGCGAGGAAGACCTATCAAAAGCCAAGAGAGACCGAAAGCTGGGTCCCTTGCACCAGTTAGCCAAGTTGAGAATGCAAAGGAAAAGTTCTTGAAGGAAATTGAAAGTGCTACTCCGGTGAACACATAAGTGGCAAGAAGGCAAAACAGCCTTATTGCTGATATGGAGAAAGTTTGAGTGGTCTGGATAGAAGGTCAAATTAACCACAGCATTCCCTTGAGCCAAAGCTTAATCCAGAGCAACGCCCTAACTCTTGTCAATTCTATGAAGGCTGAGAGAGGTGAGGAAGCTTCAGAAGAAAAGTTGGAAGCTAGCAGGGGTTGGTTCATGAGGTTTAATGAAAGAAACCATCTGCATAACTTAAAAGGGCAAGTGAAGCAGTAAATGCTGATATAAAAGTTGCAGCACGTCATCCAGAAGATCTAGCTAAGATCATTGATGAAGGTTGCTACACTAAACAACAGATTTTCAGTGTAGGCAAAACAGCCTTCTATTGGAACAGGATGTTATCTAGAACTTTCATCACTAGAGAGAAGTCAATGCCTGGCTTCAAAGCTTCAAATAACTAAATGACCCTCTTGTTAGGGGCTAATGTAGTTGGTGACTTTAAGTGGAAGCCAATGCTAGTTTATTATTCCAAAAATCCTAGGCCCTTAAGAATTATGCTAAATCTACTCTGCCTATGCTGTATAAATGCAACAACAAAGCCTGATGACAGCACATCTATTTACAGCATGGTTGACTGAATATTTTATGTCCACTGTTGAGACCTACTACTCAGAAAAAAAAAGATTCCCTTAAAAATATTACAGCTCATTGACAATGCACCTGGTTACTCAAGAGTCCTGATGGAGATGTACAAAGAGATTAAGTTGTTTTCATGCCTGCTAACACAGCATCCATTCTGCAGCCCATAGATTAAGGAGTCATTTCAACTTTCAAGTCTTATTATTTAAGAAATACAATTTGTAAGGCTATAGCTGCTACAGAGAGATCCTCTGATGGATCTGGGCAAAGCAAATTGGAAACATTCTAGAAAGGAGTCACCATTCTTGTGCCGTTAAGGACATTTGTGATTCCAGGGAAGAGGTCAAAATATCAAGATTAACAGGAGTTTGAAAGAAGTTGACTTTAACCCTCAAGGATGCCTTTGAAGTGTTAAAGACTTCAGTGGGAGAAGTCACTGCAGATGTGGTGAAAATAGCAAAAGAACTAGAATTAGGAGTGGAACCCGGACAAGTGACTGAATTGCTGCAATCATGCCTGGACCGGAGGGGCAAAAGGAAAAGCGGTATTTCCCAAGCCAGGTTCGGACGCCACTCTGCAGAAGCTGGAACCATGAAGACATAGCCGCTACCTAAGAAGCCACCTGGGACAGAGAGGAGAGGGCTTTTTCCTTGTCTTCCCAGTCTCCTGTCAGTGGTCCCCAGCAGCTGCTCTCTGCTGGAAGCCAGTGCTCCTGCAGGATAGAACTAAGTGTTGGGGGGCAGAGAGTGGGTCTAGGGGCAACCAGGCCCAGGAGGAGCAAAGGCAGTCAGCGAAGGCTTCTCTGAGGTGGGGACATTTAACTCAGTCCTGAAGGATGAGGAAGCATCAGGCAGATTAGACACCAGGGGAGAGCATTCCAGGCATAGGTAACGGCTAGCAGTGTGAAGGCTCGGAGGCGGGAACAAGCCTAGCATCAGGAGGAACAGAAAGGAGTGTAGTGGGTGGAAGAAGGTAGGTGGGAATTTCCTAGGCTCCAAAACCGATGTATGCTACATGTCAAATATTGTCCTGATATTCCAGATGTGAAAGTGGAGGGGCAGAGTGTGGTTTCCAGAACTCAAAGAACCCTTCTGATAAGATGACCTTATATGCAGATCTGATCTAGACCATGCTGGACGCTTGGAGACCGAAAGGCATTCTGTGTCTTACCAGCCTGTCTTTCCTAGCACCTACACAAGCCGGAAAGCTGCTTCTGGCCCATTTCCCAGTCTGTGCAGCTGTATCCACCACCCTGCTCCTCCCTCCCTGTATGGTTTGCATGTTTTGCCACCTCCAAATCTCATGTTGAAATGTGACCTCCAATGTTGGAGGTGGGGCCTAGTGGGAGGTGTTTGGGTCATGTGGGCGCACCCCTCATGAATGTCATGGTGCTGTCCTTGAAGTAATGAGTGAGTTCTCACTCTGTGAGTCCATACGAGATCTGGTTGTTTAGAGGAGCCTGAAGCACCCCCTCCTCTGTCTTGCTCCCTCTCTTGCCATGTGATGCCGGCTTCCCCTTTGCCTTCAGCCATGAGTGGAAGCTTCCTGAGTCCTCACCAGAAGCAGATGTTGGCACCATGCTTCTTGTACAGCTTGCAGAACCATAGGTCAAATAAACCTCTTCTCTTTATAAATCACCCAGTCTCAGGTATTCCTTTGTAGCAACGCAAAACAGACTAATACACTTCCCCTCCAAAGCTTCAGAGGCTCACTTTGCAGGAACACTCTTGTATTACCTGGAAAGATGATCAGACTCTGCTTCCTTTTGCTTGTCAGAGTCAGATTCCAAGGTGAACCAGCTCAACTGCTGAGGCCTCAAAACACACAGGAAATAAAAGGAGAAGAAGAAAACCAAAGAATAAAACTGTTTTATCAAAACTCAGTATGTGATTGGAAATAAAGCTTTGATAAATCACTTGGAGAGAGGTGATGCTCAGGTACTAATGTCTCATGGTCCCTCTGGCTTTAGGAGAGGATGGATCTGGTAATCTGCAGGGCTTTTGCTTTGCTGAAGAAATCCTGCATGTCTGGGCAGAGAAACCTTGCTGAGGACAGAAAAGAGAGGTCCAGTGCTGTTAGCACAGGCCCAGCCATCTACCCTCCCTCTACATACCTCCATCTGAATGAATGTTGAATAAATACTTCAGGAATAACTGTTTATTGCTGGGACAACTGGGTTTCCACATGTGAAAGAATGAATCTGGACTCCTACCTCACACCGTATGCAAAAGATAACTCAAAATGAACCAAGACCTAAATGTAAGAGCTAAAAGCATAAAACTCTTAGAAGACAGCACAAGAGTATGTCATTATGACTTTGGGTTAGGCAGGGGTTTCTTAGATATGGCTTCTTATTTATTTATTTATTTATTGGAGATGGAGTCTCACTCTGCCTCCAGGCAGGAGTGCAATGGCTCAATCTCGGCTCACTGCAACCTCTGACTCCCTGGTTCAAGCGATTCTCCTGCCTCAGCCTCCTGAGTAGCTGGGATTACAGGCACACACCATCACATCCAACTCACTTTTGTATTTTTAGTAGAGATGGGGTTTCACCATGTTGTCCAGGACGGTCTCGATCTCCTGACCATGTGATCTACCTGCCTCGGCTTCCCGAAGTGCTGGGATTACAGGCGTGAGCCACCATGCCTGGCTGATATGATTTCTTAAACACCTAAAGAAATGAGGAGATACCAGGCGTGGTGGCTCACGCCTGTAATCCCAGCACTTTGGGAGGCCAAGGCAGGTGGATCACCTGAGGTCAGGAGTTTGAGACCAGCCTGACCAACATGGAGAAACCCTGTCTCTACTAAAAATACAAAATTAGCCAGGCATGGTGGCTCATGCCTGTAATCCCAGCTACTTGGGAGGCTGGGGCAGGAGAATCCCTTGAACCCGGGAGATGGAGGTTGCAGTGAGCCGAGATCGTGCCATTGCACTCCAACCTGGGCAACAAGAGTGAAACTCCATCTCAAAAAAAAAAAAAAAAAAAAAGAAAAGAAAAGAAAAGAAATGAGGAGAGAAAATGGGTATAAGATTTCTTTCCTAGGGTGACAAAAAC
Source organism: Homo sapiens (assembly GCF_000001405.40). Taxonomy (NCBI): domain Eukaryota; kingdom Metazoa; phylum Chordata; class Mammalia; order Primates; family Hominidae; genus Homo; species Homo sapiens. The sequence continues at coordinate 31,539,563 of NC_000001.11, read as the reverse complement.
ATCAAACATTAGAGTGTGGTGATGATTGCACAACTCTGTGAAGATACTAAAAGTCATTTAATTGTACATAATTTTCCCAACTTTATTGAGGTATACATGACAAATAGAATTATATAAATTTAAGGTATAGAATGTAGATTCCACAGATAATGTGAGAATCACTGTATGTTTCTCACATAGAAGTGAGATTATATAGTACTTGTCTTTCTCTGTCTGACATATTTCACTTAGCATAATGGCCTCAAGGTTCTATGTTGTCGCAAATGACAGGGCTTCCTTCTTTTTTATAATGAATAATATTTCATTGACTGTAGGCTGGGCATGGTGGCTCATTCCTGTAATTCCAGCACTCTGGAAGGCTGAGGTGGGCAGATTGCTTGAGCCCAGGAGTTCGAGACCAGCCTGGGCAACAAGGTGAAACGCCATCTCCATGAAAAATAAAAAAGATTAGCTAGGAGTGGTGTCACATGCCTGTAGTCCCAGCTACTAGAGAGGCTGAGGTGGGAGGATCTCTTGAGCCCAGGAGGTCAAGGCTGCAGTGAGCTGTGATTGTGCCACTGCACTCCAGCCTGGGTGACAGAAGGAGACCCTGTCTCAAAAAAAAGAAAAAAAAATCCATTGATTATACATCCATATAATTTTTTCTTTTTACACAGTAGTTCCTGCATGGAGCTTGGTGTCTGGCATACAAGTCTCTTCATAAACATTTGTTAAATCAGAGGTTAGGTGAACGACAGCATTACTGTCTTCCTGAACTTGGGCAAGTGATTTAACCCGTCAGTGCTTCACTTTCCTTTTCTATAATGACTTCTTAAAAAAATGAAATAATTTCCATCTGTCTCAGCTAATACTTTTGTAAAATACCGTGAAATCAGGCAGGGGAGTGGGGCAGAGTGGCCTTGCAATGGTCGGGGTAGGGCTGCTGAGCTGAGGGCTAGCTGGGTGAGGCAGCTGAGTGTGAGGTAAGAAAGAAGGAGCGATCCTCCAAGGTTTATATAAAATTGGTCATAGGATAACAACTTCTGAGATCCCAGCAGGAGTCCTAACATCTAGCAGCTTGACCACCAGGACACCGGCCTCCTAAAACTAATCCCAACAAGCACCTGTAAAGTCTTCACAGGTGAAGCCTACCTTTTCAGATAGTCCAACAGCTAAATCACCAGTTCCCAAGGCCATTTGCATCACCCATGGAAAACACCGGATCCTTATACACCAGATGTTCTTGACAGCTCATCCCATCATTCCCCCTGCACAAAAGCTGCTATACCAGCGGACAACCACAACAACTACCGAGCTTCTTTTTGTAGGTATAGTATCACTGCCAGCAAAACAGCACAAAATGTGTCTCTTCACAGTATCACTATCAATTGGGACCATGCTAGGAAAATCAGCTTGCCTGGATGAGGACCCCTTTTCTTCTTGGGTTACCAGGATTTGAAGGAGATACTCTGACCTGTGCCACTGGTAAGTGACTCACACTTTTACATCCTGAACTGGTCCTGGAAACTGAGATGTCTTCTATGTAAGTGAAGAATATACAACATAGTCTTGAAGAATTGCGCAGTGGTGTGGGCCGCAAGCATACTTCATGTGTGTAATGGACTGAAAGAAAAAATAGGCCGGGCGCAGTGGGTCACGCCTGTAATCCCCGCACTTTGGGAGGCTGAGGTGGGTAGGTCACCTGAGGTCAGGAGTTCGAGACCAGCTTGAGCAACATGGAGAAACCCCGTCTCTACTAAAAATACAAACTTAGCTGGATGTGGTGGCACATGCCTGTAATCCCAGCTACTGTGGAAGCTGAGGTAGGAGAATTGTTTGAACCCAGGAGGCGGAGGTTGCAGTGAGCCAAGATCATGCCATTGCACTCCAGCCTGGGCAACAAGAGTGAAACTCCGTATCAAAAAAAAAAAGAACACTTCAGCTCTACTCTCTTAACAAATTTCAAGAGTACAATATGATATTGTTAATCGTAGTTGCTGTGTTGTACATTAGCTCTTTATGGCTTATCTTGTGCAGCTGAAAGATTGTGCCCTTTGACCAATATCTCCCCATTTCCCCTACTCCCCACCATTCTACTCTTGCTTCTATGAGTTCAACTTCGTTCAGGTTCCACATATAAGATCATGCAAAATCTGTCTGTCAGAAAAAGAAAAATCTGAAAGAAAAAGTTTAAAAATCCACCCAAGATGGTTGCAGCCTGGACATTAAGTAATAGAAAGTAAGCCTATGAACTAAAGCTGAAGTCTCACCTGCAAGGCTGGCATTTGTCAAAATATTTCACTGGCATTACTGACTGTAACCTTGATTATCACATGAAGCACAAAAGCAGGATAGAATCAAATATCCCTCACCAGACCTTAAGACACCTATGTAATCATTAACTTTTTACCCTATATACATTAACTGCACCTTTGCTTTATCTTATATATAATGTCACCAAACACCAATCAAAATTGTAAGAACACCACCTTTGCTCCACTGACCCTTCTCCCATTTTCTGTTTTTCTTTTCCTTTTTTTTTTTTTTTTTTTTTTTTTGAGACAGAGTCTCGCTCTGTCGCCCAGGCTGGAGTGCAGTGGCGTGATCTTGGCTCACTGCAACCTCGGCCTCCCGGGTTCATGCCATTCTCCTGCCTCAGCCTCCCGAGTAGCTGGGACTACAGGTGCCCGCCACCACGCCCGGCTATTTTTTATTATTTTTTTTTTTATTTTTAGTAGAGATGGGGTTTCACCATGTTAGCCAGGATGGTCTCAATCTCCTGACCTCGTGATCCGCCCGCCTCGGCCTCCCAAAGTGCTGGGATTACAGGCGTGAGCCACCGCGCCTGGCCGTGCTTCTCCCATTTTCTATGTAGAAAACATACACATACTGTGCCTCGTGGAACCCACCACAGGATGCATTCTGGGTTTGTACTGAGTCTGTGTTCCCGGGCTATAGTCCTCAAACTTGTCTCAGAATAACATTAACTTTGATTTAAGTTTATAGTGCCTATTCTTTCACCTTTTGGGTCAACAGATAGCATACTCGGCAGAATTCCAGCAGGATCCGCAGACACCCAGAACTCATTCTTGGCACTTGGTGCTTGGTATCAGCACGAACTCATTGTGTTCAAATGGACTCCGGAGGAGCCACTGAGTGCAACGGCGTGAGTTACCTGGAATCTGGAGCTCCCTCTCTTCTGTAGAGGTCCAGATCCACTTTATTCTGAGCTGTTTCCAGGACCACGAAAAGGAGAAGTAAAGTCTGAGTTTGCTAGATTCTTCGTATGGTTGTTATTGCTTGTTGTTCTCAACTGCTAGAAAGGAAGGAAAAGGTCAACCAAGCATTGTCATGGTTAGAGCGGTGGTTTCTTTCATCAGCTGAGTGTTTTTCTTTTTAAAAGCTTTTTGGGCCCGGCGTGGTGGCTCACGCCTGTACAGCACTTTGGAGGCTGAGGCGGGCGGATCACCAGATCACGAGATCCAGACCATCCTGGCTAACACGGTGAAACCCCATCTCTACTAAAAATACAAAAAATTAGCTGGGCGTGGGAGGCTGAGGCAGGAGAATGGCGTGAACCCAGGAGGCGGAGCTTGCAGTGAGCCGAAATCGCGCCACTGCACTCCAGCCTGTGCGACAAAAAGGCTTTTTTGTCTGCAGCAACCCTTTACCTTCTATATTAGGGTAATTGAGATAGAATTGCTCTCTCCAGCCCAAATCTCAGGTATTCTTAGGTGACTAAGAACCTTGTGGAGGTGTTGGAGGAGATTCCTCATGACTCGCAGCAATCCCAAAGGGCGTCACCATCAACACTCAAATTGCAATAGTTCCTCTAGGAACTTCTCATAAAGGTTAGTCACCCAGTGCTCGGAATAGCACGCTGCTTCATCAGGAGAGCTTCTCCTGAGACATGCAAGAGAGCAGACCACCTCGGGGGTAAGAGCCGGAGGAGTGAAGCTCATATGCAGCACCCTTTTATTTTTGAGACAGGGTCTCACTCTGTCACTCAGGCTGGAGTGCAGTGGTGTGATCATGGCTCACTCCAGCCTCAACCTCCTGGGCCCAAGAGATCCTCCCATCTCAGCCTCCTGAGTAGCTGGAACTACAGACACACACCACCATGCCCGGCTCATTTCTTTTTTCTTTTTTGTAGAGATAGGGTCTCACTATTTGTATGTCTTCTTTCAGATTGGCCTTGAACTCCTGGGCTCAACCAATTCTCCCGACTCAGCCTCACGATGTGCTGGGATTACAGGCATGAACCACTGCACCCCAGCCCGCAGCACACTTTTGACCCTGAATAATACAACCTTAGTTTGGTGCAGACAAGGGAGAAGTGGGGAGAAACAAGGAAAACAAGACATCTAAAGTTGACAGGGTCACCACCTTCCAAGACACCAGTTGGATTTATAATTAAAAGTTATGGTGCCTTATTTTGTAAGCTTCTGACTCATTAGACCAACATCACTAAAAATGAAATTAGCTTAACTTGGCCGAAACGGGGCTCATTCAGGATTCTGAAATTGGTTTATTTATATGCACAGTTGGAATAAGCCAGCTCAAAAATTAAACAGAAAGCATGAGATAGTTATTTCAAATGGTATTTAGATGCTTCTAAAAGAGGGAATGATAAAATTGCTTCCTCTCAGGAAGTGAACCACAAGATCTTGGAAACTGTTTCTTGACTGGAAACATCGTCTGAAGTCTCTACCGTCTCACATCCTTCACCTGCCACTCCTACTGCCTCAGAACCCTTGTACCCTTTGCTTCCAGCTCTTCCTTTATTCCTTTCTCCACCACCCACAGAAGTTTTGTGGTTTTTGTTTGTTTGTTTGTTTTTTTTTTTTTTTTTTTGAGACGGAGTCTCGCTCTTTCGCCCAGGCCGGACTGCCGTGGCGCGATCTCGGCTCACTGAAAGCTCCGCCTCCCGGCTTCACGCCATTCTCCTGCCTCAGCCTCCCGAGGAGCTGGGACTACAGGTGCCCGCCACTGCACCCGGCTAATTTTTTTGTATCTTTAGTAGAGACGGGGTTTCGCCGTGTTAGCCAGGATGGTCTCCATCTCCTGACCTCAGATGATCTGCCCGCCTCGGCCTCCCAAAGTGCTGGGATTACAGGCGTGAGCCACCGCGCCCGGCCCACCCACAGAAGTTTTGACAGCATCTTTTTAAAATAAAAAGCCTGACCCAAGGGGAGAACCTTTAGTAGCTTATACTCCTGGACCAAGGCAGAACTTAACAGCTCTTACTAAGAAACTTCCAGATCCTACCCAGGATCCTATAGGTTTCACTAAAGGGTTTAGTCTAAATTGTACGAACTTATGAACCTGGCTCTTCAGATGTGTATCAGCTGGTTCACATGTTAGTATCTGAAAAAAAAAAAAAAAAAAAAAAAAAAGTGAGGGAATCATTATCAAAGGCTGACTGGAAGGATTCATTAAGCAATTTTCATAAAGAAAAAGCCGAAGACCAAGAAAGAACTCGGGAAATAGCAAATCGTGTAGCACAAGTAATTTCCCAGATATTTCCTAAGACCACTGCCTCCTCTAAAGACCAGCAATGTAAACAAAGAGCAAATGCGACTGTGCTGGACTATTTTGAAATATCTGAGAGGGATTTTAAATAATATTTGGGAATGAATAAAGAAAGTCTAAGGGACTATCAGAATGATTCTTTATTAAATTCAATCTTCTTTCATGGACTTGATGAGCAATTGGCCAAGATGGTCAAATTGCACCAAATAAATTGGGATTCTGTGCACACTTCAGAACTACAGAATCTTGCTGGTAAACTGGCTAGAGTTATACAGCAGAAGGAAGATTAAAAAGCCACTAAAATCATGAATTTACAGCATCAACAATGTACTGGTGAATTTATCTGATCTAAACAGAAGTCTCTCTTTCAAAAGGGAGTCCCATAAACATCTAAAGATGTCTATTATTATTGCAAGAAAATAATACATCTAAAGAAAAATTGCAGAAAGTTGAAATGGGTACAGAAACAGAAAGAAAAAGAGAAAGGAGAAAAGGAATAGGGAGACTCTAAGGAGATAAAGAGGGCCTTCCCCTGTCTTTTAAGCAACACTCTGGGGCAAGTGGAACTATATATAAATGGAGAAAAAACGAAGGCATTAGTTGACACAGGATCTATCCTTTCTGTTCTCAACCCTATCTTTTTAAAGAGCCCTCTTCCTTGAAGTAATCAAATTGTTCAAATGATAGGGTTGATTAGATAATCAACCAATGACTATATACAAATAAAAACTTTTCCCTTTCCAATTAGGTCATTTAGATGGACATTCTTTTCTTTTGGTGCCCTTTGCACCAGTACATCTTATAGGAAGAGATTTTCTGGAGCTTTATAATGTTCATATTTCCTTTTCAAAGAGAGGAGAAATGTTTTTGAAAATGGCTGTAGCGGAGCTTGCAGTGAGCCGAGATTATGCCACTGCACTCCAGCCTGGGCGACAGAGCGAGACTCCGTGTCAAAAAAAAAAAAAAAAAAAGAAAAAGAAAATGGCTGAAAGAGCATTGACTGAATATGATAAATCAGGAAGTTTAGATCAAATGATAGATCAAATGATCATCAAAATTCATAAAGTAGTAAGACAAAAAAGAACTTGATGCTTTATTATGCCAAATCCCTGGTTGTTTATGGTCCCAGTTGTCTACTGACATAGGGAAAAATTTAATAGCCACTCCAATATGGATACAGATGGATTCAAATAAGCCACTTCCCAATATTAAATCATATTCATTAAAACAGGAAGCCATAATAGGAATAAAACAAATAATCGAAGATTTCATTGATTAAAAAAATGATTATTCCTTGCACCAGTCCTTGTAATACTCCCATCCTTCTAGTACAAAAACCTAATGGGAAAGGATGGAGATTCATACAAGATTTGAGAGCCATTAAAAATATTGTCATTCCTTGTTACCCAGTAATTCCAAACCCCCACACTCTTTTATCTAATATACATGTAAGCAGTAAATATTTCACTGCAATTGATTTATGCAGTGCTTTTTAAAATATCAGTTGATCCTGACAGTCAATACTTGTTTGCCTTTACCTGGGACACCAGTCCATCTGGACTGTTATGACTCAAGGTCATACTGAAAGCCCAACTTATTTTCCACAAATGTTAAGGGCTGGCCTGGATGAGCTAAATGTTTAAGGAAATTCCACTCTACTTCAGTATGTGGATAATCTCTTGTTTTGCTCCTTTAGTCTGCATGACTGTAAAAACAACTCCCTTTACTTGCTAGAACAATTAGCAAACAGAGAACACAAAGTGTGTACAGAAAAACTCTTATTTTGCTTAATGGAAGTAAAACATTTGGGACATTTAATTTCTAAAGAGGGACAACATATAAATCTGGATCGAGTTACTGGAATTCTTGCATACCTCACTCCAAAAGCTAAAAAGTAGCTCCGGGATTCTTAAACTTAACTGGTTACTGCTGTAGGTGGATCACCAATTTTTCTCTCATGGCACAGCCTTTATATACATTGTTAAAAGAAGATCAACTTGATTCTATACAGTGGACATCAGAAGGACACATACCAATTCAAGAAATAAAGGAAGATTTTAGAAGGGCCCCTGCTTTGGGCCATCTAAATTATCAGCTGTCATTTTTCCCTTTTGTTTATAAAAAACATGATAGTACCCTGGGTATTCTGACCCAAAAACACAAGATATTCTATCTTGTCTATCTGACAAGATAGACCTATTGACCATTATAGTCAGCAGTGACACACCATAGCGCATGTGCTGCCCCCTTGTCTGAGGTCTATTTCCGTAGCCGCAAGCTCCTTAAGGCCACTCAGGCAACAGTAATGCAGGCTCCTTTGACTGTATATGTACCTCATTCTGCAGAAACTCTTTTAAATTCACAATACATGCAACACTTTTCTGTTAACAGATTAGCTTCTTATAAAGTACTTTTACTCTCTGCTACACATATTATCCTCCCTTACTGTAATTCTCTTAATCCCACAACATTACTTCCTGAAACAACTGATGAAATACGTCATGACTGTATTTTACTAACAGAATAGCTTTTGATGCCCAGACAGGATTTACAGGAGACACTGCTGTAAAATGCTGATGTTATCTGGTTCACAGACGGATCGTATCTAAAGGATGAATTTGGAAAATAATGAGCAGGCTAGGCCATTGTGTCTCTTGTGGACATTATAGAGAGCAATCCCTTGCCTACAGTAGAATCAGCACAGTTAGCTGAGTTAATAGGGTTCGCCAGAGCTTGTCAAGTGGCCAAAAATCAAATGGCTAATGTTTACGTTGACAGCTATTCTGCTTTGGGTGTAGCTCATGATTTTGGAATGTTGTGGAAATAGCAACCTCCTCCAGACGCCCTATTATCGTGGCTCTCAAGTCTCTGATCATTTAGAAGCCATCCAATTAACAACAACAACAAAAATAATGGACTATTATCAAGCCCATTTATAATAGCCCTGGACATTTCCAACTTCACTCTCCAGAGAGTAAAGGAAATCATTTTGCTGATTCAACAGCAAAAAAGTCTGCATTAACACTGATATCAAATAAAACTAGAGAGGTGGCTATATTTAAAATGCACTCCATTGAAAAGGAACTCCAAGAGGCTCAAGAAAAGCCTTCAGAGAGGGGAAAGCAGATATAGCTAACAAAAATGGCGGTGCTTTTTCTCCACTTGCAAATTATGGTATGGACCCAAAGACAGACTAGTTTTGCCTTTGGGATTTCAATTTTCTATGTCACAACATGTCTATGAGCTCACTCACTGGGGGCCTGAAAAAATGATTGCCCAGGGAAAACAATTATTATTGGGAATCCTCACCCACAATAGCACATAGACTTTATGCTAAATGTCCAATTTGTCCTAAACCTAATCCAGGAAAGTGTCTTCACAGATTTCAAGGGCATTTCCCTTTGCCCACTGGACCTTTCAATATATGGCAAATGAATTTTATCCAATTACCTCCAGCCCAGGGTTATAAATACGTGCTGGTTATGATTTATATGTTCACTCATCAGACTGAAGCATTTCCTTGCAGAAGAGTCATGGCACAAACAGTAGAATAATATGTGTTGCTGTGGGTAATTCCCTCTTGGGGAATTCCTTCCAAATTACATCGCAATAGGGGACTCATTTTACTGGAGAGATTATCCACTCCATTTGTAAAATCTGGCTCATTTTCCAACATTTTCGTTTTGCTTACCATCCACAGTCTTCTGAATTGGTGGAATGGAGAAATGAAATAATAATAACCCAGCTGGAAAAATTAATGAAAGCTTTTCCTATTATGTGGCCCAAGGCTCTTCCATTGGTTTCACTCAACCTAAGAGCAACTCCTTTCAGAAAACATCAATTATCTCATAAGATAATTACAGGGTGACCTATGAAATTGGATGGTGGTTTATATAAACCAACTTTACTGAAAGGAGATATACTCCATTATTGTCAAGGCTTAACTAAACGTCTTTTCAAAAAAAAATCAATAAAACTGATTTTAACACTGTGCTCCCAGAAGATGAAGATCTCAAATACCAAGATCTCTAGCCAGGTGACTCTGTTGATTGAAAAAGACATCAACTAAAAGTCTCGCTTCAACCTCATTGGAAAGGAGTTTATCAGGTATTGTTGACTAATCACTGTGAAGCTAAACTTGAAGGAGTTGACTCCTGGATTCACATTTCTAAGTTAAGAAAAGCTCCAACACCTAAATGGACTTCTAAGTCCACCAGAGACCTCCAATTAAAGATCTCTAAGATTTCTGACTCCTCTGAAGGTGGGAAGGAGACATCTGAGTAGACAGCATTTCCCAAGATACCAGACCAGGTGTGTATTCATGATGATTTTCTTCTGCATATACCTTTTGTTTTTGCATTTTCCTGTCACGATAATGAGTATCTAGTAACATCCTCTCCTTTGTTTGATCCCCATTTCTCTTATTGGGAAATCACTCATCTAATTTATATGGAAGTAGAACAAACCTTTTTCAATATCAGGAGGATATTGGAACTCTGATGTTGACTTCTTAGAATCAGTTCGATGTTCCTATAGCCTATGGCACCTTCTTTTCAGGCATAATATACTATTAGGGACCTTATTTAAAGAAATACATCCAGAAAATTCTTCTCAATTCGATGCCTGGTTGGGCAGTTTTTAATACTTTACTAATAGCTCACTGCATGACTGTGAATCTAGATGATCAATTACTACCTGAAGTCCTTGAGATAATTGAAAACAGTTGCAGCTTTTGTGCCTTGCCACAGTGTCTCTTGCCCTAGAGGTCAGAGGCTTTGTTTTTGTGGCTGTAGGTCTATGAAACATTCTAATGAAACTTGGAATCATACAATGGGAATTACTCGGTGATATGGTTTGGCCTGTGTCCCTACCCAAATCTCATCTTGAATTGTAATCCCCACCTGTGGAGGGAGAGACCTGATGGGAGGTGATTGGATCATGGGGGTGGTTTCCCCATGCTGTTCTCATGATAGTGAGGGAGTTCTCAAGATTGCTAATGGGTTTAAGTGTGGCACTTCCTCACTCTTTCTCTCTCTCTCTCTCCTACCACTATGTAAGATGTGCCTTGCTTTCCCTTTGGCTTCTGTCATGATTGTAAGTTTCCTGAGGCCTCCGCAGTCATGTGGAACCATGAGTCAATTAAACCTCTTTTCTTTATAAGTTACCCCATCTCAGGTATTCTTTATAGCAGTGTGGAAATGGTATTCTCCAGTGGTATCCTCATCCAGTTAGTGGATAAGAATACCGCCGGAGGATAATTTGGGAATTCAACCAGGGAGAATGTGAAAAGCCTTATGGTATACCCAAACTAAACTATATCTAGGGGTAACTGCTACATATCTCACCCTAACTTGGAACACCAAACATATTTGGTTTCACAATCTGTACCTAAATTGCACTTCTGCTATAATTGTTCAATGGCAACAACATGTTTGGTGGATAAAACAGCACTAGCCAACTAAGGTAAAAAGAAACTTAGGTGCAACAGGGGAATAACTTGTGATATTAGGACAAGATAAAAATGTATTTTATGAAAAAAGACATTCACAAGAAAAGTTGATACTTACCAATCAAAATAGATTAGAAGAAATACTCTTTCATGAGGAAAGTAAGGATCAGGAAGCTGCATGGAAAGATAATGACACTGTTGCTAAGTGGATAAGTCAAACTGCTCAACTAATGAGGGACCATACCAAAACCTAGCGATGAGAGAGCATACATCCAAACTCAGCAAGGTTTATTGACCATGCTAATACAAATGGAAGCAAAAGCCTCTAAAACATGGCCAACCATTTTGGATACAGAAGCACAAGGTGTGCATTTATGGAAAAAAATCCTCTTCTTCCTGGAAAATTACTACCAGGGTGTGTAGCCTAATTTGCTGCACTCTACAGCTTTAGCACCGGATATGGTTTGGCTGTGTCCCCTCCCAAATCTCATCCTGAATTGTAATTCCCATAATCCTCACAGGTCCTGAGATGGAGCTGGTGAGAGGTAATTGAATCACAGGGGTAGGTTTCCCCCATACTGTTCTTGTGATAGTGAATAAGTCTCATGAGATCTGATGGTTTTATGAATGGGAGTTCCCCTGCACAAGCCCTCTTGCCTGCCACCATGTCAGACATCACTTTGCTCTTCCTTTGTCTTCCGCCATGATTATGAGGTCGCCCCAGCCATGTGGAACTGTGAGTCCATTAAACCACTTTTTCTTTATAAATTACCCAGTCTTGGGTATGTCTTTATTAGCAACATGAGAACACACTAATACAGCACCCCATATATGTAGTCACCAGACCTATTACATAGTACAGTTAGCAGGAACAGGGATTATTTTAACAATACCTACATTCTCCCAATGGGCAGTTGATGGACCATATTAAATAATAATACTTGGAATCCAATTTCAGTTCTAGATTGTAAACACATTCAGGGAGACTAGTACTGTCCCTGTTAGATTTGGAATCCTGAAATCATGGAAACATGACCTCTAATTTCTACCCCTATTCAAAATAATATATGGAGCCCAGGCGACATAATAAGACCTCATCTCTAAAAAAAAAAAAAAAAAAATTAGCTGGGGGTGTTGGCCCATGCCTGTAGCCTCAGCTACTCGGGAAGCTGAGGTGGTAGGATCACTTGAGCCTGGGAGGTCGAGGCTGCAGTGAGCCATGATCACACCACTGCACTCCAGCCTGGGCAACAGAGCAAGACCCTGTCTCAAAAACAAAACAAAATAATATGTGGTATATGGGAAAAGAATGTTTTTGTTGGGAAAGGAAAAAAATGAGATTATAACCATTCTCATTTTTACCTTAGTTGGCCAGTGCTGTTTTATCCACCAAACATGTTGTTGCCATTGAACAATTATAGCAGAAGTGCAATTTAGGTACAGGTTGTGAATCCAAATATGTTGGGTGTTCCAAGTTAGGGTGAGATAGGTAGCAGCAATTAAGTTTGCAACCAGACAATATTTGATTTAAATTATACTGCCATTTGGTGCAATATGGAGTTCATAGAGAAGTTACTTTTAGGACAAGTATAACACTGAAGATTATGATATGTGACATTATTATGACATTGATAATAAAAAATTTTGAAAATTGAAACTCAGTTCACCTCAAGTTGTATTTCCAGCAAAAAAATGAATGGCTAGAAGAGCAATTAGATAAATCATCAATTAGTTACAGTTCTAAGTGAAATACACTAAAAAAATCGTAAGGTACAAATACAAACAAACAAAGGGGGGAGGAAAATTATTAGATTAGTCATAAGACTATCAAAATACAAGTTCAAGGTTTTTTTCTATGATAGATTGTTTCCTTTCTTCATTGTCTTTACCTGAAAGGACCTCTCAGTTGTTCACACTATTATTAATTATTTTTCTAGTATGTCTACGTTACAAATATTATAAATGCTGCAAAAATTGCAAATGTCACTGAAAGAATAGAACTCCAGCCCAAATTAAGTGAGTTCATTGATCTGAACTAACAGCTGTAGCATGTATGTAAGAGTAGTCTTCTGATGACTATTTGTCCAACACATTATTTCCCTATTTCTGATCAACTGAGGAAGGGCTTTCTATTTTAAATTTTTTCTTTTTTTTTTTTTGAGACAGAGTTTCATTCTTGTTGCCCAGGCTGGAGTGCAGTGGCATGATCTTGGCTCACTGCAACCTCTGCCTCCTGGGTTCAAGTGATTCTCCTGCCTCAGCCTCCTGAGTAACTGGGATTACAGACGCCCACCACCACGGCCAGCTAATTTTTGTATTTTTAGGAGCGACAGGATTTCTCCATGTTGGCCAGGCTGGTCTCAAACTCCTGACCTCGTGATCTGCCCGCCTCTGCCTCCCAAAGTGCTGGGATTACAGGCGTGAGCCACCGCGCCCGGCCTTGTTTTAAATTTTTTCAATCCTAAAGTCCCAAGGTTTATAAAACACATCAAATGGCCTATTCTTCCTCCCAACTCCTCAAGGCTCTTCAGCAATATGGTTGACCATGCAACACATCATCGCATCTGAGGAACAGCCTAAGAAAATAATTCTAATTGCAATGATCACCTCTTTTCTCCATAACGTGAGGAGATATTGGCATGACAGGAGAGCCTCTCGCATTCTGAAAGGAAATACAGGAATTTTTGCATCCTCACTGACAAACCAAATGACAGAACTTCATATAGGAGTGAAAAATAGAACAAGGGCACTTAAAAATTCCAATTTGATTCCCCTATGCCCTATAATTCCAAGCAAAGGGGACCTGTCCTCTTCAAATCCATCAGATATATTATTTGGTTTTCAAAGTCCTCTTTTGGAGAATTTAACCAAAAGGGAAAGATTTTTAGAAAAAAGAAAATCTGAAAGAAAAAGTTTTAAAACACAGCCCAAGATGGCTGCAGGCTGGACAAACAGGTACTAATATAAGGCCTATGAACTAAAGCTGAAGTCTCGCCTGCTAGGGTGGAGTCTGTCAAATATTTCACTGGCATGACTGATTGTAACCTTGCCTATCAGATGAAGCACAAATGCAGGGTAGAATCAATCACCCCTCTCCAGACCTTAAGACCCCTACGTATTCCACAACTTTTTACCCTATATATGTTAACTGCATATTTCTTTATTTATGCATAATGTCACTAAGCACCAATCAGAATTGTAAGTGTCACCTTTCCTTCAATGCCCCTGTGGAGACAGGAAGTGACTCCATCTTGGATATGAATGTGCCATGTTGTATTCTAATTAGCCCCAGTCCTGCAAATGCCTTCTGATTCTTACTTTATTTACTATCCTTAGTGTAAGAAGATGACAATCTGAATGTCATCACACAAATCATAGGCCATGATGCATGTAACATTCTTGCCTGTTCTGGAGGCTGCCTTTTATTGTCTTGCTGGACACACACGCCCTTTCCCTATGGTACAGAAGCCCCGGGTCTGGGGAGTAGCAGTGTGGAGATCTATCTTCTGCCTTGCAGCTAAAATCCCAAGACTACGCTTCTGCCTGTAAGTTCTCCCCCAGTAAAACACTCTAGACCAAACTGAATTTGTTTCCCTCCTTTTCTGGTTTCCAGCTCCTTTGGCATTTGGGGGTCATTTTGGATATAAGGCCCTTTCATGGAACAGCCCCCTTCTCCCATTTTCTTTCTCTCTTTTTTTTTTTTTTGTTTGTTTGTTTGCTCTGTTTTAAGACAGGGTCTCACACTGTCGCCCAGGCTGGAGTGCAGTGGCATGATTTTGGCTCACTGCAACCTCCGCCCTTGGGTTTTGTTGAGACAGAGTCTGGCTCTATCACCCAGGCTAGAGTGCAATGGCGCAATATTGGCTCACTGAAACCTCCACCTCCCGGTTCAAGCAATTCTCCTGCCTCAGCCTGAAGAGTAGCTGTGACTACAGGCGTATGCCACCATGCCCGGCTAATTTTTGTATTTTTGTAGGGAAGGGGTTCCACCATGTTGGCCAGGCTGCTCTCAAACTCCTGATCTCAGGTGATCTGCCTGCCCCGGCCTCCCAAAGGGCTAGGATTACAGGCGTGAGCCACCGCGTCCAGCCTAAATTTTTAAAACATATATTCAGAGAACTGAAAAGAGGAAGCAGGGAGATATAACAGAAACAAGGACCATCCCTCATATGGAAAGTCAATACATGACATTTGAAGCAAGGGTTGTGAAATCGCATCACGAGCTTGTTATTTGGAACTATTGAGATAAATGCTAGAAGAAATGCCTAACAGAATTCGAAGTATTGGCCTTGGAGGTCAGGAGTCCGGGAGTTGGGAGCTGAGGAGACACACTCGTGAGTCCATTTGTGATAAACTTCAACTGTGTCATGCATCCTTTAAATTTGAAATTTTTGAAAAGTTAAAGGTTAAAACAAATCAAAAGGGCCTTGCAGAGCTGTGTTCTCACCAGTCCCCATGGCAGTCCCTTGGCAATTCACAGATAGGGCTCCCACTACCCAGGTTAGCTCAGGCCACAAGCCCGGGTGCCTCCGCCTCCTTCTCATGTGGGAGGTTATGTAACCCACCCAAGGTCACAGAGGCAGTGGGTGTCAGTCCACAGTCACGGCTCAGGGCTTCTGTCAGAACAGGGACCTCCTCGGGGTGGGGCATGTGAGTGCCCTTGTGCTGTGACTCAACCCAGTTCCCCGTGTGACTCCACAGGGAGCTCAGAGAAAGTCAGCCCACACCCACTTTCATCTGAGGACACCCCAGTGGGGCAGAGCAGGCCTTCCCTGCTCCACCCCAAGCAGGACTCATGCCCCAGCCTTTCTGGGGCACATTGCTACATATTTTAAAATGGGCAAATAAGTACTTTCATGAACATGGCTAGTGGGGAAGAAAGGAGATTATTGCCCTCATTTTGTGGATGAGAAAATTGAAGTTAAAAGAGGGTAATGAGCTGGGTGGGGTGCTCACGCCTGTAATCCTAGTGCTTTGGGAGGCCGGGGCAGGTGGATCACCTGAGCTCAGGAGTTCGAGACCAGCCTAGGCAACATGGTGAAACCCTGTCTCTACTAAAACACAAAAATTAGCTGAGCGTGGTGGCACGCACCTGTAGTCCCCAGCTACTTGGGAGGCTGAGACAGGAGAATCACTTGAACCCAGGAGAGAGTGGTTGCTGTGAGCTGAGACTGTACCACTGCACTCCAGCCTGGGTGACAGAGTGAGACTCTGTCTCCAAAAAATAAAACAAAAAAGAGGATAATGATTTGTTCAGGGCACACCACTGATCCCACCCCTGATTTGGATGCAGGCCTGACTCTAGCACCTGGGTTCTTGGGTCACTGAGGTAAAGCACACTGACTCAGGTTTGTAAAACGTGGGCCAAATAGCAGCTGAGTCACTGGGTTGCTGTGAAGGTCAAATGAGGTCAGGTAGATATGGGACTCTTGGGAGGGTTGTTGGTACATCCCAACCACCTCACACATTTCAGCTGTTAATGGTGATGATGATGTCAGAGCTGGGAGGGCTGGAGAGATGCCCCAAACCTGGGGTTCAGGTGTAGCCTGTTGAGGCTCCCTTGAGAATCTAATGAAAGCAGATGACCCTCTGTTCTGCAGGCAGCCTCAAGACAGTGTTTTGCACGTTAAGACCCTCCTAGGTGCTCTAACATCTTGCATTTCCACAGATGATAAAATGAAGCCTCTGGCTGATATTTCCTTGGATCTGTTTCCCAGCTCAGGAAGGTGTTCTTGAATTCTGAAGCAGACATCTGGAGCCTGCGACTGAGCAGCTGCCATGATAGGAAAGGGGAAAGACCTCTGGTTACCTTCCAGAAAGACGAGAGAAGGTGCCTGTCTCCTCCACGACCTAACTGTACACAGCAGGATGCAATTACCTCTAGAACCACTGAGGAAGCAGACAGTAAACTGGACATCCATCTGTCCCGAGGCACAAAAATATTTGCAGGCACGAAAATATTTGCAGGCACCTCCCCTGTCCAGATTCAGACTAGGCCCTTCCACCACAGCAGTCCCCACAGCTGGGTGGAAGCCTGGAGGTCAGGAAGGAGGAGTGCTAGTTGCTTTCAACACTTCAATGGTGAAATCATGCAGAGAAGCACTTCTCATGTTAATCCATCTCACACACATTCCAAGAGCACCTACTATGTGTAAGGCACACAGTGGGACAAGCAGATGAACAAACAGAATCTCTATGGGAAGTGGTGAGTGATATTCTAGCAGTTCTCATACAATGCTGCGGGATGTAAAACACACTCTAGCTGGGGGAACTGACCAGGAAGGAACACGGGCTTGTTGAAACACATGATATTGGAAGTGACTATATCAAGATGCCCCAAAGTCAACTCATGACTTTTACCACCAACCTGACCTTTCACTGCCCAGTGAAAGTTGCCATCATCCGATTCAGTTACATGTCACACTTCCCACACTCTAACTCTCCATACACATCTCGGGTCTTGCTGACTTTTCCTCCTCTATGTCTCTGCCGTCCACTTCTCTCCATCTTTAACATCTACTTCAGCAGCTTCTCCTTTGGTCCGCCCTCCAATCCAACTTCCAATCTGAACGACCTCATCTAAGAACAGATGTGATCATGGTTAATCCCTTTTGAAAATCTTTCAATGGGCCGGGCACGGTGACTCATGCCTGTAATCCCAGCACTTTTGGAGGATGAGGTGGGCTGATCACCTGAGGTCAGGAATTCAAGACCAGCCTGGCCAACATGGTGAAACCCCGTCCGTACAAAAATACAAAAATTAGCTGGGTGTGTTGGCACGCACTTGTAATCCCAGCTACTCAGGAGGCTGAGGCAGGAGAATCGCTTGAGCCCAGGAGACGGAGGTTGCAGCGAGCCAAGACCATGCTATTGCACTCCAGCCTGGGAGAGTGAGACTCCATCTCAAAAAAAAAAAAATATATATATATATATATATATATTTCAATGGTACTTCTATTGTTATCTGTTTTTTTGTTTGTTTGTTTGTTTGTCTGTTTGAGATGGAGTCTCGCTCTGTCACCAGGCTGGAGTGCAGTGGTGCAATCTTGGCTCACTGCAAGCTCCACCTCCTGGGTTCAAGCAATTCCCTTGCCTCAGCCTCCCAAGTAGCTAGGACTACAGGTGTGTGCCACCATGCCTGGCTAATTTTTTTTTTTTTGAGTAGAGACGGGGTTTCACCATGTTAGCCAGGATGGTCTCGATCTCCTGACCTCATGATCTGCCAGCCCTGGCCTCCCAAAGTGCTGAGATTACAGGCGTGAGCCACTGCGCCCAGCCTGTTATCTGTTTTAACAAGTCCCAGTCTTCCTTCCAGGTCTGGTTCAAATGGAACTTCTCCCCAGTTCCCCAGTAGGGTGTGTTCTCTCTCCTGAAGTATTTCATGAGAACGTCAAGAACAGGGCTTAGGAGCCCCCGCTTAGTCTGGCCCAGACCTTTCTTTCTGCCTCATCTTGCATTGTAGCCCTCCTCATTATCCACCCCTCCGCAGAGCTGCTCTGCTTGTAATAAGTCATATTACCTAGGCTCCCTCTCATCTCACCTTTTTGCGTACGTTCTTCCCCATCTCTGGCCAAGTCCATTTTTCTTCCCCTTTGCCTGGATGATTCATTATTTATTTTTTGGCTGCTCAGACACTCATTCGTAAGAGGTGCTAAAACCTGAGAAAATGAAGTGTTGGAAGGATTGTTTGATAAGCTGCTTGGAATGTCAGTGAGTTCTCTAAGAGGCATGCCTCAATCATAATGGCTGGGAGTTGATTGCCTTCCTAGAAGATTCTGTCTGGGTAAATATTAGGCTCTTGCTTTGCTAGTAATTAGGGTGAGCAAATGTGGACCACAGCTGAATTGTTTAGGACAGGAAAGAGAAGCCAAGGACTGTCAAAAGAAACCTTCCTTTTTCTAAACCTTCCTCCACATAATGTTGTTCCTCCTCCAAATAAATGTTAAACTAGTTTTAGTTGAAATTGAGAGCAAAACCCACAAACAATAAAAAGGAAGTCAGGAGAGGCAGAAAAAAATGCACAGAACAGAAGAATGTGTCATTAAGAGTTAAACATCATCAGAAACAGAAGAGATATGCATAAAACAAGAACACTATGCTATGGAAAAGAAACAATCAGAGAACAAGAAAGAGCTCTTAGAAATTAAAAATGTAGGCCAGGCGCAGTGGCTCACGCCTGTAATCCCAACACTTTGGGACGCCAAGGCAGGTGGATCACCTGAGGCCAGAAGTTCAAGACCAGTCTGGACAACATGGTGAAACCGGTCTCTACTAAAAATACAAAAAATTAGTTGGGCCTGGTGGGGGGCGCCTGAAATCTCAGCTACTTGGGAGGCTGAGGCAGAAGAATTGCTTGAACTTGGGAAGCGGAGGTTGCAGTGAGCCGATATCATACCATTGCATTCCAGCCTGGGCAACAAGAGCTAAACTCTGTCTCAAAAAGAATTTAAAAAAAAAATAAAAAAGAATAAAAATGTAATAGCTGTTTGGTCAGGATAGGGTCAATGCTGTAACAAACCATCACAATCTCAGTGGGTTGTGACTAAGAAAGCTCATTTCTTGTTCCCATCACAGTCCCATTCTTCCCCAAGTCACAGGAAGGAATTAGCTCCATGTAGTCATTCAGGGACCCAGGCAACTTCCTTCATGAGGTCTTGCCATCTCCTAGGGTATTGAAGTACCCTACTTCTAGCCAGCAGATGAAAAAGAGCAGGAGAAGAAAAGAAGATACAGAAAGAAAATAAAAGTTACTGGGCACCGTTGGGGAAGTTGGGGCACCAACTTATTACTCTAAAAATTGTTAATTAAAGGAAAAGAATTAAGCATTTTTTATGCCTAACTGCATTTTCTGGTAATTAAATAGCCAAAATGAATGAAGGAAAGCTCTTCTATGCAGAAGAATTTCAGCTACTACATGAAGAAAAAATTAGAATCAGAAAATTATCATTTTTTAAGCCCCTAAGAAAATAACTGATTCAAGCAATGGTTTTCAATGGATGCCAAAATCACTCAGTGAAAGGTTGATGGAGAACTTCTCAGTGAAGGGTAAGGTTGCCATTGCCTGAACCTAAAGATAGATCTTAGCATCATTAAAAGCAAGACCAGCAGACATCATATGCCTCCAGGTGTGATGCACTGGAGACTTACAAGGTATCCCATGAAGTATAAAGAAGCAAGTGACTGTATCCCTAGTGTAAAAACTCTACATGAGAATTGACACAGTTTCTTCAGGAAGTCAATAGCACTGAGAACAAATATAGGAAGAGGAATTAATTTATGTTAAAAGAGAGTTAGAGGCTGGGCACAGTGGCTCATGCCTGTAATCCCAGCGATTTGGGAGGCTAAGGCAGCCAGATCACTTGAAGTCAGGAGTTTGAGACCAGCCTGGCCAACACGGTGAAACCCTATCTCTATTAAAAACACAAAAATTAGCCAGGCGTGGTGGCCCACACCTGCAGTCCCAGCTACTCAGGAGGCTAAGGCGCGAGAATCGGCTGAACTGGGGAGATGGAGGTTGCAGTGAGCCAAGATCACACCACTGCACTCCAGTCTGGGTGACAGAGCGAGACTCCATCTCAAATAATAATAATGATTTTTAAAAAGTCAACTAATAACATAAGGTGATGAGTCTGGAAAGGATGGCAAGAAAGCACACTTCATAAATATGAAGGAAAATGAAGAAAACACTTGTGTTAGGGTTCTCTAGATGGACAGAACTAATAGGATATATATATATATATAAGGGAGTTTATTAAGTATTAACTTACATGATCACAAGGTCCCACAATAGGCTGTCTGCAAGCTTGAGGAGCAAGGAGAGCCAGTCCAAGTCTCAAAACTGAAGAACTTGGAGTCTGATGTTCAAGGGCAGGAAGCATCCAGCATGGGAGAAAGATGTAGGCTGGGAGGCTAGGCCAGTCTTGCCTTTTCACCTTTTTCTTCCTGCTGTATATTCGCTGGCAGCTGATTAGATGGTGCCCACCAGATTAAGGGTGGGTCTGCCTTCTCCAGCCCGCTGACCCAAATGTTAATCTTCTTTGGCAACACCCTCACAGACACACCCAGGATCAATACTTTGCATCTTTAATCCAATCAAGTTGACACTCAGTATTAACCATGGTAAGTCCACCCCTTGTCAAGCTGAACCCATACACATCTCCTGAGATCATACATAATCTTCAAATAAAGACAATAATAAGGTCATAATTATGCCTAAAATAATACAACTATCCTTGGTACAACTGGAAACCCACCAATCCCCAACCCAAATATTATTACATAAAGTTAATAATACTTAAATGTTGATATGAAGTCAGTAAATCTTATGTCACATGATAAAGGAAAAGGAAATAAAATGGATATATTTTCTTCGTACAAGTGTATACATGCACAAACATGTTTTTAGCCAAAGAAGGAGGAAATACTCATGATAGTTACAGTCCGCATTTCTGCAGCTGGTCACATGGTCATAGGTGGTATTGATGATTACCTTCTTCTACTACCCATTCTGTATTCCCTTTGCCTTCAGCAAGCACCTCAGCAGGTTGTGGTTTTTTTCCTGGTGGAGTGACCCAAACCTTCATTCCTGAGGGGTCTGGGCTATTTGTAGTCCTGCCTGGATTGCGCTATTGTAGTTTCCCATTGACCTTAATCAAAGGGCATGGTAATACTAAGAGATGCTCTAAAGGATGTCCTGTATTCCATGCATACTCTTCCTTACCTCTGTTATGGAGTAGTAGACTGATTTTATCTTGATAGTTCACCTTCCCACTCCATCTCCCTTCTGGCTCCCCCATCTGCTGAGAGCTACTTCCACTCAATAAAAACTTGCACTCGGTCCCTAAGCCCACGTGTGATCTGATTCCTCCAGTACACCAAGGCAAAAACCCTGGGATACAGAAAGCCCTCTGTCCTTGTGATAAGGCAGAGGATCTAATCGAGCTGATTAACACAAGCTGCCTACAGATAGCAAAACTAAAAGAGCGCTCTGTAACACACACCCATTGGGGCTTCAGGAACTGTAAGCATTCACCCCTAGACACTGCCGTGGGGTTGAAGCCCCACAACCTGCCCATCTGCATGCTCCCCCTAGAGGTTTGAGCAGCAGGGTACCAAAGAAGCGAGCCACACCCCCATTGCAGGCCCTGCGAGGGGGATAAGGGAACTTTTCCCATTTCACTTGTGCTGTGATTCAGTTCCCTGGGTGACTCTGCAGGGAGGCTGGAGGGAGAGAGTTCTCCCAGAGGGACCATCCCACACCCACTTCCACCTAAGAACACCCCAGTGGGGCAGAGCAGGCCCTCCCTGCTCCACCCCAAGCAGGGCTTGTGCCCTGGCCTTTCTGGGGTGTGCTCCTGCATACTTCAAGCTCAGC
This sequence comes from Homo sapiens, assembly GCF_000001405.40. NCBI lineage: Eukaryota > Metazoa > Chordata > Mammalia > Primates > Hominidae > Homo > Homo sapiens. Next base: position 31,517,229 of record NC_000001.11, on the reverse strand, counting down.
CAACATGAGATACTCTGACTCAAGTGTAGGGTCAGGTGGGGAGAAATGAATGAGACCGGATCAAGCCAACCCAAGCCTATGCACCGAGTTAAGGGTGTACACACTCACTGGGCAATGGGGCAGGGTATTATCGTCCCCATTTTATGGATGAAGATATTAAAGTTCAAAAGTTTAGATGGCTTGCCCATGGTCTCACAACTGCTGTGGAGTGTGGTAGTGAAGTTCATGGACTCTGCAACCAGACTGCCAACCTTTGAGCCTGTTCTGCTGCTGATCTGGGCAAGTACTTGACCTTTCTGTGCTTCCATTTTCCTCTGCCAAATGGTGAGGCTAACACATGCTACTTGGTAGGGTTGTTATGAGGACTGAATAAGCCAATACACATGAAAGGCTGAGGATAACTTTTCCTTTGCAGTCACAACTACGCTGTTAGGTATAAGAGGCCTACCTTTCGGCCTATTTTGGCTTTCAATACACTTACCTCACTAAGTTTAATATTTCTAGCTTTTGATTTAGAGCAAGGGATGTGTGACATTTTCACTTAAACATGTAGAGACCATTTTAGGGTTATTCATTGGCCTAATTTTAATATTGTTGGGTCTCAGGGAATTGAGAGGCCTGAGGAGAAGGAGAGAGGAGTAGAGGAACCACTGATTGATGTAGTAGTTAGAACACATGCAATATTTCTTAAGTTCTCTGTCTTATATGGGTGCAATTTGTGGCACCCCAAAACAATTACAATAGAAACATCAAACATGAGTGATCACAGATCACCATAACAGATACAGTAGAAATGAAAAAGTTTGGGCTGGGTGTGGTGGCGCACACCTGTAATCCCAGCACTTTGGGAGACTGAAATGGGCAGATCGCTTGAGGTCAGGAGTTCGAGACCAGCCTGGCCAACATGGCGAAACCCCATCTCTAATAAAAATACAAAAAAAAAAAAAAAATTACCTGGGCGTGGTGCCTTGCACCTGTTGTCCCAGCTACTTGGGAGGCAAAGACACGAGAATCAGTTGAACCTGGGCAGAGGTTGGGGTGAGCCAAGATTGCATCACCATACTGCAGCCTGGGTAACAAAGCTAGACCCGAAAGGGAAAGGAAAGGAAAGGAAAGGAAAGGAAAGGAAAGGAAAGGAGAAAGGAGGAAGGAAGGAAGGAAAAGAAAGAAAGAGAGACAGAAAAAAAGAAAGAAAAGAGTGAGTTTGAAATATTGTAAAAATTACCAAAACATGACACAGAGACACAAAGTGAGCACATGCTTTAGGGAAAAAGGTGTCAGTACACTTGCTCAACAAGGGGTTGCCACAAACTTTTGCCAAAATATTCAATTTGTAAAACAAAACAAAACAAAACAAAAACACAACAAATATCTGCAGGTGCAACAAAGCAAGTGCAAGAAAATGAGGGGTGCCTGTACTGTAAATTGCTTTTGTAAAGATGCACAGCTCTACCAAGTGCCACGAACAATGAGCATAGCTTCCCTTCCTCCACTCCTGACCCTGAACACCCCTGCCCAAGGGTTCTTCTTTTTTGCCACTGTGATGAGCAACCAGCTCAAGCCAGCCCAAGTCAGCTCAAATGGCAAAAACTGGTCCAAACTTGCCAAGACCTTCCTTGGCCTCCCGAGTCCGTACTGTATTGGATCCAACCAGATAAAACCAGCTCAAACTGGCCCAAACCCAATCAGCCATGTCAGTCCAAGCTTACATATTCTTCCAACCTTTCCAACTTTTGTCCAAATCTCCTCCTGGCTTCCTGAGAGCCACCGCTTGAACAAAAGCACACACTCCCCACAGTACGCAATGTCACTCAGGCCCTGGGCAGCCTAACTCACATGGGCTCTATTCAACACATGCTGCAGCGTCAAAACTCTACTAAAAGAGATAGTTGGGTTGTTTTGTTTTGGTTTGGTTTTGCCTTAGCCAAAGTTTGTTTGTTTGTTTTGATTGCACTTTGAACTTGCACTTTTTTATTTTGATTTGCACTTCACTCTGAACAGACTAAAGAGGAAATTTCTTGGCAGGAAAGTGAGGGATCTCAGAGAAAGCAGGCGAAGAATTCAGCCTCAGGAAAGACAGGAAACCAGGAAATGGAAAGCCATCAGGAGTTTCAGGGACACTTCTCTCATTCATGTCTCCATCCTGAAGTGGAAACTGAGGCAGGAGAGCAGCTTGTTCAAGGCCAACAGCCCTTTAGGAGCAGAGCCTTATCAGGGGCATTGGGGCCCTCACCGCAGGGGCCTGGAGATCGGAGGCTGATGCTGGCTGGCTCAGTCTATGACCAGGGACCTGGCCCACCAGGAAGCCCTGGGTGCCCGCTGGCTCCACCACAGGCCCACAGTGACCTGGCCATCCTCCTCAGGACCCTGGAGCCCTGAGAGGTTGTGTGGGATCAGAAGCTTTACAGATTGGGGGCTCTCTTTATGATTTAAGGGACAGAATGCAAAATTATTAAAACAGAATTGCTGAGCCCATCCCTGGGTCTTGAAAGGGGTTGGAGAAGAATGAAGACCACTGGGGGGTTCAGCCGCGTTTGCTTCATGATGAATCCGCCTCTGTCAGAAGCAGCTAGAGGCAGAGCCCGAAGAAGAAGCCCTTGGCAGAGCCGCAAGCGTGACACCGCATTCCTTGGACACTGCTCTCCCATGAAGGCCCAGAGGGACTTGCTGAGGTCTGAGAGGGGCTGGCCACCAAGGGAATGAGAGACTTGGTGTTAGACAGTCCTCCACTGTGTGATGACAAGCACATCAGTTCAGTTCTGTGAGCCTCTCTTTCAGGAAGTGATCATAAAAGCATCCCCTTCCACCTCACAGGTGCTGAGAATGTAAGAGAAGAAGGTCAGCTCTCCCTCTGCTGGTGGGACGAAGGGCCCAGTGGTGGCCTGCAGGCTCAGGGGTGTCTGCTCCCGCTGCCTGGCCTCTATCTGCTCCTGGCACCTGCTCCCATCTCAGAGCGGGGTTGGGGCCAAGCCCTGGGGCCTTGAATGGCAGCGGGAGGCAGACAGAGTCCTGGGCAGAAGGGGGCAGGTCCCCAGTAAGACCCCACTTTCAGGTCAGGGAAGGCCTGAAGGCTGCGGGCCAGGCTGCCAGTCCCATGGACTGGAGTGGGGACTCATGGTGCCTCTTCCAGCCCACCCATGGCTGCCCGTGGACCAATTGGCATGGACTTCCTCCCTGATAAAAGGTCCATAAAAGCCCTAGGCTCAGCCAGAGCAGATCAGAGGATGGCCAGAGGATGAGGAGAGCAGAGAGACAATGGCACAACCAGCTGCAGAGAGGAGTACTCTCTGCTGATAGCTGGAGATGATGGGATGACTAGCAGCAGAGAGGAGCTACCTTCTCCACTGAGAGCTACAGAGACAACCTGCTGGCAGGGAGGAGCCACCCTCTCCGAGGCCTCCTCTCTGCTGAGAACTGAACACTGGACAGATGACCTGCCTGCAGAGAGGAGCTACACACTGCCAGTCTCTGAGCTGTTGTAACACTAAATAAAACTCTTCTTCATCTTGTTCGCTCTTTGCTTGTCTGCATACCTCATTCTTCCTGGACACAGGACAAGAACTTGGGCAAAGGTGCTGTGGCCACAGATGTTTCCAGCCAAAAAATTGACACCCCAAAGATCCCATAACACTAGGGAGCTTGGACTTTATCCTGCATATATGGGCTGCCGCAAATGGGATTACACAGTGGGCATCAGGCTCAGGAGAGCACATTGGAAGGGACTCTGTGGTGGCCAAGTGTGGTGGCAAATGCCTGTAATCCCAGCACTTTGGGAGGCCAAGGCAGGTGGATCACCTGAGGTCAGGAGTTCGAGACTAGCCTGGCTAACATGGTGAAACCCCGTCTCTACTAAAAATACAAAAATTAGCCAGGCATGGTAGCGCATGCCTATAGTCCTTGCTACTCAGGAGGCTGAGGCATGAGAATCACTTGAACCCAGGAGGCAGAGGTTGCAGTGAGCCAAGATCATGCCATTGCACTCCAGCCTAGGGGATAGAGCGAGACTGTCTCCAAAAAAAAGAAAAAAGAAGGAGCTTGTGGGGTCATGTGGTCAATGGATTAGAGAAAATGAGACCACAGCAGGGAGGCCACCAGGCTGTTATGCTGGCTCTGGAGAGAACTAGTGAGGGGCTGGAACCTGACAGTGACCTGGGAGAGAGGGAAGAAGGGAGGGGCTGTGTGCATGAGACATTCTGGGGGTAGAACAGGAAGGATTTCAAAAAAAAAAAAAAAAGCTGTTGGCACACAGTTGGCTTTCTCTACCACCTCCAGTGTGAATGACTTGGTGGCCCATTGATGAGGGAGGTGATGGAGAAGTTCAAAATGGAGGACAAAGCCCAGATTTCTAGCTGAGGAGTGAGGTACACTCTGGCTAAGGGAAGCAGCCCTTCCGCTAGATGGGGGCCCATAGCGGGCTCCCTTTGGCTTGTGTTGAATCTGAGTGAACTGTGGTACATCCTTGGGTCGGTGATCAAGAGGCTGTGAGATTTTCAGGTCTGGAGTGTGGGAGAGAGGTCACAGCTGGAGAGAGAACCTGGGAACCACCAGCAGAGGTGAATCCTGGTGCTATGGAAAGTAGACACAGATGACCCCAGGCTGAGAAGTGAGCTCCAGCCGCAAGACTTGGAGGCCATAAGGGCCAAAGGGTGACCTGCGGCAGGGGGTTGGAGGTTGAAGTTAAATCATGCCCCCACAAAATTTGTGTCCACTGGATGACTGGTGTCCTTATAAGAAGACAAGAGGTCGCAGAGACAAAGAGAAAAACGTTGTGAGGCAGAGACTAGAGTTATGCTGCCGGAAGCCAGAAAAGGCCTGGGGCTACTGGAAGATGCAAGAGGCAAAGAAATATTCTTCCCTGGAGCCTTCAGAGGGAGAGTGACCTTGCCAACCCTTGGCTTCAGACTTCTAACCTCCAAAACTATGAGAGAATACATTTCTGTCATTTTTATTTTATTTTATTTTTAAAAATAAGACAGAGTCTTTCTATGTTGCCTAGGCTGGCCTTAAACTGCTGGGCTCACGTGATCCTCCTGTTGGATACAATGAGTTCAAAATTTCTCTTCAAAGAATCAATATGTCAATATGTTCAGTTCTTTGTCCTCCATTTTAAAGTTTAACTTCCCCGTAGTTTCAGTAAACAACATTTCCCCCCAGTTTTAATCAGCAGTTCACATCTGTTCCCCTGGTTACCTGCTCTGCATCCTGACTCATCCCAGTCACCTGCTTTGACCTGAATCACCCCTGGTCACCTGCTCTGACCTAACTCACCTTTAGTTACCTGTTCCTAACTGTCCTTCCCACCAAACTACTCACCCCGCCACTGGTTGGTTAGACCTGGAGACCTGTGACTTACATACTCAGACCCACTCACCCTCTCCCACCCCCCAGGGGCAAAGAAAACTCACTGGAATGTCTTCCATCTGGAAAGAGTTCACATTTCCCAAAGCCTGCTCACACCCCTAAGTATCGTACCCATAATCCGTGCTTCTTATATTCTGAGTGTTTGGGCATAAGCAAGACCATTTTGCAGGCGGGAAATTTGATGTTCTGGGATGCCCTCATGAGATGCACCTGACTGGATGGGCTGTTGAGCTCCTCTAGCTTCTCTGAGTGGCCTCTGTTACCCCAATCTGCTCTTTGCTTCCCACATGTCAGGGGAAGTTCCTCTTCAGCTCCAGGGACTCTGGGATCCCCGAGGACCTGGCTGAGTTGAGTGGTAGCAGAGAGGGTGGGAGAGGCCCTGCTGAAGGGAGGGGAGACACCTTCCTTGGCTGAGCTGGAAGCTGAGAAATCAATGGCTGTACCTGCTATAGCTGCAGGAATGTGGCCTTGGGGTGTGACGAGCTCCTCCCCTCCCTCCTCTCCCTCCCCAACCATCTGGTTTGCCTGAGACTCAGGAGCTTCCTAGGACTCAGGATTTACAGTGCTAGCACCAGGAATGTTCCAGACAAATCCAGGCAAACTGGTCACCTTGTGTCCCCAGGCTCTGCAATCTCTGTTTCTCATCTCCAATCCTGGCCACTCACTGTTCTCTGAGCAGAGGCTCATTCCCATGCCTGAGCCAAGTTGTTCCCACACCTGAGCCACGCTTCCTACCCACTTTTACCTACTGATTCTGCTCTGCCTCCAGGTCCCACCATTCTCCCTCCAAGAAGCCACCCACTCCTCCAAATGGATGGCTTCCACCTGAACTGTCCTCAAAGTATGTCCCATGTTCCTCCCTGTGCTGCAGCCAGCTGCGCCTGCCTTTAGCTTTCCACAGGCCTGAGGACAACTCAAAGACTGGGTCTGTGCCTGCCTCCCCTGTCCCCCTAGCATCGGGCACACATCCTGGCTTGGCCTGAGTGGGACACCCTACCAACACTCTCTGAAAAGACCCAGGATGCACGGTGGGGTCTCTGTGACATCTAGACTCCAGGAGGAGAGCCAGCAAGAACAGGGTGGCCGAAGGAAAAGCTGGCCCTAAACGATATATTCATCCCTCTCTTAATCCCAACAACCCTACGGGGAAGTTAAAGTTATTATTATTACCACTATTTTACAAGGAAAACTAGAGTTCAACTATGTTAGTTAACCTGCCCAAATTCAAAGCTAGTAGCAGTGGTGCCTAAATTTGAGCCCAGTTCTTCCTTATTCCAGTGACATGCTCTTAACCACTATGATATGTTGATGAATTTTATAGAAACGCTTTCTGGGACAAGGCAAGGGCATGAATAAATAAAAAGCGGGGAGGAGCGGCAGGATGAATTTAAGGATGTAAACTGACACCAGCTAGGTATGAACTGAGCAGGTGTGTGGGCTGCATTATTTAACGTAAAAGATCAATAGCCCATTTTTTGTAGTCGCTCTGAGAAGAAGTAGCTTCTAATGCGTCCCCTTCAACCACTGCTCAAGAGAGTGGGAAAGGAGGGATGCAGAGGCAAATGACAAGGAGGGTGGGCAGGGCAGGCCACTGCTGAGAAAAGTCAGTGTAAGACCTGACCGAAGACACAGGCATGCGGTGGCTCACACCTGTAATGCCGGCACTTTGGGAGGTTGAGGCAGGCGGATTGCTTGAGCCCAGAAGTTCGAGACCAGCCTGGGCAACATGGCAAAACTCCATCTCTACCAAAAATATAAAAATTAGCCGGGTGTGGTGGTACACACCTATAGTCCCAGCTATTCAGGAGGCTGAGGTGGGAGGATCACCTGAGCCCTGAGGGGTCGAGGCTGTAGTGACCCGAGATCATGCCACAGCACTCCAGCCTGGGCGACAGAGTAAGACTCTGTCTCAAAAAGAGAGGAAAGAAAGAGAAAGGGAATGGAGGAAGGGAGGGAGGAAAGAAAGAAGAGAAAGAAAAAAGGAAAGGAATGGAAAGGAAAGGAAAATGAAAGAAAGAAAAGAAAAAAGAAAAGAAAAGAAATGAAAAGAGAAAAGGAAAGAACTGACCCAAAATGACAGCAAGATATTTTTGGAAGGTCTGCATAGGATTTCATAGTTACCCAAACCTCTGCCTCCTCCCTGCCATCCCAACTCCCAACAGTTCCCAGGGGCCTACCTACCAGAGTGTCTTAAAGCCCTCCAGCCTAGCTGGCTCTGGGTTAAGGCTCTGCCTCCAGAAGGCTCATGGGGAAAGGACATGGGGTACAGGGTGGGTGTCAAGGCCTTTGCCTACAGCCCTGAGGCTGCACACACAGCAGCAGAGCTGGGGCCTGGAGGCAGAGCTGGGACAGTGGGCGTCTGAAGCAGGAGTAGGGCCAGCCAGTGGCTAGAGGGCCTGGGGATCTCTTTGCAATTCTCCACCTCCCTGGGAGGGGGGCCAGAGGCAGATGAGAGTCCAAAGGTCAGATGGACACTTTGACTTCAGTGAGTCAACAGGGGAAGGGAGATTCCCTGGGGCCAGTTCCCACCCCAAGCTCAAATGAGTGTGAGGTTTCCTGCTTCCTCTTCAACCCCAACCCCTAGGCACCTGAGCTGGGGGCCCATGGTGTAGCAGATGGTGGCAGGCAGGAAGCCATTGAAGCTGGAGCTCATGGAGGACATGTAGGCACCCATGGAGGGGAAGACCAGCCAATCGCCTACATCCAGCTCGGGCAGCCGCACATCCTCCAAGAAGAGCCTGTCAAAGGCATCGCACATGGGACATAGAGGGTGCAGGGGAAGAGGGGCGGCTCTGAGCAGAACTCCTGTGTGACATAGGAAAGGGGGTCAGAAAAGACAGCAGGCTGGCCTATCCCACCCCCTTATCTGGAAGGCACTGAAAGACCCGGAAGGACACTCCCAGGGGCACACGGGTGTATACTGGCTGGGACCCATCCCTCCATGGCCCCTGCCCAGCCTGGCCAGGTCTGATGTGCCTACAAGTAAGGGCTCAGATTCCTCCTCTGTAAGTGGGGCTGTTGTCTTCAATAATTGCTATAAGGCAGCAGTTGAAAACTCAATTACCTAGAGGTCAAGCAGGTAACACAAATGAGTGAAATGGGCCAGGTAAGTCTTACAACAAACTGGAAAGTCAATGTCTGTCCAAAGGGGAAAGCCACTGAGGAAGTCCCGTTCCAGCAGATCACAGTGCCTGACATGCTAGACTAATTTGTTGAATTATTTGTTGCCTTGTTGTTCTGCAGGCCACGTATCATCAGATCTCTCAAATGTTTGAGAGGAGCTGAGAAAATCCAGGCTTTTATGAAATATGTCTAGATTTTTTAATATGGGCAACTAAAATTGAAAACTATTGTGGGAACCAAACAAACACAGGGTCTCCTACTGGTTCCTCCACATCCAGAACTCACTCCTTCCGATGAGAAGAGAGGCAAATACACACACGAAGACACACACCCAGAAACACTTCACACACGTACACACTCGCACATGCATGCAAACACACGTCACATACATGACCAAATGTGTGCACACACCAAGACGTTCACTGGCCGGGAGAAACAGTCAAGATATTTACAAAGCAGTGTGGCCCGGACACCAACCCATCACATTAGGAGACAACTGCTGCAGAGCTGGAGGAAGATCCTGTTGGCCCTACAGGGTCAGGTATTGAAGCTTTGTTGCCAGATCGTGGGAGGGACTGAGCAGCAAGAGTGTCGGCAGGGAGGCCCCTGGTGGACTCGGGGGAATAGCTCTTTAACCACCAGGAAGAAGGAATGGCTCTTAAGCCACCAGGGAGAAGAACTTCAATATTTTGGAAAACAACCCACGCCTTTGTGTTCTGGTGATCGCCCCTTTGCCTGAGGAGGCCTACATATCCAGCTGCTGCACACGCTCTGATCTGTGAGCACACATCATGTACGTGTCCACATGTGTTCTAAGCAGCAGGCCAGGACCTGCCTCTGGGGTCCAGCACAGCCACTGTTCCCAGTAGGGGAGGCACAAGGCACCTCAAGGTAAGGGACTAGACTCGGGGCTGGAGTGGCCCCCTTACCTTCACCACGATGGGAACCCTTGGGACAGGCTCTCGGTAGCAGAGGCGGAAGGAGCCATAGTGGCCATCTTTGAGATAATACACCAGCTTCCGGCTGCCTCCTGGGGAGTGCTCAGTCACTACTCTGACCCCCAGCTCCTGGGACAGAGCCCAACCCTCTGCCCTTCCTCTCCTCCAGGGCCTGGGGACACCTGGACAGTGGCATCCCCACCCAGTGCCATCCTGGCCCACCCACCGGGCTCCAGCACAGCCCTCTTGGCAATGATGTTGACAGCGGCCATGCAGACAGACTCCACATAGAAGCAGCCAGGCTCTGCGATGACCTTGACACCACGCTCCTCAGGGAGGTCCTGGGCCAGGGCAGCACTGATCACTCTCGCCAACTGGAATGGGGTGGAGGGACAGCAGGAAGAGGTTAACTCATCCAGCACGTGTTGATGTGCCAGCGCCTGTGCCAACGCCTTACCTGCATCAGTCCTTTCATCCCCGAGGCACCCTGCAGGTAGGCATTAGAATTATCCCTGTTTACCAAAGAGGAAACAGAAGTTGAGAGACAGGAGGTCACTTGTGTGGGGTTGCTGGCCACCAGGCTCCCTGAGAAGTCCAAAGGTGCAGCAATTTAATCTGATGCACCGTAAGAAGGCGAGTGTCTTGTGGACCCAGGGAATGTAAACTCCCAACTGTAACTGTAACTGTATTGGTGATGCTAACAAGAATTCTACATTCTACAGGAAAACATATACACATACAGACACACAGACACACAGAGAGGCACAGCCCCCAGACACCTTGCTGCAGCTGCAGTGGACACCCTGTGCCACCTCCCCTCAGCCTACCTGAGCTCATCTGCCCGTGCAAAATGATTTCCAGCCTCCAGCGCCTGCCTCCCTTTGCTTCTCATTCTGTGGGCTTTCTCCAGCACCCTCGGAAACTAGCTGGAATGTGAGGAAATTAACACCCCCAGACCACAGCCTTCAACCAAAGAAGGACAGGAGTTGGTGAATAAAGGACCAGCCCCATGTCCTCTAGTGGGATGATTCTGAGGTTCTACATTGTCCCCAGGGGGACTGGTGCAGCGGCCCACAGTGGTAACCAGCTCATAGATGAATTTTCTTTTGACTTTTCTCCCTTCTATCTCTCTTTCCTGACTTCCTCATTGGCGCTTCCACGGATCATCTCCAAAAAAACTACTTGTATCCAAGTGTTTGTCTCAGAGTCTGCTTTTGGGGGATATCAAAGCCAAGACATGCACATACACACATACCCACCTGTGCACACAGAGCACAGAGATACACCAGAGAGACCTAAACACACAGAGGTACATGCATGAACACAGACTCCCCACACACACCCATGCCTGGGCACACATGCGGACCTCCCTGAACACCCCCAGCGCCCGTACCAGCTCACCTCCTCAAACTTGGGCCCGGAGCCCTCCATTCCGGGGAAGCCCCCTCCAATGTCCAGGCAGCTCATATCATGCCCAGCCCTGTGGCCCATTTCCAACATGCACCGGCAGTCAGCGATAGCTTGTGTGAAGCTCTGGGGGGGTCTGGCAGTTGGAGCCCAGGTGGAAGCTAGCAGAGCCAGTGCATGTGACATGGTGAGAGATATGTACTGAAACACATGTTCCAAACCACAAAGCCACACAGACTGTGGATAACCGCAACAGAGACAGAGAGGCACAGTCACACATAAGGCATGAAGCCATTGGGCCAAATGCAGAAACAAAGAGCGGAAACATAACTGATTACACTGGCATAAGTGTGTGCTTTCAGACAGCTGCACACTCAGGCCAACGAGGCACCTACGAAGGGGCACTCACCCTGAGTATTCACACGTACACACACTTAGACACACACTGCCATGGAGCCCATGATCCCAGCACTGCCACGTGGGCTGCCCTTCCCCTCATGGACACTTCACAACAAGACACCAAACCCCAGGGCCTCAGAGCAGGGAGGCCCTGAGTAACCTTCACATCATATCCTGCCCCTTTAGACAGATGGGGTCTCACAGGCCCAGAGAGGGGCCACAGCTTGCCATGGGCCCCAACTGATTACACTTATGCCAGTGTAGTCAGTTATATTTCCAGCTGTTTGTTTCTGCATTTGGCCCCAGTGGTTTCGTGCCTTATGTGTGACTGTGTCTCGCTGTCTCTGTCGCAGTTATCCACAGCAAGGGAAGGACCAGAACCCAGGGCTCCTGGAGTCCTCAGGCGTCACTCACCTGGCTCCGACCACGGCCAACCCCAGGTCTCTGGCAGACGTGAGCAGGTGCCCACAGGCTTCCAGGCTGGCCCCGAACTTGGTGCTCAGAGGGAAGGTGCTCTGACTGTCCTGGGTCCTCAGCCGGAGGAGCAGTCCGGAGGAGGGACACCAAGGATAGGGAGGAGGCAGAGAGCACTTAGCCAGAGATGCCAAAGAGCCCAGGGCTTCTTATACCACCCCCACCCAGGCCCAGCTGATCCCCGCATCTGGGAGGTTTTCCAATGCCACCAAATCCATGCGGCCATCACACCAGCCCAACACACGTGTGTATACATCTACTCTTCCCCAGGTACAACCAGAGAAGGGAGGGTAGAAAAATGATAGTATTGGTAAGCACCTACTATGTGCCAGACAACATGCCCCCAAGTTGTAAATGAAGGAACCGAGTGTTAAAAATGTTAAAAGAGACTTGCCCAGGCGGGGCACGATGGCTCAAGCCTGTAATTCCAGAACATTTGGAGGCTGAGGCGGGTGGATCACCTGAGGTCAGGAGTTCGAGACCAGCCTGGCCAACATAGTGAAACCCCATCTCTACTAAAAATACAAAAAATTAGCCAGATGTGGTGGCAGGAGCCTGTAATCCCAGCTACTCCGGAGGCAGAGGCAGGAGAATCACTTGAACCCAGGAGGTGGAGGTTGTGGTGACCTGAGATTGCACCACGCACTCCAGTCTGAGCAACAAGAGAAAAACTCTGTCTCAAAAAAAAGAGACTTGGCTGGGCACGGTGGCTCACACCTGTAATCCCAGTACTTTGGGAGGCCAAGGCAGGCGGATCACAAGGTTAGGAGTTCAAGACTAGCCTGACTAACATGGTGAAGCCCTGTCTCTACTAAATATACAAAAATTAGCCAGGCATGGTGGCACGCGCCAGTAATCCCAGCTACTCAGGAGGCTGAGGCAGGAGAATGGCATGAACACGGGAGGCAGAGGTTGCAGTGAGCCAAGATCGCGCCACTGCACTCCAGCCCGGGCAACAGAGAGAGACTCCGTCTCAAAAAAAAAAAAAAAAAACAAAAAACAAAAAACTTGCCCAATGCATACATCAGGTAAGCAACAATGCCAGAATTTGAACCTGGGCTGTCTCACTCCAAAGGCAGCTGCCAGACCCTTTTAAAATGGCTGGGCCTTGAGGGTCCTCCCCTTCACTTGTCTCAGATCAGCATTTGTCAGGGGTGTGCTGTGTTGGGTGATTCGTTCTTTACTGCTGACCCTCACCCTAGCTGCCTGCATCCCTGCTGGACTCACCTGGCCCTGGGGTGGTGCTGGGCCACCTTGGTGAGCTCCTCCTCGCTGTCAAAGGTCAGGAGCTGCACCCCGTGCTGGGCAGCATACCGGATGTGGGAGGCAGGTTTGCAGGGGTTGGCATAGACGATGCGCGAGGGGGCCACACCCAGGCCCAGCACCTGCTCCAGTTCCACCTGGGGTGGCCAAGAGCCAGGGTTGGGGGCTGCATCACTGCCCCCACCCCAGCTATGTGGGGACAGAAACACTGTGCATGAGCCAAAGAGGCTGCCCTGATGAAACCCCGGGTTGGGTCTCACCCCCTGCTCCCTCACTTCCAGGCAGGAGCCCTGCGTGGGGCTGACGGGGTGCTCATTATGGAGTCCCTGCAGGGCAGGGAAGGGCAGGGCAGGGCTCATAGTCTCAATGTGCCGGGCACTCCAGGTGCTCATAGTCTCAGTTTAGAACCAACCCCCCTCCCATCAATTTCAGCCCCATAGAGAGGAGATGGGCTGGCTTCCTAGAGGCAGCGGGTGCACTTAATCCTGCTTAGTGGAGGGCTCCTCAGAAAGGGAGGAAGGGCTGGTCCGAAGGCAGTGAGTTATCTCAATTGACTGTTAACAGTCAGTTACAGATGAACTCCTTGTTCTACTCTTCTTTCCCACTTCTCACTACTACACTTGACTAGTCTTAAAAAGAAAGGAAGGAAGGACAGAGGCTCAGCAAAATACTCCCATCCTGAGTTCTCCCCCTTCCCACCCTTGAGCTTCGGCTCTAACCTCCCTCAACATTGCTGAATCCCCTTCTGCTAAGAACCCCTTGGAATGTTTCACCCCTGGCGTAAGAAAAAAATGCCAACTTTGGATCGGTCATCTCTGTCTCTTACCATATGTTGGCCCATGGGCAAGTGATCTCCCTAAGGCTGTCTCCTCCTCTATGAATGTGGATCCCCTGACTACCTTGCAGAGCCGATGGGAGGATCAAGGAGAATGCATGTTAGGCCCCCTGCAGTGTGCTTAGCATATTTCAAGTGCTCTGCGGGACAGGGGACGCTTATTCATGACCTCAGCAGCAGCAGCATGGGATTCACCCCCTTCCAGCTGGCCTGGCCTAATCCTCGGTGGGCACAGGCTTACCTGGCTGGCACAGTCAAAGCCGGTGCCCAGGGCGGCCAGGACACGCAGCACCCAAGGGCTACTGTTGCACTTCACTGCATAGAAGGGCGAGACCTGTGGCAGGGCTTGGCAGAAGGCCTGATGGCAGCTGGCCAGTATGTCCAGGTCAGCCAGTATGAAGGGGTCTTGCTGGTCCTACGGGGCAGGGAGACAGGGAGGAAAGGCTGAGGGGCTGGATTATCTCACTTAATCCTCATAACAGCTCTATGAAGTAAAGGCTGCTGTTATCCCCATTTTGCAGATGGGGAAGCAAAGGCTCAAAAAGGTGGTCACTGGCTCAAAGTCCTATAGCAAAAGCATGGCAAAGACAGGGTCTGAACCCAGGTCTCCTAAGCCTAGGGAGACCGCCCTTGACACTGTTCCATTCTGCCTTGCCACGGTCCTGGGTAGGAGAGAGGAGCCTGCTGGGCTGGGGCAGCTCCAGGCTATTTGTTCTACAGTCATTCAACAGGGTTATCCAGCACCTACTCTGTGCCAGGCTCTAGTCTGGGTACTGGGGAAAGAGCAGTGAAGAAAACAGATCAAAAATCCTCGTCTTTGTGGAGCTTCCATCCAACTGAGCCACAGAGAAAAAGGCATGGACTCAGGCAGCATGAGCTGATTAATCAACTGTCATGAGCCACACACTGTGCTGGGGGAAGGGATGGAGATACTATATAAATCATTCCCATTGCACAGATGCAGTCACTGAGGTGCAGAGGGCTGGAGTGCCTCACCCAAGTTCTTACTGCTGGACAGCAGCACAGTTGACATTCAATCCCAAAAGGAAATGGCTTCAGGAACACCTGTAGGCCAGGATATTTTCGAGATATCTATTTTTTTCTTCTAATTTTCTCTCTTCTTCTCCCCCTTATTGATGCCAGTGTCTGGCTCTATAATGTCCCTGGGGAGAGATGTGGCCAGGCAGGAGGCAGATGTGGCCAGGCAGGAGGCGGCCTTCTTAGGGAAGCTTAGCCCTTGGGAGAAGAGGATGCCAGGGTACAAGAAGAATGTCATGGTGACACCGATAGAAGGCCCTCCCTGACCAGGAAGAGGGTCCCCTGACTGGCGGGGATGGGGTGGTGAAGATGGTAAGAGAGCTGAGACTTTGTGCCCTAAGGGAATCTGAGGGGTGGTAGGATGGAGCCCCTGGAAGCCAGTGGGGAAATGGTAAGTCACCGGGTGAGTCTAGAGCAGGCCTTCCCAGCCTTCATGTGCAGGCAAATCCCCCAGGATCCTGTCAACTGTGTGCTCCATGCAGTCAGTCTAGGGTGGACAAAGAGTCTGCACTGCCAACAGGTTCTCCAGTGATGGTGACAATCAGGTCCAGACGAGAATATGTCCAGAGGCAGCACAGCCCTAAAAACCCAGGGAGCCAGGGAAGCCAGGAGGACAAGCAGGCAATCATCTTTGTAGACCAAAGCTGGAGGACCCCACAGCTTGGCACTGGGTAAAACCCCCAGTGGTGGAAGCAGGCAGGGCAGGAAGAACAAAAGTCATGCTTTCCCATTAGCCCCAGAACAAGAGAGCCTTGAGAGAGACGGCCTAATGGCGTTACAGAACGGTGAAACAGAAAGCCTTATTTCTTGCCACTAAGGAAGACCTGAGGCTCACAACTCCCCGTCTCTCACCTCCCTCCATACTCAGTCAGAAAGCTCCTGGATCCTCCACAGGACCATCTGCTGGGCAGATTCTTCTGGCCCCAGGGCGATGAGCTTCTTTGGCCATGGCCTTCCATGGGCTTCCTTCAGGCCCCCGAGGCAGGTGCTCATCCCTGAAACTCCAACTGAGCCCTCTACCGGGCATGGTCCTGGCATCCTGGAAAAGACTTGCTCTCATGACCCAGCCTCCTCCCAGCCCCCAGCTCCCCACTCCCCACAGGCCCTGGGAGCCAGAGCTCCCAAATAAGTCTTTTGTGTGTTTTTGTTTGTTTGTTTTGTTTTTAAGATGGAGTCTTGCTCTGTCGCCCAGGCTGGAGTGCAGTGGCGCAATCTCGGCTCGCTGCAACCTCCACCTCCCAGGTTCAAGCAATTCTTCTGCCTCAGCCTCCCTAGTAGCTGGGACTACAGGCACCTGCCACCGCACCTGGCTAGTTTTTGTATTTTTAGTAGGCACAGGGTTTTGCCATGTTGGCCAGGCTGGTCTCCAACTCCTGACCTCAAGTGATCTGCCCACCTTGGCCTCCCAAAATGCTGGGATTACAGGCATGAGCCACTGTGCCCAGCCTGGAGGCCAGTATTCTAAGTGAGGTAACACAGGAGTGGAAAACCCAAAACCGTATGTTCTCACTTACTAGTGGGAGCTAAGCTATGAATATACAAAGACAAACAGAGTAATATAATGGATTTCAAAGACTCAGAAGGGGGAGGCTGGAGGGGTGCTAGAGATTAAAAAAAACTACACATTAGGTACAATTAACCCTACTCAGATGATGGGTGCACTAAAGCCTCAGAATTCACCACTGTATAATTCATCCATGTAACAAAAAACAAAAACAAAACAAAACAAAACAAAAAAACACTTGTACACCAAAAGCTAATTTTTTTTTAAAAAAAGCAGCAATATGGAGTCAGCTGTGTTAGATTTCTCTCAGTGTTTTAATTTTGCAAAGGCAGTTTCAGGAGTCAGATCTCCGGTGTTCCTGGGCTTCAGGTAGATCCCTATGGGAAGAGCAGAGTCCAGCCCAGATCTTAAGGGATAGGGGAAGTACTTCCTAGCTGTCCCCTCTAAACCTCGGCCACCCTGGACTGCTCAGCCCAAATCTCCCAGCCAGAAAAATGTACCTTCCTAGGTCTGCCCGCAGGACAGGTGCACAGAGAGGAGTCCGACCCCTGTTATAAGCGAATGCCGGCAATGATGAGAAGTGGAGGGAACCTAGAAACTTCCCATCCACTCTTTCCGCTCTGCAGATGGAAAGCCGTGGGGCCCAGAGATCTCCAGATCATTCAGCAAACCAGGAGTGAAACTGGGAGTAGGACCAAGGCCTCAGACTCCAACAGGGAGCTGGTTCCACCGCCTCAGAGACCAGTTGCTGTCTCCTGGGGTCGTGTCTCTTGCCCTCCACTGCAGATTTAAGCATCTCACTGGAAGTGTCTTCGAATGGAAGTGGGAGCCTGTGTGCGTCACTCAGGGTCTAGTCATCTCCCCACCCTCTCCCCTCCCTCCCTCTCCACGTGGACTGCTGAGGTCTCACCTGAGCTCTTCTGGCCCTCCCAGGCTGAAGCCACCACCTTGGGGCAGCCCCACTGCAGGGATCAGCTGTAATCTCCTGCAGGCTTACACCCCACCTCTGTGCTGTGACCCAGAACCTCCTCTGCCTGTTCCAGTGAAGGACAATCAACAGGGAGTGGGCTGCTCTCCAGGTTTTTGTCTGCCAGCCATGCCCAGGGCAGGAGGTGGGGAGGAGGGCAGAGATGACAGGGCTGTGAACCCCAAATATCTGAGACAGATCTCAGTCAATGTAGAAAGTTTATTTTGTCAAGCTTAAGGATGCACCCATCACACAGCCTCAGGAGGTCCTGACATGTGCCTAAGGTGGTCGGGGTACAGCTTGCTTTGATTCATAGGGAGCCAGGAGACATCAATCAATATGTGTAAGATGTACATTGGTTCAGTCTGGCAATGTGGGACAGCTTGAAGGCGGCAGGGGTGCTTCCAGGTCATAAGAGACAAAAGGTTGATAAGAGATGAAAGATTGCATTGAGTCCTTGATCAGCCTTCCACTGAATACACAATTTAATCTGACTCAGTGAATCTGCATTTTTACGTAAACAATAGGGCAGAGGAAACAATCAGATATGCATTTGTCTCAGGTGAGCAGAAGGATGACTTTCTGTCTGCACCTCTGAAGATCAGCTATTAGTTTACATTGCCAGGGTGAAATTCAACAGAACTGTTTTAGGATAAAGACCTTGAGGCCCACAACGAATTTTCTTGTGGGCAGTTTGTGAGGGAGGTATGTAGCTATCTTATTTAGGAATAAAATGGGAGGTGGGTTTGCCTGACATAGTTCCCAGCCTGATTTTTCCCTTGGCTTAGTGATTTGGGGATCCCGAGGCTTTATTTTCCTTTCAAAGGGCCCAAGTCTTCTTCTGCCTGGGGCAGCAGAGATAGGGGTCTTTCCCCAGAAACGAACCTGTTCTGAGACCTTGGACCAGCTGTTCTTCCTTTCTCCCGGCCTGCCTCTCGCTCACTGGCCCTCTATGGCCCTTTCTCCTTGGTATAGCAGAGGGCTTAATCCCAAGGGCTCGACATCAGCCTTGTTTACCACTTACCAAGCCTGGTGTGCCACTCGCAATGAATTTGCGACAGGCAAGTTAGTTGACTGCTCTGAACCTCAGTTTTTTCATCTGGAAAATGGGGCCTTAAGGCCAGTTATGAAGATTAAGATATAAAAAGAAAATATATACAAACTGCCTCACTCTCACCGCTGCTGTTTGTGTCTGTGTTTCTATCCATAGGAACTTTCCCTGCCAGATTGTATTGGTCCCTCTGCTTAAAACAGGGACCAAATCTGCATTGCTGGGTCCCCAGTGCCTAGGTTAAGACTTGGGCCGGGGCGTGGTGACTCATGCCTGTAATCTCAACACTTCGGGAGGCCAAGGTGGGTGGATAGATTGAGCCCAGTAGTTGGAGACCAGCCTGGGCAACATGGCAAAACCCTGTCTCTACAAAAAAATACAAAAATTAGCTGGCTGTGGTGGCACACGCCTGTGGTCCCAGCTACTTGGGAGACTGAGCAGGAGGATGGCTTGAGCCCAGGAGGTTGGGGCTGCAGTGAGCTGTGATCATGCCACTTCACTCCAGCACTCCAGCCTGGGCAATAGATACCATGTCTCAAAAAAAAAAAAAAAAAAAGCCTTGGCACAGAATTCAGTAAATATTTGTAGGATAAATTAATAAATGGATGTCACAGCTAACATATGAGATCTGGGATTTAGATCAACTCCTATCTGACTTCACACCCTGTAGGTATCCTGAACAGAAACATCAATGGGGCAGAATTGAGGGCCCAGAAGCAGAGCTGATAGCAAAAACTGGAACATATCACCAATCACCAAAGAAGGTGAAGGGGACAGAGAAGTGGTGCTGGGACAATAGGTAAACAGTTTGGAAAGTAAAGTCTGTTTGGAACCTCACTTCTCAATAGAATAAAAGTGAAATGGTTTAAAAAGTTAAATAAATAAATATATATATGATCATATGATTCCATTTATATAAAATATCCAGAATATACAAGTCCACAGAGACAGAGAGTAGATTTGTGGTTGCCTATGACTGGGGAAAGGGGAGAGAGGAATGGGGAGGGCCTGCTAGTGGGGACAGGGTTTCCTTCTGCGGTGGTGAAAATATTCTGCAATTAGATAGAGATGATGGCTGCTCGACTTGGCAAACATGCTAAAAACCACTGAATTGTATGCTTTGAGAGGTCAAATTTTATGGTATATGAATCATATCTCAACAAAGTTGTTTAAAAAAACAGATTGTGTGCTCGCTTCGGCAGCACATACACTAAAATTGGAACGATACAGAGAAGATTATCATGGCCCCTGCACAGGGATGACACGCAAATTCGTGAAGCGTTCCATATTTTTAATGATCAAGTGGGCTTCATCCCTCGGATGCAAGGCTGGTTCAACATATGCAAATCAATAAAAGTAATCCAGCATATAAACAGAACCAAAGACAAAAACCACATGATTATCTCAATAGATGCAGAAAAGGCCTTTGACAAAATTCAACAGCCTTTCATGCTAAAAACTCTCAATAAATTAGGTATTGATGGGACATATCTCAAAATAATAAGAGCTATTTATGACAAACCCACAGCCAATATCATACTGAATGGGCAAAAACTGGAAGCACTCCCTTTGAAAACTGGCACAAGACAGGGACGCCCTCTCTCACCACTCTTATTCAACATAGTGTTGGAAGTTCTGGCCAGGGCAATCGGGCAGGAGGAAGAAATAAAGGGTATTCATTAGGAAAAGAGGGAGTCAAATTGTCCCTGTTTGCACATGACATGATTGTATATTTAGAAAACTCCATCGTCTCAGCCCAAAATCTCCTTAAGCTGATAAGCAACTTCAGCAAAGTCTCAGGATACAAAATCAATGTGCAAAAATCACAAGCATTCTTATACACCAATAACAGACAAACAGAGAGCCAAATCATGAGTGAACTCCCATTTACAATTGCTTCAAAGAGAATAAAATACCTTGGAATCCAACTTACAAGGGATGTGAAGGACCTCTTCAAGGAGAACTACAAACAACTGCTCAATGAAATAAAAGAGGATACAAACAAATGGAAGAACATTCCATGTTCATGGATAGGAAAAATCAATATCGTGAAAATGGCCATACTGCCCAAGGTAATTTATAGATTCAATGCCATCCCCATCAAGCTACCAATGACTTTCTTCACAGAATTGGAAAAAACTACTTTAAAGTTCACATGGAACCAAAAAAGAGCCTGCATTGCCAAGACAATCCTAAGCCAAAAGAACAAAGCTGGAGGCATCACGCTACCTGACTTCAAACTATACTACAAGGCTACAGTAACCAAAATAGCATGGTACTGGTACCAAAACAGAGATATAGACCAATGGAACAGAACAGAGTCCTCAGAAATAATACCACACATCTACAACCATCTGATCTTTGACAAACCTGACAAAAACAAGAAATGGGGAAAGGATTTCCTATTTAATAAATGGTGCTGGGAAAACTGGCTAGCCATATGTAGAAAGCTGAAACTGGATCCCTTCCTTACACCTTATACTAAAATTAATTCAAGATGGATTAAAGACTTAAATGTTAGACCTAAAACCATAAAAACCCTAGAAGAAAACCTAGGCAATACCATTCAGGACATAGGCATGGGCAAGGACTTCATGTCTAAAACACCAAAAGCAATGGCAACAAAAGCCAAAATTGACAAATGGGATCTAATTAAACTAAAGAGCTTCTACACAGCAAAAGAAACTACCATCAGAATGAACAGGCAACCTACAGAATGGGAGAAAATTTTTGCAATCTACTCGTCTGAAAAAGGGCTAATATCCAGAATCTACAAAGAACTCGAACAAATTTACAAGAAAAAAACAAACAACCCCATCAACAAGTGGGCAAAGGATATGAACAGATACTTCTCAAAAGAAGACATTTATGCAGGCAACAGACACATGAAAAAATGCTCATCATCACTGGCCATCAGAGAAATGCAAATCAAAACCACAATGAGATACCATCTCACACCAGTTAGAATGGTGATCATTAAAAAGTCAGGAAACAACAGGTGCTGGAGAGGATGTGGAGAAATAGGAACACTTTTACACTGTTGGGGGGACTGTAAACTAGTTCAACCATTGTAGAAGACAGTGTGGCAATTCCTCAAGGATCTAGAACTAGAAATATGGTTTGACCCAGCCATCCCATTACTGGGTATATACCCAAAGTATTATAAATCATGCTGCTATAAAGACACATGCACACGTATGTTTATTGTGGCACTATTCACAACAGCAAAGACTTGGAACCAACCTAAATGTCCATCAATGATAGACTGGATTAAGAAAATGTGGCACATATACACCATGGAATACTATGCAGCCATAAAAAAGGATGAGTTCATGTCCTTTGTAGGGACATGGATGAAGCTGGAAACCATCATTCTCAGCAAACTATTGCAAAGACGAAAAACCAAGCACCGCATGTTCTCACTCATAGGTGGGAATTGAACAATGAGAGCACTTGGACACAGGGTGGGGAACATCACACACCGGAGCCTGTTGTGTGGTGGGCGGAGTGGGGAGGGATAGCATTAGGAGATATACCTAATGTAAATGACGAGTTAATGGGTGCAGCACACCAACATGGCACATGTATGCATATGTAACAAACCTGCACGTTATGCACATGTACCCTAGAACTTAAAGTATAATAATAAAAAAATTAAATTAAAAAAACCAAAACACAACAAAACAAAAAACAGATTGCACAATCTCTGCATCCATCCAGGGGGGTCCAGGATCACCAGTTATTCTCTTATTAAAAAAGTTAAATATATATATAAAATATATAATATATACATGTATTATATATAATATATATAAAATATATTATATATACATGTATTATATATAATATATATAAAATATATTATATATACATGTATTATATATAATATATATAAAATATATATATTATATATAATATATATAAAATATATATATTATATATATTATATAATATATATAATATATATTATATATAATATATATAATATATATATAATATATATATTATATATAATATATATAATATATATAATATATATATTATATATAATATATATAATATATATATTATATATATATAATATATATATTATATATATATATATATTTTTTGAGACAGAGTCTCACTCAGTCTCCCAGGCTGGAGTGCAATGGCATGATCTCGGCTCACTGCAATCTCTGCCTCTTGAGTTCAAGCGATTCTCCTGTCTCAGCCTCCTGAGTACCTGGGATTACAGGGACCCGCCACCACATCCATCTAATTTTTTGTATTTTAGTAGAGACAGGGTTTCACCATGTTGCCCAGGCTGATCTCGAACTCCTGAGCTCAGACAATCCACCTGCCTTGGTCTCCCAAAGTGCTAGGATTCCAGGCCTCCCAAAGTGCTGGGATTTAAAAAATCAGCCAGGTGCAGTGGCACATGCCTGTAATCCCAGCACCTTGGGAGGCCGAGGAGGGCAGATCACTTGAGGCCAGGAGTTTGAGACCAACCTGGCCAACATGGCAAAATCCTGTCTCTACTAAAAATACAAAAAAATTAGCCAGGCGTGGTGGCGCACACCTGTAGTCCCAGCTACTTGAGGAGCTAAGGCAGGAGAATCGCTTGAACCCAGGGAACAGAGGTTGCAGTGAGCAGAGATCATGCCACTGCACTCCAGCCTGGGTGACAGAGCAAGACTCCATCTCAAAAAAAAAAAAAAAAAGAGAGAGAGAATTGACTAAAGTATCTTTAAAAGAATTACTTTCTAAGCTTGGATGTGACACAAGAGATCACACTTGTGAAAGATCATCAGGTTTGGTGGCACCTGATTTATAATTTGTGTATATTCATAAATATAAAACTCAGCTCTTCCTGGGAGTTAGGACACCTGGGGATTAACTAAAAGGATATTGTGGCCTGAATAAGCCACTCAGGTTTCAGTTCCCTTGACTATAAAACCTTAATAAGTTATTTAATGCAGAGATTGTGTTCTTCTTCTGAATCCCAGCTTCTAATAAAATTATGTCACCTTTCCTGATCCTCCATTTCCTCATCTGAAAAATGGAATTAATATGTTAGTGTTTGATACCAGCATTGTTTTGAGGATTAAATGAGATAATCTAAGTAAAGATCTTAGTTTAAACCGTGTTAATTGAAATCCCTGGGGTTAGAGGACTGTTCCTGGCCTCATCTGCCTGATACACATGTTAGCAGAAAGTTCTTAGCAAATGGCTCTGACAGCTCTATCTTTCTCAGAGGGCTGTGACCGGCTTGTGCAGAGCTCTGGTGGGTAAATAGTTTTCAGCTCATTCTGCCTGATTATATCCTCATTTCTTCTGGAACATCACTACAAACAAAGCAACAAGTTTGATCCTATGAACTAAGCATGGAGTTGGAATTCAAGGGTGACTAGCCAACAATGGGGGTTAGACCCTTTAGGCCCTGGGATGGCCATGTGAATAAAGTAAAAAATACTTCAGTTTTTCTTTAACTATGCTATTAAAGGTCTTCTTTATGTGCAATATCTGAAGCTTCACCTTAAGGGAGATATTTCACAAAAATAAGATGCCAATGTTATTTTGCCTTAAATGTATAAAAACTATCATCTGTTTTGTAGCAAGGATCAGAAGAAAAATAAACCAGGTCCAACATTTCTATGACTCCCATGTTGGATTAATGAATATGGAATCTTTATAAATTATGCATTGCATAATTTCACTATTTCTTATCATCCTCATAACAATCCCATGAAGCACTAATCATCATCTCCATTTTACAGATGAAAAATCAGAGGCTTACAGATGTTTAAAATGAAGAATTTCCATGGTTGTCAGTAAGTGGCAGAGCCAGGATTCAAACATGGGTCTGTCTGATTCCAGACCCCAGGCTTCTTCCACCAGTGCTTAACTCATTGAATAGTATTCACAACTGTTGGGAACAGGCCCCCCAAAATCTGGCCATAAACTGGCCCCAAAACTGGCCATGAACAAAATCTCTGCAGCACTGTGACTTGTTCATGATGGCCATGATGCCCACGCTGGAAGGTTGTGGGTTTACCAGAATGAGGGCAAGGAACACCTGGCCCACCCAGGGTGGAAAACTGCTTAAAGGCATTCTTAAACCACAAACAATTGCATGAGCGATCTGTGCCTTAAGGACATGCTCCTGCTGCAGATAACTAGCCCAACCCATCCCTTTATTTCGGCCCATTCCTTTGTTTCCCATAAGGGATACTTTTAGTTAATCTAATATCTATAGAAACAATGCTAATGACTGGCTTGCTGTTAATGAATACGTGGGTAAATCTCTGTTCGAGGCTCTCAGCTCTGAAGGCTGTGAGACCCCTGATTTCCCACTTCACACCTCTATATTTCTGTGTGTGTGTCTTTAATTCCTCTAGAGCCACTGGGTTAGGGTCTCCCCGACCGAACTGGTCTCAGCACACAACAACATTGAGAAGTGACTATTATTATGCCTGTTTAAGAGAGGCATCTGTAAGGTCAGAGAGGGGTAAGACCTCATCCAAATCAAATTACTACCAGAACTGACAAAAGTCATCTCAAAGGTGACCTTAGATCTGGGTCTGATGCAGGCCAAACCTAACAGTCAATCTCAAGAGAACAGATGGCATCTGTCCCTGCCAGTCTACCCTTCCTATCATATACCCACCACTTACTGCATCCCTCTCTGTTCCAAACCTCTGCAATCATGCGTCCTTCTTTCAGAAACCCTTTCCCTCCAGCCTAGCCAGCTGCTATTCTCTCCAGTTTTCAATTCAAATGGCACTATGTGCTCGTCATGAGTGCTGCCCATTAGCCGTTTCCAAGTCTCCTCTTGATCACGGGGTAAAATTATACTTCCCCACTGAGGCCATCAGTGTAAGTTAAGTTATACTGCAGTAACAAACTATCCCCAAATCATAGGAGCTTATAACTACAAAGACTTCTTTCTCACTCATGCAGTGTTCCCATGTGGATCAGTTTTGCTCTGTTCCATCATCTCCAGGACTCAGGCTAAGGGAGCAGTCAGTCCCTCATGGCACATTTCTACTTGAAGACCAGTAGCCAAAGCAAGTCATGTGGCTAGGCCAGATGTTAATGAGGAAAGAATTATAATCCTTCCACAGGTGGGGACAGCAAACATTCTGGCAATAATAAGGTCTATTATATTCCTCCCCCTTGAAATGGGATATGGCCACGTGGCTTGCTTTGGCTAATGAAATGTGAGTAAAGTGATGTTACCGCCAGTAGGAAGCTTTAAGAGCC
Organism: Homo sapiens; assembly: GCF_000001405.40. NCBI lineage: Eukaryota > Metazoa > Chordata > Mammalia > Primates > Hominidae > Homo > Homo sapiens. Next base: position 31,491,624 of record NC_000001.11, on the reverse strand, counting down.
AGTGTTAATTCACCATGCGCTCTGTCCCTTTGCAGAAGCAGTCAGCAGCCAGTGGTTACTCTATCAGCCCAGTTCCTAGGGTGGGGACAGCAGAGAGCAGGGCCCCCAGCTCTCTCCCTTCATAGGGATATAGTTTGAGGCAATCACAACCTTATTAGTTTAAGTACTGAAATGTGAGGGTTGTTTGTTACTGCAGCATCAGTTAACCCATTCAGCTCAATACATGCCTCCTTTGGAAAAGTTCACTTTACTTACAGGGAACAGTGGGAGGTGATCAGAACTAGACCCAGTAGCCAGGTGTGGTAGCACACACCTGTAATCCCAGCTACTCTGGAGGATGAGGCAGGAGAATCGCTTGAACCTGGGAGGTGGAGATTGCAGTGAGCCAAGATCACACCACCAAACTCCAGCCTGGGAAACAGAGCGAGACTCCATCTCAAAATAAATAAATAAAATAACTGGACCCAGGCATTGGTCAGTCAGGAAGCTTCCTGGAGCACTGAGTTTTAAGGAGGATTAAAATATCATAGGATGGGGAAAATCTTCAGGATATTATTATGGCCAAAATTTCTTGAGCAATACCCCACAAGCACAGGCAACCAAAGCAAAAATGGGCAAATGGGATAACAAGTTAAAAAGCTTCTGCACAGCAAAGGATACAATCAGCAAAGTGAAGAGACAACCCACAGAATGGGAAAAAATATTTGCAAACTATCCATCTGACAAGAGATTCATAACCAGAATATATAAGGATCTCAAACAACTCTATAGGAAAAAAAATCAAATAATCCAGTCAAAAAGAGCAAAAGATCTGAATAGACATTTCTCAGAAGATGACATACAAATGACAAACAGACATATGAAAAGGTGCTCAACGTCTTTAGTCATCAGAGAAATGCAAATCAAAACTACAATGAGATATCCTCTCACCCCAGTTAAAATGGCTTATATCCAAAAGACAGGCAATAACAAATGCTGACAAGGATGTAGAGAAAAGAGAACCCTGGTACACTGTTGGTGGGAATGTAAATTAGTGCAACTACTATGAAGAACAGTTTGGAGGTTCCTCAAAAAACTAAAAATCGAGCTATCACATGATCCAGCAATCCCACTGCAGGATATATACCCAAAAGAAAGGAAATCAGTATATGGTAGAGATATCTGCACTCCCATGTTTATTGCAGCATTGTTCACAACAGCCAAGATTTGGAAACAACCTAAGTGTCCATCAACAGATGAAAGGAAAAAGAAAATGTGGTACATATGCCCAATGGAGTACTATTCAGCTGTAAAAAAGAATGAGATCCTGTCATTTGCAACAACATAGATGGAACTGAAGATCATTATGTTAAGTGAAATAAGCTAGGCACAGAAAGACAAACTCCTCATGTTCTCACTTATTTGTGAGATCTAAACAAAAATCAAAAACAATTGAACTCACGGACATAGAGAGTAAAAGGATGGTTACCAGAGGCTGACAAGGGTAATGGAGGGCTGGTGGGGGAGGTGGGTATGGTTGATGAGTGTAAAAAAATAGTTAGACAAACAACCCCATCAAAAAGTGGGCAAAGGATATGAACAGACACTTCTCAAAAGAAGACATCTATTGGCCAAGAAACATGAAAAAAAGCTCAACATCATTGATCATTAGAGAAATGCAAATCAAAACCACAATGAGATACCATCTCACACCAGTCAGAATGGCAATTATTAAAAAGTCAAGAAACAACAGATGCTAGTGAGGCTGTGGAGAAATAGGAATGCTTGTACACTGTTGGTAGGAATGTAAGTTAGTTCAACCATTGCGGGAGATGAATGAGGAGCAAAGTCACGTCTTACATGGCAGCAGGCAAGAGAGCATGTGCAGGGGAACTCCCCTTTATGAAACCATCAGATCTCACGAGACTTATTTACTATCATGAGAACAGCATAGGAAAGACCTACCCCCATGATTCAATTACCTCCCACTGGATCCCTTCCATGACACATGGGAATTATGGGATCTACAATTCAAGATGACATTTGGGTGGGGACACAGCCAAACCATATCACAAAGGAAACATTGAAAAGTCACTTGGAGGCAGAGTGGGTCCCTTGAGGGCCTACTTGAGTGATGGCAATGCAGGCTTTCACTCTACTAAATGGGATGTGCAAGGGTGGGAAGGAGCTGGACTATTCTGAACAGGTGAGGAAGGGCTTCCAGGAACCCCAGAGAAGGCAGAGAACAAGAGCACCTAGTGTCACAAATAGTCTCCATGCACTAGATATGTAGAGAACAATGATAAAAGGAAAAAATAAAGACAAAGATCTGCTTCTGAAGTTTTCTCTAAAAGTTTCCTTCAGTTCTAGCCCCATGGAGGGGCTGAACATATGCATCTAGCTTTCTTTATCTCAATCCCACTATTTGAACTACTTGAACCTCATGTTTATAAATTTCCTTTTAATAATGCCATTATTTATTCTTTTGTTATAAGTCATTTCAGGGGTGAACTCTAGTCTTCTAGAGGCTTCAGAAACACATAATGTGTATCACCTCAGTGTTATAAAGCCCTACCCTCCTCAAACCACTCAAGAATGTCAGAGAAGAGCTTTCTTGGAATGGGTGTGCTGCCAGAACACAGGTATCATGAAAACCACTCCAAAAAGCCAAAATGGGAAAGGAAAAATATTCTTGTCAACATTGTCATCATTGGACACATAGATTCAGGCAAGTCCACCACTACTGGCCATCTGATCTCCAAATGTGGTGGAGTTGATAAAAGAATGGTAGAAAAACTTGTGTCTTCTTTTGGTCACAGACGAGGCTGCTGAGATGGGAAAAGGCTCCTTTAAAATAAGCCTGGGTCTTGCACACACTGAAAGCTCAGCAAGAGTGTGATGTCACCATTGACGTCACCATCTCCCCATGGAAAGTTGAGACCAGCGAGTACTACATGACTAACATTGATGCCCCAAGACACAGAGACTTTATCGAAAATGTCATTACAGGCACATCTTAGGCTGACTGTGCTGTCCTGATTGTTGCTGCTGGTGTTGGTGAATTTGAAGCTGGTGTCTCCAAGAATGAGCAGACTCATGAGTATGCCCTTCTAACTTACACCCTGGGTGTGAAACAACTAATTGTTGGTGTTAAAATGGATTCCACCGAGCCACCCTACAGCCAGAAAAGACACAAGGAAGTCATTAAGAAAATCAGCACTCACATTAAGAAAATTGACTACAACCCCTATCCCCTGAATAGTAGCATTTGTGCCAATTTCTGTTTGGAACTGTGACAGCATGCTGGTGCCAAGGGTTCACATGCCTGGGTTAAAGGGATGGAAAGTCACCCGTAATGATGGCAATGACAGTGGAACCATGCTGCCTGAAGCTCTGAATTACATCCTGCCACCAGCTCATCCAACTGACAAGTCCTTGCGTCTGCCTCTCCAGGATGTCTACAACATTGGTGATATTGGTACTGTCTCTATGGGCTGGGCGGAGACTGGTGTTCTCAAGCCCGGCACAGTAGTCACCTTTGCTCCAGTCAATGTTACAACTGAAGGGAAGTCTGTTGAAATGCATCATGAAGCTTTGAGTGAAGCTCTTCCTGGGGACAATGTGGGCTTCGATGTCAAGAATGTGTCTGTCAAAGATGTTCGTTGTGGCAATGTTGCTGGTGACAGCATAAATGACCCACCTGTGGAAGCAGTTGACTTCACTGCTCAGGTGATTATCCTGAACCACCCAGGCCATATCAGTACTGATTGTGGCCCTGTGCTGAATTGTCAGACAGCTCACATTGCTTGTAAGTTTGCTGGGCTGAAGAAAAAGACTGATTGCTGTTCTGGTAAGAAGCTGGAAGATTTAAATTCTTAAAATCAGGTGATGCTTCCACCATGGATATGGTTTCTAGCAACCCCATGTGTGTTGAGAGCTTTTCTGACGAGCTCCCCTGAGTCCTTTTGCCGTTTGTTGGTTTCATCAAAGCAGTGGACAAGAAGGGTGCTGGAGCTGGCAAGGTCACCAAGCCTGCCCAGAAAGCTCGGAAGGCTAAATGAACATTATCCCTAGTACCTGCCACCCAAGTCTTAATCAGTCATGGAAGAACTGTCTAGAACAGTTTGCTTCAATTGGCCATTTAAGTTTAATAGTAAAAGACTGGTTAATGATAATAATACATCATAAAAGATTCAGAAGGGAAGGAGAATATTTTATGAATCATATTTGTTTTGTTTTCGTGTGGCAATTTTCAGTAATCAGATTTTTTGGTTTTGGTTTCGGTTTTGGTTTTGGTTTTGGTTTTGTTTTGTTTTGTTTTTTGAGACACAGTTTCACTCTGTTGCCCAGGTTGGAGTACAGTGGCACCATCTCAGCTCACTGCAACCTCCGCCTCCTGGGTTCAAGCAATTCTCCCACCTCAACCTTCTGAGTACCTGGAATTACAGACATGCCACTGCACCTGGCAAGTCATTAGTTTTCAAAATCAGTAATTTTTAATGGAAACAACTTGACCAAAAATCTGTCACAGAATTTTGAGACCCATCAAGACAAAGTTTAATGAGAAAACTGTGTCTTCTTTTGGTCAACACTGAAACTTTTATAGAAGTGCTTAGGCAAAAGACTTCATAATCTATTTCTGGTGTTGAGCAGCTGTGAAACCTTATGAGAATATAATTCTGAGTTACCATTTTTTTTTCTGGGTTAATTTGAGGGTGTCTTCCCCCACCTATTTTTTTTTGAAATGGAATCTTGCTGTCATCCAGGCTGGAGTGCAGTGGCGTGATCTCGGCTCACTGCAACCTCTGCCCCCAAGGTTCAATCTATTCTCCTCCCTCAGGCTCCCGAGTAGCTGGGATTATAGGCGCACACCAACATGCCTGGCTAATTTTTGTATTTTTAGTAGAGACAGGGTTTCACCATGTTGGCCAAGCTGGTCTCAAACTCCTGACCTCAGGTAATCCGCCCACCTCGACTTCCCAAAGTGCTGGAATTACAGGCATGAGCCACCATGCCCAGCCTCCACCTATTTCTAAGCAGGAGGAATCTTGCTTCAGGTACCTAGTGAAAAGCTATGGGAGGGCTCTGTTGAATTGTGTATTAGTTCATTCTTACATTGCTATAAAGATAGTACTCTGACACTGGGTAATTTATAAACAAAGGAGGTTTAATTGACTCACAGTTCTGCATGGCTGAGAAGGCCTCAGGAAACTTACAATTATGGTAGAAGGGGAAGCAGGCACCTTCTTTACAAGACGGCAGGAGAGAGTCTGAGCAGAGAGCGAAGAGCCCCTTATGAAACCATCAGATCTCGTGCAAACTCACTCACTATCATGAGAACAGCATGGGGGAAACTTTCTCCATGATCCAATCACCTCCCTCCCTCGACACATGGGGATTACAATTCAAGATGAGATTTGGGTGGGAACACAGAGCCAAGCCATATTAGATTGCAACACTGTTGGTTAGTTTGGAAATGCAGCATGCTTTTGTTTACCTGTGATTTACTTTAGAAGGCCAAATCCTATGATACTAAAGGCCATGCATTACATATGAAATTTCATGTATTTACATCAATATTGAGTAAATTTGTTGAAATCTCAAAAAAAGGAAATGACAGAAAAGATAGCCAATATTCAACATTATTTTTAAAATATTGTTATAATGTGGTTAAATTATAACATAACACATATATAACACATATCGCATTGATTTATGTAATATGATATCAAATTCCACATTGAAAATTTATGTGAAACTCTATAGTTTGTCATTTTCACAATACTATTTGGATGTTATTTAAATATACAATTTTAAACTCTCCTAGAACCCTTCTCCCTTTTCTTTTTCAAGATTTCCACATTCTCTAATAACAATTGTCCTTAGTGTTTTCACTGAAGCGTCTCTCATTTTATTTTAGTTTTTGGTGTTAACCTGCCAGCTCTAGCCCTTCAAGGAAAAACCTTTTCTGAAGAAGAACTGCATAACACAATTCTTACAATACAAAACGTGTGATTTTAAAACACTTGCATTTCTAATAAGATGAATTATTTGGAGTCGTTTTGCATTGTCCTACTTGGGAACCCCCGCCCAGGGCACACAGAGGTGTCACATTCAGCTTTGCCAAGGAGTAGTCATGTTTCAAGGTGAAGTTCATCGCCACCCATGAAGTATTTACTCTTGCCAAGGCTGTTCTGCTTAAATCAAATCAAGCTTACAGACATTTATCTCAGTTTATAGAAGATACGGGAGATGAAGGAACATCAAGTGGAAATAATTAGGCCCATTCAGAAAGCGGGATGTTATGCAATTTAACCCTCCCAGCCTCGTAGAAACAAGCAGAAGGGGAAACCAAGAGAATTCAGACATACAACAATTAACTACAATGTGTGGTTAGTGATTAGAGCATAGTTTGAAAACATCAGCTATACAAGACATTTGGAGGGAAATTGAGGAAATTTGCATTGGAATTTACATGACATTAGGGAATTGCTGTTACTTTTTTAGGTGGGATAATAACCATGCGGTTATGTAGGAGAGTGTCCTTTTTTTTAAAGAGATGCTTGCTGAAATAATTAGAGGTTATGTGACAGGATGTCCTTACTTTGAAATGTTCTTTTTATTTATTTATTTGAGACGGAGTTCCCCCCTCCCCTATCCCCACCTCCATCACCCAGGCTGGAGTGCAATGGCACCATCTCAGCTCATTGCAACCTCCGCCTTCCGGGTTCAAGTGATTCTCCTGCTTCATCCTCCAGAGTAGCTGGGATTACAGGTGCCCACCACCACACCCGGCTAATTTTTAGTAGAGACGGGGTTGCGCCATGTTGGCGAGGCTGGTCTCAAACTCCTGTCCTCACGTGATCCACCCACCTCAGCCTCCCAAAGTGCTGGAATTACAGGCATGAGCCACCACCCCCAAAAAAATTCAGACCAGGTGTGGTGGCTCACACCTGTAATCCCAGCACTTTGGCAGGCTGAGGTGGGCTGATCACGAGGTCAGGAGATAGAGACCATCCTGGCTAACACGGTGAAACCCTGTCTTTACTAAAAATACAAAAAAATTAGCCAGGCATGGTGGCAGGCGCCTGTAGTCCCAGCTACTCGGGAAGCTGAGGCAGGAGAATCGCTTGAACCCAGGAGGCAGAGCTTGCAGTGAGCCGAGATCCTGCCACTGCACTCCAGCCTGGGCGACAGAGTGAGACTCCTTCCCAAAAAAAAAAAAAAATCTGTTGATGGGTGGTGGTGATGGGTGCATAACAACATGAATGTGCTTAATACCACCTAGTAATATACTCAAAAAGGGTTAAAATGGTAAATTTTATGTTATGTATATTTTGCCACAATAAAAAACAAAATACTCATCCACTTGGGGCTGCTGAGCAGAGACAAGATCTTACTGAGGACAGCCTACCAGTGACTTGCTGCCTCTGCCTGCTGGACTGTTGGGTTCTTCTTCCCCAACACCAGCCTCAGCTGTTGGTGGCAGCAGAAAGGGGTTGGGGGAGCCCCATTCCCCATGGATCAAGCCCATCATGCCATCAAGAATTTGAATTTGGTGGCTTCCCACCCCATGGTTCAAAATCTCTTGGGATCCCAGATCCAGCAAATCTAATTGCAAATGTTTTGGGGTCAACCAAATAGGGACTGACTCTCCCTCAGTACCAGACCTTACTTTGTTTTCAATTCCAATGAACCAGAAATCATGAGGCACTTAGAGCCTTTTATTCCCTACTAATTACAATGCAAACTGCTACCCACATTTTCTTGCTTTTGTCTGAGGGTGGGATCCGTCAGTTATCAGAGCTGATGTGTAATCAGTCTGTTTGGCAATAGGAGCCAACAGGGATTCATTACCCACCACCCACAGCCAACCCCCTACACTGCAGCAACCAGGAAGCTGGGGAAGATGAGAGTATGGTCACCCCCTTTTCATTGTTTCATTCAGGGTAGAAATTCAGGGCCTACGGGGACATTGCAAATTCCTTTAACCTGGACAGCGATGCTGATGTGCAAGTTCCTAGAAAGCAGCATGGACATTAACAGAACATTAAGCAAGCATGATGACTAAACCAAAGGGAGTTGACGCAGAGCATTTCAACACCACGTAATTAATTACCCAGCAGAAAGACATTTCAGCAAAGGGCCTGGGGACCACATGATTCTACTTCCTCATCATAGATCTGCAACTGACTTCACAGATGGTGTGTAGCAGCCGTTGCGTGAGGTGTTTAAGAATAATCACCATGTTTTAATTCCATCTGCTTCCCCTGGGGAGAGAAATTCTTACTTGACAGTGAAGCTGAGGGAAGAGAGAGACCCTCTGATATTGTTTTATACTCAGTACCCGTTTTAAGAAAAAACGACAAGGAAGTAAAACCAAAGACAGGCAGCCCGGCGCCAGGCCAAAAACCAGGCCTGGGCCTGCCTGGCCTAAACCCAGTAGTTAAAAATCAACTCATAACTTAGAAACCGATGTTATTCATAGATTCTAGACATCATATAGAAGAACATTGTGAAACTCCCTGCCCTGTTCTGTTTCTCTCTGACCACCAGTGCATGTGGCCCCTGTCATGTACTGCCTGCTTGCTCAAATCAATCACGACCCTTTCATGTGAAATCTTTAGTGTTGTGAGCCCTTAAAAGGGACAGAAATTGTGCATTCGGGGAGCTCAGATTTTAAGGCAGTAGCTTGCCGATGCTCCCAGCTGAATAAAGCCCTTCCTTCTACAACTCGGTGTCTGAGAGGCTTTGTCTGCAGCTTGTGCTGCTACAAAGCCACACAGTACAAGGCAGTCTAGATTATCTTCCCCATTTGCTTCTGACAGTGTGAAGGTTGACACTGAGTTTGCCACTCTCCAGGGCAAATATCTTTAGTTCGTTTCACAAATGGGTTGACCGAGGTCCAGAGATTGTGGGTTGTGCCCAAGATCACAAGCTCAAATTCATGTGCGATGGATAGAGAGCAAGGGTTGCCTTGGAATCTGATTAACACCCTGTGGCTACTCCCAACTGGGGTGAGGGAATCTCCCCACACTCAGTACCCAGTCCTGATTAGGGTTAGAGTAGCATTAGTGGTCCTATGGGCAGGAGTCCTTCCTTTCTCCCTTATTCCCCACAGGAAAAATTTTTAATTGATAAGTATCATTGCCATGCATGCATTTGTATTTCTACCACCTATGTATGTATCCATAGACAATATAAAGTATTATTTTGTGTGTTCTTAAAAATTTAAAATAAATAGTATCATACCATATCATTTTGCAACCTGCTTCTTTTTTCAGTATTTAGTGTGTTTTAAGTTTATCCTTATTGGTTCATGTAACTCTACTTAAATTATTTCAAATACTATAAAGTAGTCCACTGTTTGAATAAACCTCAGGTTATCTACCCATTTTTTTGTGCATTATATGTATTATATAGTGAATTCTTACAATAACATAAGCTAGAGAAAAGAAAATGTTATTAAGAAAATCACAAGGAAGATAATATATATTTACTGTTTATTAAGAGGAAGTGGGGTCATCATAAATGCCTTCATCCTCATTGTGTTCATGCTGAGTTGGCTGAGGAGGAGGAGGAAGAGGGAGAAAGAGAGAAGGGTTGGTATTGTCATATCAGGGGTAGCAGAGGCAGCAGAAAAGTAACATATAAGTGAATGAACAGAGTTCAAACACAAACCCGTGTTGTTCAAAGGTCAATTTTTCTTTTCTTGTATAATTTATTGGGTGCAGTGTTCTAAAGATGTATTTTAGGTATAGTTGGTTTATAGTGTAGTTTAAGTTTTTGGTTTATAGTGTAGTTTAAGTTTTCTATTTCATTGTTGGTCTTCTGCCAAGATATTGTATTCATTATTGAAAGTATTCAACTACTATTGTTGAATTGCCTAGTTCTCCCTTCATTTGTCAGTTTTTACTTCACATATATTTGGCCTCTGTTGTTAAGTGCATATATGTTTATGATTATTATATCTTCCTGACACATTGACCCTTTTATGATTATAAAATGTCTCTCTTTAAAAGAGTATCATCTTTTTGTTTTCAAGTCTATTCTGTAATATTAGTAGAGCGACACCAGCTTTCTTGTGATTTCTGTTTGCATGATACATTTCTCCGTTCTTTTACTTTCTTCTTCTTCTTCTTCTCCTCTTCCTCCTCCTTCTCTTCTTCTTCTTCTCCTTCTTCCTCTTCCTCTTCTCCTCCTCTTCCTCTTCCTCCGTCATCGTCACTGTCGTCATTTCACTGTATCACCCAGGCTGGTCTCAAACTCCTGGGCTCAAGGAATTCTCCTGCCTCGGCCTCTGGAGTAGCTGGGACTGCAAGTGCACACCACTGCACCCGGCTCAAATTACCCATCCTTAATTGAGCACTGATTAGGCTTTTGGACTTTTTGCTATTATGAACAGGGCTGAAATGTCTCCTTGTGCACATGGGTGAGTTTTGTCCCCAATAAACATCTATTAGTGGAATTGCTGAATCATAGATGTGCTCATCTTAAAATTTCCCAGATATTGCCACATTTCCTTTCAAAATAATAGCCCTAGATAGTTATGAATTCCTGTTTTCCCAGGAATCTTGCCACCACAAAATGTCATTAGCCTTACTCTTTTTTTTTTTTTAAGTAGAGATGGGGTTTCACCATATTGGCCAGGCTGGTCTCAAACTCCTGACCTCATGATCCGCCTGCCTCGGCCTCCCAAAGTGCTGGGATTACAGGTGTGAGCCACCACGTCCTACTAGCCTTACTAATTTTTAAGTTTTCTTGCTGAGACCAGCTCGGTCTGGGAGACCCTAACTCACTGGCACTAGAGGAATTAAAGACACACACACAGAAATATAGAGGTGTGAAGTGGGAAATCAGGGGTCTCACAGCCTTCAGAGCTGAGACCCCCGAACAGAGATTTACCCATGTATTTATTAACAGCAAGTCAGTCATTAGCATTGTTTCTATGGATATTAAATTAACTAAAAGTATCCCTTATGGGAAACAAAGGGATGGGCCGAAATAAAGGGATGGTTAGTTTACTAGTTGGGCTAGTTAACTGCAGCAGGAGCATGTCCTTAAGGCACAGATCGCTCATGCTATTATTTGTGGCTTAAGAATGCCTTTAAGCAGTTTTCTGCCCTGGGTGGGCCAGGTGTTCCTTGCCCTCATTCCGGTAAACCCACAACCTTCCAGTGTGGGCTTCATGGCCATCATGAGCATATCACAGTGCTGCAGAGATTTTGTTTATGGCCAGTTTTGGGGCCAGTTTATGGCCAGATTTTGGGGGGCTTGCTCCCAACACTTTCTATTTCCCTGCTTTTCTATATGTCATTCATTGTTGAAAATGTCATTCAAATTTCTCTATTGTTACCCATTTTGTCTGTTTGATATCATTTACTGAGAGAGGCACATCTAAATTTCTCAAATTGTAGGTTTATTTATTTCTGCTTGTGCGTCTATCAATTTTTGCTCTGTATAATTTATAACCAGGGTAAGTGGAAGTTCACGTGGATAAAGCAAAATTCATGAACTCACTTATGCCCAGAGATCACAGAGAAGGCTGTATGACTAGGGAGATGAACTTTCCTGGTTTGCTCAAGACAGATGGGTTTCCCAGGATGTGGGACTTTCAATGGTAAAGCAAGGGAAGTACAAATGACCAATTCTAACATTTTCATGAATGAACCACAGAAGTGGAATGTGGGGGAGGAATCCTGCTTTGGGGCCTCCCCAGCATCCAACCTCTATGTCATCTTTTCTTCTCATGCCAGAATTTTCCAGCTATTAGAAGTTGGGTAACACTGATCTCACCTTTGGGTGGGCTGGTGATGAATGACTTATATTCTTGACCTGCAGACCACTGGCAGAATTCAAAGGGGTACATGAACTCATACAAGAAAGTAATTGCATCTTTATTTTCACCAGGGTCCCATTGACATTTGTCATTTTCTTTGATTATGAATACAAGAAACATCCACAGTCACATTAGCAATATGTGTGTGTTTGTGACCCAGAGGAAATCACAGATATTCATATTACATGACAGTTGTTGCAGACATCTCAAAAGTAAGGTAATTATTACATTTCCTGCTGCATACAGGTGATCAAAGTCTTTTCATCTGATGCCCCTGCAATGTTGCTAGCCAATATCAGACAACTCTTTGCCATGGGACAATGATGTCTCACATTCTCACACTGGTGACCCAGACACATTAATTGCTTTCCAGGATCCCCTATTCACATTAGTTTATCAATCAGTGGAAGGAGGTGAGTCAAAGAGCACTTCACAGTTTAACACTCGTATTAAAGCGTAGCAACCACCCTCACTGATGTGTCATTTTAAAATCAAATTAAAACTTTGACTTGCCCATATTTATAATATACTGTCTTATTAAGTAATGTATTAATTCAAAAATGTATATTACTCTATTGGAAGTTTGTTTATTCATTATTTTGGTAGCTATATTTTAATACACTCTGTTTCCTCTGTGATTTTTTTCTGAGACAGAGTCTCTCTCTGTCACCCAGGTTGGAGGGCAGTGGCGCAATCTCTGTCACTGCAACCTCCACCTCCTGAGTTCAAGTGATTCTGCTGCCTCAGCCCCCCGAGTAGCTGGGACTACAGGTGTGTGCCACCATGCTCGGCTAATTTTTGTATTTTGGGTAGAGACAAGGTTTTGCCATGTTGGCCAGGCTGGTCTTGAACTCCTGGCCTCAAGTGATTCACCCACCTCGGCCTCCCAAAGTGCTGGGATTACAGGCATGAGCCACCATACCCAGCCTCCTCTGTGATTTTATACATTTTACTTTGTGCATTTAAACACATTCTGAGGCCTGGTGTGGTGGCTTATGCCTGTCATCCCAGTACTTTAAGAGGCCAAGATGGGAGGATCACTTGAGGCCAGAGGTTCAAGACCAGCCTAGGCAATATAGTGAGAACCTATCTCTAATAGTAATAATAATAAATTTTTATTTAATTTAATTCAAAAATAAAAACACTCTGAGAAGGGATCCTTTGGCTTCCCCAGGTGGCCAGAGGCCTATGGCACTGAAAAGATGAAGAACCACTGGCTCGTTCCATCCCCCAGGTTGTTTTATTTTTATTATTTTTATTTTATTATTTATTATTTTATTCTGTTTTTATATTTCATAGTGTTTTTCACCTTTTAATACACTATATAGTCTACATTTAAAAATTATCTGTGCATCTCTACTAGAAAATGAAATCAATGGAAACAGAAATTTTGGTCTGTTTTGCTTGCTTCCATACCTCAGACATGGGAAAATGATACGTCAGCATTTAAGAAGCACTTGTTGGTTTTCAAGAACATCATGGCAGACGGCAGGCAGGACCAGATTGCAGCTCCCACTTGGACAGACAGAACAGTGTGTGGAGACCCACATCATGAACTTTTGCTCCAGAACTACTGCAGGAATAAACCAGAAAAGCTGAGATAACCCACAGACCCTCTGAAGGAAGCAGATTGCTCCCACAGGACCCAGGAGACACTTCAAATACTGTGAGTGCACAAGCTGTGGAAGTGGGAATGAGGGATCATCTGGCCTGAACACACACCCTCACTGGGGAACCTGAAGGTCTAGATCACGGGAGAAGATTCTGACCTTACCCGGGGCTAAGTCAACTTGGAAAGCCCAGCAAAATACAGGGGTAAAGGAAGCAGTGGAAAAGCCCTGTGGGCTCTCTGGGTCTCCTGAGAAGCCATTTCTGCATTATCTCACGGGGTCCTTGGGGAGGGCTGCCAGAGGTACTAGGAAAAGACCACAGGAAGAAGGAAACCTTCAGTTGGACTTTGTAGCAATTCCAACCAAATGCAAAGTCTCCTGGCCAGAACTTGGGGGAGGACATGAATCCGGTGGGCAGACTGCGCAGGTCGGGGAGGCCCGAAAGCCCTGTTTGCTTTCGCAGATGGGAAGCTGGTAGCCTGGGGCAAATTCTCAGCGCTGCTTGCCCACTGCCTGGAAACAGACTCAGTGCCGTTGGGGGTGGAGCATGGTGTGAGTGAGACTGGCCTTTTGGGTTGTGTGGGAGCTGAGTAAGGCCTGTGACTGCTGGCTTTCCCCCACTTCCCTGACAACCTGCAAGACACAGCAGAGGCAGCCACAATCCTCCTGGGAACATAACTCCATTGACCTGGGAACCACTCTCCCATCTGCCGCAGCAGTCACAGCAAGACCCATCCAAGGAGAGTCTGAGCCCAGACATGCCTAGCCCTGCCCCTACCTGATGGTCCTTCCATACCCACCCTGGCAGTTAAAGACAAAGGGCATATACTCTTGGGAGTTCTCGGGCCCTGCCCACCACCTGATCCTCCCTGTACTACCACATCTGGTGCTCTCTTGAAAGTACCACCTCCTGGCAGGAGGCCAAACAGCACAACAATTGTGCATTAAACAACCAAAACTAAGAAACCTCACAGAGTCCATTTCACCCCCTGCCACCTCCACTGGAGCAGGTGCTGGTATCCACAGCTGACAGAACTGCAGATGGTTCACATCACAAGACTCTGTGCAGACAACCCCCAGTATCAGCCTGGAGCCTGGTAGACCTGCTGGGTGGCTAGATCCAAAAGAGAGATAACAATCACTACATCTCAGCTCTCAGGAAGCCACATCCCTAGGAAAAGGGGGAGTACTACATTAAGGGAACACCCCGTGGGACAAAGGAATCTGAACAGCAGCCTTGAGCCCCAGATCTTCCCTCTGACATAGCCTACTCAAATGAGAAGGAACCAGAAAAACAACTCTGGTAACATGACAAAGCAAAGCTCTTTAATACCCCCCCAAAAATCACACTTGCTCACCAGCAATGGATCCAAACCAAGAAGAAATCCCTGATTTACCTGAAAAAGAATTCAGAAGGTCAGTTACTAAGCTAACCAAGGAGGCACCAGAGAAAGGTGAAGTCCAATTTAAGGAAATCAAAAAAATGATACAAGAAACAAGGGGAGAAATCTTCAGTGAAATAGATAGCATAAATAAAAAACAATCAAAACTTCAGGAAATAATAAATGCAGTTAGAGAATACAAAATGTTCTGGAAAGTCTCAGGGATAGAATCAAACAAGCAGAAGAAAGAGCTCAAAGACAAGTTTTTCAAATTAACCCAATCCAAGAAAGACAAAGAAAAAAGAATAAGAAAAAATAAACAAAGCCTCCGAGAGTTTGGGGTTGTGTTAAACAACCAAATCTAAGAATAATTGGCATTCCTGAGGAAGAAGAGAAATCTAAAAGTTTGAAAAACATATTTGGGGGAATAATCGAGGAAAATCCCCGGTCTTGCTACAGACCTAGACATCCATATACAAGAAGCTCAAAGAACACATGGGAAATTAATCACAAAAAGATCATCGCCTAGGCATATTATCATCAGGTTATCTAAAGTCAAGACAAAGGAAAGAATCTTAAGGGCTGTGAGGCAAAAGCACCAGGTAACCTATAAAGGAAAACCTAACAAATTAACAGCAGATTTCTCAGCAGAAACCCTACAATCCCAATAAGGGATTGGGGGCCTATATTCAGCCTCTTAAACAAAATAATTATTGGTCATATCTAGCAAAACTAAGCTTCATACATAAAGGAAATATACAGTCTTTTTCAGACAAACAAATGCTGAGAGAATTCACCACAACCAAGCCAGCACTACAAGAACTGCTAAAAGGAGCTCTAATTCTTGAAACAAATCCTGGAAACACATCAAAACAGAACTCTTTTACAGCATAAATCTCACAGGACCTATAAAACAAAAATACAACTAAAAAAAAGTGTACAGGCAACAAATAGCATGATGAATGGAATAGTGCCTCACCTCGCAATACTAACATTGAATGTAAATGTCCTAAATGCTCCACTTAAAAGATACAGAATTGCAGAATGGGTAAGAATCCACCAGCCAACTATCTGCTGCCTTCAAGAGACTCCCCTAACACATAAGGACTCACATAAACTTAAGTTAAAGGGGTGGAAAAGACATTCCATGCAAATGGACACCAAAAGGGAGCAGGAGTAGCTATTCTTTTATCAGACAAAACAAACTTTAAGACAACAGCTATTTAAAAAGACAAAGAGGGACATTATGTAATGATAAAACCTCTTGTCCAACAGGAAAATATTACAATCCTAAATATACATGCACCTAACACTGGAGGTTCCAAATTTATAAAACAATTACTACTATACCTAAGAAATCAGATTGACAGCAACACAATAGTAGTAGGGGACTTCAATACTCCACTGACAGCACTAGATAGGTCACCAAGACAGAAAGTCAACAAAGAAACAATGGATTTAAATTATATCCTGGAACAAATGGACTTAACAAATATTTACAGAACATTCTACCCAACAACCACAGAATATACATTCTATTCATCAGTGCATGGAACTTTCTCCAAATAGACCCTATGACAGGCCACAAAACAAGTCTCAATAAATTTAAGAAAATTGAAATTGTATCAAGTGCTCTCTCAGACCACAGTAGAATAAAACTGGAAACCAACTCCAAAAGGAACCTTCAAAACCATGCGAATACATGGAAATTAAATAATCTGCTCCTGAATAATCGTTGAGTCAACAATGATATCAAAATGGAAATTTAAAAATTCTTCAAACTGAACAATAACAGTGACACAACCTATCAACACCTCTGGGATACAGCAAAGGCGGTTGATATGGTTTGGCTGTGACCCCACCCAAATCTCAACTTGAATTTTATCTCCCAGAATTCTCACGTGTTTTGGGAGGGACCCAGGGTTAGGTAATCGAATCATGGGGGCCAGTCTTTCCCGTGCTATTCTCATGATAGTGAATAAGTCTCACAAGATCTGATGGGTTTATCAGGGGCTCCTGCGTTTGCTTCTTCCTCATTTTTCTCTTGCCACTGCCATGTAAGAAGTGCCTTTCACCTCCCAAGGCCTCCCCAGCCATGTGGAACTGTGTAAGTCCAATTAAACCTCTTTTTGTTCCCGGTTTCAGGTGTGTCCTTTTTTTTTTTTTTTTTCTCTCGAGGCAGAGTCTTGCTCCATCCCTCAGGCTGGAGTGCAATACCACAATCTCGGCTCACTGCAACCTCTGCCTCCTGCATTCAAGCGATTCTCCTGCCTCAGTCTCCTGAGTAGCTGGGATTACAGGTGCATGCCACAACGCCTAGCTAATTTTTTGTATTTTTAGTAGAGTCAGGGTTTCACCATGTTGGCCAGGCTGGTCTCAAACTCCTGACCTCGTGATCCACCTGCTTTGGCCTCCCAAAGTGCTGGGATTACAGGCATAAGCCACCGCACCTGGCTCAGGTGTGTCTTTATCAGCAGCATGAAAACGAACTTATACAGTAAATTGGTACCAGTAGAGTGGGCATTGTTGAAAAGATACCTGAAAATGTGGAAGGAACTTTGGAACTGGGTAACAGGCAGACATTGGAACAGTTTTGAGAGCTCAGAAGATGGGAAAATGTGGGAAAGTTTGGAACTTCCTAGAGACTTGTTGAATGACTTTGCCCAAAATGCTGACAGTGATATGGACAATAAAATCCAGGCTGAGATTGTCTCAGATGAAAAACTTGTTGGGAACTGGAGTAAATGTGATGTTACTAAGTTTTAGTGAAAAGTCCAGTGGTATTTTGCCCCTGCTTTAGAGATTTTTGGAACTTTGAACTTAAGAAAGATGACTTAGGGTATCTGACAGAAGAAACTTACAAGCAGTAAAGCATTCAAGAGGTGACTTGGGTACTGTTAAAGGCATTCAGCTTTATAAGGGAAGCAGAGCATAGAAGTTTGGAAATTTTGCAGCCTGACTATGCAATAGAAAAGAAAAATCCATTTTCTGGGGAGAAATTCAAGCCAGCTGCAGAAATTTGCATAAGTAACAAGAAGCACAATGTTAATCCCTAAGACCATGGGGAAAATGTCTCCAGGCCATGTCAGAGATGGCCCCTCCCATCACAGGCCCAGAGGCCCAGGAAGAAAAAGTGGTTTCATGGGCCAGGCCCAGGGTCCCCATACTGTGTGAAGCATGGGGACTTGGTGCCTTGTGTCCTACCCACTCCAGCCATGGCTGAAAGGGGCCAATGTAGAGCTTGGGCTGTGGCTTCAGAGGGTGGAAGCCCCCCAAGTCTTGGCAGCTTCCATGTGGTGTTGAGCCTGTGGGTACACAGAAGTCAAGAATTGAGGTTTGGGAACCTCTGCCTAGATTTCAGAAGATGTATGGAAACGCCTGGATGCCCAAGCACAAGTTTGCAGCAGAGGCAGGGCCCTCATGGAGAACATCTGCTAGGGCAGTGCCAAAGGGAAATGTGGGGTCGGAGCCCCCACACAGAGTTCCTACTGGGACACTGCCTAGTGGAGCTGTGAGAAGAGGGCCACTGTCCTCCAGACCCCAAATGGTACATCCATGAATAGCTTACACTATGTGCCTGGAAAAGCTGCAGACACTCAATGCTAGCCCATGAAAGCAGCTGGGAGGGTGGTTGTAACTTACAAAGCCACAGGGGTGGAGCTGCCCAAGACGATGGGAACCCATCTTTTGCATCACTCTGACCTGGATGTGAGACCTGAAGTCAAAGGAGATCATTTTGGAGCTTTAAAATTTGACTGGCCCACTGGATTTCAGATTTGCATGGGCCCTTTAACCCCTTTGTTTTGGCCAATTTCTCCCATTTGGAACAGTTATATTTACCCAATACCTATACCCACATTGTATCTAGGAAGCGACTAGCTTGTTTTTTATTTTACAGGCTCATAGGCAGAAGGGACTTGCCTTGTCTCAGATGAGACTTTGTACCATGGACTTTTGGGTTAATGCTGAAATGAGCTAAGGCTTTGGGGGACTGTTGGGAAGGCATGATTGGTTTTGAAATGTGAGGACATGAGATTTGGAGGGGCCAGAAGCAGAATGATATGGTTTGGCTGTGACTCTACCCAAATCTAAACTTGAATTGCATCTCCCAGAATTCTCACATGTTTTGGGAGGGACCCTGGGGGAGGTAATCAAATCACAGGGGCCGGTCTTTCCTGTGCTGTTCTCATGAAAGTGAATAAGTCTCACGAGATCTGATGGGTTTGTCAGGGGTTTCCCTTTTTGCTTCTTCCTCATTTTTTCTCTTGCCGTCGCCATGTAAGAAGTGCTTTTTGCCACCACCCATGATTCTGAGGCCTCCCCAGCCATGTGGAACTGTGTAAGTCCAATTAAACCTCTCTTTATTCCCAGTTTCAGGTGTGTCTTTATCAGCAGCATGAAAACAAACTAATACAGCAGTGCTAAGAGAAAAGTTCATAGCCCTAAATGCCTACATCAAAAAGCCTGAAAGAGCACAAACAGACAATCTAGGGTCACACCTCAAGGAACTAGAGAAACAAGAACAAACCAAATCCAAATCCAGCAGAAGAAAGGAAATAACCAAGATCAGAGCAGAACTAAATGAAATTTAAATAACAACAACAAAATACAAAAGATAAAACAAAAACTGGTTCTTTGAAAATATAAATAAAATTGATAGACCATTAGCAAGATTAACCAAGAAAAGAAGAGAAAAATCCAAATAAGCTCAATTAGAAACAAAATAGGAGGTATTACAACCAACACCACAGAAATACAAAAACTCATTCAAGGCTACTATGAACACCTTTACACACATAAACTAGAAAACCTAGCAGAGATGCATAAATTCCTGGAAAGATACAACCCTCCTGGCTTAAATCAGGAAGAACTAGATATTCTTGTTAAAGATCGTGAACTCCAAGTTTCTTTTCAAAGAATCACTATGTCAGTATGTTCAGCTCTCTTTATTCTCCATTTTAAAGTCTAACTTCCTGGTTCTATTGCCCCGCTTGCCTCTAGTTTCAGTAAACAAGTTTCCTGCCAGTTCTAATCAGTAGTTCACATCTGTTCCCCTGGTCACCTGCTTTGTCCTGAGTCACCCCTGGTCACCTGCTCCATCTTGAGTCACCCCTGTCACCTGCTCTGACCTGAATCATCCTGAGTCAACTGTTCTGTAACCACCCCTCCCGCCAAACTTCTCACCCTGTCACTCCAGCTTGTACCCCTGCTCTCTTTAAAATAGCCAATCGGAATTAGCTTACACTGTGCGGTCCAATCCTAGCCAATAGGGGAATGACACAACAGCAGGGACTACCTGCACCAGGAATACGAACCGCTTCCCTCCCCTTGTTCAGGTGTGCTTTCGCCATTACTCCAACCACGAGTCGCACCCTTCTATAGAAGTAAAAATTACCTGGCTGAGAAAATTAAATTTATGTTCAAGTGCTATTTCTCTGCAGCACCAAGGAACAGGCATTTGTTTCTAACAATCTCGTGGCCCATATGGGGAGCTATTCTCCTCTAGGGGTGGCCTCTATTCCTCTCTCACGCCCCACTGCCTTGTTGCGGTGGCCTCAAGAGTCAGGAATCGAGACTCACCTGGTGTGACAAATAAACCTGGACTCAGCAATGTCGAAAGAAACCAGCCGGCGACCCAGGGGAAAGGATCCTCACACACCACAGTGACCAGGCAACTCTGTGCACAGACCGAGGAAGGAAACGCCTGGGAGCCAGCAAAGTATTTCCTTGGTGGTTGGGACAGACCAAGGTAAGAGAAGCCACAGGGGGTGGTGGTATTCCTTGATCAGGACATATCAAGGTAAGAAAAGACACGGAGGAGGTGGGGCGGTGAAGTATTCCCTGGTTGGGGTATCTTGAGGGTT
The DNA here is from genome assembly GCF_000001405.40 of Homo sapiens. Classification (NCBI taxonomy): domain Eukaryota; kingdom Metazoa; phylum Chordata; class Mammalia; order Primates; family Hominidae; genus Homo; species Homo sapiens. The sequence goes on along the minus strand of NC_000001.11, from coordinate 31,470,950 downwards.
AAAAATAGGCAAGACATTTCTAGCAAGGGGAATTGAGCCTCACACTAAAAATGGGAAATACCCCAAGTAAGGTAAGGGATAAAAAGGATACACTAGCAATGATAATATTCCCCCTAATAATCCGCTCAGCCTAATGATAAAATATTAGAAGGGTAATGAAAGGACCAAAAACAAGAAAAAGCAGCTGCTGTCCCAGACCCTTCTCCTATCCCTGTTGTCCCTCTCCTTATAATTCTGCCTCTTGGGAATGTTCCCAAGAGCCCACTCACGACCAGCCTGAGTACCCTTCCCTAAAAGGACTTCACACGAGATAGAGCAATGTAAAAAGGATATTCAGAACTTCCCTTTCCCCTCTTCTCAGGGGAAGAAAGAGGCATGATCCATAGGGCTGCAATGGGAGCCTAGGAACCATGAACACCCCGCCCCCGGCTTCCGGCCAAAACGTTCCTACAGCGGATCAAAAATTTCCCACCCAAGACCCCTGGTGGGACAATAACAATGCAGCCAACCAAGAAAATATGCAAGACCTTAAGGAATTGATAATAAAGGGGATTAAAGAATCAGTACCCCGAACCCAGAATCTTACCCAAACATTTGATATACAGCAAGGGAAAGATTAAGGGCCTATAGAATTTTTAGACAGATTAAAGGAATAAATGAGAAAATATACTGGTCCAGGTCTCGAGGATCCCCTTGGACAGGGAATGTTAAAACTTCATTTTGTCACTAACAGTTGGCCAGATATTAACAAGAAATTACAAAAGATAGGGAACTAGAAAGATAAACCTATAGAAGAGCTTCTAAGAGAAGCCCAAAAAGTATATGTAGGAAGAGATGAAGAAAAACAAAAGCAGAGGGCAAAAATTCTGCTGTCCACCATACAACAAAGTACCCAGGGGGCAAGAACCTATAAAGAACCTAGACCCCCACTCTCCAGGCAACATAAAGGGTACAAAAGAGTAAAGCCAGGAGACTCAAAGGTAGAGAAAAAAATCTTAGAGGCGAGAGAAAGACTGACAGAGGGGACAGAGGAAGTCAGAGAGAGAGAGAGGGAAAGAGACAGAGGAAGTCAGAGAGAGAGGGAAAGAGACAGAGGAATTCAGAGAGAGAGAGAGAGAGATAGGGAGAGGAAAAGGGAAAGAGGACAAAACAAATGCTTCAAATTAAAAATAGGTCACTTCAAAAAAGAATGTCCCAAGTGGGAAAAAGAATAAAGTCATATGTAAAAGCAAATCAGCTAATATTAACTTTCTGCTAATTCTGGAAGCAGGGACAAATCTATAAGGAAGAGATTTAATGCTAAAATTAGGCTTAGGCCTCGAAATCAATCATAGAAAATTCCTCCTTTCCCTAAACTTACCACCACAGCAAAAGATGGGAAGCAAGGAAAGTTACAGATTCCTCCAATTCATGTTAAATTAAAAAAAAAAACTATTAAAAACACCTGGGGAAGTAGTAAAGAGAAAGCAATGTACCCTATTTCTTTGAAAACTAGGGTAAATTTAAGACCTATAATTGATAATTGAAGGTCGTCTTGGTGTTGGGCTTCTTAAACCCTGTGTGTCTCCCTATAACACTCCAATATTGCCTGTAAAGAAGCCAGATGGGGGCCAGGCGCAGTGGCTCACACCTGTAATCCCAGCACTTTTGGAGGCCAAGGCACGTGGATTACAAGGTCAGGAGATTGAGACCATCCTGGCTAACACAGTGAAACCCCGTCTCTACTAAAAATACAAAAAACGAGCTGGGCGTGGTGGCAGGTGCCTGTGGTCCCAGCTACTCGGGAGGCTGAGGCAGGAGAATGGTGTGAACCTGGGAAGCGGAGCTTGCAGTGAGCTGAGATTGCGCCACTGCACTCCAGCCTGGGTGATAGAGTGAGACTCTGTATCAAAAAAAAAGAAGCCAGACGTGTCATACCAGTTAGTGCAAGACCTTGGAGCTATTAATCAAATAATCCAAACTACCCACCCTATTGTTCCCAATCCTTATACTATTACAGTCACCAGTGGTTTACAGTAATAGATTTAAAAGATGCTTTCTGGGCTTGTCCATTAGCAGAGACAGCTGGGACCTATTTGCCTTTGAATAAGAAGACCCTCACTCTGGTTGAAAATAGCAATACTGATAGTCTTACCCCAAGGGTTTACGGAGTCTCCAAATTTATTTAGTCAAATATTAGAACAAGTCACTTAATTAGCAAAGATAAACAGAAAATTGAGCTTGAACGGATTGAAGGCATAATATCCTTCCCTCTGCTGGAGACTAAACAAGAACTTAAAACATTTTAGGATTAGTTGGGTACTGTCATCTATGGATAGATTCTTATGCCCTAAAAACAAAACCCTATACAGAAAGCTCATGCAAGATGGGCCAAACCCTCTCATTTGGCAATTACCAGAAATCCAACAGGTGGAAAGGTTAAAACATCTATTAGTGGCCGGGCACGGTGGCTCATGCCTGTAATCCCAGCACTTTGGGAGGCCGAGGCGGGTGGATCATGAGGTCAGGAGATTGAGATCATCCTGTCTAACACGATGAAACCCCGTCTCTACCAAAAATACAAAAAATTAGCCATGCGTGGTGGCGGGCACCTGTAGTCCCAGCTACTCAGGAGGCTGAGGCAGGAGAATGGTGTGAACCCGGGAGGCAGAGCTTGCAGTGAACCAAGATCACGCCACTGCACTCCAGCCTGCGCGACAGAGCAAGACTCTGTCTCAAAAACAAAACAAAGCAAAAACATCTATTAGTAACTGCCCCATCCTAGCTTTACCCTCCTTAAGCAGCCATTCCATCTTTTTGTCAGTGTAAACAAGGGCATAGCCTTAGAAATACCCAAAAGCACAGAGGCCACTGACAACCTGTACCCTTCCTATGAAAAATCCTTAACCCAGTAAACTGTGGATGGCCCAAATGCATTCAGTCTGTAGCAGCAACTGCTTTGCTAAGAGAATAAAGTAGAAAACTAACTTTTAGAGGAAACCTCATTGTGAGCACACCTCACCAGGTCAGAACTATGCTAAGTCAAAAAGCAAAAATGTAGCTTACTGACTCAAGAATCTTAAAGTATGAGGCTATTCTGTAAGAAAAAGATGATTTAACATTCACCACTGATAATTTGCTTAACCCAGCAGGTTTCCTAACAGGGGATCTAAATCTTAATTAATTACCATACAAAGGTCTGACCAGACCTAGGAGAAACTCCCTTCAGGACAGGACGACACTTATTTATAGATGGTTCCTCCTGGGTAATTGAGGGAAAAAGACACAATGGGTATTCGGTAATTAACAGAGAAACTCTCATAGAAATAGAGCTAGGAAAATTGCCTAATAATTGGTCTGCTCCAATGTGTGAGCTGTTTGCACTCAGCCAAGCCTTAAAGTACTTACAGAACCAGGAAGGACCATCTATACTGATTCTAAGTATGCCTTTGGAGTGACTCATACATTTGGAAACAGCTGGACTGAACGAGGTCTTATTAATAGCAAAGGTGAAGACCTGGTCCACAAGGAATTAATCACCCAAGTATTAAATAACCTTAAGTTGTCAAAAGAAATAGCTGTTGTCCATGTCCCTGGACACCAGAAAAGCCTTTCTTTAATTAAAATCCCAAATTTACAAGATTTTCCACAAAAGTAAAGTTTGCTGTTAGAAGTAAATGCTTATTTCTCAGTGCCGCAAGGAAAACCAGCATTCAGACAAAAAAAAATTCTCAGCAAGGCAATTTTACTTTCTCCAGAAAGGATGCTACTCATCAGCAATCTCGCCATGAAAGCACACTGAATAAAGAAAGGCAGGAATATTTATCCCTTATTGGGTCCTTACTGCTGTGTCCTATCTCCATTGGTTGGAGCTGGACCTCACAGTCTAAGCTAAACCTGATTGGCTAAAAACTTAAAACTTTCCTAAATTGGTAAAGGCAATGGAGAACAAAAAAAAAAAAAAAGAGAGAGAGAGAGAGGAAGTTGCTTGCAAAGGACTTAGAGAAGTAATAACATTTCCAAATAAGAAAGGGGCATAGTCTGTGAGCTGGGACATGCCTGAGCATGTCCAGAATAAATATCTTGGTTAAAGTACAAGGACATAGAATGTACTTATTCCCTTATATCTAACATCCACATAGGATAGGGCTTAACAAAGAGTTATCAGCAAAAAGCAAGAAGGCTTTGAAGGAAGTCAGTCTTTAAAAGAAACTATTATTTCTAACATTTATTATTTATTATTTAACAAGAAGGGAAACTTTGAAGAGGAACTTTTTACTTTCCACAATTTCCCCCTCTTGATTTTATAGTTTTTCCTCTTCAAACTTTCTTAATATGTCTTGGCTTAGTTGTTCTGCCTGAGTCTCTTAAAAAAAAAAAAAAAAGCTTCTCTGAATAAGGTGGAGTAGAGTTAAGGGAGGTTTTAGTAAGAGCCATTTTCATTAACCTTTGCACCAACTCTCGGATGCATGGTATAACACAACACCCAAAAAGAAGGAGTATACTTATTACAGTTGCTAAAGAGGTAAGAATTGAGGCTACAGTCTCTTTTCATTGGCCAAACCACCCTTCTAGCCATTTTAAAACAGGGTTATTAATTCCAGAATTTTTAGCTAGTTCTTCAGGTAAAGCAGTAAGGCCTTGTAGGGCCATCATTATGCTGCCATTGGGAGCAGTGTTGTTTGGGATGAAGGTACAACATTGGATTTTAATCATAACACAAATACCACCTTTTTCAACTAATATCATATCCAAAGCCATTCTGTTTTCCCAGGCCATTTGGCTAGTGGACCCTAACTGTTCCACTCTTCCATTGACAGCATCTTTAGTGTAATTAATAAACCGTTGTTGATTGTAAAAAATATAGTTTTTCCAATCTTTGTTTTTATTAACTGTTATCCATGGGAGGATAGATTCAAACCCTGCAGCTATTTGGAATCCCTAGCTTTATATTCATCTGGTACACCCTGTGGAATGCTAATTGCATCTAAATAGACGTGGGGGTTGAAAGACCAGTAAGGGGCTTCTCTTGTTTTACGATGTCATGTTTTTTCTTTTTCTGGTTGATGAAATGTCAGGGTAAAAGGGACAGCCAATTGAACTAGAGCACAAGTACCACTCCAATTATTTGGCAGAGTGTCCAGTAAAGGTCCTCCACAATACCACCAGACATCTGCTCCGGGATGAATAAGGACGGACTGATGGGTCAGCTCTTGGCAGTGCCTGACCTCACTGCATCCTGTTAAGTCTCCAAGGAACACCAAATTTTCCCCTTGTCGTTGGAGACATGAGGTAAAGTTGCTCTTGGAAGATGGAGGCTGGATGGCCTGCGGGGGCTGACCCGCAGGATGCTGCACTTCAGGAAATAGCAGAGAGACAGTTTGGCACAGTTCATTATCCCAGGCTGTAGGATTTTGAAAAACAGCTACCATGCAGTCCATGTCTTGTCGATTAGAGGGCCATCTGAGTGGAAAGGGGACAATCTGGGCCTCTGGCCTACCATGTGTAGGAGCGTAACAATCGCTTTTATTTAAAGTGCAGATGGAATATTTAATCCATTCTAGCCAGGCATTTACATCCTGATACCCTGTCTCAATTGCTATGGTTTGCCTTAGGTTTTCTACTTTTACTACGGAGATTTTGGTTTTGTCATTGTGTCTGGGAGGAGTGATTGATAGAGGTTGAAGAAGCAATAAAGCATATTTCAAAAATTCCCTTACTATCTTTCCTGAAATGTCAGCTCCCATACCATAAATATGACTTAATGAAGGGGAAGAGTTTTCAGATGTTGCAATAGTAATAGTAAGCTGTATAGGATTACACTGGTTATATTGACAGCTAGAAGGAGTAATTCTTTTGGTGAAATGAATATATGGTTTTAAGGACTGACAAAGACCCGTGGAAGCAGTCTATCTTAGACCTTTAGTGTTCCATAGGACATTAGACCAAGCAGAACATAGAGATTCTGTTTTAGAGGGACAAGAGTCTGATTCCCACCAATTAATACAACTAGTATTCTCTGGATTACTAGTATCCTTGCAGGAACTCAATATGTCTTCCCAATCTGAGGAAGTCCAAGAGGGACAGAGATATTTTTCCGAAGTAGTAAACTGTCTTTGGTTATGCAAATCTCCACAGGGTATAACTAAACAGGCATCAGAAGTAATAACTTGAGGTGAGTTAGATCTAGTTACGTTAATAATAAGATGGGGAGTAGTTAAAGGGAAGAAAAGAAAAATAAAAGATAGATAGATTAAGCTTTTCTTAACTTTAATTTGGTAGGGCTTGATCCTGGAACAATGACCCACGATTCCGAAGGTGATGACGTTTTCTTGACTTGGGTGTGATGTGTTCATCCTTTTTCTGCTGTGCCAATGGCAGTCTCGGTGGTTAGCAGCACGAGGTAGGGTCCTTCCCAGGCTGGCTCGAGTTTTGCTTCTTTCCGTCCTTTGATGGTCCCCAGGCTGGTGCTGGTGTACTGGAAATTCTAGGGGTGGTGCCTGTGCTAGAAGACCTCTGGTTTTAAGTGAAAAAAAGGTAGAGGAGAGACCAAGTATATAATTTCTGAGAAACTGATCCTTTGATTCAAATGTGGGGGCATGAGCAGTGGAATATAAGTAAGGCAACCCATATAACATTTCATAAGGGGACAGGCCAACATCTTTCCAAGGGGAGGTTCTAATCCTTAATAAAACAATAGGAAGGCATTTAGCCTATGGCAACCGGGTCTCTAGGACTAATTTAGTTAGGTGGCTTTTAAGGGTTTGGTTCATCCTTTCTACTCTCCCTGAGGAGGATGGGTGCCAAGGAATGTGATATTCCCACTTTATGTCTAGTACTTGAGCCAACTTTTTAATGATATGTGCAGTAAAATGGGTTCCATTGTCTGAATCAATGTTTTCTATTAGTCCGAACCTGGGTGTAATATGTTCAATTATTGCTTTAACTACATTACTAGCGGTTGCACTTGAAAAAGGGATAGCCTCTACCCAATGGGTGAAATGATCTACTATTACCAATAAATACTTTAGCTGACCAGGTGGGGGCATTTCAGCGTAATCAACTTGGACACTTTGAAATGGTCTTAGTCCTGGATTTCTTCCTCCAAGTGGTAATTTTCTTAGGGCTTGTTTATTTGTTTTCTTACAAATTAGACAACTGTCTTTAACTTGTTTTGCTAAAGTATAAATCTCAATATACCCATAAACCCTGAGAACTGCATCACACATAACTTGGGGCTCCAGTGAGTTCTTTGATGTAGTTAAGATAAAACCTCCCTCAAAAGAGGCTTAGATAATATTTCTTTCTGGTCTGGGAGTATCTATTTCCCTTCTGAATTCCTTTGAGCTCCTATTTTTACTAATTTTTCCTTCTCAGTATGACAGAAAATAGGAACTACAGTGGGAGAAGGAAGACAAGGAGTTAAGTGAAAGATGGTGTCTCAGAGGAAACAGCAGCTTGCTTGGCTCTTTGATCCACAAGAGTATTTCCTCAACTTTCAAAATAAAAGTTGTGTTGGTGTCCTGGAACATGGACAATGTCTATTTCCTCTGGTAACTGAAGATTATTCAGGACACAATTAATGTTTCATAAGCAAGATCTTGACCTTTACTATTAATAAGGCCCCGTTCGGCCCAAATTTTTCCAAATGTGTGAGACACCCCAAAAGCATACTTAGAGTCAGTATAGATGGTTCCTACCTGGTTCTATAAGTATTTTAGGGCCTGGCTAAGTGCAAATAGCTCACAGGCTTGGGGAGACCAACTATTGGGTTATCTTCCTGATTCAACTTCTTTGAGAGTTTCCCCATCGATTACTGCATACCCATTATGTCGTTTTCCCTCAATTACCTGGGAGGAACCATCTGTAAATAAAGCTGCCCTGTCTTAAAGGGGGTTTCTACTAAATCTGGGCTGACTTTCGTATGGTAGTCAATTAAATCTAGACATAGGTGTTCCCTTTTTAGCAGTGGGTTCCCTGTCAAGAAACCCACTGGGTTAAGTGAATTGTCTGTAGTTAAGGTTAAATCATCTTTTTCTAATAGGATAGCTTCATATTTTAAAATTCTGGAGTCAGTGAGCCATCTTCCTGCCTTTTGGCTTAGGATAGCTTGACTTGTTGAGGTGTACTCACTGTCAGATATCCTCCAAAAGTTAATTTCCTGCTTTCTTCAACCAATATCACCGTGGCCACAATGGATTGAATACGCTGAGGCCATCTGCAGGCGACTGGATCTAGAACTTTTGACAGGAAGGCCACTGGCTGTCGGCAGCCCCCATGTTCTTGGGTAAGCACTCCTAGAGCCACTCCATTATCTACGTTAACAAAAAGATGAAATGGTTTTTCTAGAGAGGGTAGGGCCAGGACAGGAGCAGTTATGAGTCTTTCCTTTTACTCCCCAACCTGATCAACCTCTTCAGAAGTCCATATGAAGAGATCAGGTTCTCCTTTAGTTAGCTTCTCATATGGAAGTTTACTTTTTAATGCATATGAGTCAATCCATAAATGGCAGTATCCAACTAACCCTAAAAATTTCCTGAGTTCTTGCTTGGTTTGAGGCAAGGGCAAAGACACAATTCCTTTGACCCATTTGGGTCCTATTCTTCCTTTGTCTGCATTTATTAAATGGCCTAAGTATTTAACTTCAGGTTCTACATATTGAAGCTTTCTCTTTGAGACCCATACCCTTCAAACTGTAAGTGGTTAAGAACGTGTGTAGAAAACCCAGCTACCTTCTCTATGTCTTCTCCAGATATAAGAATATCATCCACATATTGGAGCAAACGTAGCTGCTTTGGGACAACAACTTTTTCTAATACTTGCTCTAAGATTTGACCAAAAAGATTGAGTGAATCTGTAAATCCTTGGGGTAAAACTGTCCATCTATACTGTTGTTTCCATCTTGAATGGGGACCTTCCCATTCAAAAGTAAATATATCCTGGCTGTCTTCAGCCAAGGGACCTGCCCAGAATGCATCCTTTAAGTCTATTACTGTGAACCACTGATGACTGTGTGAAATTTTACTAAGAATGGTGTAAGGGTTGGGTACAACAGAATGAGTGGTCTGGACTATTTGATTGATAGCTGTAAGGTCCTGCACTAGTTGGTATGACCCATCTGATTTTTTGACTGGTAAAATTGGAGTGTTGTATGAGGACATACAAGGTTCAAGTAGTCCATCTTTAATAAGACTCTCAATTACAGGCTTTAACCCTACCCTTCTTCTAAAGGGATAGGGTATTGCTTTCTTCTCACTACCTCCCCTGGAGTCCTTAACCTGATATGTATTGGAGGAATTCGTAGCTTTCCTCAGTTTCCTTCCCTTGGCCAGACATCGAGATGAATGGACTTCTCATCTGCTGTGGTAAGCAAATTTAAGGAAGTTAGAACACCCTTTGGGCCAACTTGCAGACCTATACCTAGTTTTAACATTGAATCTCTCCCTAACAGATTGGTTCCTGCTTCAGGAATTAACAAAAGTTGAATACAAGTTGACTGATCTTGGTATTTTGCTTCTGTATTTTCTAAAACTTTCTCCTTAAATTCTTCTCCTTTTACCCCAGAAACTAGCAATTCCTCTGTAGAACAAGTTAAATCAGCTGGGGGAAAACAAACAGACAAGCAAGCAGCTCCTGAGTCAATTAAAAAGGTGATTAATTCATGTTTGGGTCTCACCTCTAAATGTATCAAGGGTTCCTGGTGGGACTCAAAATAGAAAAGACAGAGCCCCTGACCCCCCTATTCCTCTTCAAAGGTAGTCATGAGTGGAAGAGCTTCTTCTACTTTTTCTAATTCCGGACATTACCTATTAAAATGGTCTGGTCTTCCACATTTGTAACATCTGTCTTGTCCTTCCTCTCTCCCAAGCCCAGGGCCCCTTTGTCTTTCCTCCTTACCTTCACATCCACAGCCCTTACAGCACTTACTTTGACCTTCTCCCTTAACGTACTGATCTTGCCTTCTTTCTCTTTGCATTCCTGAGTTCCCTGACTTTCTTCTTTCACCTTCTCTAGAAAACTTTGCAGGTGTGGGTCTAAACTTAGCCCCTGGTATCATTTGTCCTGGTGAACTCTGTCAAAAGATTTTTGCTTTCTGTCTCTGCCTTTCTTCATCTCTACTTACATATACTTTTTGGGCTTCTCTCAAAAGCTCTTCTATTGACCGATTCTTCCAATTTTCCAGTTTTTGCAATTTTCTTGCAATATCTGGCCAACTGTTAATAATAAAGTGCAACTTTAACAATCCTAGCCCAAAGGGGCTTTCTGGGTCTAAACCAGCATATTTTCTCATCTGTTCCCTCACTCTGTCTAGAAACTTCATAGGCCCTTCATCTTTTTCTTGCTGTATATCAAAATCCTTAGAGAGATTTTGAGGTCGGGACACTGATTCCCAAATTCCTCTAACTATCATTTCCCTTAAATCTCTCATGTTATCCCTGTGGGCTGCAATATTGTTATCCCACTCCAGGTCTTGGCTGGAAATTTTGGTCTGCTGCCAGAACATTTTGGCCCAGAGGATGGTCACACTCCCAGACCACCACAGCAGCTCTGCGGATCATGTTCTGCTCTTCCCCTGAAAAGAGGATACCTAGGATGGACATTAATTCAGCCCAGGTATATAACTGCGGGCCTAAAAACTGATCAATTTGATCTGCCACTCCATAAGGATCATCTAATAATGGCTTGAGTTCTTTTTTTTTAAGACTTCGGACTTCGGAACCAGTTAAGGGAGCATTTACAAGGCAAATTGCCCCCCCTTGTGGTACCTCCCTTAAAAGAAAGAACTTTGAAGATGAATCCTTAGAAGTGGGGAGGGGGAAAGGAAGACTCTGAATATCCTTTCTACATTGTTGTATTTCCCGTTGAAGTCCTTTCTTTAAAGAAGGATATTCAGACTGACAAAACTTGGGTCCCTGGGACAATAACTTCCAGGAGTCCGGGTTGTATGGGGGAGGAATAACCTGAGTATGAGGATCCAGAGGAGAGTCTGGAACTGGGTCTGGGATGGGGTTTGGGGCGGCGGCAATTGCTTGAGGAGGGAGTGGTGGGTTTTTGAGAAGTGGGGGATGGTGGTCTAGAGGGTCCCACTTACTCGTGGATGTCTTAGAAGTAGAAACTTTGTTCTCAGATGAGACAGCCTCTGAGTCCTTTTTACCTTCTAGTTCCTTCCCATCTATTCTTAGCGGGTAGAGAAGAACGGCCCCTGCCGCCAGCACAGAGCATAGTCTATTTCTTCTTGTGAGAGAGGACTCTTGTCATTAACATACATTATTAGGAGTTGACAAACCCAGTCCCCATCCAACCCAAACTTTGGCCAGAAAACTGTGGGCTTGAGGATTGGCTCTTTAGTCCAAATAAAGCAGCAATACTTTATCATTTGCTGCTTTCCCTTGAGTTTAGTCCTCTCATTGTCTTTCCAATACTTTAACATAAGCCCTAAAGGACTATCGGTGGGGGGGATTTGACCATCTGCATTCTTTCCCTTCCCTGTTTTACTAGAAATATTCCCTATACTGAGTACCAGTTAGACTCAACCTCTCGACCCAGAGTTTTCTTGCTTATCCCGTTTTCCAGAGGCTTGCTTAAAACAACCTCACGTATGGCCGGGCGCAGTGGCTCACACCTGTAATCCCAGCACTTTGGGAGACCAAGTCGGGTGGACCACGAGGTCCGGAGATCGAGACCATCCTGGCTAACATGGTGAAACCCCATCTCTACTAAAAATACAAAAAATTAGCCAGGAATGGTGGCGGGCACCTGTAATCCCAGCTACTTGGGAGGCTGAGGCAGGAGAATGGCATGAACCCGGGAGGCAGAGCTTGCAGTGAGTGGAGATCGCACCACTGCACTCTAGCCTGGGTGACAGAACAAGACTCCATCTCAAAAAACAACAACAACAGCAACAAAATAACAAACAAACAAACAAACAAACAACCTCACGTGCTTGAGGTTTTTCACCCTTCTTTTCCCAGGGAGGATTCTAACTATTCCCCCTCACCTTCTGGAGGTCTCTTTCACTCCTTTCCTTTTGTTTTGCCCTCTCTTACCTCTAAGCCATATGAAATGATTACAGAATTTGCAGAGAGGACCCACTCACACCATACTCACGCATGCACACTCACACTCAACCTCCAGAATTTTGACCATCAAGGAAATACTTTGTCACCCCCTTGTGATGTTTCTTACCTTGGTATGTGCACAGAATTACCTGGTCACAGCAGTGTTGCAAGCCCTTCTTTCCCCGTGTTGCTAAGAGCCCGGGTTTATTCATTGCAAAGGATGGGTTTTGATCTCCAGCCCTTAAGGCCACCACAACAAGGCAGTGGGGTATGCCTCCCTGAGGGGGTGACCAAAGACCCCTTCTGAAAGGAGAATGGGAATCCCAGAGGAGCCTCCAGAACTGTTAGAAGTAAATGCTTATTCCTCAGTGCCACAAGGAAAAACTAGCATTCAGACAAAAAGTTTTCTCAGCAAGGCAATTTTACTTTCTGCAGAAAGGGTGCTACTTATCAGCAATCTTGCCATGAGAGCACACTGAACAAACAAATCAGGAATATTTATCCCTTACACATTGGATCCTTACTGCTGTGTCCTATCTCCATTGCTTGGAGTCTAAGTCTAAGCTAAATCCGATTGGCTAACAGTCACAGTCTAAGCTAAACCCGATTGGCTAACAACTTAAAACTTTCCTAAATAGGTAAAGGCAATGAAGAACAAAAGGAAAAGAGGAAGTTGCTTGCAAAAGGACTTAGAGAAGTAATAACATTTCCAAATAAGAAAGGGGCATAGGCTGTGAACTGGGACATGCCAATATCTTGGTTAAAGTACAAGGACATAGGATGTACTTATTTCCTTATATCTAACATCTACATAGGATAGGGCTTAATAAAGGGTTATTAGCAAAAAGCAAGAAGGCTTTGAAGGAAGTTAGTCTTTAAAAGAAACTATTATTTCTAACATTTATTATTTATTCTTTAACAAGAAGGGAAACTTTGAAGGAAGAGGAACTTTTTACTTTCCACATTTGCTAAAAGTTAGCAGTATAACATGTATTATCCTAACTTCTAATCTTGTGGCCTTAGGCAGCCTAGTCCACCGACATGAAGGAAGTTTGCTTTGGAGAAAACTAGTTATCATCTCTGACATTTAAAAAAGGAGAATTTATATAAAAAGAATCTTATATGGTAAATTCTTGTCCTAAAATAAATTAACTGGTTGTTTAAAGAAAGGGATGTTTGCAACAAGTCAGAAAGTTGAGGCATGTTGAAGATTATCTGTGAAAGTTGTGAAAAATGTTATAAAGGGGAATTTATGCAAGAAATGTTGTATAATTTAAAAGTAATTAGGCCTCCTGAATGTAAAACTATTGAAGAAACAGTTTATATGCAAGGTGTGTAAGGAAAGTAAAATATACTTTTGGTAAAAGGAGTATAAGAAAGTATAATAATGTGGATTTTTACCTACATTAAAAGGTTAAAAAAATGTGTTTTGAAGGTTTAAGCAAGCTTTGAAACGTTAATTGTAAAGGAAATTCTGTGTGTAAACATATTGGCTAAAGTTAAGGGGGTATCATCCAGTTTTTCTGCGAACTGGACATTAAAAAAAAGCACAACAGGTTTTTCTTAAAGCACTAAACTGCTCTTTAACAAAAATCATAAAGGGTTAAAAAGAGTAAAAATTTTACCTTATGGTCAGACATTAATATTGGATAAATAATGTCTACAAGATTTTATTAAAATTGAGCTTAACATTAATAGCACACTAATATAAAGGTAAAATTTAGCTTATCTGGTATAAAATCATACAGGAAGCATTGTCAAATATAAAGTGGTGTTTGGCTTTCTTTGGTTTAAAAACGAACAAAAATGGTGCTAAAGAAAATTCAGAAGGAAAATGGATATTGCTAGACCAGAGAGAAATGTTATCCAAACCCCTTATGAGGGAAATCTTGTCCCAACTACATCAAGAGACCCACTGGGGGCCCCAAGCCATGTGTAACACAGTCCTCAGAGTTTATAAGTGCATAGAAATGTGTACCCCGGCCAAACAGGTTACAGACAATTGCTTAGTAAAAGATTACCACTTGGGGGAAGGAGTCCAGGCTTAAGCCCATTCCAAAGTATCCAAATCGATTACACAGAGAAGCCTCCAACTGGTCGTCTAAAGTATTTATTAGTAATAGTAGATCACCTTACTCATTGGGTAGAAGCTATTCCCTTTTCAAGTACAAATGCTAATAATATAATCAAGGCATTAGTTAAAAATATTATACCCAGGTTTAGATTAATAGAAAACAGTGATTCAGATAATAGGACTCATTTCACAGCACATGTCACTAAGAAATTAGCACAGATACTGGATATAACATGGGGATATCATACTCTCTGGCATCCACCTTCATCAGGGAAAGTAGGAAGGCATATTACCCTGTGAAGAGTCCGAACTGCTCCCCCAAAAGACAGGCCTGTCCCCTTATGAGATGCTCTATGGATTGCCTTATCTACATTCTACTACTGATCTCTCTACATTTAAAACAAAAGAACAATTTCTCAGAAATTATATACTTGGTTTATCGTCTACTTTCCCTTCCCTCAGAACTAAAGGTCTTTTAGCACAGGTGCCACCCCTAGAGTTTCCAGCACACCAACATCAGCCTGGGGACCACGTCCCTGTCAAAAGTTAGAGAAAAGGAAAAATTAGAACCAGCCTGGGAAGGATCTTACCTAGCGCTCCTAACTACTGAAACTGCAGTCCGGACAGCAGAAAAAGGGTGGACCCCTCACACTCGAGTCAAGAAAGCGCCGCCCCCTCCACGGTCATGGACCATAGTCCCAGAGGAAAACCCTACCAAACTAAAGCTAAGAAAAATTTAACTCTCTTTCATCTATTCTATTACTTCTTTCCTCATTCTATTGCTGACCACCTAGTTATTAATGTAACCAAGCCAATTTTGCCTCAAAATATTACATTTGATGCTTGCTTTGTTATACGCTGTGGAGACTTGCCAAGTCAGAAGCAACTCTCTGCTTCAGAAAAGTATATTTATCCTCCCTAGCTCTCCTTAGACTGGAAATCTGTTAACTGGGATAGGTTAGTTTGAGAAGAGTTTGACGAAGATTCCAGTATAAACTGGGAATCTTGTCCTTCTACAGCAGAGCTTCTCTGCTGAAGTTGGTCCATATAAAATACTATATGGACCTATAAAATACTAAAGAGCGAGGATGGACTGCTCCAACTAGTACTTGCAGTTTCTTAAAACCATATGTTCATTTTACTAAAGGAGTTATCCCTCCACATTGTCAGCTGAACCAATGGAATCCAGTACAGATGACCATCGCTGCTCCCCAGAGTTCTTCCCCTCCATTAAGCCATTTCTATGGTATAGGGGCAGAAGTCTCAGGGAACAACCCCCATAGGATCCTTTGAAATGCGCTTCATTGCCGCCTCACCTCCTCCACCCCCTTCTCCCTCTCTTAAGTTCTCCGCTAACCAAACCTTCTCTTGTTATATACCCAATGATAAAACCAAAGTAGTTGTAGAGGTTAAAGATTTAAAACAAACTATAGCAATTGACACAGGGTATCAGGACACAAATGCTTGGCTTGAATGGATTAAATATTCTGTTCTCATGCTAAACAAAAGTGACTGTTAGACTTGTGTGACAGGCAGCCCAGAGACAGAGATTGTCCCCTTTCCACTTGGGTGGTCCTCTCACGGACCGGGCATGAGCTGTTATGGTAGCTCTCTTCCAAAACCCCACAGCCTGGGGTGATGAGTGATGGAAGACTCTTTCACTGCTGTTCCCTGAGGTTAAGAGCCCTGCGGGTCAGCCCCTGAGGTCCATCCAGCCTCCAGCCCCTGGTGTTTACTTCACCTCCTGCCTTTCATGGCAGAGGAAAAAGTTAGCATTCCTTGGAGACTTAACAGGGTGCAGTGAAACCAAGCCTTTTCAAGAGGTTACCCATCAGTCTGCCCTTGTTCATCCCCGAGCAGATGTGTAGTGGTATTGCAGGGGACTATTGCTGGGTACTCTGCCAAGTAATTAAAGCAGCACTCATGCTTTAGTCCAATTGGCCATCCCTTTCACCCTAGCATTCCGTCAACACGATTAAAAAAAAAAGAAAATCGTAAAAGAAGTGCTTCACATGGGTCCTTTGATTCCCATGTTTATATAAATGCTATTGGAGTTCCACCAGGAGTACCAGATAAATTTAAAGCCTGAAATCAAATAGCTGCAGGATGTAAGTCAATATTTTGGTGGGTAACAATTAATAAAAATGTAGATTGGATAAATTACATTTATTACAACCAACAGCAGTTTATTATAAACTACACTAGAGATGCTATTAAAGAAATAGCTGAGCAATTAGGGGCTACTAGCCAGATGGCTTGGGAAAATAGAATAGCCTTAGACATAATGTTAGCAGAAAAAGGAGGAGTTTGCATCATGATTAAAACTCAATGTTGTACCTTCATCCCAAACAATATTGCTCCTGATGGAAGTATAACAAAGGCATTGCAAGGTCTAATTGCTCTATCTAACGAGTTAGCCAAAAACTCAGGAGTAAATGACCGCTTCACCAGGTGGCTAGAAAAATGATTCAGTAAATGGAAAGGAATCATAGCCTCAATTCTTACTTCTCTTGCAGCCATAATAGGTATAGCCATTCTTTTCAGGTGTTGTGTCATACCATGCATCCATAGGCTGGTGCAGAGGCTCATAAAGGCAGCACTTACTAAAACCTCCTTTAATTCTCCTCCACCTTATTCAGAGAAGCTTTTTCTTTTAGAGAATCAAGCAGAACAACTAAGCCAAGACATGTTAAAGAAGTTTGAAGAGAAACAACTGTAAAATTTCAAGATGGGGGATTGTTAAAGATAGTGAACTCCAAGTTTCTTTTCAAAGAATCAGTATGTCAGTATGTTCAGCTCTCTTATTCTTTATTCTCCATTTTTAAGTCTAACTTCCTGGTTCTCTTGCCCTCCCCCCTTGCCTCTAGTTTCAGTAAACAACTTTCCTGCCAGTTCTAATCAGTAGTTCACATCTGTTCCCCTGGTCACCTGCTTTGACCCGAGTCACCCCTGGCCACCTGCTCCATCTTGAGTCACCCCTGTCACCTGCTCTGACCTGAATCATCCTGAGTCACCTGTTCTATAACTGCCCTTCCTGCCAAACTACTCACCCTGACACTCTGGCTCGTACCCCTGCTCTCTTTAAAATACCCCATCAGAATTAGCTTAGACTGTGCGGTCCAATCCTAGCCAATAGGGGAATGACACAACAGCAGGGGCTACCTGCATCAGGAATAAGAACCACTTCCCTTCCCTTGTTCAGGCATGCTTTCGCCATTACTCCATCCGCAAGTCGCACCCTTCTATAGAAGTAAAAATTGCCTTGCTGAGAAAATTAAATTTATGTTCAAGTGCATTTCTTTGCAGCATCGAGGAACAAGCATTTGTTACTAACACCCTGAACGACCAATAACAAGCAACAGGATTGAAATGGTAAGAAAAAGTTAGCTACAAAAAAAAGTCCAGGATCAGACAGATTCACAGATGAATTCTACCAGACTTTCAAAGAAAAATTGGTACCAATCCTGTTGACACTATTCCACAAGATAGAGAAAGAGGAAATCCTACCCAAATCATTCTATGAAGCCAGTATCACCCTAATACTAAAACCAGGGAAGGACATAACCAAAAAAGAAAACTACAGACGAATATCCCTGATGAACATAGATGCATAAATCCTTAACGAAATACTAGCTAACTGAATCCAACAACATATGAAAAAGATAATCCACCATGATCAAGTAGGTTTCATACCAGGGATGCAGGGATGGTTTAAAATATGCAAGTCAATAAATGTGATACACCACATAAACAGAATTTAAAACAAAAATCACATGATCATCTCAATAAATGCAGAAAAAGCATTTGACAAAATTCAATATCACTTTATGATTAAAACCCTCAGCAAAATCAGCGTACAAGACCCATACCTCAATGTAATAAAAGCCATCTATGACAAACCCACAGCCAACATAATACTGAATGGGGAAAAGTTTAAAGCGTTCCCTATGAGAACTGTAACAAGACAAAGATGCCCACTCTCACCACTTTTCTATTTAACATAGTACTGGAAGTGCTAACCAGAGCAATCAGACAAGAGAAAGAAATAAAGGGCATCCAAATTGGTAAAGAGGAAGTCAAACTGTCCCTGTTTCCTGATGATACGATCATATACCTAGAAAACCCTAAAGACTCCTCCAAAAAGCTAGATAAATGAATTCAGCAAAGTTTCAGGTTACAAAATCAATGTACACAAATCAGTAGCTCTCCTATACATCAACAGCGACTAAGCTGAGAATCGAATCAATAACTCAACCCCTTTTACAACAGCTGAAAAAAAACTCAGGAATATACCTAACCAAGGAGGTGAAAGACCTCTACAAGGAAAACTACAAAACACTACTGGAAGAAATCATAGATGACACAAACAAATGGAAAGACATTCCATGTTCATGGATGGGTAGAATCAATATTGTGAAAATGACCATACTGCCAAAAACAATCTACAAATTCAATGCAATTTCCAGCAAAATACCACCATCATTTTTTTTTTTTTTTTTTTTTTTTGAGACGGAGTCTCACTCTGTCACCCAGGCTGGAGTGCAGTGGTGCGATCTCGGCTCACTGCAAGCTCCGCCTCCTGGGTTCACGCCATTTTCCTGCCTCAGCCTCCCAAGTAGCTGGGACTACAGGTGCCCGCCACCACGCCCGGCTAATTTTTTTTTTATTTTTAGTAGAGACAGGGTTTCACTGTGTTAGCCAGGATGGTCTCAATCTCCTGACCTTGTGATCTGCCTGCCTCAGCCTCCCAAAGTGCTGGGATTACAGGTGTGAGCCACCACGCCCAGCCCATCATTCTTCACAGAACTAGATAAAATAATTTTAAAATTCATATGGAACCAAAATTCATTTATAGCCAAAGCAAGACTAAGCAAAAAGAACAAATCTGGAGGCATCACATTACTGGATTTTAAACTATTCTATAAGGTCATAGTCACTAAAACAGCATGGTAATGGTATAAAAATAGGCACTTAGACAATAGAACAGAATAGAGAACCCAGAAATAAACCCAAATACTTACAACCAACTGATCTTCAACAAAGCAAACAAAAGCAAAAAGTGAGGAAAGGACCCTCTATTCAACAAATGATGCTGGGATAATTGGCAAGCCACAGGTAGGAGAAAGAAACTGGATCCTTATCTCTCACCTTATACAAAAATCAACTCAAGATAGATCAAGGAGTTAAATCTAAAACCTGAAATTATGAATATTCTAGAAGATAACGTCAGAAAAAATCTTTGTAGACATTGGCTTAGGCAAGGATTTAATGACCAAGAACCCCAAAGCAAATGCTATAAAAACAATGATAAATAGGTTGGACTTAATTAAATGAAAGAGCTTTAGAACAGCAAGAGGAACAGTCAACAGAGTTAACAGACAACCCACAGAGTGAGAGAAAATCTTTACAATCTATACATCTGACAAAGGACTAATACCCAGAATCTACAACAAACTCAAACAAATTAGCAAGAAAAAAGCAAACAATCCCATCAAAAAGTGGGATAAGGACATGAATAGACAATTCTTAAAAGAAGATATGCAAATGGCCAACAAACATATGAAAAAATGCTCAAGAACACTAATGATCAGGGAAATGCAAATCAAAACCACAATGCAATACCACCTTACTTCTGCAAGAATGGCCATAATAAAAAAATAACAGTTGTTGGTGTGGATGCAGTGAAAAGTAAACACTTCTACATTGCTGATGGTAATGGAAACTAGTACAACCACTATAGAAAACAGTGTGGAGATTTCTTAAAGAACTGAAAGTAGAACTACCATTTGATCCAGCAATCCCACAACTGGGTATCTACCCAGAGGAAAAGAAATCATTCTATGAAACAGATAACTTGCACACGTATGTTTATAGCAGCACAGTTGCAAAAATGTGGAACCTACCCAAATGCCCACCAATCAATGAGTGGATAAAGAAACTGTGGTATATATATATGACGGAATACTACTCAGCCATATAGGAATGAATTAATGGCATTCACAGCAACCTGGATGGGATTGGAGACTATTATTCTAAGTGAAGTAACTCAGGAACGGAAAACCAAACATCGTGTGTTCTCACTCATAAGTGGGAGCTAAGCTGTGAGGATGCAAAGGCAGAAGAATGACACAAGGACTTTGGGGACTCAGTGGGAAAGTGTAGGAAGTGGGTGAGGGATAAAAGACTACAAATTAAATTCAGCGTATACTGCTCAGGTTACGTATGGGTGCACCAAAATCTCACAAATCACCACGAAAGAACTTGCTCATGTAACCAAATACTACCTGCTCCCCAAAAACCTATGGAAATGAAAAACTAAAAGAAAAAAAAAAGAAATACTTGTCAAAAAAATGAATGAGTGAATGAATGAACATGTATAATAGACACATTAGCTCTCCTGGGTAGCTTCCTCTGTAAGGAGGAACTGAAGCCTGATAAAACACTGGCATTTTGTAATAATGAATATTCTTTAAAGCCTCAGTTCCCTTGCCTATAAAAGAGAAAATTGTATAGTACGTACTTAACAGAATTATGTGAGGATTTAATGAGACATGTCACATAAAGAGCTTATCACAGTGTCTGAAACTTAGAAGTCACTCAACTAGTGGTAGTGATTATTATGAAGAATCATATGTGGTATGTGGTGTTTGTTATAAGTCTATAGGTTTAGTCATAAAGTCTTGCATTTGAAATTAAGAAGAGGAAAAATAAAGCCAACATCAGAGATGTCAGAACAGGGAGATGACAAGAAATCAGGCTCTTGGTGACACTGTCAAACAGCTTAATCAAGTCTCATCTGATGCCAGACCTACCTCTGACCTTCTTAGTCACACGAATCAATAAATTTTCTTTACTTTTTAAAGCACTTTGAATTGGGCTTTCTGTTGGCTATACTTCAAAGCGTCCTAAGTGATACACAAGGTCATGAGCCAAAACACATGTTTAATCAATCCATACAACAAACATTTAATCAGCACCTACACTATACCAAGTCATTAGACAGACTCAAAGGTTAATAGAGGCCAGATGCAGTAGCTCGTGCCTGTAATCCCAGCACTTTGGGAGGCCAAGGTGGGTAGATCACTTGAGGTCAAGAGTTAGAGACCAGCCTGGCCAACATGAAAATACAAAAATTAGCCAGGTGCCGTGGTGCACACCTGTAGTCCCAGCTACTCAGGAGGCTGAGGCAGGAGAATTGCTCCAACCTGGGAAGTTGAGGTTGCAGTGAGCCAAGATGCCAAGATCATGCCACTGCACTCCAGCCTGGTGACACAGCGAGACTCTGTCTTAAAAAAAAAAAAAAGAAGGTTAATAGAACTCTGCCCTCCTGGAACCCACTCCATCCAGTAAGAAAGACAGAAAAGAACATAATATCACCATACTTTGTGTGGTTTGATGTGATGTGATGGATACATTGGGTCAGCACCTCCTTCTAGCATGCTATGCCAGGGTCCCTGGCAGCCAGGACTCTGACAATTAAGACTCAGCCAATCAGATTCAGTCACACAAGATGTAGAAAATGGAAGGAAGGTGAAGGCCATCTTCCTGTTGTTTTTGCCATTTCTGCTAACAACACAGTTGTGAAGACATCTGGTTTTTCTGTCGTACAGTTGGTAAAGATGTGGTTTTCCTAGCTTAGTGGACATCAAGAATAAGACATGAACACGCATTTATTCTGCTGCCAAGGACTGTGGCAGGCGTGGTGTGATGGTGTGGCACATTAGTAGCAGCCTCCTGATAATGGCGGCTCCCTGGTGGTAGCTGTGATGCATTCTGGAGCCGGTGGCTTTCTGATTACAGCAGTTTTCTTGATGACCTAGTCCCGGGAGTTATTCCTGAAACTTCAACTCAAAGTCTGTTTCTTCAGCCTTTGGTGAAGTCTTTATTTTTTTAAACCAGTTTGAATAGGGCTTTCTGTTGGCTATAGTTCAAAGCATCCTAAATGATACACAAAGCCATGAGCCAAAAACACATGTTTAATTATTTAACACCCTAATAAACTCCTTTCTACCTAAACCAGCTAATGTGGATCATGTTGTATGACACCACCATTTAACCTTCCAAAGCCACACCATTGGATAAACTGTTGACATTCCCTTTCACCAGCTTACCTCCACTCATTTCCAATCCATCACCAAGCCCTGTTGATTTCACCTCCATCCTCTTCCTCCACGACCACTACCCTCATCCAGGCCACCATCATCTCCTCTTGGTTTGCCAATATTCTTCTACACATTCCCCTGGATCCACTCCGCCACCAATCCATCGTCCACAATGCATCCAGAGTGAGCATTTCTGAAGGAAAATCTGAGGCTCATTTAAAATCCTCCAATAACCAGAACAGAGAGCCCAGACACAGTAATACATATACAACTACCTGATTGATGACAGTTCTCCTGTGGGAGGGAAGGGATTGTCTTTTCCGTAAGTAGCGCTGGGTCGATATGGAAAAACATGGACTTTGATTTCTACTTCACACTATAACAAGAAGTAATGAGATACATCATAATCATATCCCTAAACGTAAAAACAAAACAATAAAGATTCCAGAAGAAAAAATAAAATAATATCCGACCTTGGAGGGGGCAAAATTTTCTTAATAAAGGCAAAATAAGCGTCATAAAAGAAAAGATTTAGTCCAGGTGCGGTGGCTCACGCCTGTAATCCCAGTGCTTTGGGAGGCCAAGGCGGGCAGATCACCTGCGGTCAGGAGTTCAAGATCAGTCTGGCCAACATGGTGAAACCCCGACTCTAGTAAAAATATAAAATTTAGCTGGGTGTGGTGGCACGTGCCTGTAATCTCAGCTACTTGGGAGGCTGAGGCAAGAGAATTGCTTGAACCTGGGAGGCAGAGGTTTCAGTGAGCCAAGATCGTGCCATTGCACTCCAGCCTGGGCAACAAGAGTGAAACTCCATCTCAAAAATAATAATAATAATAATAAATAATTTTAAAAACTAAAGAAAATGTTAAAAATTAGACTTCTTTGAAATTAAGAATCACTGTTCATCAGAAGACAACATTAAGAGGGTGAAAAGATAAGACAGAGATTATGAGAAGATATTTGCAAAATATATATCCACCAAGGACTCACTTCCCATGTATCTGCTACAAATCAGCAGGGAAAAAACCTCCCAATTTAAAAATGGGCTAAAGAGTTAAATAGGCACTTTACACACAGCAAAAAAGGATATTCAGTAGTCCAATAAGCATATGAAACAGTGTCCAACGTCAGTGGTCATGAAGGAGATGCAGATTAAAATCACAAGATACTTCTATACCCCTGCTTTGGACCTCGGCTCACCCCTAACGGAAGTGCGTGACATTGGCTATCTTTCTATCATGGCCCTTGACACATTTACAACGTACACGTTTGTGTGGCTACTGGATTTACGTCCACCTCCTCCACCAGATCTCAGCCCCCTAATGGCAAGTGTGACATCTGCTGCTGATCCTTGTGTAAACAAGGCCTGCTATAGAATAGGTGTGTGACGCACCGCTAGTGGATGAATGAATGAAGGAATGAAAAAGGCACTATCATTGCCATTTTACAGATCAGGAAACTGAGTCTCCTTTGTTTGAGAAATTTGTCCAAAGTCCCATTACTCGCCTGTGGTTACTATTGCACTTCAGGGTTCAGATCCTACTAGGGAGTAGATGAGTTGTCCTGCCTTGGTTACTGAAAGTTCTAAAGACTCTCAGTGGGGGTGGCATCTTATTCAGATGTTCCTAGGTGATCTGAACAGAAAAGCCTTGTAAGTATAGTAAGATGAGGGCGTGGCTCAGGCTGATCTGTCCTAGGCACAAGCCAAGTTAAGATTTTGTTGTTGTGGTCCAATTCAGGAAGAGACCTGCCTAGTGGACATTCTGGTTTTCTGCTCAGGGGAGAGTCAGGGTGAAGGAGGTCACAGTGTCCTCCCTTGCACCTCTCTGAGCAGCCACTGGCATGGTGTAGCCTGATTTCCGTGTGAGACATCCACACATTCACAAACACAATTTTAGATACCACTCCTAGGTGTATACCCAAGAGATATGAAAACAGATGTTCAAATAAAAACCTGTGCATGCATGTGTACAGCAGCATTTTTCGTAACAGTTAAAAAGTGAAACAACCCAATAATTTATCAAAGGACGATGAATGGACAAACAAAATGTGGATATTCATACAGTGGAATATTATGCAGCCATAGAAAGGAATGAAGTAGGCTGGGCGCAGTGGCTCATGCCTGTAATCTCAGCACTTTGGGAGGCTGAGGTGGGCGGATCACGAGGTCAGGAGATCGAGGCCATCCTGGCTAACACGGTGAAACCCCGTCTCTACTGAAAATACAAAAAAAACCCAAAAAATTAGCCAGGTGTGGTGGCAGGCGCCTATAGTCCCAGCTACTCCAGAGGCTGAGGCGGGAGAATGGCGTGAACCCGGGAGGCAGAGCTTGCAGTGAGCTGAGATCGCGCCACGGCTCTCCAGCCTGGGCAACAGAGCAAGACTCTGTCTCAAAAAAAAATTAAAAAAAAAAAGAAAGGAATGAAGTAGTGCAATATGGATGAACCTTAAAAACATTATACTAAGTGAAAGAAGCCAGACAAAAAAGGTCACAGAGTGTATGATTCCATTCATATAAAATATCCAGAATAGGCAAACCCACAGAAACAGGAAGCAGATTAGCGGTTGCAAAGGCTGAGGGGAGCGGGAATGGGGAGTGATTGCTTCATTGATATGAGGTTTTCTTCTGGGGTGAGGAGAATGTTTTGGAACTGGATAGAGGCGATGGTTGCTTAACATTGTGAATGTACTCAATACTACTGAATTGTATCTTCAAAATGGTAAATTTTGTTATGTGAGGGGAACCCTGGCTCTAACTCAGAACCCCCTGCAGCATGGGGCAAAGGCACAGAAAAGTGGGGTGAATGGATATCGAATGTCAGTCCATCGAATGCATTGCTGTGTGCAAGTATGCTCATGTCCATGTGTGTACACATGCTATGTGCACGTGTGTGCATATGTGCATGCATGCATGTGTGTGTGAATCTGTGTGTGTGTGTGTGTGTGTGTGTGGTGGGAGGGCACTTGGGCCAGTAGTAGGCCATTGAGACCAGAGGGAAAGAGGCATTCTCAAAGAGACCACCACAGACTCTTCTTCTGTGAGGACCTGGACCAGAGCTCCTAAGGGCCATTGGGCCAAGACAGGAAACAGACGTTAGCTGTCAAATTGCCTAAAACTACCCCTTATTTTACTAATGAGAAAAGCCAGGCCAGAAGAGTTCTACCCCTTGCCCAGGGCCACACTGCAAGTCAGTGGCACTGACTTAAACCCCAGCCAGCTCTCCAGGATTAAGGTCCATGTTTTCCACTTGAGGTGTGACTAGGGTCCTAGGTTTCACCCGGCGTGGGGCGGGGGGGCGGGTCCTCCCACTTTGGGCACCCAGCCCTGAGGACACCCAACAGTGCCAGGCCTCCATCCACCGCCCTCTGGCTGCTCAGCAGATCCTGGATCCTGGTGGTTCGGGGGCATGTTCCAATGTACTTCAACAACAGCAAACATTTACAGATGTCTGCTCTCTGCCAGTCCCCAGGGAGTGGAAGGTGACAGAATGCATCAGTTATGATTCCTCCCCAAACTTGTGCAATCCCTAGGCTTGTGGGGGCATTAGGTAAACAATCTCACCAGAGTCAAGAGGCCAACAAGGAGGCAAAGGTCCCTGAGAGGGCATCTCGACTGCTATCAAAGAGGAAACTGAGTCTCAGAATATCCCTGACCTGGCTGAGGCCACCCAACCCAGATGCAGCTGAGCCTAGAATTTGAACCTGATAACCTACAGGTCACATTTGGCAGGCTTCCAACCAGGGGAAGGTCTTGTGATTCACAGCAATATCCTGTCCCTGAATAAAGAATCTTATCACAAGTCCCTCAAATCTTACGTGACTTCCTCCAACTGTTGACGTGCTGATTAATATGTAACCTACTGACATGGAAAAGGACACTGATTTGTGTCTGAATCATGAAGTTTACTGGCTTACATGTAGAGCATTTTCTTCCATGTGATATAACCTGTTGTCAATCATTGTAACCTCTGTATCGTGCCCTCCAAAGAGAAAGGGCAAATCTGAAATGAGGAACCCCCTGCCCCTTTTCCTAAACTTTCTTATAAAAGCAATCCCACTCGTTACAGACTTGGAAAGATGCCTAATTGTGTTGGTGTGTCTTCCAGGTCAATCTTCACATTTGGTTTCTGACAAACTTTTACCAAATTACTTCTGCCTCAACAGCCTTAATTTCAGTCAACAAACCCAACATATTTGAGTCCAAACCCATGCTTTTAGAATATAGAAGGTAGCAGAGCACAGAGTGTGGACTTAGGTGTCACCTAGACTTGTGTCCAAATCCTAGGCTCAGAACCTTATTGGCTGTGTGCCTTGGGTGACACTTCTCCTTGCCTTAGTTTTCTCATACATGAAATAGAACCATGAATATGTCTACTTCAGGGAGTGGGTGGGAGAGTTAGTTGAGATAACACATGGAAGTGGTTGAGCCACTGTCTGGCACATAACAAGTGCTCAGTAAGTATGAACTGTTTACCTTATGCCCTCAACCCGCCAGCCCCAGACTTTTCAGACTGTAAGAGAGGGTAGAGGCCAGGTGGCTACTCCAGGATCTTCCAAGGGGCACAAGTCAGGTCCCTCTTCCAGGCTGACCTTGTGTACAGGAAAGACTTTAAGCTTGCCAAAAAGAGTTCTGGCCTTTGTCCTTGGTAAGTAATCTCTGTTTGTCTGGGGATCTTGGGCTATCCAGATAGCAACATTTTGATGTAGAGTGGGAAGACCAACCACATGATTTAGGGTAGGAGCTCTGGGTCACACTATCTCAGTTGACCTGGAGACTGAAATCAACCACATGGGCAATCAGTCAATGATGCCTGCATAATGGAGGCCCAATAAAAACTCTGAACTCCAGAGCTCAGGAGAGCCTCCATGGTTGACAATACTCCATGCACATCATCATACATGGATGCTGGGAAGTAACGCATCCTGGCTTCAGGGAGAGAGGACAGTGGGAACTCTGCATCTGATACTTCCCTAGACTCTGTTCTGTGCACATCTTCCCTTAACTGATCTTAATCTTTATCCTTTCCCTGTAATAAACCATAACTCTCAGCCCAATAGCTTTCAGTGGATTCTGTGAGTCCCTCTAGTGAATAATAAAACTTAAGGATGGTTTTGGAAATTCCTGGACTTGCAATTGGTGTCAGAAGTGAAGGTGGGCCTGGCCAACATGGTGAAACCCCGTTTCTATTAAAGATACTAAAAATTAGCCTAAAATTAGCCAGGTGTGGTGGTGGGTGCCTGTAATCCCAGCTACTCGGGAGGCTGAGGCAGGAGAATCACTTGGAAACAGAAGGCAGAGGTTGCAGTGAGCTGAGATCGCACCACTGCACTGCAGCCTGGGCAACAGGGTAAGACTGTCTCAAAAAAAAAAAAGAAGATGAGAGGGTGGTTGGCTGGGCATGGTGGCTTATGCCCATAATCCTAACATTTTGGGAGGCCAAGGTGGGTGGATTGCTTGAGCCCAGGAGTTGGGGACCAGCCTGGGCAACATGGCAGAACTTCATCTCTAGCTAAAAAAAAAAAAAAAAAAGGAAGAGAAGAAGAAGTGAGGGTGATCTTGTGGACTGTGTTCCCTCTCAGCTATATAGTTGGCCAAACGCTTGCACCCTGGCATGTTAAACAAATGAGAAAGTGACCGGGTTGTCCAGAACAGCTCATGGTCAAAGAAAATGTATCCAAACCCTGCACGGAGTGCTTTAAGTGCTGTGTGTCTCTATGTCTCTCCAGCAAGTCTGTGGGGTAGGAGCTCATCATCCCTTTTACAGACAAGGAAGCTGGGGCTCAAAGAGGTGAGGTAAGGGGAGGAGCCGGATGTGAGCCCGGGCCTGCCTGACTCCACACTCAGGATCTGACCACCATATGGTACTGTCCTCTCCCAAGGGCCCTTCTACGCTCACAAGCTAAGATGTCACTAGTCTGGGACCTCTTGAGAAGTCAAATGGAGAAAGGCTGAGCCTTTTCAGAGCAGGGTGGTATCAGGCCTCTTTGGTGACCCCATGACAACATCTTCATCACTCTCAACAGCCTGATCACAGTACTTGGCCCTGCGTCAGGACTTGCAAACACAAATGACTTCATGGGCCAGACAGGTCCCTTAAAGGGTGAAACACCAGGTGAACACTGAGGAGGAGCAGTGGGAAGTGGGGCAGATGGAGAAGGTGCTCCGTGGCCAGGTATCACAGTCTGTGTTGAGTTCTTGTTTGATTTTTTTTTTTCAGAAGCAGAGTCTGTTGTCCAGGCTGGAGTGCAGTGGCACAATCATAGCTCACTGCGGCCTTGAACTCCTGGGCTCAAGCGACCCTCCCACCTCAGCCTTTCAAGTAGCTGGGACTACAGGCACACGCCACCATGCCCAGCTAATTTTGGTATTTTTTGGTAGAGGCGGGGTTTTGCTATGTTGCCCAGGCTGGTCTCAAGCTCCTGGCCTCAAACAATCTTCCCACCTTGGCCTCCACAAGTATTGGGATTACAGGCATGAGCCACTGCGCCCTGCCTGTTCTTGTTTTTTTATACACAGCGAGGGCCAAACCAGACATGCCTTTGGGGCCCAGCCTGTGACCTCTGAACCACATAACCCTGCCCTTCTCCCTTCTGCAGCTTCACCCCAAACCGCAGAGCTCCAGCCCCTACACTTTGCACCGGCGCTGTCCTCTCCCTGCAGAGCCTCTACAGGTGCTGTTCCCTGCCTGCACTCTCCCCAGGCTCTGTGCCCCTCTGGGCTCTCACCATTTCTGCAAGTCTCAGCTTCACAGTCATTTCTCAGAATTGTCCTCTGACCCTGCACACCTCAGTAAATAGAGCTCAGGCCTCTTGACCCAGCCCAGGGCTCCTCCTCTCCCAATTCCTTTATAAACTCACCACTCCTGCCCCCAGGCTTTCCCATGGCTGCTGCAGAATCAACTAATGTTCATTCAGATGGTCAGCCAGTCAATCAAGAAACCCGACGCTTGCTGAATACCTTCTCTTTATCAGGCTCTGTTCTAGGCACTGGGAAACTATAAACAACAAAGATAGATTCTCACCCTCATCGACCACATGAGGAGTCAGAGAATATAAATAGATACATAATTACACCCAGTAACAAAGGCCATGCAGACCTGGGCAACATAGTGAAACCTCATCTGTACTAAAAATAAAAATAAAAAAATTAGCCAGGTGTGGTGATGTGTGCCCGTAGTCCTAGCTACTCAGGAGACCAAGGCAAGAGGATCGCTTGAGCCTGGGAGGTTGAGGCTGCAATGAGCTATGATACCACCACTGCACTCCAGCCTGGGTGACAGAAAGATTCCATCTCAAAACAAGAAGGAAAAAAGGCTATGCAGAGAATACAGAATGGGCTAATTAGACTAGGGGTCAGGGTCTCCATCTCCCTCTTCTGTTTCGAATTCCTTTCTCTGTACACTAGCAGGTTTGCTATAGGGATTAAAGCTCCTTGCTCCAAGGAGGGGCACATAGAACTGTTCCATAAACATTGGCTCCTGTTATCATTTTCCCCCCACATCCTGCCATCTGTCATTCACAGCCACCTCCAGAGGGGCAAAAGGCAGGTGTCCCTGGAGGGAGAGGAAAGACTAAGGTGACCTCATCGGTCAGCCTAGCCTTCTGTCTTAGTACCTGAGGACTGATAGCCGGGGAAAGGAAGGGGCTATATCTTCTTTGGCCCCCACTCTCCCCAGCATGGTGCTAGGCCCTTTACAGACGTGCTCTCACTGACACAGGCAGCATGCCATGGGGTGGATGCTACTACAATCTCCATTCTGCAGATGGGGAAACTGAGGCCCAGAGAGTCCCTAGCAGCTGGGGGGCAAAGCTGAGAGATGAGAACTTAGAGGATCTCGGCTCTGAAGCCCATGTTCTTCCTGGAGCCTGGCAAGCTTCCAGAATCACCACAGCCGCAGATGGTAGCAATAACAAAACAAAACAACAAAACACTGAAGGCAGCATAGGTGCCCATCAATTGAGGATTAGTTACATAAACAATGGAATATTCATTCCATAGAATCCTATGCTGCTGCTTGAAAAAAGTCAAGTAGATAAATGCTTTTCATACTCCTGTACTGTTTAAGTGGGGCTTTATTTAAAAACAATAAACCTGCAGCCAGGTGTGGTGGTTCACACCTGTAATCCCAACACTTTGAGAGACCGAGGCGGGCAGATCACTTGAGGTCAGGAGTTTGAGAGCAGCCTGCCCAACATGGTGAAACCCTGTCTCTACTAAAAATACAAAAAATAGCCGGGCATTGTGGCGCATCCCTGTAATCCCAGCTACTCGAGAGGCTGAGGCACAAGAATCACTTGCACCTGGGACGCAGAGATTGCAGTGAGCCAAGATCGCACCATTGCACTCCAGCCTGGGCAACAGAGTGAGACTCTGTCTCAAAAAAGAAAAAGTAAAAACAAACAAACCATAAACTTGCATTATATCTAAAATTATTTTAAAGTGGATATGAGGCCTGGCGCAGTGGCTCATGACTATAATCCCAGCATTTTGGGAGGCTGATGTGAGTGGATCACCTGAGGTCAGGAGTTTGAGACCAGCCTGACTAACATGGTGAAACCTGGTATCTACCAAAGAAAAATAATAATAATAGAAAAGTTAGCCAGGCATGATGGCATGCGCCTGTAGTCCCAGCTACTCGGGAGGCTGAGGCATAAGAATCGCTTGAACCTGGGAGGCAGAGGTTGCAATGAGTGGAGATCGCACCACTGCACTCCAGCCTGGGCAACAGAGCGAGACCCTGTCTAAAAATAAAATTAAATTAAAAATAAATCAATAAAGTGGATATGACAATTCACAGGTGTGCAAGAAACAGCATCATTCATTTGCTTTATATCAACATTTTCTCTCCCTTTTTTTGGAAACAGTCTCACTGTGATGCCCAGGCTAGAGTGCAGTGGCACAATCTCGGCCCACTGCAGCTTCGACCTCCTGGGCTCAAAGGACCCTCCCACCTCAGCCTCCCAAGTAGCTGGGACTACAGGTGCATGCCACTACACTTGGCTGATTTTTTTGTGTTTAATAGAGATGAAGTCTCGCTATGTTGCCCAGACTGGTCTCAAGCTCCTGGGCTCAACTGATCCTCCTGCCCCTGCCTCCCAAAGTGCTGGCATTACTGGCGTGAGCCACTGCACCTGGCCCATTTGCTTTGCATCAACTTTCTATCCAAATTTTCCATCCCACCATGCTGGTGGGAAATTCAACCTCAGCCCATTCATCATTCTCTCTGACACACACACATCCCTCACCAGGACAGAGCAAAAGTCCTGGGGTCACCTGTGGCAGCAAGTCAGTGGGCAGAGTGGGAAGAACCCAGCACCATTGGACACCAATCCACACTGGTTACTGCCAAAATACCCACTGTCCCAGCCCACCAGGCGCACTGTAGGGCTGGGCTGGAGACTATGCTTCTCTCTCTCGAGGTCTCCAGCTGTGCCTCACTCTCTCCTCTCCCTCCAGGAAGCCCCTGTGCTGCCTCCATCACTGCCCCATCCCTCATTACCCAGGAGCTCCTCAGTGAACCCAGGCTTTTGGAAACCAGAGTTAGGAGAGGAGTTATATTTTGCAGGTAACCCTCTCCTACTTGCTGCACCTCCACAAACTTCCCCCAAAAGGGGGAAGGAGGCCCAAAACCTTCAAAAAACTATTTTGTCATAATTTATCCTACTGGTAAATACATATGTATATTATACAAACATATCTAATACACATATGTTTATAAATATACACATTGATATGGGGAGGTTGTGCACACATAATACATTATTGGCAGCCAATGTCCCTGAGTAATGGAGACAGGTTTCTCCTGTTTGTTATTTTTATTTTCACTAAAATGAATGACCATCTCACAAGTCATATCAGTTAGCAATACATTCAGTTGCAAGGAACGTAATACTCAACTAAGAGGGGCTTGCATGTATTGGGGTTTGTTTTCCTCCTCACATAACAGGCATCTGGAGTCAAGGACAGCAGAGATGATGTAGCGACTTAAAGATGCATCAAAGACCTAGACTCTTCCTTTTTCAAGACAGGGTCTGGCTCTGTCGCCCAGGCTGGAGTGCAGTGGCACAATCACAGCTCACTGCAGCCTCGACCTGCCAGGCTCAAGCGATCCTCCCACCTCAGCCTCCCAGGTAGTTGGAACTACAGGCACACGCCACCACGCCTGGCTAATATTTTTTTTCTTTTGAGACAGTCTCGCTCTGTCGCCCAGGCTGGAGTGCAGTGGCAAAATCTCAGCTCACTGCAAGCTCCGTCCCCCGTGTTCACGCCATTCTCCTGCCTTAGCCTCCCAAGAAGCTGGGACTACAGGCACCCGCCACCATGCCCAGCTAATTTTTTGTATTTTTAGTAGAGACAGGGTTTCACCGTGTTAGCCAGGATGGTCTCAATCTCCTGACCTCTTGATCCGCCTGCCTCGGCCTCCCAAAGTGCTGGGATTACAAGTGTTTTGTTTCTTTTTTGTTTGTTTATTTGTTTTTGAGACGGAGTCTTGCTCTGTCGCCAGGCTGGAGTGCAGTAGTGCAATCTCGGATCACTACAACCTCTGCCTCCTGGGTTCAAGCGATTTTCCTACCTCAGCCTCCTGAGTAGCTGGGATTACAGGTGTGCACAACCACACCCAGCTAATTTTTGTATTTTAGTAGAGATGGGGTTTCACCATGTTGGTCAGGCTGGTTTCAAACTCCTGACCTCGTGATCCACCCACCTCGGCCTCCCAAAGTGCTGGGATTAAAGGCATGAGCCACCGCGCCCAGCCCAAATGTTTTATTTTTCGTAGAGATGGGGTCTCACTGTTGTCCAGGCTGGTCTTGAACTCCTGAACTCAAGTGATCCTCCTGCCTCTGCCCCCCAAAGTGTTGGGGTTACAGGCATGGGGTTACAGGGGAAGGAGGTTCAGGCTGCTCTGAAGGTTACAGGCATGAGCCACTGCGCCCAGCCAACTTCCTATTTTTCTGAACACCATCTTCTCCAGGTTGGTTTCTCATCCTCAGACTTGTTGCCTCATTGTCCCAAGACAGCTGCTGCAGCCCCAGGTACTGTGGTTGTGTCCAAAGAGGAGAAGGAAGAAGCAGTGCTGTGTAATACGAAAGCAAGAACTCCCGGAAATATCCATGAACATTTCCACTTAGATCTAATTAGGCTGAAGGCGTCTAACTCTGAGGGAAGCTGCAAAGTGACCACCCGGCTTTTCCAGCCTCAGTGATGGAGGCAGGAAAGGGCACGGGGGTTGGGAATGGCAGGCTCGTCACATGCATCACACTGCCTCTGTTCCTGACATGATCTATAAGCTTTGCACTCACTCTGCCCAGATACTCATTCCACAGCCTGGGTCCAAAGATGCGCCAGGACAGGCAGGGCTGAGGCTGCCACTGGTATTTCTGCAGTGACAGCAGCCCAGGCCTGGGGACTGCGGCACAGTGTCCAGGGGCACAGCATGGGCCCTCAGGGCTGAGGACAGCGTTTTCCCCATTACCAGTCCAGCAGGGAAGCCCAATGTGTCAGGGGCTGGCAGACAAAAAGAGTGGGATCCTACGGGCCTCTCCCACCTACTGACAAAGGAGGGGAGGTGACCAAGGAGAGTAAAGGAAAGAGAAGTGACAGAGAGGATGATGGAGAAGAGGAGGTGACTGAGAAAGAGAAGGTGATGGAGAACAGGAGGTGGAGGAAAGATGAGGGTGAGGGAGGAGAAGGGAAGACAGGAGGATATGTGGAAACCACAATGCTAGGCAGCAGGAGACAAGGGAGCACCCAGCAGACAGGCTAAGTGGATGTCCTGGGTCCTGGGTGGGCAGCTGGTCAGGCCTGACATCGACCAGCAGGTTCATGAGCATAGCCAATGCCTGGAAGGAAGAACAGGGCTGAGGAGACACAGGGGGAAGCCCGACCTGTGGGATTAGAGGTGGCTTCCCAAAGGTGGTGACCTCCACACTGGGGACCTGCAGCTCTCTAGCCAGGCATTCCAGCTTCTCAGCCTGGCCCCTGACCCTTCCCAGCCAGTCCCGCTCCAGCCCAGCCCAGCAAAGAACTCATGCTCAGTACATTTGTTGAATGAATAATTTAAAACCTATAGAGCAACAAGGCTACAAAAGCTGGACAAAATTGCCCACTTAGGCTGGGCGCGGTGGCTCATGCCTGTAATCCTAGCACTCTGGGAGGCTGAGGCAGGTGGATCTCCTGAGGTCAAGAGTTCGAGACCAGCCTGACCAACATGGTGAACCCATCTCTACTAAAAATACAAAAAAAAAATACAAAAAAAAAAAAAAATAGCTGGGCGTGGAGGTGCATGCCTGTAATCCCAGCTACCCGGGAGGCTGAGGCAGGAGAATCACTGAAACCTGGGAGGCGGAGGTTGCAGTGAGCTGAGATCGTGCCACTGCACTCCAGCCTGGGTGACAGAGTGAGATTCAGTCTCAAAAAAAGAAAAAAAAAATTGCCCACTTGCACAAATGCAAAGAAAATGTTATCAAGAGCACAACGTGGGCTTTTTCTCCCAAGGGTGAAATGAGAAAATAAGCGAAATCTGTGGTTGGGCGAAGGAGGTTCAGGCTGCTCTGAAGACAGGGGTCTCAGCTGAAAGGCACCAGGGACAAGAGCATCTGCAAGATCCATCCCAGCGGCAAGAGAAGCCCTCCTCGGCCCCTGCCCCAGCAGGCCCCGACTCCCTCTGCCCTGAGCCCTGGCACCTGCCCCCAGCTGCTGCACTCCCCTCTATCTCATCCAGGGAAACCTTTCTAAAATGGCAATCTTAAAATGACATGCCCCTGCTGGGCTCGAAATCATGTAGGGCCTTTCCATGGTCAGCCCACACCTTCACCACTTCTCCCCTGCTCTAAAACCCTCCATGGCTCCCCACTACCAGCAGGATTAGGTCTGGTCTCCCCACCATGACTCTCAAGGGCCTGTGTGATTTGGTCTGGCCCATGTCTCCAAGCTCATACTAACCTCGCCACCCCACCCCTCTCTGTGCCCTGGCCATCTTGGCTTCTCCCTGGTCCTTGAACCCCACACCCTCCGACTCCTGTGTTGTCCCCCTGCCCTCAGTGCTGTGGCTCCTCTTGGCCCAGCTGACTCCTACACATCCTCCAGATGCCTGTCCTGCCTCCTCGGTGACCCCACAGGTCCCCGTGCAGCCCCACTAGTCACTCACCCCAGAACCCAGGAGAGCCTTAGAGACAGGCTGTGTCCCCAGCACCCATCCCCAGCACCTTCATACCTATTTTTTATCCCCACAAATGGAAGGGATGAATGGCCTGCAGTCCATCATCGTAACAAGACCAGGCCTTGGGGCCCTAGCCAGGAGCCTGTCAGTCTCCCTCACATCTCTCTGCCCTTGTGAGATGGGGGCTGATGTTATTTCTCAAGAACTCGCTGTGCCAGGCAGATTGCATGGGCTGCTTCCTCTGATCCTCACAACAGCCTAGGAGGGGTGGCATTGTTCCCATTGAATGAATGAGGAACCAGGGCCCAGAGAAGAGAAGGACCCATCCGGAGCCGGACAGCAGCCCCGCGGCTGCCGTGGTACGGAGGGATCTGGGCCAGCCTGGCTGACTCAAGAGCACATGCTCCTCCCCACAGCACCCCGAGGCCTGGGGCTTGACTGGTCAGGGCAGGTACCAACGGTGGTAACAATTCCAGGCAGGTCAGAGGTGGGCAGGACCTTGAGGCAGGCCCTGATGAGAGGGGACCTGAAGACCACCTTCTGGCCCTGTCATCGCCCCCTCCTCCCCACCGTGACTCTCTTTCACTGCCCTCCCTCGGATGGTTGGATGGTCGGGCAGCCTCCTGCTGGCCCCACTGCCTCTAGGGTCTCCTTTTCTGACCACCAGACACACCCTACTTTCCCAAAACCCTGGTCTGCCCCTCCTTCCTCATTGGCCCCCTCCCCTCAGGCGCTCCATGACCCAGAAGACAGAACTCAGGCCATTCTGTCTGCCTTTGAGGCTCCTCCTGGTCTGGCCCTGATGTCCCAGCCTCCTCAGCCCTAACATTCTATTCCCAAACCCCACACCGGCCCCCATGCAGTGGGGCTCCGTGCTGAGGGTGAGGGGCACAGAACATGGTACACGCACTGGCTTGTTTATTAGAAAAAGTCTTAGAGACTCAGTAAGGCACGAAGTCCAGGAAGTGGGCAGGGTCCCCTGGGGGACGTGACCAGGAACACCAGGGCTTCAGTGCCGGATGCCCCACTGTGGTGGGAGTTCCCCGCTCTCTCCAGCAGCCCCGCTCCCGTGGAGCCTGAGGACAAGGGAGCCCTTTCATCCGAGATGCTGAGTATGGGCAACAGGGAGGAGGGGAAGGAAGAGGCAGCTCCACCGTGTGGGTGTGGCGGGGGGATGGGGCTCTGCAGGAGCCTGATGCTCCTCGGACCCTGAAGGCACTACGACTAGAAGGCCCGGCTCAGGGGCAGGTCCTGGAGCTGGGGCAGGGGTGGGGGCTCAGCCTGGCTGATTGGTGTGGGGAGGGGGCAGGTTGGCTGTCACTGAGCCGAGAGGCACCAGGTGGCAGGAGGCACCAGATGGCAGGCTGTGAGGCTGCCTCAGCTGAAGTCGCGGTTGCGCAGGAGGAGTGGGGCTACCAGGGTCCACAGGTAGAGGAGCAGCCCTGCCCAGCTGGCACAGATCTTCACCCACACGGCGGTCCACGTGCTGATCATCTTCCGGGTCTCACCGGGCCTGGAACACACCATCTTCCCCATGAGCCTGGTGCCCAGTCTGGTGACTTCCATCTTGGCCCCTGGCCTTATGTCCCAGTTATGACCCCTGACTTCAACTCTGGCTCTTACCCTGTAACTCCAGTCCATCTCTGACATTTTTAACACCCGGCCTTGTGACCGTGGACATAGCTCCTGACCTCGATTCCCATCTTGAGCCCAGTGTTAGTCCATGAGATCATGACCTGACTCCTGGTCTCCAACCTTGTGATCCTAATTCTGGGACCTCAATCCTAGCCTCTGAACTTGGGACCCTGGAGCTCCTGACCTTAGTCCTGACCGCTACCCTTGATTCTGACCTTTGATCCTGTAACTTAGGGGTGGCCCCTGACCTTATTACTGTCATTTAGCTCCTTGACCTTGCCACTTCAATCCTGGCTTTATGACCTCCTACTCTCAATTTTAACTTTAACCAAATGACCAAATTTGTGACACTAAATGACCACAATCCCAGCCCCAGACCTCATGACTTCTATCCTTGACCTTGTAACTTTGGTTCTGCACTCCACACCCTGATCCTAACCCTCCAACCATGAAGCCCAAATCTGACCCCATGACCCCTGATTTGTAAACCCCGCCTGCCCTGTACAGGTCCAGCCCCAGCTGCTGTGCCTTCCCCGGTTCAGTCTCCTAGTGAAGGTGCGGGAGCTGAGCAGATGAAGGCACTGTTGGGGAAACTGTAGCAGGGAAGGGGCAGGCTCTATGGAGGGTCCTTGATACACACCGCCACCCCCAAGCCTTAAGCAGACATCAGGAAAACCCAGTGAAGGGCCGCAGGAGAGATGTGTGGACCTGCACCCTGCACCTCCGGGCTCTGTCCATGCCCCACCAGCTACGCACTTGTACCAGTTGGTGAGCGTCATCATGACGTGC
Organism: Homo sapiens; assembly: GCF_000001405.40. NCBI lineage: Eukaryota > Metazoa > Chordata > Mammalia > Primates > Hominidae > Homo > Homo sapiens. The sequence continues at coordinate 31,433,152 of NC_000001.11, read as the reverse complement.
AGTGAGGCCAGCACCAGGCAGAAGTGGAAGAAGGAGTAGCTGTAGGTGACGCCGTCCTGCTCGTTGTCAAAGGCCCGGCCCTCACAGGCTGCCACCTGCTGCTGCTGCTGTGTGGCGTCTAGCATAGGTGGGCACTCCTCGGTCTGCATCAGGCTGTTCACCTGCCGGTGGTCTGAGGAGCGCAGACTGCAGGGGAGGGAGGAAGGTGGGCAAATAGATAGCTCTGGCGTTGCTCATAACACTGGACACAAATGGTCCCAGAGCCTCAGAGGCCAGCGACCCGGTTACTGGGCCTGGGAGTTAACAAACTGCTTTGCCTCTCAACTCTACCCCTACCCCCACTCCCATTTTCTGTGTGACCTTGAGCAAAACACTTAACCTCTCTGAGCCTCTGATTCCTTGTCTGTAAAATAAGGGATAATCGTACCTCCTCTAGAGGGCTGCTGGGGGGACTAGACGGAATAATGATGTAAGGTCTCTAGCATAGTGCTTGGCACAGAATATAAATTCAATCAACAGTCACTATTGTTAGGATTGTTCCTTTGCCATTTCCATAAACACGTATCGAGTACCTAATACTACAAAGTACCATACCAGGTACTACATCCATTAAGAATGTTAATAATTAATCACGCTCATTTGCCATTGATTTTAAGTTTCCATTTTATTAGTGTCAGGTGGTTTTACCAATGGCCTCCCTTTCCTTCATGCTTACACTAAAAAAAGAACAACAGTAATGATTGTATGTCATGCTTTTCTGTGATGAGCCTTGATGTTTTTAACAGAATTTGATAGTTTGAGACATAAAAATTTTTGAAAAACCAACTCACGTTTCCAAACAAAAGTGAAAAGGAGAGCTGGATTCCAGCCCCGCCACCCCAGCAAATTGAGAAATCACCCCTTGCTGTGAGTCAGTGGGTCCCTATCCACCCTCTCCACCCTGTCCACTCTCTCCACTCTAACCACCCTATCCACCCTATCCACCCTATCCACCCTGTCCACCCTGTCCACCCTGTCCACCCTATCCACCCTAACCACCCTATCCACCCTGTCCACCCTGTCCACCCTAACCACCCTGTCCACCCTGTCCACCCTGTCCACCCTGTCCACCCTGTCCACCCTGTCCACCCTGTCCACCCTATCCACCCTATCCACCCTATCCACCCTATCCACCCTATCCACCCTATCCACCCTAACCACCCTAACCACCCTAACCACCCTATCCACCCTAACCACCCTATCCACCCTATCCACCCTATCCACCCTGTCCACCCTGTCCACCCTATCCACCCTATCCACCCTATCCACCCTATCCACCCTATCCACCCTATCCACCCTGTCCACCCTGTCCACCCTATCCACCCTATCCACCCTATTCACCCTCTCCACCCTCTCCACCCTATCTACCAAATACCATATGGATATCTCATGCATGGGAGCCCAGATTGGGTGGTCCTGGCCCTCATGGGTTGCATATGCTTCTTTGCTGCCTGTGCTGTAAGAACCATGCTAAGAACAGACCTGTGCCCCTGGGCTCTCAGCAGTGCATGTGCCAGGGAGCTGTGGGTGTGGAAGCAGCAGGAAAAACAGCTGTGCCAGGTCGGGGAGGGGAAGGGACAGAGAACCAGGGGCAGGGAAAGAGTTCCAAGCTCCTTGGCCACCGGCCACCATGTGCTCATGGCCTCCTCCCCGGCTGTCAGTTTCCCTATCTGTAAAATGAAGGTAATCAGGCCAGGAGTGGTGCACTCCTGTAATCCAAACACTTTGGCAGGCTGAGGTAGGAGGATTGCTTGGGCCAGGAGTTCAAGGCCATCCTGGGCAACATAGTGTCTCTACAAAAAAAAAAAAAATGTTTTTTTAAGTAGCCAGGCATGGTGGTATGCACCTGTAGTCTCAGTGACTCAGGAGGCTGAGGTGGGAGGATCACTTGAGCCCAGGAGTTTGAGGCTACAGTGAGCTGTGATTGTGTCATTGCACTCCAGCCTGGGTGACAGAGGAAGACCCTGTCTCAAAAAAGAAAAGAGAGAGGAGGGGGGAGGGGAAGGGAGGGGAGGGGAGAGGAGAGGACACAGAGGTAATTCAAGCCTTTCCAGCTTGAAAAGGAATCAAATGTGACAAAGAAGACAGATGTTTATGAACTGTACAGAACTGACTTGGAGAAAATGTTTTGAAAAAGGCCAAAACAGAAGAAAATGTGAAAGAGCTTTAAAATGTTCTAGCCCAGGGGCCTGGGGGCAGGGGTGCTGTTGGAACTGGGATGGATGGATCGGGGAGATCAGGGGAGCAGAGCCAAGATTCCCTCTAGAGTTAAGGGCAGATGGAAAGTGGTGCTTGGAGAAATGCAGGGCCACAGGGAGGCAAACTCAGGGTCTGCCTGATCCGTGTAAACAATAATTAAACCTAATCTTATGATCTAGTGACTTGTAAGAACAGCCACCACCTACAGCTACCTAGTTGTGCAAATGTTCACAATATTATGCTCATACTAATATACAAATGTTCACAATATTATGCAAATGTTCACAATAATATGCAACACTTAATTTGGCAAACTCCCAGGCTCAAGTGATCCTCCTACCTCGGCCTCCTCAGTCACTGGGACTAGAAGGTGCATACCACCATGCCTGACTAATTACAAAACCTTTTTTTTTTTTAGAGACACCATGTTGCCCAGGCTGGCCTTGAACTCCTGGGCCCAAGCAATCCTCCTGCTTCAGTCTGGCAAAGTGTTTGGATTACAAATAACTTACTACTTGCCAAGTTCCTTTCTAAGTGTTTTTGTTTTGTTTTGTTAATTTTTAAAAAGAGACAGCGTCTTACTATGTTGCCCAGGCTGGTCTCAATCTCCTGGGCCCAAGAGATCCTCCCACCTCGGCCTCCCAAAGTGCTGGGGGTTACAGGTGTGAGCCACCATGCCTGGCCCCTTTCTAAGTGTTTTACACATACTGATTCATCTATAGCCCTTCAACAATCCAATGAGGAAGGTACTATTTTTATCTCTATTTTACAGACAAGGAAATGGAGGCCTAAAGAGGTTAAGTGACTTGCCCAGGATCACATAGCTAGTAAGTGGCAATGCCAGGCTCAAATGCAGGCATTTGAGTCCACATGGATAAGCACCTACTAAGATGCCCCTTTGAAAAGAACCTCTATGTGAACTTCAGCATGAGCTGCCTTCTCTCGGGGGAGAGTGTGGGGTCACAGCCACATCCACTACAGTGGAGGTTGTCATCCTCTTACTGAGGAGGAAACAGGAGCTCAGAAAGGTTAAGCCACTTACCCCAAGCCGCACAGCAGGGGAGAAACAGACCCTGGACCCACTGACCCCAGTCCATGCTCCTTCCCTGACCCCACAGCCGTCTGCACCCAACTGAACTGGCCCAGTATGCAGGAAAGGGCTGTGAGCCAGGAGGCAAGGTCACGCCTGCCTCTGTTGCCCACTCATGCCATGCCCTCTGAGGGACTCAGTTTCCCCTCCCGCACAATGCAAGACCTGGATATATTGAATGTGAAGAGCACGTTCCAGTTTGGTATCCTGGCTCCCACACCCTCCCCTCACTCTGGCTCAGGGCCCTCAATCATGATCCTTCCCCAGAATCCAGACCTGGCCATACCTGATGAAGAGGGTGCACAGGAGGAAGATGATGAGGCCCACAATGCTCGGGGCATCCCACCACTGGGTCTCATAGCCCTCGGGGCCTGCCACAACTGTCTCGTTGCCCAGCTGGGTTGGCAAATGGGGGTTGCATTTCTGTTCTGGAGATGGGAGCACAATCACCCTCAGCCCATGCAGGCCAGGCCTAGGTAGCCAAGTGGCCCTGAGGATGGCTAGAGAGCCACCCCTAATAGACAGACAGATACACAGCCAACCACTCAAGTCCCAGCAACAGAGCGCTCAGCAGTCACAAGGGCAGAGAGACAACTCAGGAACAGACGGGGCCCTCCCATCTCATGGGAGGACTGAGTCTCAGAATGGGCTGGAGCAGGGATGTCCCTGTCACCTGTGAGGGTCCCCAGCCCCACAGTAGACTGATACTGACCCAGGAACGAGGCCAGGCCTCCTTGAGCCTGGGCCCATACTTACCAGGGATACTGGATAGGGCTGACCAGGTGACAAACATGGTGTAGAGGGTGATGACCGAGGCCTGCAGCAGACCCGAGTTGGGCTGGGCGTCCTGGCAAGAGGACCCCTGGTAAGACCCCTGCCAGACCAGAGACACCCCACCCCACCCAGCCCACTCACACCAGCCAAGGGACCTCAGAAACTCCCACCCACCTAGGATACCCCACCACACCCCACTTAGGGAAAACACCAAG